>NC_000005.10:44538324-45170849 GCF_000001405.40 Homo sapiens | reverse complement strand
CTAAAGTAGGTCCTGATTTTGGCAGATACACCTAAAAATAGTACTAAGTAAGACTAAGTCAAAGAGAAAGAAAAACACTTGTTTGGAAGTGAAATGAGGACAAATCCCCATTTACCCCTTCCCTCAGCCCCTGATAACCACCATTCTAATCTCTGCTTCTGTGAGTTTGACTACATTAGGTATCTCACATACATGGAATCATGCAGTATTTGTCCTTCCATGACTGGCTTACTTCATTTAACACACTGTCCTCCAGGTTCATCTGTATTGTCCTATAGAGTAGGATTTCCGTTTATTTTAAAGGCAGAATAATGTTCTATTGTATATATGTACCACATTTTCTTTATCCATTCATCTGTCATTGGACATTTTGGTTGTTTCTATAATGCAGTTATTGTGGGTAATGCTACAATAAATATGGGAGAGCAGATATCTCTTTGGGATCCTAATTTCCATCCTTCTGGGTAGATATACCCAGAAATAGGTTGCTGGATCATATGATAGTTTTTAAATTTTTCAAGGAACCTCCATACTGTTTTCCATAATAGCTATATTAATTTATATTCCCACCATCATTATACAAGAGTTCCAATTGGTCCACATCCTTGCCAACACTTATCTCTTAAAAGTTTTCATAACATACCTCCTTAACTGGCATGAGGTGATATTTCATTGTAATTTTGATCTGGATTTCTGTGATGATTAGTAACATTGAGCATTTTTTCATATACTTGTTGGTCTTTTTATAAATTCTTTCAAAAAATGTCTTTTCAGATCCTTTGCCCTCTGTTTAATTGAATTATTTGTTTTCCTGCTATTGAGTTGTATCCATTCCTTGTATATTTTTGACATGAACCCCTTATCAGATAGATGGTTTGCAAATATTTTTTCCTATTCTGAGGCTTGTTTTTTTCATTTTGTCAATTGTTACTGTTCAGAAACTTTTTAACTTTGATGTAGTCCCATTTTTCTATTTTTAATTTTGTTGTTTGTGCTTTTGGTGTTAAGCAACAAAGAAATCCAAGATGTTCTTGCCAAGACTGATATAAAGAAGCTTTTCTCCTATGTGTTCTTCTAGGAGTTTTAAAGTTTCAGGTCTCATGTTTAAGTCTTTAATCCATTTTGGGTTTATTTCATATATGATGTAAAAGAGGGTGATGATTTTATTCTTTTGCATGTGGCTATACAGTTTTCCCAGTATCATTTGTTGAAGAAACTATATTTTCCTTACTGTGTATTCTTGGCACCCTTGTTGAAACTCAGTTGACTTTATATGTGTGAATTCATTTATGTACACTTTATTCTGATCCACTGGTCTGTAATTGCTGTAAAGTTTTAGTTATGCAAGATAAATTACTTCTAGAGGTCTGCTATACAGCATAGTGCTTATCATCGACAATACTGTATTATGCACTTAAAATTTTGTTTCAGGTAGATCTCATATTAAGTGTTCTTACCACACACACATATGCACACCACACACAGGGATATACAAAAATTTGGGGAGGTGATGAATACGTTTATTCATCTGTATTTTCCTATAGAGTAGGATTTCCGTTTATTTTAAAGGCAGAATAATGTTCTATTGTATATATGTACCACATTCTCTTTATCCATTCATCTGTCATTGGACATTTGGGTAGTTTCTATAATGCAGTTATTGTGGGTAATGCTACAATAAATATGGGAGAGCAGATATCTCTTTGGGATCCTAATTTCCATCCTTCTGGGTAGATATACCCAGAAATAGAGTTGTGGTGATGGTTTAATGGGTGTATGCATATATCCAAACCAATCAAATTGTACACATTAAATATGTGCAATTTTTGGTACCTCAATACTCCAGTAAAACTATGTTTAGAACATTAAAATAAAGGAATGAGAGAATACAAAAATCTTAATATACCTAAAACACAAAAAATATGGGGAATTAAAACCCCTGAAAGTGGCAAGGATTCATTTCTTAAGTCTCAAGTTTTCTTATTACTTACTCTCTATAAACTTGTAGCTGTTTATCCTTTTGGAGAAACTCTTCCAGAAATTTTTTTTTATTTTTTGCCTGTCTAGTTCAATATCAAGGATTGTATTTCAGTGTTTTCTTCATTTTGCATTGTTAAACAAATCAAAATTCCCAATCTAAAAAGCCTTCCCTGAGTCTAATTTATAAATGTGTGACATCCAATGAATATAAATTATTTTTATTGAGGACCAAGAAAACTTAACCCCTAAAGGAACATAGACACCCCATAAAAATAGCAAGTGTAGGCCGAAAACAAAATATCTATCTCAAAAAATAAAAGATATCAATAACTCCAGCCAGTAGAAATTACTTCTACCCCCTGACCTTTGGCTATTCTAACTCACCACGCTGATTCTCAAGCCTTAGTTGACACACTGGCAGCTGCCCAATGGCCAATTTTTCTTCATTTATAAAACTCTGGCAAAATACAAAAGAAGAAATTAGTGCATTCAGTTAATACAAAATTAATACTGGTTTTTAGCAGTTGATTTCTTCCCTCAACACTGTGTATGTTGCTTCTATCAAGGAAGTGGCAAGCTGGCACCATGAAGAGCCACATTCTCATCCAAGTGTCCAGGTGAGGGTCCCGTTGGCAGCAATCTGGTATCTAACAAGTGGATTGTGTCTCCATACACAGAGGAGACCCTGCAGATGCAGGTTTAGATGCCTCAGCTTATTGTGATGCAGCATAGTGGCTTCTGCCCTGGATTCCCTGGCACAATTAACCCTCCAATTCTACCTTCCCTACCATGACTTTTGTATAGAAATAAGGTAAGGGGTTGGAGAAACAGCTAGAGGCACAGATTATGGATAAATACTTGGGATGAAAGGTTTAGAAGACCCCCAACGTAGGTGAAGGGAGGGAGGCAGGCATTGAGTAAACATTCCTCTGTAGCACCAGCTGGAAGCACCTTTTATTTCTGTTATCAATGAGCTAATTATTCTACTGAAACTCTCAGGTATGCCAAGCTGAATTCTGTTGGGATGATACTTCCATCAGATGACAGTAGACCCTTTATTCCCTCATTCTCTAGATTTCCAGCCTGGTTTGTTGATTATCTTCCTATATGAATAGTTATCCAGTGTAGACTCTCTCCAAATACTTTTTAATCCTCTTTATGTCTGAGATTAATTGGCACAGATTACATGTTACAATTTCTAACCAGATTCAAATCTGGTTGAATCCAGATTAAGATGAGTTCTTTGTTTTATGCAAATGTATTAGGTTCCTAAAACTAAGTGAATGGATGTATACAAGACTTCATTTTCAGAATGGACGGACGTCCTTGTCTTTTTATAGAATAGTCACGAGCAGTGGATGGGAGTGAAACCAAAGTTATAAGAGCCTGAGAAAGAAGGTAACTTATAGAAGCAACATAAGAAGAAAAGTAACCATAGGGGTATCGGACAGCAATAAAGTTCATCTTACAGAGAAGGAAGCCAGAAATGTTGAAGAAGAACCATTGAAAAATAGGAATGGCAGAGGTTAAAAATCTGCTTTTTCACCAGGATTTGGGACTAAGTTTACCTTCTTAGTGCTTTGATAACAATTCCAAGGGCAATCATTAGTAAGTGTTTAAATATTTTACCAAAAGTATTTTATTTAATAAACCATTATGAGTCTGAGATTAGGTCTCTAAAAACATGCCACAATAATTTTGTTTTGATACTGATCTCTTTAATGTCAGTTAGTATCAAGTAATCAATTACTTGTGCAAGAGTGTATGAGTATACTTATAAATAGTACCTTGGATATAAGGGAAATAGAAACTATTTTAGCTGAGTCAGCAATTATATATATATATATATATATATATATATATGTGTGTGTGTGCGTGTGTGTGTGTATATATGTATATATGTGAGTGTATATATATACGTGTGTGTATATATATGTGTGTGTATATATATGTGTGTGTGTGTGTGTGTGTGTGTATATATATATATATATATTTTTTTTTTTTTTTAGATGAAGTCTTGCTCTGTCACCCAGGCTGGAGTATAGTGGTGTGATCTCGGCTCACTGCAACCTCCATCTCCTGGCTTCAAGCAATTTCCTTCCTCAGCCTCTGGAGTAGCTGGGATTACAGGCGCACAACACCATGTCCGGCTAATTTTTGTATTTTTAGTAGAGATGGGGGGGTTTCACCATATTGGCCAGGCTGGTCTTGAACTCCTCACCTCAGGCGATCTGGCCACCTCGGCCTCCCAGAGTGCTGGGATTACACGCATAAGCCACCGCACCTGGCCCAGCAATGACATATTAACATAATTTGCTACCTGATGATGTGGGGTGATCTAACAAATTAATATTTAATATTTATAAACAATTTTAATGCCTTAATTATGATTGAAAAACCAATTGCTTAGCACAACTTTGGGGGTGTGGGGTGGATAGCTTAGTCCAGTAGGTATAAATAAAATGCAAGGGTCTAGGTCTACTGGAACTTTAACATAAAGCACCTCGGTGAAACAAATATTAGAAAAAATTACTGTTATCTTATGCTACCCTAATAGATTTTCTAAGTCAGTAACATTATAGCTCTTCATTCAGGGTTAGGCATCACAGAAAAGCTGTTTCTCACTCAATAGTGACTGGCCAGGATGTGGAAGGAAATGAATAATGTGGCAGAAGGCAGGGTAGGTGGAGATGAAACTCCTAATCCTCCAGAAAAGAAGACAGAGGAAACTTGAAAAAACAATAAAAAAGAGAATTCTCTTCAAATATTTAAATGGTCCAGCTTTCAATTACAGAATTAGTTGTAGACCTAAGAGTTTGAACTTGAAGCATCAGAAATAAGTCCATTGAAAAGCAATTTGAATAACTATATGAAAAAATTTTATTGTTTTTAATATAAAGTTTATAAATAATACAACCAATAGATATTTATAGCAGACATTTTATAAAATCCAGACAATTTGAAAGCAAAAAGAATTGCACACAATTCCTGGTATGTAAAAAAAAAAAAACACTTGTTTAATGGAAGCAACTGAATAAAAGTGATTTATTAGAATTGATGTCTCTGTTAGAAACCCTACAAATTAATTATTTCTGATACATAGTTTCTCATTGAATTGGGGAACAAATTAGACATATATTCAAGCAATCAGAAAATTAAGCAAAATCACAGGGAAATTAGAGAATTCCACAATAGGTGTAACCACTCTTATCAGCTTGTCTTCTGGGATAGGGTCTGTTTTGTTAGGGTGAGAATTATTTTGTTTCTGTACATCATGAAATATGCAATTATTCTCCCTCAATCTTATCAAAGAAAATAACACTATAATTTTATATCCTCTAGAGAGCAGTCACCAATGTTATGTAAAATATATCTTATACAAAATACTTGACAGTTAGAGTAGAACACTTATTATTGTCTGTTATTAAGAGTCTTTTCTATTTTTTCATAGTAAAGATTATGATTGTGTAAATGCAGGCATCTCCAAGCTAATCACTAAGCAAAAAAAGTAGGTCACTTAAAACTCTCATTTCCTCAATTCATTGTATCCACTCCTCAACCCTTCTAAGCTGGTAATTGTATATTGTTTCAGCCAATATCTCACCAGAATCCTTACCGAGGTAAAATTAATAAATCATTTCATAAATGTTGAATTACAATTTTAGTTGCCTTTTCTATGCTTGACTGACTCTCCTTTCTTTGTGACAATACTTAGAATTGTTCAGGAAGAGGTTTCCTGTTTTTTGTCATTTTACACCCATTATCTTGTTCCATTGCTATCTTGACATGTTCCCTTCTCACAGCTTTGAATAAGGAGACTGAGATAATAAATGAGTTTAAGTTGTGTTTAGAAGAGACTAGAAATTCTCCAGAATGATACTCTCCTCTGGAAAGTGTGCAAAGCCTCACTCTGCCCCCATTTGACTCTGCAGGCTGCCAGGGCCTGTTTCCTCTGGTTAGCACATTATTTCTTCCCCAAACAGAGTTTACATTCAACTCTTGGGTGGAAGAACTGACCGCTGTGCTGAATTTTTTTTTTTTTTTTTTTTTTTTTTTTTTGAGACAGAGTCTCACTCTGTCACCCAGGTTGGAGTACAGTGGCAGGAACTTGGCTCACTGCAACCTCCACCTCCTGGGTTCAAGTGTTTCTCCTGTCTCAGCCTCCCGAGTAGCTGGGACTATAGGCGTCCACCACCACACCTGGCTAATTTTTGTATTTTTAGTAGAGACGGTGTTTCGCTATGTTGGCCAAGCTGGTCTCGAACTCCTGACCTCAGGTGATCCACCCACCTCGGCCTCCCAAAGTGCTGGGATTACAGGCGTGAGCCACCGCGCCCAGCCTGTGCTGAATATTGATGTGCACCAGTTGAATCCATTGCTCAAATGAACCCCTTAAAAACTCAGACAAAGGTGTAGACATGTCATGCATAACCCTGCTAACCATCTCCTCAGGGGTAATTTCTTAGGATGGACAAGGAGTCTTCCATTCAACACTTCATTCTATGTCACCTTCTCTGGACAGTCATTCTAAAATTGGGTTTCTTCCATCATCTTTTCCTTTTATTCTGCTTTAATTTTCTTCTTAGCACTTTCACCATCTGATTTATTACACTATATTTTGTAATTCGGTTATTGTTTGTCTACCTCCTCCCCTCTCCTGGAGTGTAAGCACCAAGAGGGCAAGGACTTTGCTTTTGCTTCAGCCCCAGTGACTAAAACAGTGCCTAGAACATCATAGAAGTTCAACAATATTTGTGGAATAAATGACCTTGCTGGAAATAGATATTACAGAAACACCAAAGAATATGATGTATGCTTATATCATTTCCAGCCCTGCATAAGGACACACATACACATAAACACACAGGAGAGAGTGGCCTGCGTGATTATCTTCTCCTGTTCTCAAGGATATGTACTCCGTAAATATTTGTTGACTAAATGAATGCATTCATGAAAGCATGAGTTTGACAACCAGTCAATTTTTTTTTTTCTAATTAGGGCTCTAAAAGAATAACCAGCAAGAAAAGAGAATAAATATGCAAATAGGGTGATCCTATTATATTTTCTTCTATAATTGTGGAGATGTTATGAGGAGGACACTGATTTCTACTCATTTTTAATTAGAAATTATGACAGAAACTTAGATGACAAAAAAACTCAATGTGTTCCATTAGGTAATAAATAATTTGAAATATAATCAAATAGTCAAAGAAAATCTTCAATGTGGTCTCCATTTCACTGGAGGCACAATTTTAACTTTTTGGTGAGAGGTGATGACAATTTTCTCATCACAAAGGCTCATCTAAAGGGAACAATAAGGTCTGCCAGAATGTCTTCCTTGTCAAGGTCCAATTTAAAATTCACTTTCTATCTTCTCTAAAGATATGGAAACTGTGTGAGGAGTGCCCTAAGCAGGCTCCAGTAGATAGAGGGCTTTTCAGTTCATTAATAAACATTGACATGACCTGCCCTTTAAAGACTGACCAAACTGGTCCCCACCACATTTTCAAGCTCTCTGTGTATCCTTGGGACTGCAAGGAGGACCTGGAACAGAGGCTCAGCTTCCAGGATCCCAAGGATCTAGTTACATTACATTACCTTCCTGTTCATGGAAACGGCTTTTTGGTTTATGCCCACACACTAATGTACAAATGCTCTCTGCAGCCTGGCAGGGAGCCCAGTACAGGAAAAATGTTCTGTTTCTTTTTGCGAAGTGCCATTAAAAGCCATGGTCCATGCCCAGACTGAGCTGTGAGATGCTCCTTAGCTTTTTGCCTCACTTGATTTGTCTTTCATGGAAGTGCAAGGTTCCCTTAGCCGTTTCTCAGTTCCTAAATTCTAACCAGGAGAATTTGGAAAAGGATTCGCCATCATGCTTTATAACTAATAAAATGTAAGAAAAACTGGATTCTGAATACTTATTTTAAAAAAACAAAAACAAAACTTGCATGCAGCACTGCGTGTGCAGTGTTACCTCTATCTGGACCTCTTTAAAGAAAAACACTCGAATTTTTGACAGGCTTTAGTGGATAGTCCCTAACAATAATTTTCTTTCTTTCCCACCCCAAAAAAGAAAATTTTGACTTCCTTTTTCCTCAAAACGTTATCTTTGTTTTCTTCTTAACAGCCCTTCTTGCTCAGGAAGCAAATCCTTCAAACCATCTATTTTTCCCTGGCCAAAAATAAACATTACTGAACCACAGTACTTATTACACTATTGGTTTGTCATTAGTTTTGATGAATTATAAGCCCCAAACTGGTATGGACCATGTTTTACTCAGATCTTAGTACCAAAGGAGCAATCACAATGATATTAACCACTGCATTTATTGAGAGTTTGTGCCAGGTACAATTTTAGAAACTTTGTATACATTAGATCATTTAATCTTCACGATAACTCCAGGAGAAAATTATTTTTGTGTAACCGAAGTAACAGAATTATAAAGAAGTCACACACCTGGTAAGTTGTAGAGCTCAGATTCAAAACCATGCAAAGATCACCAGATATTCTTAACTGGAATGTGTGTAGTAGGCCCTCAAATATTTGAGAATGAATAGTTATTTATGTCTTGAGTATAGAACTATTGGGAGTGCTTGGTGTAGCTAACATGATCACATGCCCTCCAAAGTAATTTTGGAAACACTCATGGTCCATTTTTTAATAATTCCATTGTAAGCCTGTCCCCCAAGTCTCCCAGAAGCTACATTTATGCTTCAACCCTTGTGTCTTATGATTAGATCCCAGTCCAGTCTGGCTTATGTTATTGCATCTACAAGGAAAGGTCCTATTTGGAGTGGCTTTGAGTTACACTTTGGTGCACGTTTGTGTGTCTCCTGTGCTCATCTCTCTTGGAATTTAGCTCCTAATACTTATTAAATCTTAATTTAATGTCCTGTTGTCATGTTGCTAAGAGGTGCATACCCTTATTCTAGACCTTCTCTCCACTTGGGCTATGTTATTTTTCATGCATCCTGTACCTTTTTCCTGGCAGAACTGCCTCTTCCAAGTTCCCAATCCAATCTTTAAAAGCCCAAGTTCCCAATCTAATTTTTAAAATCAACCAGAGGGCTCTGTTGTCGCATGGAAAAAGTCAACTCGTCATGAGCTAAAAGAGACAGTTTATGGTTTGCAGCATTAGAATCAAGTGAAAACACCTAACCCATGAGGAGAGCTGACAGAAGCCTCTAAAATGTAGCATGTTCCACCTTAATGAGAGTTGGCTGCAAAGGGCTTGAAGCTAAGAGCCACCACTGTTAACAGTGTCACCCTGTAATGGTTTGGAAAGTTGCTACAATTACAAATACCAGATTTTGTGGGGTTTTTTTTCCAAATAAAAATCATTACAGAGTCCTTGAAGTGAAGCTGGTGGTAGCTTATTTTGCAGTACAGTATTTTAGATAAGTTGTTATATGACCCACTGTCATCTCTGACCACAGTACCACATGCAAGGTGACCAGAAGACAGTGGGTAGCTAAGCTATTCTTTACATGAAGGCAGTAATTGCTAGTATTTTCTTGAGTGTTTGCTGTGCACAGGCAAAGTACTAAGTACCTTATATGTATTATATTTAACACTCATGATTACTCAGACAGATATTAATATAATCACCTCTATTTTGCATATGCAGAAACTGAGGCATAATAAAAATAAGTTATTCACTCAAGGTGACAGAACTAATGAATGGAAATCAATGGAAGTAAAATCTAAACCATGGCAATAGAATTGTTGCACTGTCTTTTTGCTAGTAGGCACACACAAAAAATACCTCTGGGAATGTTTTTAAGGGGTACTTGATTAAAGGGGTACAATATAAGACTGGATAGTCAAGAATTCACTGTCTTGGGAGTACCTTCTCAGGATACAATATTTAAAATTCTGGCAAGGACCCCAGGGAATGTGGTAAACTCACTGTTAAAGTGGTTTTTGGAGGCCTGAAGAAAGTGATGGCCAATGCTGAAAAATTAGAATGTCAGAGTTGCCCTGGAGGATGATAGAACAATGAATAAAAAGATTGAGGGAAAGGGGCATGCAAGAATAGACATATTACTTCCACTGCTCAGAAAATCTCTTAGATGGAATGTTAATAGAAGAGCTCAGAGGATCCACTGTTTACCGAATTTATCAAGAATGAGCTGGCAAGAAGGTCACTAACGTCATTAAGAAGTTCAGTGGTGGCTCTCCTCTGCAAGTCAGGACTGATGGTAGAGGAAGTAACTACAGACCTGGGCTCATTAATATCCATGGAGATGTTGACTCTCCAAAGTAACAGAGGTCAAGAGGTGGTTCTCAGCTGCCCAACAGTTACAGTAATGGCCCACAAGGTGGAAGGGATATCCAGAGGGTGTGGCTTGACTTGCATTGAGTTGTGGAGATGGTTAGTGAAACATTACATTCTGTAGAAAAGTAGAGTTCTGGTCAGGGCAGTGAAACAAGAGAAAGAGATAAAGGGCATCCAAATAGGAAGAAAGGAAGTCAAACTATTCCTGTTTGCAGATGACAGGATCTTATATCTAGAAAACCCCATAGTCTCATCCCCAAAACTTCTTAAGCTGATAAACAACTTCAGCAAAGTCTCAGGATGGAAAATCAAAGCGCAAAAATCACCAGCATTTCTATACACCAACAACAGTCAAGCTGAGAGCCAAATCAGGACAGAACTCCTATTCACGAATGCAACAAAAAGAATAAAATACCTAGGAATACAACTAACTAGGGAGGTGAAAGATGTCTACAAGGAGAACTACAAAACACTGCTCAAAGAAATCAGAGATGACACAAACAAATTGAAAAACATCCCATGATTATGGATGAGAAGAATCAGTATCGCTAAAATGGTCATATTGCCCAAAGTCACTTATAGATTCAGTGTTATTGCTATGAAATTACCATTGACATTCTTCAAAGAACTAGAAAAAGGTATTTTAAAATTCATATGGAACCAAAAAAGAGCTTGAATAGCCAAAGCAATCCTAAACAAAAAGACCAAAGCTGGAGGCATCATGCTACCCCACTTCAAACTATACTACAGGGCTACAATAACCAAAACACCACGGTACTGGTACAAAAACCGACACATCAACCAATGCAACAGAATAAAGAACCCAGAAATAAAACCACACACCTACAACTATATGATCTCCCAAAAACCTGACAAAAACAAGCAATAGGAAAGGATTCCCTATTCAATAAATGGTGCTGGGATAACTGGCTAGCCATATGCAGAAGACTGCCATTGGACCACTCTCTTACACCATACACAAAAATTAACTCAAGATGGATTAGAAACTTAAATGTAAAACCCCAAACTACCAAAGCCCTGGAAGACAACCTAGGCAATACATTCAGGATATAGACATGGGCAAAGATTTCATGACAAAGACACCAAAAGCAATTGCAACAAAAGCAAAAATTGACAAATGGGATCTAATTAAACTAAAGAGCTTCTGTACAGCAAGAGAACCTATCAACAGAGTAAACAGACAACCTACAGTAAAGGAGAAAATTTTTGCAAACTATATATGTGATAAAAATCTAATATCCAGCATTTATCAGGAACTTAAACAAGTTTACAAGAATAAAACAAACAACCCCATTAAAAAGTGGGCAAAGGACATGAATAGACACTTTTCACAAGAAGATATACATGCAGACAACAATCATATGGAGAAAAGCTCAACATCACTGATTATTAGAGAAATGCAAATCAAAACCACAATGAGATACCATCTCACACCAATCAGATACTATCTCACAGCACTGTTATTTTTTATTAAAAAGTCAAAAAATAACAGATGTTGACAATGTTGTGGAGAAAAATGAATGCTTATATGCTGTTGGTGGTAGTGTAAATAAGTTCAGCCATTGTGGAAGACAGTGTGGTAATTCCTCAAAGACCTGAAGACAGAAATACCATTCGACCCAGGAATCCCATTACTGGGTATATACCCAAAGGAATATAAATCATTCTATTATAAAGACACATTCACACATAGGTTCTTTGGAGCACTATTCACAATAGCAAAGACATGGAATCAACCTAAATGCCCATCAATGAAAGACTAGATAAAGAAAATGTGGTACATATACACCATGGAAAAGAATGGAGCCATGAAAAAGAATGAAATCATGTTCTTTGCAGGGATATGGATGGAGCTGGAGGTCATTATCCTTAGCAAACTAACACGGGAACAGAAAACCAAATACCACATGTTCCCTCTTATATGTGGGAGCTAAATGATGACAACACATGAACACGTAGAGGGGAACAACACAGACTGGGGCCTTTCAGAGGGTGGAGAGTGGGAGGAGAGAGAGGGTCAGGAAAAATAATTAATGGGTAGTAGGTTTAATACCTGGGTGATGAAATAATCTGTACTACAAACCCCCATGACACAAGTTTACCTATGTAACAAACCTTCACTTGTACTCCTGAACTTAAAACAAAAGTTTACATACACACACACCACACACACACACACACACACACACACACACACAACACTTTAAAAGCAAAGAAAATTAAGCAGTATTTTTTAAGGCGCTTTGAATAAAAAGCCACAGTTCCTTGCCTAGATCCCAGACCTAAGCCTATTTCAAATCCAGAACCCATTGATAGAAGAGATTATTTCCCTGGGTTAACAAACAAAACAAAACAAAAAACCATGGAAAATATTTACTATGATGACTTTCCCAGTCATTTTTCAAAGAAAACTTGATTATTTACTTAGGTGTGTCTACCCTGGGGGATAAAAGAATACTCAGACATTCTAAGGACTGTTGTATGTAGTGTCTGGGTAGACAATGATACCTGAAGAACGAAAGCGTCATCATGGCCATTGTTATAGGAGGGGCTAATGGGAGCCAGGTGATAAATGAAGCTCTGGCTAAAGCCTGCCTCACAAGGTCAATGCTAGGTCTGAAGACACATCGACTGGCCATATTTTCAAGTCTCAAGTGTATAACTGGAATTAATATACTTGGTTAGAATGACCCTCACATTAGGTCTATGGCCTGTGAGTTAAAATCTATCCTAAGGGAGA
This sequence comes from Homo sapiens, assembly GCF_000001405.40. Lineage (NCBI taxonomy): Eukaryota > Metazoa > Chordata > Mammalia > Primates > Hominidae > Homo > Homo sapiens. Next base: position 45,157,829 of record NC_000005.10, on the reverse strand, counting down.
GGTGGAAACCTCTGAAATTTTTCCGCAGCCAAGATAGTAAATTGAGAAAAATATCACATCCTAGGGGGAATAATGGATATTAGTGTAAGCACAAAAGACCTAAGAGATACAGGGGTGATAGGCCTTATCATCTCTCCATTTAATTTGCCAGCCTTCACTCATAGAATTCAGATGGATGCATGAGAATGACTGTAGACTGTAGACTACTGTAGGTTTAACTAAACAGAGGCCCCGATTGCATCTGTTGTGGCAGATGTGGGATTATGTCAAGAGTATACACTTTCTCCGAGACAGTTCTTGGTGTATAAATAGGCCCTGGTATTAATGTGTCAAGACAGAGTACTTGATGGGGCATCATGTAACCATGTATCAGGGGCTGCCCATTATGTTGTTCCCACCAAGTCACAAATTTGGACAGGACCAGCAATAGTTTACAGTGAAATATAAATGATACAGCGAGGATTTATCCCAAAGAGGACCACAGGGGACATGTAAACTGCATACAGTGGGATCTCAGTTTCCCCAGTGTTATAAGTGGAATTGTGTCCCTCCAAAATTCGTATGTTGAGATCCTAACCTTCATTACCTCAGAATGTGACCTTATTTGGAAATAAGGTCATTGTAGATAGAATTAGATGAAGTCATTAGGATGGGCCATAATCTAATTTAACTGGTGTTCTAATAAAAAGGGAAACATTTGGACACAGGGACAGACAAGCACAGAAGAAAGATAATGTGGAGAACACCATGTATGAGTCAAAGAATGCCTGGGGCTACTGGAAGCTAGAAGAAAGTCATAGAACAGATTCTTCTTTACAGATCTCAGAAGAAACCAACACTGCCAATATCTTGATTTCAGACTTCTAGCCCCTAGAACTGTGAAACAATACATTTCTATTGTGTAAGCCACTTAGTTTGTGGTACTTTGTTAAAGCTCCCCTGGGAAGCTAACGTAGCATGTCACCCATGAGAGATAGAACAGAAACTTCTCCTCTTCTGCATCCTGTGCAGACCTGGCACAATTGGTGCACACATGAAGCAGGCCAGGTAGCAGAGACAGATACCTTTGAAAGTTCAATCTTTCATGTCCCTGCAATGGACGTGATCTTGTTCCTTTTTTGGCTGCATAGTATTCCATAGTGTATATATACCACATTTTCTTTATCTAGTCCATCACTTATGAGCATTTGGGTTGATTCCATGTCTTTGCTATTGTGAATAGTGCTGCAGTGAACATACACGTGCACATATCTTTGAAACAGAATGATTTATATTTATTTGGGTATATACCCAGTAATGGGATCGCTGGGTCAAATGGTACTTTTAGTTCTAGGCCTTTGAGGAATCGCCACACCAACTCCCACAATGGTTGAATGAATTTACATTCCCACCAACAGTGTAAAAGTGTTCCTATTTCTCCACAGCCTTGCCAGCATCTGCTGTTTCTTGACTTTTTAATAATGGCCATTCAGACTGGTGCGAGATGGTATCTCATTGTGGTTTTAATTTGCATTTCTCTAATGATCAGTGATGTTGAACTTTTCTTCATATGCTTGTTGGCCCCATAAACGTCTTCTTTTGAGAAGTGTCTGTTCATGTCCTTTGCTCACTTTTTAATGAGGTTGTTTGCTTTTTCTTGTAAACTTGTTTAAGATTCTTGTAGATTCTGGATATTAGACCTTTGTCAGATTATCCTCAGCAAACTAATGCAGGAATAGAAACCAAACACCAAACACCGTATGTTCTCACTTATAAGTGGGAGCTGAACAATAAGAACACATGAACACAGGGAGGGGAACAACACACACTGGGGCCTGTCGGAGGAGTGGCGAGGGGAAGGAGAGCATCGGGGTAAATAGCTAATGCAGGCAGGACTTAATACCTAGGTGATGGGTTGATAAGTGCAGCAACCCACAATTGCACACATTTACCTATGTAACAAACCTGCACTTCCTGTGCAAGTAACCCATAACTTAAAATCAAATAAAATATTTTTAAAAGTTCAGTCTTGCAGAAACAGATCCCAATGTTGATCCCCACGTGTGGCAGTATTCCTTGTGGCTACCAATTAGCCATTTGGTGGCAAGTCAACTAAATTGAAGCTCTTCCATTCTGAGAAGATAAGTGGTTTATCCCACAGGAATGGATACCTATCCATTCCTGGTATGGATCCATTTCCTGCTGACAAAGTTTCAACTAGCATCATAATCTAGGAGCTTATAGAGTAACTTATCTGTAGGAATGAAACCTCATATAATAAACTTCAAATAGAAACTCATTTCACAGGGAAGAAGGTACAGGAGTGATCCATTAACATGGGATACACTGAAGGTATCATATTTTACAATCCACACGTGATTTTCACAGAATGTTGGAACGGCTTCTTAAGGTGCAACTAAAACACTATCTCAGTGGCAAAACATGGGAGAGGCTGCAATGCCATCCTTTAAGATGAAGTATCGGAGACCTCTGTGCCATGCTGTGTCTTCCACAGGAAAAATACATGAGCCAAGAAACCAATGGATGTCAGCAGGCTTAGCTCCATTTGCCATCATTACCAATGACCCACTGGGGAAGTTTGTGTTTCCTATCTGTCTCCATACCTCTAAGGGTAGGAGGTCCTTGTTCCCAAAGTGTCATACCCATGCTAGGGAACACATTGAACAAGCAACTATAGCTGCTGGCAGGGCACTTGGGACTCCTTCTGTCCAGAAAATAGAGGTATGGTGAGGAGTCACCAAACAGGTCAGGGTAGTTGTCCCTAATTAGTGAAAGGAGGTAGGAATGCTTTTACACCATGGGAGCAGGGGAAATATGTGTAGAGAGCAAGTGATCCACCAGAATGCTGGTAGGGACTCCTTTACTCCATTTTAACTATTATTGTTGGACTCATGCAGCAAACCTGGCCTGAGACAAGAATGATTATGAAGGGTGTACTCTCCTCTGGAAGGAAGGATTAGGTCATACTATTATGACCTGTAGAGATAATAGCTGAATATGCTGGAAATTGAGAATGGATGTGCAGGAGGAAGAGGACAAGGATCAGAGGTTGGCTTTAGAATAACTGCAGTGACCAGGGCTGCAGTTCATCCTACTAACCTTCCTCCTCTAAGTTTTCCCTCAGGAAGAGAGGCTCATGGATTTGTGGATATGTGTCTCCCTAACCCTGTCAGGAGCACACAAAACTGTTGCACACAAAAGTGTTCCTAATGTTCCTTTCACACCTCCAACTGCAGGAAGTGTAATTGATTGAGGGCCCCAGATGCTTTGCTTGAAATTCATAAGTGCATTTACATCACGGCTACACTTCCCATGGCCTGCTCCTAGTCAGTGACTAGCAGGAAGAAATTGTAAGTCAGGCCCATTCCTGGCAGACGTAGGGCTCCTTCAAATGGCAGCCTTGGCTCAAGGACTTCCTATTGGCTTTATCAAAATGCTCTTAGGACTGCACATCTGTTTAAGATTTCTCTGACCCAATTTTCCTCACAGGGGTTAGGCTTGCACCATGATCTCTTGGCTCTCTCAGCCCCCTACATTACAGGTGTTCCCTGTGCCCCAAATTTCTTGCATGTCTAATCATGTCTAGATGTCTTCATCTTAGAGGAGCTGAATGGAAGAAGAGAGCCTTATCTTCCAATTCTGTCTTGGTTTGGGTTCTTCCTAGAGCAGCCCTTGAGGGAAGTTCTTGGGCTCTTCAGCTTATTTGGGAAGTGATCCCAGGAAGCTGGAGTGATGGACCAGAGGATTGAGACAGCGAAGGAGGAAGTCAAGATAAGGATATGTTATAGAGATTACGGTAGTGGACAGTGGGGGCTGGTTTCTGGCAGGACCTCCCGAAACAGGCATAAAATGCCTACCAGAATTTTCCTTCTGAATGACTGGAGCTGGAGCATTTACCTATGAGCCGTGTTGTTCCTCATTCTTTGAGGATTGCCCCAATGTTCCAGCTATGCTGAGCTGGCTTCTACACATCAGAGAATACCCTAAAGCAGAGTGCAGTAATATGCATAGTGCACATGAGAACAGGGAAGTTGTCGATCTTTTCATCATGGATTTTCCAGCACCTTATGCATACTTGTTTCTCAATAAATAATAAATGAATAAATGAATACATTGAATTTTAAAGATCATGCACTTTAGTGGTCTCCTAGTACTAGTCTATGGATGGGCAGTATCAGACTTGTCTTTGAAGATTAAAAAATTTAAGTATTATAGAGTCCTTTTTTTTTTGAGGTGGAGTCTTGCTCTGTTGCCCAGGCGGGAGTGCAGTGGTGCAACCTTGGCTCACTGTAACCTCCACCTCCTGGGTTCAAGAAATTCTCCTGCCTCAGCCTCCCAAGCAGCTGGAATTACAGGCATGCACCATGCCCAGCAACTTTTTGTATTTTTAGTAGAGATGGGGTTTCACGATGTTGGTCAGGCGGGTCTCGAACCCCTGACCTCAAGTGATCCACTTGCCTTGGCCTCCCAAAGTGCTGAAATTACAGGTGTGAGCCACTGCACCTGGCCTAGATACTATTTTTGAGTAGGGTATTTGTGATTCATTAGGCCTGAGTCAGTCCAATATTCTGTATATTTAAAAACATCTCCTGTGACTTACGGGAAGAGTTTGTACTGGGAATTATTTATTTGATTCCATCAAGTAAAGCTCATCTTTGTTTGCTTCTTGTGGAACATATTTTGCGATCTGTTCTTCTGAATGTCCAAGCTGTATCTTTCCAGGTTTTGTACGTAAACTTTTCACCAAATTTGATACCTTTCGTTTGTCAGTGATTGAGGACAGCTCTCTAGACAGAAATGAAATTACTGATAACATGTCATTTCAGGTATAGACACAATAGTTTTTCATCATAGATTAGTACTAAATAAGAAAGTTGACTAATATAGGTTTCACATATTTCTGTTTTCTAGTTAGAAATTACCAGGAGAAGCTCTCCTAAAATACCAGCTTTTCAAAAAAAAAAAAAAAGTCTCAGTGCTCATGGGCTCTGGGCATCATAATTGGAACTGTACCAAAGAGAAAAGAAGTCTCAGAAATGACCAGATAGGACAGGTTTTCAGCATGTTTAGTTTCACCACTGATGACTTTTAATTCAGTCTGTCATCTAAAAGTATAAACTAAAGCAGGGGTCCCTAACTCCTGGGCCACTTACCAGAACTGGGCTGTGGCCTGTTTAGAACCTGGCCTCACAGAGTGGGTGAGCGGTGAGCAAGCCAGTGAAGCTTCATCTGTATTTACAGCCATTGCTTATCGGGGGAAATTCACCCCCGATATTCCACATAGGTTCTTTTCTATTTTCCCTAAGTGTCAGCCAGTCTGAGAAATAAAGGGAAAGATTACAAAGAGAGAAATTTTAAAGCTGGGTGTCAGGGGGAGACATCACATGTCGGCAGGTTCCGTGATGCCCCCCAAGCAGCAAAACCAGCAAGTTTTTATTAGTGATTTTCAAAAGGGGAGGGAGTGTATGAATAGGGTGTGGGTCACAGAGATCACATGCTTCACAAGGTAATAAAATATCACAAGGCAAATGGAGGCAGGGTGAGATCACAGGACCACAGGACCACAGGGCCAGGGCAAAATTAAAATTGCTAATGAAGTTTTGGGCACGCATTGTCACTGATAGCATCTTATTAGGAGACAGGGTTTGAGAGCAGACAACCGGTCTGACCAAAATTTATTAGGCGGGAATTTCCTCTTCCTAATAAGCCTGGGAGTGCTATGGGAGACCGGGGCTTATTTCATCCCTTATCTATGACTGTAAAAGACAGCCGTCCCCAAAGCGGCCATTTCAGAGGCCTCCCCTTAGGGATGCATTCTCTTTCTCAGGGATGTTCCTTGCTGAGAAAAAGAATTCAGCGATATTTCTCCTATTTGCTTTTGAAAGAAGAGAAATATGGCTCTGTTCCGCCCAGCCCACAGGCAGCCAGACTTTAAGGTTATCTCCCTTGTTCCCTGAACATTGCTGTTATCCTGTTCTTAAGGTGCCCAGATTTGATATTGTTCAAACACACATGCTCTACAAACAATTTGTGCAGTTAATGCAATCATCACAGGGTCCTGAGGTGACATATATCCTCCTCAGCTTATGAAGATGATGGGATTAAGAGATTAAAGTAAAGACAGGCATAGGAAATCACAAGAGTATTGTTTGGGGAAGTGATAAATGTCCATGAAATCTTCACAATTTATGTTCAGAGATTGTAGTAAAGACAGGCGTAAGAAATTATAAAAGTATTAATTTGGAGAACTAATAAATGTCCATGAAATCTTCACAATTTATGTTCTTCTGCCATGGCTTCAGCCGGTCCCTCCTTTCGAGGTCCCTGACTTACCACAACAGCTCCTCATTGCTTGCATTACTGTTTGAGCTCCAACTCCTGTCAGATCAGCAGATCAGCAGTGACATGAGATTCTCATAGGAACGTGAAATCTATTGTGAACTCTACATGTGAGAGATCCAGGTTGCACACACCTTATGAGAATTTAATGCCAGATGATCTGTCACTGTGTCCCATCACACCCAGATGGGACCACCTAGTTGCAGGAAAACAAGCTCAGGGCTCCCATTGATTCTACATTATGGTGAGCTGTATAATTATTTCATTATATATTACAATGTAATAATAACAGAAATAAAGTGCACAATAAATGTAATACGCTTGAATCACCCCAAACCTTCCCCGCCCCTGGCATGGAAAAATTGTCTACCGTGAAACTGGTCCTTGGTGTCAAAAAGCTTGGGGACTGCTGGACTAAAGGACAGAAAATGATATCTACAATTTTAGGAACTGAAGTCTTAAAGAGGAAGGGAAACAGGCATGAGTAAAATGGGTTAGGAACTTTGGGATATAAAAGCATGGATCATATGTGTCCTAGAATCTCTTGGGCACACTTTTTAGACTAATCTACTCAATGAAGCAGCTCCTTTGACATTATGTTTTGGCCACTCCAGAGCCCCTCTTCGGCTGGCATTCTTCCTCACAAGTTCCATCCAAATAATCTCATGTGTAAATTACTATGTAAAATAAGGACTTCTATTGTCTGTCTTAGGCCACAGCATCTCAGAACCAAGTGACAGTAATAATGGATCCGGGAAAAGGATGTGACCCATAAACATCTCCGTACTGCCCCTGATTTAAATATATTTTCACATTATAAAATAATGTAGACTCATAGGAAAATTCAAAAGATTCTAAAAAGGAGCAAGTAGAAGCCAAAGCATCTATATTTCTACCAAACATAACCAGAATTTTGGTGTTATTTCCTTGTATTTTTAAATTTTAGATGTGGTTATTGTTTTGAGTAGCCTGTTAAACTCAAATGAAAACATGAAAAAATAGATATAGATAGATAATGAACAGAGCCAGAGATCTGATAATGTCATTCTCCTGTATGTAAAATTTTGTATACTTATTTTATTCAATAATATAACACAACAAACTTTTATTCATTGAAAATATTTTACAAAAATACTTTTAATGGCTGCCTAATATAGTTATGTACCTATTCCTCATTGTCATTTAGTTTAATTTGTTCTTTATTTCTGGTATCAGTCACATAACCTTTATCATCTATGTACAAAATGTCTTTTCTATGTTAAGAATTCTTTCTTTAGTTTCACAAAAAGGAATCATGGTGTTGAAGAGTTGGAATGCTTTTATATTTCTTGATATGATATTTTTAAACCCCTGAGGAAAAGCAAAATTAAAGAGAGAAAACTCACATAAAGATATATGTGGATTCCACATGTTTATATTTTTAGTAGGTAATTGTTTGGACTTATGCTGGAGTAAAAGGCAAAAGAAGAGTGGGTCTAAAAGGATGTTTCCCTGGAAAGGATGATGGCAGCAGGATGAGTTTTCTCCTTCTCTCCTCGCACACTGAAACAGCCTTCCCAGATTATCATGTTGTAAGTCTAGGAAGCTGGCTGTGAACTGCGGGGCACTAATCAGCAGATATCATCTATTCATTCACTCAACAAATATTGATTGAGTACCTACCATGTGTCAGGAAATAGCCTAGGTAAAGGAGGTAGGTGAAAGAGAAGGAGAAAACCTACTGAGGAATAAAGAAATAAGTGCAAGGCAGGGGATTTAAAGGAGGTCAAGTCTAGAGAGTGACTGATTTGCTGCTGTGGTTTGGGAGGTCAAAGAAAACCTTTCCATTGAAGACAAATTGAAGCTGGGATGTAAAAGGCAAGTAAGAATCAGTTCTATTTTAGAGAAAGATCATTCTAGGCAGGACAAACAATGAGAGCAAATTTTCTCAGCAAGGAGTTATTGTCTCATAGGAAACATTAAAAAGGGCAGTGTAAATGAAATATATTATTTTTTTCAGTTATGAATATAGGCAAAAATAATACAATATAGTATTTGAAGTATCTGTCATTTTGTTATTGTTAGAAACCTCATACGCTTTCATAGTGAATTACAGTTTTTACAGATACATTTTAATAATATTTATGCTCATCATTACTTTAAAATTATAGTAGCTATTATATCTGTGGCTATGTACTATTATTTAATTTTTAATAAAATAGCATATATTACTGCAACACATTTGAGTAATATTTTTATATCTATGTCAATGCAATTGGTTTGCCTTTCTTACTTTATGCTTTTATAACATTATTCTGAGAAAAAAAGTCTATAGCTTTTTCAGAGATTGAAAAGGTCCTTGGCACCAAAAAGGTGATGGACTCCTATCTACAGGAAAGTGGATGGTAGATGGAATTTTTTCCAGTTATGTCAATGTGTCAATTAACCCAAATAGCAACAGTAAAATTTGGGTTATGACCTTTGTTTATTTTTTAGTTCATGAAAATGCAGAGTTTCTTCAGGGCAAAGGACCTTCCATTAGAAGGTGGCTGGTAAATTTTTTTTTAGGTAATTGGATTTGGCTGCAAAGAATGTGGAACCGATCTTACAGGTGATTTCCCAACTCAACAGTTAGCTGCTAGTCACTGAACATCTGTTTTAAATATTTAAATGACAATCACAATAAACATTTTCTTTTAGAAACTAGTGAATAGAATGGACTTATAGGGAACACCTTCAGCAAACATGCTTTATTCTAGGGACATAAAATGTATCAGTAAATTAAAAGGATAGTTTATCAACCTTCCCATTGCCTTTTTGTGGTGGCTCAAAAATCATTGAGAGGGCTTCACCCCTTCATTAGATGAAATCCCAACTGGATCATTATGATGTGGCAAGTACTTTGGTATCTTCAACCCTGTCCACACAGGTAGAAAACTGAATGAATGAATTTAATTATTGAATATCAACCTGTGTATCTGTTATTTCCCATGAGCAAAGAACAATAAGTATTTTCTATTTACTCTTGGTGAAAAAATATTCCTTTGAATTGATTGAGTCTTTACTAATTAAGTGATCTCCAGAGTCATCATTTTAAATGTCTTAAGTTAATTTGGTACAACATTTGGCATTTCCCAAGAAAGTGAAATAAACTTATTTGATAACTGAAGTGCTTGAATTGTGTATGCTTTAATCAGAAAGCCATGACATTTGCATTTAAATTTTACACTCACAGGTAGGAAAGAAGAAATGGTTATAAACATGCATAATTAGAGATTTAAAATGTTATTTATCTAGTAATTTTGAAAAAAAGTTTGATTCTCTGTGGAGATTTCCAGTACATTCCTATTGCCTCAAAAATAATTGAGACTTTTGTTATGTATAGCAGATCATTTTAAAAATATCAAGTCTATTTTCATAAATTTCTGGATATTTAATGGATTAGAAATGCTATTTCCAGTAATTCTAGAGTTTTACTCTGTGTTTCTTAACAGTTTCATAGAGGCATAGTTGATAAGTTAATTTATTAATAAACATTTTTGTTTAAGAGTAGTTTTAGGACTATGGAAAAGTTACAAAGATGTTCATAGATGTCCCTTACACATCACACCTATTTTCCCCTATTATTGACTGCTTTTATTACTATGATATATTTATCACAACTAATAAGACCATAATGATATATTATTATTAATTAAATCCCATGCTTTCATCAGATTTCCTTAGTTTTTACCTAATGTCCTTTTTCTGTTCAAGATCCCATCCAGGATATCATGACACATGTGTCCAGCAAATTTCCCATATGTGTCTCTTGGGCCTGACAGTTTCTAATAGTGTTCTAGTTTTTAATGACCTTGACTGTTTTGAGGAGTACTTCTCAAGCATTTTGTAGAAAGCCCTTAAATTGGAATTTGTTTGACATTTTCCACATGATGAGAGACTGTTTTTGTATGGATGACTACAGTGTCTTTCATACTACCCCATATCCAGGGTACATACTATCAACATAACTTATGACTGTTGATGTTAGCCTTGATCACATGGCTTGAGTTGTGTCTGTCAAATTTTGCAGTGTTTCTTTTCCCCCTTTCCATACCGCACTCTTTGCAAGGAATTTGCTCCATGCAGCCCACACTTAAGGGGCAATTATGTTCCCTCTCCATGAGGACAAGGTATTTACAAAATTAATTGGAATTCTTTAATAAATGTTTGTCTATTCTCCTTATTCATTCATTCACTCATTTCTTTATAGAAGGATGAACTCATATATTATTTATATTATACTTCAGGTTATAATCTATGATTATTTATTTTTGTTAGCTCAAATTTTCCGTTTTTGGCCATTGAAAGCTCTTTCAGTTGATTCCTGTATCCCTTTCACATACTCCATCAGTATAACTTAGTGAGTACTTTTTATTTTCAGACAGTAGATTTCAAGGTCATCTTGTATAGTCCTTGCTCCAGCACTAAAATCTGCCATTTTTCCACGAAGACTTGACTTACTTTATTGAAGACTGATGTTAGAAACCAAGATTTGTGTGCTAGGTGTGCTCATTTGTATTGGGGTATTACTGTTTCAAGACTCTTAACTGGCAGAGCAAAAAAATATACATGTGTATAACTAGCCCATGTATGTACATATATCTATAATTATGTGTATATTCATCTGAATAAGCTTAAAATGAGTTCACACTGGTGTTTCCAACTTTAATTCATTATCATGCATCATTCTATCCTCTCCTCTTTTTATCTGCAATCTTGCCTTCTGACAATGAAAACCATGACTCCCACTACATGCTATTTACTTAATTGTTCAAATCCCGGTATACATGTACAGTGACTTCAGAATTCTTATTCCTTCTCCCTACAGAAAAACTTTAGCATCTAACTAATGGCAAGCACAGATACTTTGCCACTTAGTTTTACAGTCTCCACTAATTTTCAAAGTTACTTAGGTCAATACATTTCTGACATACCCCTCAGGATATTTCGTACATCTGTAATATAAGTTAGATTCTTTTGTCATAATCTGCATTCTCTTTTAGGATCCTCCAAACTTCTCAATTATATTATCTTTAATTTGTATATTCTAGATTTTACTTTTTGTACTGTAGAGTTCTATGGGTTTTTGACAAATGGATAGTGTTATGTATCTATTACTATATTACACTTTGTAAATGAATTTGAAATAGGCTTAGATCTAGGATCTAGGCATGGAACTGTGACTTTTTATTCAATAACTCCTTAAAAAACACCACCTGATTTTCTTTGTTTTTTAAGTAGTATACATTATACATATATATGTAAATATATATGTAAACTTTTAAGTTCAGGAGTACAAGTGCAGTTTTGTTACATAGGTAAACATGTGTCATGGTTGATTGTTGTACAGATTATTTCATCACCCCAGTATTAAACCTACTACCCATTAGTTATTTTTCCTGATCCTCTCCCTCCTCCCACCCTCCATCCTCTGAAAGGCCCCAGTGTGTGTCGTTCCCCTCTATGAGTCCATATGTTGTCATCATTTAGCTCCAACTTATAAGTGGGAACATGTGGTATATAGTTTTCTGTTCCTGTGTTACTTTGCTAAGGATAATGGCCTCCAGCTACATCCATGTCCCTGCAAAGAACATGTGATCTCATTCTTTTCCATATCCAGTCTATCACTGATGGGCATTTAGGTTGATTCCATGTCTTTGCTATTGTGAATAGTGCTGCAATAAACATACGTGTGAATGTATCTTTATAATAGAATGATTTATATTCCTTTGGGTTTATACCCAGTAATCTTATTACTGGGTCTAATGGTATTTATGTCTCTGGGTCTTTGAGTTACTGCCACACTGTCTTCCACAAAAAACCTATTGTAGACGAACTAAAAATGAAAAGCAACAAATTAAAACACGCTACTAGATAAAATCACTTAACCACCAAGGAAGACATTAAAAAGGGAGGAACAATGAGTCAATAAACAGTAAATAAGCACCAAAATAGCAGTAGTAAGTTCTTACTTAATAATAACACTGAATGTAAATGCTGCCATCTATGACAAAACCACAGCCAGTTATCATACTGAATGGGTAAAAGCTTAAAGCATTCCCCTTGAAAACCAGGAGAAAAGAATGCCCACTCTCACCATTCCTATTCAACATAGTAACAGAAGTCCTAGCAAGAGCACTCAGGCAAGAGAGAGAAATAAACAACATCCAAGTAGGAAGAGAGGAAATCAACCTACCTCTCTTTGCAGATAATATGATTCTATGCCTAGAACACCACATAACCTCAGCCCCAAAATTCCTTGATTTGATAAACAACTTAAAGTTTCAGGATACAAAATCAATGCACAAACATCAGTAGGATTTCTTTACACCAATAATGTCCAAGCTGATAGCCAAAACAGGAATGTCATCTCATTCACAGTAAGCACAAAATGAATGAAATACCTAGGAATGCAGCTAACCAGTCAGGTGAAGGATTTCTATGATGAGAATTAGAAAACACTGGTGAAAGAAATCAGAGACAGCACAAATGAAAAAAATTCAATGCTCATGGATAGAAAAAATCAATACTGCTAAATTGGCCACACTGCCCAAAGCAATGTACAGATTCAATACTATTTCTATTCATCCACCAATGACATTCTTCACAGAATTAGAAAAAATTAATTTTAAAATTCATATGGATCCAAAAAAAAGCCTGAATAGCCAAAGCAATCCTAAGCAAAAAGAACAAAGCTGGAGGCATCATATTACCCCCACTTCAAACTATATTGCAAGGCTATAGTAACCAAAACAGCTTGGTACTGGTAAAAAAAAACAGACACATAGGCCAATGAAACAGAATAAAGAGCCCAGAAATAATGCCACACACCTAAATTATCTAATCTTCAACAAAATCAACATAGCAAACAACGGGGAAAGGAATCCCTATTCAATAAATGGTGCTGAGATAAATGGCTAGCCATATGCAGAAGACTGAAACTGAAGCACTTATTTATACCGTATAAAAAAATCAACTCAAGATGGATTAAAAACCTAAATTAAAATCCAAAACTATAAAAACCCTGGAAGAAAACCTAGGAACCATTTTGGGCATGGGCACAGGCAAAGATTTTATGATGAAAATGCCAAAAGCAATTGCAACCAAAGCAAAAATTGACAAATGGGAATTAATTAAAGAGCTTCTGCACAGCAAAAGAATCTACAACAGAGTAAACAGACAATCTAAGGAATGGGAGAAAATATGTGCAAACCATGCATCTGACAAAGGTCTAGTAACCAGAATCTATAAGAACCTTAAACAAATTAACAAGCAAAAAACAAGCAAACTCATTTAACAGTGGGCCAGGCCGGGCGTGGTGGCTCATGTCTGTAATCCCAGAACTTTGGGAGGCCGAGGTGGGCAGATCACGAGGTCAGGAGATCGAGACCATCCTGGCTAACTGAAACCCCGTCTCTACTGAAAACACAAAAAATTAGCCAACTGTGGTGGTGGGCGCCTGCAGTCCTAGCTACTTGGGAGGCTGAGGGAGGAGGATGGCATGAACCCAGGTGGTGGAGCTTGCAGTGAGCCGAGATCTTGCCACTGCACTCCAGCCTGGGTGACAGAGTGAGACTACACCTCAAGAAAAAAAAAAAGACCAATGATATGAACAAACATTTTTTAAGAAGAGATACATGCAGCCAAAAAACATATAAGAAGATACTCAACATTACTAATCACTAGAGAAATGAGAATCAAAACCACAATAAGATGATACCATCTCATACCAGTCAGAATGATTATTATTAAAAGGTCAAAAAGTAACAGATGCTGGTGAGGTTACAGAGGAAACGGAATGCACATATACTGCTGGCGAGAATGTAAATTAATTTAGCCATCATGTAAAGCAGTTTGGCAATTTCTCAAGGGACTTAAAACAGAATTACCATTTGACCCAGCAATCCCATTATTAGATATGTACCCAAAGGAATATAAATCATTCTACCATAAAGACACATGCACATGGATGTTCATTGCAGCAATATTTACAATAACAAAGACATGGAATCAACTTAAATGCCCATTGACAATAGCCTGGATAAAAAAAAAATGTGGTACCTGTACACCATGGAATATACACAGACACACATACAAACAAAAATCATATCTTTGCAGCAACAGAGATGAAGCTGGAGGCCATTATACTAAGAGAATTAACACAGGGACGGAAAACCAAATACTTGTTCTGTTTTATAAGTGAGAGCTAAACATTGAGTACCCATGAACACAAAGAAGGAAACAACAGACGCTGGGTCCTACTTGAGCGTGAAGGGTGAGAGGAGGATGAGAATCGAAAAACTACCTATCAAGTACTATGCTTATTACTTCGGTGATTAAAATAATCTGTACACTAAACCCCTGTGACATGGTATTTACCTACATAACAAATCTACACATGTGCCCCTGAACCTACAATAAAATTTTAAAAAATACATTAAAAAAGTCAGCTCAGATTCAACAGAAAGTACATAACCTCCACCTGCCAATGACAGGAGCCTTAAAGAATTTGTGTATATATTTTAAAACCACTGTAGTGTTATACTATTTGTCACAACAATTACTAATTGCCTATTTTTATTACTTCAATTTTGCAGGTGTGAAAACTGAGGATGAAAAAGGAAATTTTTCATACGTAAGTTCACACAGTCAGAAAGTGGCAGAAAGTGGTGGAAATAGGACCCAAATCTAGGTCTGTTTGGCTTAAATCCCAGAGTTTTAATCCATATGCAATAATTCTTCACAAAACTCTGTTGGGGAAAGAACTCCAAGGGCCAGAAACATCATGGGAGAGTTTTAAGAGTAAAAAAAAAAAATCTGAATTCCATAGTAATAATCAATAAAAATGCCTGGAACACTTAAGTGCCTATTTGGTTTTGTCTTTTGAATCAGCGTATGGTACATCAGAGGAATTAATTCTAGCAATTTTAAGTGGGGCAGCAGAAAAATTATATAATTCCATAGGGATTTGTTTGACATGTAATTCCAAAAAAACTAACTTTAAAACAGCTTTTTTAGGCCATCTATTCCAAAATTGCATTTTAGAAAAATAACTGAAAGGATAAACACCAAAAGATCAATAATCCCAAAAGATCAATGATTATTGATATATAGTGATATCATATATGATTTTAGTTTTTGATTACCCTTTTCAAAATATCCTATAATGAACAAACAGATTTTATAATTTAGAGAGAAAATATGAGTAAATTATGTCAACCATTCTTTAGATTCTAGTCTAGATAATATTAATATTATTTAACAATGATTTTATCACAATTTAGATGTGATTCTACAATCACAGATATTGATGCTAGCTACAGTTATTCCAGAATGCATTCACAATTTTTCTACAATCTGGTCAGTATTGTTTATTGACATTTTTATCTATTTACGTTTGCTGTTTTCTAAATAAAAATAGATCTCATACTGAAGGGCGATTCCAGAGCACAAAGCCCTCATGTGTAAAAGAACAGAAGTTGTAACACTAGGCAAGAAGTATGACATACTAGCATCTAAAAGCAAATTGACCTACTCATTAATCTTATTTTAGTGGATTTAACTTGTTTGGTTACTGGTAACTATGTAACCTACTAGAAATAAAAGAATATATTCATTCTCTAAATGAAACATTTTATACAATATAACTTTGCCTTGAAATTCTTAGTTACATAGTGAGACCTATGTCTGAGGGTCTTCTGAAGGACCAATTCACTTCCCTCAGAGATTGGTCTTGAATGAATTTGTGAAGACACAGAGTTTTATGTATCGCACCCAGCTAGTTTAGAGACTATGACAACTGCTAGAAGGATAAAATTGATTTCAATCTAAGCAAATAAGAATTTCACTCAATCTGAAATGAAACAACATGCCTAAGGGATAAAACCAACTCAGGTCTAAAAGTTTAAAGACTTAGCAGCTGCACTCTATGAAACAGCTTTCTATGGAGATTATCTTGGCTTTAATTGAAACTGGTCTTTGTCTTCAGCCTATCTGACTTCTCTAGTTTCCATTTTTTGTACCTTTGCTGTGTTATTTTTGTGACTCTGCTGGTTCCCAGCTAATATTTTGCATCTGATTTTCTAGTTGGTCTGATGTTGGGTACTACCTGGTCACTATTCTGGTTCTGAAAATCAATCCTGCCTTTTAGCATGAGTTACAAGTTTGTCTGGCTCATAAAACCAACTTAAGGCCAGGCGCGGTGGCTCATGCCTGTAATCCCAACAGTTTGGGAGGCCAAGGCAGGTGGATCACGAGGTCAAGAGATCGATACCATCCTGGCAAACATGGTGAAACCCTATCTCTACTAAAAATACAAAAATGGTGGTATGCGCCTGTAGTCCCAGCTACTCAGGAGGTTGAGGCAGGAGAATAACTTGAACCCTGGAGGTGGAGGTTGCAGTGAACTGAGATTGTGCCACTGCACTCCAGCTTGGTGACAGAGCAAGACTCCGTCAAAAAAAAAAAAAAAAAAAAGAAACGAAAACAGAAAAACAAACAAAAAAAAACTTAAAAGCTCAACAATTAGAAACAAGACAAATATGAAGTGAAAGAAGATAAAAGTATTCCAGAAATGAACATAATCGATTTATTTGTTTTGATTTTGATTGGTAAATACTGCATATGCAATTGGCCTGCAAGCTTACTAAACATGTACAGAAAGCAAGTGCAGGCAGATGTCAGGAGATATGACAACTGGGTAAAGAAAAGAGAAAGGATGAGAGGAGGTTATTTATTTTTTGCAAATATTTACTGAATTCCCACAGTAGGTCAGATACTTCTGTAGTCACTGAGTGCCCTGACTTTGTGAAGCTTATCTTCTAGTGGGTATAATTAGATGATAAACAAGTAGACAAACAAATAAGATACTTTCAGCTAGCATCTGCTGTGAAGAAAGTAAGAAAAGATAATAGGGTAGAGAAAAAAATCTTAAGATTTTGTTATTGGATGACTTTTGAACTAAAAACTGAATGGAGAGAAGAACCATCCATATGATATTTGGTAGAAGACTATTTCAGGCAAAGGAAATAACAAATGCAAAATCTATGGACCAATAAAGCAAATTTAGCTCTGCCATAGCAAAGTGTATTAGTTCACTCTTGCATTGCTATAACGAACTACATGAGACTTGGTGATTTATAAAGAAAAGAAGTTTAATTGGCTCACAGGTCTGCAAGCTGTGTAAGAAGCATGGCTGGGGAGGCCTCAGGAAACTTACAATCATGGTGGAAGGCAAAGAGGAAGGAGGCACATCTCACATGGCCAAAGCAAGAGGAAGAGAGGAAAGGGGGAGGTGCTACACACTTTTAAACAACCAGATCCCATGTGAACTTACCCAGTATCATGAGAAAAATAAGGGGAAAACCTGCCCCCAAGATCTAATCACCTCCCACCAGGCCCCTCCTCTAATATTGAGGATTACAGTTTGATGTGAGATTTGAGCAAGGATACAAATCCAAACCACATCATTCCATCCCTGTCCCCTCCCAAATCTCATTTCTTTCTCACACCTAAAAACACAATCATCCCTTCTCAACAGTCTTCCAAGTCTTATCTCATTTCGCCATTAACTCAAAAGTCCATAGTCCAAAGTCTCATCTGAGACAAGGCAAGTTCTTTCCCTCTACTATGAACATGTAAAATAAAAAAACAAGTTAGCCACTCCCAAGATACAACATGGGGGTACAGGTTTTGGGTAAAAACACCCATTCCAAAAGGGAGAAATCAGTCAAAACAAAGGGGCTACAGGTCCCATGCAAGTTTGAGACCCAACAGGGCAATCATTCAATCTTAAAGCTCCAAAATACCCTTTTTTGACTTGATGTCTCACATCCAGACCACACTGATGCAAGTGGTGGGATCCCAAGGCCTTGGGCACAAAGGTTATTTTTATGTAAATGGCATTTGGTATCAACTTACATTTTCTAAAAAGGAAAGTGAAAGAATTCTTGAAAACTCTGTTCATAACAGATTTGTAGGTCTGTATCTGGTATAGGTTTTAGAATGCCTAGTTTCCTATTCTACAAAAGGCCATTTCATAAAATGATCCAGGAACTCTTACCTTCTTTCAGTTCCTACAAATGCACATGCTCCTTCCATCTTGAAGGTCTTTACATGTACGCCTCTTCTTCTTGGAAAGCCTTCATCTTTCTTCACTTAGTTATGTCCTACTTAACAGTCAGCTCTCAACTCAAATGCCACATCATTTTTAGTCCTTATCTCTGCTTGCAAATGACTTATGTATATAACTAATAGGCCCCATGAGGATAGGACCAGTGTCTGTCTAGCTCAGTGGTTTCCCCAGCACCTAGCAGAGTACCAGGGGCCATTTCCATGAAAGCCAGCTTTAAAAATCACATGAGAGCTGAGCAATATTTTGTGGAGCCTTTTTTTTCTTATGCTCAACATGCCCTTGTTGACTTTAATGGAAGTAGACTGGTGCACAAAGTTGAAATAAACCAGTTCCAGTTCTGAAAATTGTTTACAAATGAAATACAGAATACCATACACAGCATTTTGTGCTTCCTGGAATTAGTTAATTGAATTTTAATTTTTTTCATAAAAGAATACCAAAAAACCCTTAAATGTAAAGGTCTGCATGTCAAAGTGGGGGTCTATCTCAAAAAAAAACTCATAGAGATACATATCATCAATAATTTTTTGGAATGTATTCCAGATGACTCTTTAGAAACAACTCCCCAAGAACACATCTGAATATGGAGGGGAGGATAAGTAAGAGTCTTATATATCATTTGCTACTCCTGAATGTTTTTATGTATTCTGAAAAGTCTTTCTTTTTGTAAAATATGTTGCCTATCATGGGGACTGCATATACTGCCTATTATGGTAATAGATGAAGAATAACATGCTTGATTTAAGTAGAGAGCCTTAGAAAGTCTTAGAACATCATTAAAAAAAAACTCTTCATGCTCTGTTTTCTTAAGGACTTATGTGGAAAAAAAGTAAAATGCATCTGCATTCAGCATTCTAATGTTTCATTATTCAGAACTCATTTAAATTCAATGCATTATTTGGACCATAAGACTTTTTTTCTACAAAATTGACCACGCATACACACACACACACACACACACACACACACACACACACACCATATAAAGATGTATGTGTCTCTGTATTGTTGATATAGAACTTTGGAAGATTTGGGTTTTCTTACTTGCCAGCAATTGAGCTGAGCAAGTCAAGGCAGGTTAATATTGTTTTCTCTTAGAATATGTCATGTCAAAAGTCAAAAGGACAATATTCTTTGGAGGAATAGTCCCATGGGTGATCACTTATGGCTCAAATAAACTGCCCAATATAGGTTAGTATTTATTCCATCACTAAAAATTACTTAACACTGTCTATTTATAATCACCCTATTTGCCTGTGTTTGTAATTAATAAGAACAATAAGGAACAATAGGAAATGTTTAATACCAGAAATAAGAACTCAAGCTCAAGCAAGAGCAAGTGTTAGGAAGTGCAGGGGAGGGGGAATGATGCTGATGTTAGGCTGATGACATGTTCCATAGTACCAAATGTACTTTTGACAATTGGGTGATGAAAGGGAAATACATGAAATTGCTTTTACATTGTTTATTGACCTTTAAATTACCTAGATGTTGAGTTATGGCTCAAAGAATAAAGAATTGTCACTATACAAGGTCTTAGAATTAGAGAAAGAAAAAAATGTATCTGAGGCACAGAGGTTTGTTAAATTTCAAAAGTCAGGTTAATATGAACATATTTTTAAAATTTTAATACTCAGGAACTAAAAATAAATTTAAGTGCAAAAGAACATTATCTTGAGCCTACTTGAAGCCAACAAATTTTTCCAAATAGTTATCTAAAAATTCCTTCTAACAACCAGTCTAAATGGTAAATATGGAACGAAAATCTTGGAAGAAAGTAATAAAAGATGCTTTTCCCCCCTCAGTAATTATTTATAACATTTTGTTCTTAATGATGGCCTAAATGTCATGCTCCCATTCCATTGGATTCTGGAGTTCATGTGCATTCAACACGTATTGATTCTGTTTCTTTAATGCAGAACCGGGGTACACTAATTAGATATTTAAAGTATGTAAGTGTCTTTATATATGGCTGATGCTTTTAATAGGGGAAATAAATCAATGCAAAAAAATTATAAATGAATGCAGGGCTATGTGTTTAAATGGCCCAAATAATGTGAGTTTAAAAAAGAGACTCTGCATACTGAGATTGACCTCTTTGCTGATTCTTAAATGCACTATGCTCTTGTCTTAGTTAGATGCTAAATCCAGGGAGATGCTTTCCCTGAATTTAGCAGCAGAAAATTGTGTCAGGACATAAGACAAACACAACAGTTTAGCAAAACTGTCAGTCATACCAATGGACCATTGTGTTAGCATATTTCTAAGCCTCTGGTTAGAAGTGGAACTTTTACTGCCTGAAAGAAAATGTATCTTTAAACTCCATATAAGATCTAGCCTGGAGACAAGGGAAAAATTTCTAAGATTTTGCTGTATATTTGAGGCTAACTCCTGAGAAGCCCACCTGCTATTAGTTCAAACCAGTCACTTCCCTGAAGAGTATATTTATTAAGATAAGTGTCATTGGTTGAATGATGGCCTCACAAAAAAATATTACTGCATATTAACAGCAGGAGCCTAGGATTATAACCCTATCTGGAAAAGGGTGTTTGCAGGTGTCATTAAGTTCAGGATTTTGAGATGACATCATTATGGATTACATGGGTGAGCCCTAAATTCAATGACAAGTGTTCTTATTAGAGACAAAAGAGGAGAAGATTCAGACACAGAGAAGACCTCATTAAGTGAGTGGCAGAGATTGGATTAACATAGTCATAACCCAAGGAATTCTGGGAGCCACTAGAAGCCAGAAAGGCAAGGAAGTATTCATTTCTAGCGGCTTTGAGACATAGCAGAGACCCCTTTTAGAGGCCTGCTGTCCCTGTCTTAAGCATGGAAATAAAGGAAAAATTTTGAGTCCCATCAAGGGCAATTCCAGGCATCTAGCTAGCCTTAAAAAGTAGATGAGCAGCCTGATTAGCAGAAAAGTAATGATAGCTTAAGCAATATCCACCCAAATCAGTTAGAGTCACACGATGTTTGCCTCCCTATAGAAACTAGAAATAACATCTTAACACATGTCCCTGAGCCGTCTTTTGGAAACCTAGACCCCCGCCAGATAAAAATTGCCAATGGATAGATTAGGAAAAAACAAACAAACAAACAAAAAAACAACCTCTGCCATGTAAACCTCACATAAGTGTGAACAGAAGTCTGAACTCTTACTCTTGCTTTTTGTTCTAAATTTCTTCCTGACGGGCCTGCAGAAGTCATGCCCACAGACCAAACTTTAAGATTTCTTTCTGCTGGCTCCAACTTTTTAGATAAAGCTTATCTTCCTTAACCAATTGCAAATCTAAAATTCTCTGAATCCACCTATGACCTGTAAGCTGTCTCCCCCCGACCCCCCAACCCTGGGTGCCCACTTCAAGATATCACACTTTTTTAGATCAAACCAATGTAAATCCCTATGTCTTGATTTATGACTTTGCCTGTAATTTCTGCCTCCCCGCCTTTAAAAAACCTTATATGCAAGCCATCAGGGAGACTGGGTCTTAAGCATCAGTGTGGCACCCTGCAAATAAATGCCCTTCTTTCCCTTGCTGTAAACTTTGGTGTGGGTGTTTGGCTTTACTGTGCTGGGCGAGCAGACCCAGGTTTAGTGCAGCAATATCATCAGAGGGAGCATAGCTTTGTGAAAATCTTGATTTCAGATTTCTAGCCTCTAGAAGTACCAGAATAAATTTTCGTTGTTTTAAACCACCAAGTTTTTGTTAATTTTTTGCAGCAGCCACAGGAAACTAATACAATGAGCTTCGAGGAAAACTTGGCCTCTTTGCTGATCCCTAAATGCATAATGCTCTGGTCTTAGTTAGGATTTGTTACTTCCTCTGCCTGAACACTCTTCTCCAATTATGTGGAGGACTCCCCCATTCACTATATTTGAGTCTCTGCTCAAATACCACTTGACAAAAAGCACTCCTATAACCTAATCTAAATTAGCAGCCCTATCCCACGTTTCCCTGTTCTATTTACCTTATCAACCCTGACTATCTCCTATCCCTGCCACCATGAATGGTGATCCTAACTGTCTTGTTCACTCTGTGTGCCTTAAGAACTTTCCTTGCACATAGGAGGTATTTAATAAATACCTGTTGAAATACAAGCCAAGTTATTTTTTGTTGTTTTTGTTTGGTTGGTTGTTTTTTGAGAGAATGGGGAAGAGATAGGGATGAGAACATCAAATTGGTGGAAATCCAATATGCTTGTGACAATAATTCATAGCACCAGCAACATTATGTAAGTGGCAACCTCTAGTTACCTACAATAAGCTCATTAACCATTGCGGGAGACCAGCATATGGCTCTACACAATATGAAGGATTGTTGAGCTGAAGACAAGAAGAAGTAGATGCAGGAAAGCTCTTTGTCCTCCCTCTGTTTCACTAAAAGCAATACATAGATTTTCAAAGACAAAAGGTATCCTGCCCACCTCTCTAACAGGAGGAACAAAAGTTAACCACTGAAGACAGTGTTAGCCCCTTATCGGCTGGTATCACAGGATATGATACCAAAGTAATCTATTTTAACAAGCTTTACTAACTTTTATCTGCCTGTTATTTGCTTTCTCCCAATTTGCCACCTGTAGAGATTGAAAATCCTTTTCCTCTGTCCTACCACTACTCTAAAAATTTACTGCTGTTTGCTTAATATGCTATATAAACTGAAATTTAAAGCCAACTCTCGGAGAACAACTCATTCTCTGGGTGCCTCCAATGTACATATGAAATATACCTGCTAAGCAACTTGTTTTTCTCTTTTTAATCTGTCCTTTGTAACAAAGGTCTGTTTTAAGATCCTATGTGAGTTACTTTTCCCCTACACATAAAAGAAAAAGCCCCAAAAGTAATTGCTGATGTCAGAATATTGGAAATGTGTGTCTATAAAGTTAGATGTAAATGGACTATCTGTAAATTTAATCATTTTAATACTGAGATGCTTTATATGACTAATGTTTCATCTTTATCTCTGATATTCATATACAGTGGCTCTTAATTCTTGGGCATTAAGTTTCTGTATCCCTAATTCTCATTCAAGTAGTTAACAATGTGTAAACACATTTTAAATACAATAGGAGAATATGCTATTAAAAGAATCACTGCTGGCTTAGATGACTCCTTTTTAATATAATAAGATGGTCAATATTCAATCCTTTCAAATTAATTGATTTAAATAACATGTTTGCAATGTGGGTGACAGATGAGCTCGGTTCTTTAAATAGAGCTATTTCTCCCCATGAATTGGAGAAGAATTAAAGGGGGTAATGTATATATTTGCTGCTGGGAGAAAGGAATGGCAGGACCAGAGTTAAGCAATTTCATTTTTATGCAATGCTATTGTGGAGTCCATTAATATTCATAATAATGAATCATTGAATCATGAACACTTATTTCTTCAGAGATCACCTTTGCTTCCAAACATTTTGGAATACCATAAAAATTACACATATTCTCTCACCTTTCAAGGATGAAACTTTATTAATTTATAATCTTTAGCTAATTGCAAATTAAATAGGCTTTCAATTATCTGATGAATCTTTAGAGAAGATGCTACCTTCAAAGATCTTTGTTAAAATTGATCAAGTGAAAAATTTATTGTACTTTGTGTTAAAATTACATAAAAGTACATTTTTTTTCAAATCTGTTTATTTTAGTTTGATTCTGTTTAAAGAGTCAACTGGGTCAAATAAACCATTAACTTTTGCCTTTCCTTTCATTCAGAGTTAGAATATCAAAGAGTTGTCTTCAGAAATTATTTTTTTCAAGTAATAAGTATCACAATATTGACCCATCTAATCAACTGAATTTTATTTTCTACTAATAAAAGGGTAAGATAAAATGTTGATTTAATATTTTACTCTGGTGTGTAGTATACAGAAATTAAGACAAAAAACTACAGGACAATTTTAGAAATATGTTACATGGGGAATGAGGTACTCATTATAGAAAATGCTGTCAGAGCAAAAATTTCACCAAAGTTAGATGAGCAGGGAAGACCTTATTATACAAGGCTGTTTCTACAACGTGAGAGGGCAGAACTCAATCTGAATTGAACTCCTCTGAAACAAAGCATGAGATGGTCTTTAAAGGCTGGGATGAGCTCTTGGAAAAGTACTAGAGGACTTTAGGAAGGTTGATCAATGGACTTTGAGCAGATTGAGTTATTTCCTGAGTTTACAAATGTTTTCCTCTATGATTAGGCCATCTGTGCTTGCTAATCAGCATCTATTGAAGTTAGGCTCCTACCCTTTCACAGAGACTGGGAGATATGGACTGTATCTTGCTGGATGACTGCATTTCAGTGGGATGGCTCTCAGGTCCTTGGGAAAGACGTTTGTTGGGTTATAAAACTGGCAAGAGGGTTTTAAAAGAATTTACGTCTCATAGGGAGAGAGAAATAACTTTCAATTATAAGTTTTCTAAAGAAAATAACAAAAGGGAAGGGAGAGACTTCTGTGATTAGGCCATCTGAATTCTGTAATAGCCAGCTTGAGAGGGAGGGAGGTCAAGGACTTAGAGGCAGGAAGAAACCTGGCTTAAGTTCAGTCAAACCTTGGAGAATGTCAAGACCATCTTGGTCAATGGTATCTTAAATTTTTTTAATGTGCTACACTAAATGGTAGAATTTGTCCTAAAGATCTACTTTCAATGCCTTAGAGAACTACATTCAATTGTTATAAAGCAGTAAACCAGAGGTGCATATATCTATAATTCTTAATAGTTATTATAACCTATTATGTATTATTTTCCGTCAGGGACTCACTATTTATAACATGAAGGAAGAATATTTAGGTCTCACAGTTCTACCTGTAACCATGGCTGACCCATTTATTTCAACATTGATCAACTATAATTATAAGTTAATGGCAATTTCTTTAGTGCTAATAATAAGATTTGGGCCTAACAGAAAGGGTAAAACAAAAATAATTTCGATACTGTCTTGTTGCTCTGTTATTTTGGCCACACCTTGCTTGGGTTACATGGACAAGCATATTAATAAATAAATATTCCAAAATAAGACATAAGACAAAGATGATTGTTTAAGCATTTAATGTAATCTTACAATATTGTTCAACAGGCCCACCTCAGGTCATCTTACTCTCTAGGTACTTGTAAGTTTGTTTAACATACTATTTACTATTGCTTAGGTCTAGACATTTCTTACCTCTATAAAGTCAGTAGCTAACTTATAGAAAGCTGATAAGATGCAGTGATTTTCTTATTGGTCTACTGGAGAAGATAACATCAAAAATTAAGATATTTTTATACCCTGTAGATAATCATCCAATTTTGTAACTAATATCATGTATTTAAGAATTTATTTTCTTTTTTATACATTACAAAATGCCAGTTTTCAAAATGTCTTTGGAAATAGCTTTGTCATCTTTCCAGTTCCATAAATCATGACATATGCTTACTATTGTGTGATTATTATTTTTTTTCAGATTTATACTTTGACAAGGAGCTGTAAAGAAAAACCTTACATTTCTTTAGTTTGGGCATATGATGAAACCTATTCTTGATTATTTTCTTTTTCTTTTTTTATTTCTTCTCTTTTCCAATACTGATTATTTCTCATTGCCACTTCTCAACCTCTAGATCCAGAAATTTATTCAACTACCAGTTAGACCAAAGAGGTAAGGTGTATGTGTGTGTGTGAAAGTGTGCATATGTGTGTGCATATGAAGTGTGTGTTACCGTGTGGGCAAAACACATTGATGAAGCAGTAAAGCAAAGGAAAACAATCTTCATTCTTACTATTTTGCTTGAAGGCCTCAGAATTTGTACTTGTAAGTGATAGAATTACCATTATGTACAGAAGACTCTCTAATCTAGGGAAAATAAACCCATGGGAATAACCTCATTGTTATAGACAAAATTGTACCCTCCCTGCACACCAAATACATATCTTGTAGCCCTAGCCTCCAAAGTTACTGTATTTGGAAATTGGGACTTTAAAGATGTAATTAAGTTTAACTGAGGTAAAATGGGTTGGGCCCTAAGCCAGTTGGGCCCAATCCTTATAGGAAATAGAAAAGATACCAGTGATGTGTGAGCACAGAGAAAAGACTGTGTGAGAACACAACAAAAAGGTGGCCATCTGCAAGCCAAAGAGAGAGGTCTCGGAAGAAACCAAATCTACTGAAACTCTGATCTTGGAATTTCAGCCTGCAGAACTGTGACAAAATAAAGTTCTGTTGTTTAAACCACTCAGACTATGGTACTTGGTTATGGCAGTGCTAGCAAAGTACTAAGCTCATTTTTTTTATTACTTAGAGTCAATTTATCTTGAATTTTTCAAAGCATGCCGTGCATGCATATTTAATATTTGTCGTTACTCGTAACATTCAACTTGTTCTTAAGTAGACATGATAAGCCAAACTAATTGCCACAAAAGCACAATTTCAGTGGTTACATGATAGTTGCTAAATTAGTTTTATTCACATACAGGTTTTTGTGATTGGTAAAGAGAATCTGTTCAAAAAAAGAATTGCTAGCTAATAGTTATGCATACCAAAATGAGTTAAATAATATGGCTGTCTTTGCTGTCTTGGAGCTTCAGTTCTCAAGGTATTTTGTTTCCCAAGCACAATCACTTTCAAAAAAATCTCCGAATGATTTATTCTCTGTTAAAAATATCCTCCTCAATGAGTGTCATGTCTTGTCTTGTAGCCATATTTAGTAGACACTGTGGTGCACCACTCAGATTGTGCATTCAAGATCAAGCCACACATTCTGGCTGTCAGAAATGTTACCTGCTAATAGTACAGAACTGAATGTGATCGATTTAAGATGAATGTTGAAAGCCAGATGACCTCTTTGGCAGTTGATCTCCTGCAGCTGACAGAAAAAGCTGGGAATCAAGCTCAACACTTAATTATTAGGCTATCAGGGCTCTAGAGAATATTTAATTTTCAACTCTAGCCAAGACTCCTATGTTATGATCATGTTCCTGATTGGAAAGAACTGGAACTCTGAGACTTTGCAAGGAGATATACGGGTATTGTGCTCAGAATCTTGAATCTCTACATTATTACAACCATTCTAAGCCTGCAGAAGCGGCATACTCCTCCTTACTGGAGACTAGAGCTCACCCCTTGCTTGAAGATGATCAGAGGACACTACCTTCCAAATATGGCCAACCCGACACCCATATCTCCTCTCCTCTCCCTTCTTGGCCAGTATACTAATGACTAGAGACAAATCACAACATAACCTGATCAGAAGATTGTTGGATTGTATAAGAAAAGAGAGAAATTAAACATGAAGGAGTTGTAGGATATGACCAACATATATTGTCAGGGTCCAGGAAAATATATATGGATGCTGGATCAAGAATGGTATACTGGGTTGGCACGGTGGCTCATGCCTATAATCTCAACACTTTGGAAGGCCAAGGCAGGGAGATCACTTGAGGTCAGGAGTTCGAAACCAGCCTGGCCAACATGGTGAAACCCTGTCTCTACTAAAAAAAAAAAAAAAAAAAACACAAAATTAGCTGGGCATGGTGGCCCATGCCTGTAGTCCCAGCTACTTGGGAGGCTGAGGCATGAGAATCACTTGAACCCAGGAGGCAGAGGTTGCAGTGAGCCAAGATCGTGCAACTGTACTCCAGCCTGGGCAACAAAAGCAAAAAAAAAAAAAAAAAAAGGTAAAATGTAAAATTGGATAAAAAAGAGAACATTAAGGGATTACTATCTTATGATTCAAGATTTAACCCCCTGGCAAGGACGAGGACTTTGGGAGATATTGCTAACAAATGTTTTTATGATTCTTGGAAACTTGGAGAAAGTAATGTATCAAACTGAGTGATGTGGAAATGTGAGAATTGCTATAGAAGACAGTGGAGGATCAAAGGCTCAGAGTGGGGTTGCTAGAGCAGTTATACTATGAGAAACTGGAAACCCACCAGTTGACAATGTTCCATAGAGAGGTCCAGAGGATTGCCCATCTACCAAAATAATATGGAATTTGCTAGTGAGTGGAGCACAAGCATCACTGATAATTTCACGGATGGATGTCCTCTATTGGCCAGGACTGACAGTAGGCGATATATTTGTAGAACTGGCATCTTTAGCAGTAATGAGAATGCCAGGATCCTGAAGTAATAGAGACTAGTTGCAACAGTTAGTTATAAATATCATTTGGGTGCAGGTATTATAATAAGCAGCAAAGGCAAACAAGGATACAGATACCCAGGTAACTGTGGAGAAGATTAATGAACACAGGGCACTTAGAGGCATGACAGGTGCATCCAACAAAGATATTGCTTGAACTGTCAAAGAAAATCAAATTTGAGTGGGTGGGAACCTGAGGACAGAAATCCCCAAGTCAGAATCTTTTACTGAGTTTCTATACTTGAGCCAGTTTTGGAACTGAATGAAAATCATTGATTGGAGTAAAGACTGTGTCCCAAGAGGATCCATGCCAAGTAAAAACCATGGCGAATATATGTAATAAAGATTCTTTGAGATCTTTTCCAACAGGACCCATAGACATTCTCAGGTAATCATTGGACACAGGATCTAAGATGACATTGATACTCAGGACCCTAAAGTACTATCATCAACCCCTGTTATTAATGAGTCGGAGCCAGGTTGTAAATAGAATCCTATCTCAGGTCCAGATTAGCGTAGTTCCACTGGGTCCACAGACCTACCCACTTGCCATTTTGCAAGTCTTTGCATATATAGGTGAAATGGATATATTGGAGGGGTTTTCAAGACCACCACATTATTCTGTGGCCTTTATGTAAGAGCTATGTAGTAATGACGAAGCCCAAATGGAAATCTTTGAAATTAGCCCCCATGCCTATGTCACTACGTAAGGAAAAAAAGCATTAAGTTTTTTCATCCCAGATGGAGTAGCAAAGATTCATGTCAATTTTTTTGTTGTTTGTTTTGTTTTTTTTTGTTTGCTTGTTTGTTTGAGATGGAGTCTCCCTCTGTCACCCAGGCTGGAGTGCAGTGGTGCGATCTCGGCTCACTGCAAACTCCGCCTCCTGGGTTCACGCCATTCTCCTGCCTCAGCCACCCGAGTAGCTGGGACTACAGGCCCCCACCACCACACCTGGCTAATTTTTTGTATTTTTAGTAAAGACGGGGTTTTACTGTGTTAGCCAGGATGGTCTTGATCTGCTGACCTCGTGATCCGCCCGCCTCGGCCTCCCAAAGTGCTGGGATTATAGGCGTGAGCCACCGCACCTGGCCGATTCATACCAATTTTAAAGGCGTAAAATATGCAGGGATTGTAGTCTTCCACATCATTTACTTCACCAATCTGTCCCCTACAAGAAAGTAAAAGTATAACAAATAGGATTTTCATAACTATGCCAGTAGCCGCACCTGTTTTCTTTATTTCATGTGTATTCACACATCAGCAGAGTAATGTCCCCTTTTTAATTCATAACATAATTTACCTCAAAACTGTATTATATAGGTGCAGTGAAGTTAATTTTGCAAGAGAACCTTTTTTCTTCATTTGTGTTTAATTATTTTAGGGATGTATTGGTTGTAGTCTTATTCAACAGTATCATACTTTTTCACAATAACTAAGGCTAGCTGTTAGTTCACTGGGAACATTTACCTTGTAAAGAGCAAATAATACATTCCATTTAAGATTCTGCTTTTGTGTTTGATATGCAGTACAATAATTTTACTCAATATTGCTGCCTTTACTCTTTCTCTAAATTAGGAAGAAAAAAAAGACTTAGTAATTTTTTTAAACTAAGTGGTAGTTATATGAGTTTTGTTATATTTCTGTTTTTATGCCTTTTTGTGTGTCTGAACTATTCATTAGTATAGAAAGAAGGATAAAAAAAGAATAATTGTGTTATCCAATTACTTTGGAGTCTTTTTTAACTCTGAAAATGATAGAAGAACAAAGAATAGACAGTTCAGTGACTGCTAAATCATGCAAGGAATGATCAAACCTGTACCTCCGATTTGTTATAATTACTATGAATCTAGAATCTTCTAAAATTAAATAATTAGTAAGATGAGATGAGATTATAAGCATGTTAGAGATAAGAGTGTCTGTTAGAGAAAAGTACAATTCTTGTAAGATGAACCTGTGCAATCCAATTAAATTTCTAGAATCCCAAACACAGCTCTGAATAAAATGGAAGATTCTTCTCTGATCACTAATGAGAAGCCCTTTGAGTGATTTTGCCAGAAGGTTATTTGTTAATTAGAACCATGTGGCATTATGTCTATGGGATTCAGAAACTAAGTGAACTGCTGTTACATTAGAATGCAGGCAAGGACAGCAATTACAGGAACCACTGAGCAGCTATTATTAGGTGATGACCATAGATACATAAAATTTTGTATGCAATTGATTTTATTGTAATAGAAATGTATCCCTTTCATAATCTTAAATGTAAAAACAATGTTGCCAAATTTCATTTCCTTTAATACAAATGTAAAGGCAACTTTCAAAATATACATATAATTTTTTTCAAAGTGAAATATATAGGGAAGGGTACTCTTATTGCCCATAATACGAAGTAAAGTTGTAATTTCAGAATGGCCTTTGACTTTGATATCCCCTTTTATTTTAATATCCAGTAATTTTTCACTTATTTTATTGCAACATGTGCTTAAATCCTGATGCACAGAGGTATAGAGTAACAAAAGGAATCAGGTTTCCCACCGAAACAGAGGTATAGGCTTATGTCAAGACATACCATTTTCTTGAAGACTATTAAAAATGAATTAAAGTTGCTATCACTTACTTTATTCTCATAGCAATGAGATCATCTTTGGAAATGCATCTCTCTTTGAGCAATTTTTGTAAGTAGGATAGTGTCATGGACTGAAGTGTATCTCCCCAAAATGCACAGGTGGAAATTTAGCTCTTAATGTGTCTGTATTTGGAGGTAGAGCCTATAAGAAGGTAATTCAGATGAAATGAGGTCAAAAGGGCAGGGCTCTAATCCACTACAATTGATGTCCTTGAATTAGAGACACCAAAAGTGCACACAACAAAAGTAAGGCCATATGAGGAAAGAGCAAGGTGGTAGTTTGCAAGCCAGGAAGAGGGGCCTGAGGAGAAACCAACCCTGCTAGCATCTGGATCATGGACTTCCAGCTTCAAGAACTGTAAGGAAATACATTTCTGTTGTTTAAGCTACCCAATCTGTGGTATTCTGTTATGGCAGCCCAAGCAGACTAATAATACAGTTTTGAAATTAAAAATCTATATTTCTATGTTAATTCTTCAATGGAAATAAAATCAAAGAGATTTTCTTTGGTGTCTGAGGATTCTTATGTGTTTGGAAATTGAAAGCCTTTGTAATTGTGGATTCTTATCCAAGCAAGCACTGCTCCAGCATTGGAAACTATTAAGAAGAATACAATCAAAGTTCCTACCTCTAGTATCCTCTTTCATCTTGGCAACTGGGCCAAAGGCCTCCAGTTTTCTGCAATATTAATTATGGTGGCTGCAAGGCTCTGATCAAAAGATTCATTGTATTCAAGTGAAGAAAAATATTTGCCAAATTCTCCATTTGAAATTATTTTAATAGAAGACTTCAAAAAACGTGAAAATTCTGTCCTCAGTTTGATCTTGCTCTTTAAGACTTGTCCTTGAGAGTAGAGTGAACTTATTGGTAGTGGGAAAGGGCTTCATATTCTGCACTGATTTTTGACAGTACTATTTAAGAAGGAAGTGATTTAAGTCCCTGGTGCCGATGAATTTGATAAATCTTACGACAGTCGACAACATTTCTTTCAGATATTTTGGCTGTGTTTTTAATGCTAATGCATGGCAATATAGAAGACAATAAAACTCGATGTGTTGCCAAGCACTAGAAATACTTTGTCAATAAAAGAGTTTTCAAAATTTAGCCCAACTAGAGGTTTAACATTGCAAATAAATCCTTCATCACTACAAGGACACTGCAGCCCTTGAAGCTTTTTAAAGGGTCTCCTAAGATAAAGAATCTTCTTGGACAGCATCACAGTGAACATCATAGATAAATACCAGTATCTTACTTAACTGAAAGACCATCTAGGTTCATGTTTATAAAAACTGCAGGCAAATTAATAGCTTTTTGTTTTCAAAGACCTGTTTTGATATATAATATAAATATATTATCTTTTCGGGAAGAAATGGGGTCATTTAATTGCAGCATTGCTTTAATGTTTCTTTTCTCTGACTTAAGCTATAAACCAGCTTGACCGTTTCTAGTGGTTAGGGCTTCACCACCAATCTAGATTCACTCAAAGTAATTTCCAAGAAATTAATATTGCAATGATCTGAAATGATTTTACACTTCGCTCCCATATATTTGTCTATTTAAAATATATACTAAACTGTCAAAAAAAAAAAGTGGGCACCAGTAAGTAGATTGGAATATTTTTCAAAAGACTTTGTTAGAATTTTTGAGTCATAGTGTGCAGGTGGTCAAATAAAGAAAACATATCCGTAGTTTAGCCATTACTGTCATCCAAACAGATCTGCAATATTTCTCTCTGCGATTTCTGATGTTTACCAGGATTAAAGCACGGAAGAGAAAAAAACACATTCGTGCCCTTTGGTGCTTTTCTCAGAAAAAATATTCTCAACACTGATACATTGTTTCTTTTTCAACCCTCTTCATCTCTTCGACTTAGAGGTCAAACCAAATTTCCTTTCAGACTGGAAGGGTTTTCCCCAAACCTCTATTATTAATCTTAACCTCACTTAATAGCTTTTTTGTTTTTCAGGAGAAACAAAAAAAGTGACAATAAAATATGCTAAACAAATCCAGATTATTAGATATGATGTTCCAAATGGTACTTTGTCCTCTTGTGTTCATGATGACTTTAACAATTTTACATTGATGTAAAGATAGACTTTATTCATTGTATCATAAAGGATATTCTGAATCTCTTTGCCCCAGTAACACAGGTTTAAAAAAAAAGTAGCACATTCTCAATTCACTTCTTCAGAACATAAGGCATAGCATGATTTATAGATTATTTAAATAGGCAAAAAGTTTTACTGTGATGTCTACAATGGTTTTATTAGAAAAAAAAATAACGATGGGGAGAGTGGAGTAGATAAATTTGATGACCTTTCCATTTTTACCTGCCAAAAGGAAATTGTAAGCAGCTCAAATAGATTTAAAAATTCCCTGAATATAATGAGCATGTGCTATTTTTATTCATGTCCCTCTGCAGTGTTAAGTACAAAGAGCTCCGTAAGTTCTCATTACACAATGCATATGTATATGGCATCATTATGTTGTACACCTTGAATATATTTAATCTTTATTTGTCAATAAAATATTTTAAAATAAAAAATGAAAAATAAGATCATTTTGAATGAAGAAATGGCAGAAAATTATGCTGTAGCTATTTTCATCAGAATGTAAAATATCTTTATAATTCTGTGGTTTTGCTTTCTGTTTATATAAAACATGTATTTGAAAAGACGTCATTTCTACTGTGCCAGTCAGCTGTCTTAGGATAGATATGGTCATTCATCATACCTAGATGTAAGTATTCCACAGTAAGGCAAAAGGCCACAAATCTATTTAATTACATATTTTCTACTTTTGCTATTTTCTTCCTCATTTTGTTGCAATCAACTTCATACTAATTATTGCTTTCACAAAAATAAATAGAAAATATATTATCATGAGGTATTTATTTTGCTAAAGATTTAGATTTCTAGCTCTAGTAGAGTTTGAAGTATGCAGAATTACTAGCAATTAAGGATTCAAATTCTTCATAAAATGTGTTTTTAACTTGGGGTCAACTGTCCTTCTAGAAAAGAATTCTTGAAAATTTTATGAAAATTTATGTACTTTTGTTTATATACCTTTTTCTAAAGATAAAATCTAAAACATTTCTTAGACTCTTAAGGGGTACGAGATTCCACAAATTTAGAACTGTTGCTCTAATATACGCTAGTTAATTCCAGGTTGTCAACTGGGAACTAGATTCACATTTTTTGAGATGAAGAAAAGTGACATTAATACAGTGAAATTAATCAAATGCATATACAATACCATTCAGTAGTTTTAATAAAACCATAGAATTGAGCAAGGTATATTCTGCTGACATTTTTTTAAATTTCTTTTTCAATCACATGAAGAAAAAAAGTATTTATAAATTCAGGTTAGTTCTTCCACTGGTACATTTAAGTGTGAGCCAAAATAGCGAGTCTAATGATTTATTTGGAGCATGTACTAAAGACTGACAATCAGTGACTCTTTGTCTACTCTTTCACTACACCACATCTTGTGAATGATCTACAGCCACTGATGTCTGCAGAGGACCAAAATGAAACCATGTCAATTGGAGAAAGATTGCTATTTAGGACCATGTTAGTGAGTGAAACTTAGGAAAATGCTTTAACATTCTTATATTCTTAGAGAGCAAGCAAATAGTGAGCTGTAATTAAACTTGTTTGAACTGGGTTTTGCCCATTTCAGTAGTACATTATAATAATAGTCTGCAGATAAAAACAAAACAAAACAAAAAACTTGGAGAAAAATTGCCACTGCATTTAACTGGGGCATAGTTGGCCAGGAATGCTAAAAGAAAATATTTGCACTGGATTTATTGGTATTCACTGGAAACATAACTTTTCCATTCCTGCCCAGCACATGATGAATTCTAACTTTCATACTTACAACTACTTACATGTCAGCATTAAGTTGTGCAGAGAAATAAATTTAACATTTGAGAAGACAATTCAACTTAAATGAGAAAATATTTTTAAAACTCATGTGGTGACTTGTTCTATAGGTAAAGTGTAAATAAAGCAGGTGTATACGTGAATTTGGTCACTTGCTAATGCTAGAGGAATATAAAGATAAACATAGTTGCTCTTAAGATTACATGATTAGTAAAGGGATATACAATTATGAAGAACAAATATAATATGTAGCAGAAGGAAAAGAAACAAATTTATGATAAATCTACAGTCTACCTTCCAAGGCAACAACTATGGGCAAGATTATTAGTTTTTGAGTCAAACAGAATAAGAAAATCTTAATATAGAGAATAACATCTGACCTGAATCTTGGGGAATATGTAGGACTTCATTAAGAATTCCTTCTTTAAAAAAAATATTCAGGGGCAAATGCAACAAAATCTATCAATAGCTAAATTTTAAAAACAATAAACAGCATAAACAGTTAAGAATGGGCATGAACAAAAAAAAACACACCCATTCTAGTGGGAAAACATACATTCCATACTATGATAGATTATGGAGATGAAATATACTCTGTTCCACAAACACTGTTGGCCTAAACTCTAGTGAAGGGCGTATAGGGTGTTACATTAGAGGGAAAATGCCGTCCGACTCTTTTTTTTTTTTTTTATACTTTAAGTTCTAGGGTACATGTGCATGACGTGCAGGTTTGTAACATATGTATACATGTGCCATGTTGCTGTGCGGCACCCATTAATACATCATTTACATTTAGGTATATCTCCTAATGCTATCCCTCCCCGCTCCCCCCACCTCACCACAGGCCCTAGTGTATGATGTTCCCCACCCTGTGTCCAAGTGTTCTCATTGTTCAATTCCGACCTATGAGTGAGAACATGCGGTGTTTGATTTTCTGTTCTTGTGATAGTTTGCTCAGAATGATGGTTTTTTGCTTCATCCATGTCCCTACAAAGGACATGAACTCATCATTTTTTATGGCTGCATGGTATTCCATGATGTATATGTGCCACATTTTCTTAATCCAGTCCATCATTGATGGACATTTGGGTACGTTCCAAGTCTTTGATATTGTGAATAGTGCCACAATAAACATACGTGTGCATGTGCCTTTATAGCAGCATGATTTATAATCCTTTGGGTATATACCCAGGAATGGGATGGCTGGGTCAAATGGTATTTCTAGTTCTAGATCCTTGAGGAATCGCCACACTGTCTTCCACAAAGGTTGAACTAGTTTACAGTCCCACCAACAGTGTAAAAGTGTTCCTATTTCTCCACATCCTCTCCAGCACCTGTTGTTTCCTGACTTTTTACTGATCGCCATTCTAAGTGGTGTGAGATGGTATCTCATTGTGGTTTTGATTTGCATTTCTCTGATGGTCAGTGATGGTGAGCATTTTTTCATGTGTCTGTTGCCTGCATAAATGTCCTCTTTTGAGAAGTGTCTGTTCATATCCTCCACCCACTTTTTGATTGGGTTGTTTGATTTTTTTCTTGTGAATTTGCTTAAGTTCTTTGTAGATTCTGGATATTAGCCCTTTCTCAGATGGATAGATTGCAAAAATTTTCCCCCATTCTGTAGGTTGCATGTTCACTCTGATGGTAGTTTCTTTTGCTATGCAGAAGCTCTTTAATTTAATTGGATTCCATTTGTCAATTTTGGCTTTTGTTGCCATTGCTTTTGGTGTTTTAGTCATGAAGTCCTTGTCCATGTCTATGTCCTGAATGATATTGCCTAGGTTTTCTTCTAGGGTTTTATGGTTTTAGGTCTAACATTTAAGTCTTTAATCCATCTTGAATTAATTTTTGTATAAAGTGTAAGGAAGGGATCCAGTTTCAGCTTTCTACATATGGCTAGCCAGTTTTCCCAGCACCATTTATTAAATAGGGAATCCTTTCCCCATTTCTTGTTTTTGTCAGGTTTGTCAAAGATCAGATGGTTGTAGATGTGTGGTATTATTTCTGAAGGCTCTGTTCCATTCCATTGGTCTATATGTCTGTTTTGGTACCTGTACCATGCTGTTTTGGTTACTGTAGCCTTGTAGTATAGTTTGAAGTTAGGTAGCGTGATGCCTCCAGCTTTGTTCTTTTGGCTTAGGATTGCCTTGGCAATGAAGGTGCTTTTTTGGTTCGATATGAACTTTAAAGTAGTTTTTTCCAATTCTGTGAAGAAAGTGATTGGTAGCTTGATGGGGATGGCATTGAATCTATAAATTACCTTGGGCAGAATGGCCTTTTTCACAATATTGACTCTTCCTATCCATGAGCATGGAATGTTCTTCCATTTGTTTGTATTCTCTTTTATTTCATTGAGCAGTGGTTTGTAGTTCTCCTTGAAGAGGTCCTTCACATCCCTTGTAAGTTGGATTCCTAGGTATATTTTTTTTCTCTTTGAAGCAATTGTGAATGGGAGTTCACTCATGATTTGGCTGGCTGTTTGTCTGTTATTGGTCTATAGGAATGCTTGTGATTTTTGCACATTGATTTTGTATCCTGAGACTTTGCTGAAGTTGCTTATC
Organism: Homo sapiens; assembly: GCF_000001405.40. NCBI lineage: Eukaryota > Metazoa > Chordata > Mammalia > Primates > Hominidae > Homo > Homo sapiens. Next base: position 45,120,145 of record NC_000005.10, on the reverse strand, counting down.
AGCTTAAGGAGATTTTGGGCTGAGACGATGGGGTTTTCTAAATATACAATCATGTCATCTGCAAACAGGGACAATTTGACTTCCTCTTTTCCCAACTGAATACCCTTTATTTCTTTCTCCTGCCTGATAGCCTTGGCCAGAACTTCCAACACTATGTTGAATAGGAGTGGTGAGAGAGGGCATCCCTGTCTTGTGTCAGTTTTCAAAGGGAATGCTTCCCCTTTTTGCCCATTCAGTATGGTATTGGCTGTGGGTTTGTCATAAATAACTCTTATTATTTTGAGATACGTCCCATCAATACCTAATTTATTGAGAGTTTTTAGTATGAAGGGCTGTTGAATTTTGTCAAAGGCCTTTTCTGCATCTACTGAGATAATCATGTGGCTTTTGTCTTTTGTTCTCTTTATATGATGGATTACGTTCATTGATTTGTGTATGTTGAACCAGACTTGCATCTCAGGGATGAAGCCAATTTGACTGTGGTGGATAAGCTTTTTGATGTGCTGCTGGATTTGGTTTGCCAGTATTTTATTGAGGATTTTTGCATCAATGGTCATCAGGGATATTGGTCTAAAATTCTCTTTTTTTGTTGTGTCTCTGACAAGCTTTGGTATCAGGATGATTCTGGCCTAAAAAAATGAGTTAGGGAGGATTCCCTCTTTTTCTATTGATTGGAATAGTTTCAGAATCAGTGGTACCAGCTCCTCCTTGTACCTCTGGTAGAATTCGGCTGTGAATCCATCTGGTCGTGGACTTTTTTTGGTTGGTAGGCTATTAATTATTGCCTCAATTTCAGAGCCTATTACTGATCTATTCAGGGATTCAACTTTTTTCGTGGTTTAGTCTTCAGAGGGTGTATGATGTGTCCAGGAATTTGTCCATTTCTTCTAGATTTTCTAGTTTATTTGCATAGAGATGTTTATAGTATCCTCTGATGGTAGTTTGTATTTCTGTGGGATAGGTGGTGATATCCCCTTTATCATTTTTATTGCATCTATTTGAATCTTCTCTCTTTTCTTCTTTATTAATCTTGCTAGCGGTCTATCAATTTTGTTGATCTTTTCAAAAAAACTAGCTCCTGGATTCATTGATTTTTTGAAGGGCTTTTTATGTCTCTATCTCCGTCAGTTCTGCTCTGATCTTAGTTATTTCTTGCCTTCTGCTAGCTTTTGAATGTGTTTGCTCTTGCTTCTCTAGTTCTTTTAATTGTGATGTTAGGGTGTCAATATTAGATCTGTCCTGCTTTCTCTTGTGGGCATTTAGTGCTATAAATTTCCCTCTACACACTGCTTTAAATGTGTCCCAGAGGTTCTGGTATGCTGTGTCTTAGTTCTCATTGGTTTCAAAGAATATCTTTATTTCCACCTTCATTTCATTATGTACCCAGTAGTCATTCAGCAGCTGATTGTTCAGTTTCCATGTAGTTGAAAGGTTTTGAGAGACTTTCTTAATCCTGAGTTCTAGTTTGATTGCACTGTGGTCTGAGAGACAGTTTATTATAATTTCTGTTCTTTTATATTTGCTGAGGAGTGCTTTACTTCCAACTATGTGGTCAATTTTGGAATAAGTGCAATATGGTGCTGAGAAGAATGTATATTCTGTTGATTTGGGGTGGAGAGTTCTGTAGATGTCTATTAGGTCCACTTGGTGCAGAGCTGAGTTCAATTCCTGGATATCCTTGTTAACTTTCTGTCTTGTCAATCTGTCTAATGTTGACAGTGGGGTCTTAAAGTCTCCCATTATTATTGTGTGGGAGTCTAAGTCTCTTCATAGGTGTCTAAGGACCTACTTTATGAATCTGGGTGCTCCTTTATTAGGTGCATATATATTTAGGATTGTTAGCTCTTCTTGTTGAATTGATCTCTTTACCATTATGTAATGGCTTTCTTTGTCTCTTTTGATCTTTGTTGGTTTAAAGTCTGTTTTATCAGAGACTAGGATTGCAACCCCTGCTTTTTTTTTGTTTTCCATTTGCTTGGTAGATCTTCATCCCTGCCTTTATTTTGAGCCTATGTGTGTCTCTGCATGAGAGATGGGTCTCCTGAATACAGCACACTGATGAGTTTTGACTCTATCCAATTTGCCAGTCTGTATCTTTTAATTGGAGCATTTAGGCCATTTACATTTAAGGTTAATAATGTTATACGTGAATTTGATCCTGTCATTAAGATGTTAGCTGGTTATTCTGCTCATTAGTTGATGCAGTTTCTTCCTAGCATCGATGGTCTTGAGGTTCTAAGATGGCCGAATAGGAACAGCTCCAGTCTACAGCTCCCAGTATGATCGATGCAGAAGATGGGTGATTTCTGCATTTCCAACTGAGGTACCAGGTTCATCTCTCTGGGGCTTGTCAGACAGTGGGTACAGCACACGAAGCAGGGCAGGGCATCGCCCCACCCAGGAAGTGCAAGGAGTCGGAGAATTCCCTTTCCTAGCCAAGGGAAGCCATGACAGACAGTACCTGGAAAATCAGGACACTCCCACCGTAATACTGCTCTTTTCCAATGGTCTTAGCAAATGGCACACCAGGAGATTATATCCCGTGCATGACTCAGAGGGTCCCACACCCATGGAGCCTTGCTCATTGCTAGCACAGCAGTCTGAGATCAAACTGCAAAGTGGCAGCAAGGCTGGGGGAGGGGCATCTGCCATTGCTGAGGCTTGAGTAGGTAAACAAAGCAGCCCACTGCAGCTCAAGGATGCCTTCCTGCCTCTGTAGACTCCATCTCTAGGGGCAGGGCACAGCTGAACAAAAGGCAGCATAAACTTCTGCAGACTTAAACGTCCCTGTCTGACAGCTTTGATGAGAGTAGTGGTTCTCCCAGCATGGAGTTTGAGATCTGAGAACGGACAGTCTGCCTCCTCAAGTGGGTCCCTGATCCCCGAGTAGCCTAACTGGGAGACATCTCCCAGTAGGGGCCGACTGACACTTCATACAGCTAGTGCCCCTATCAGAATAAGCTTCCAGAGGAAGGATCAGGAAGCAACATTTACTGTTCTGCAATATTTGCTGTTCTGCAGCCTCTGCTGGTGATGCCCAGGCAAACAGGGTCTGGAGTGGACCTCCAGCAAACTCAAGCAGACCTGCAGCTGAGGGTCCTGTCTATTAGAAGGAAAACTAACAAACAGAAAGGACATCCACACCAAAACCCCATCTGTACGTCATAGTCATCAAAGACCAAAGGTAGATAAAACCACAAAGATGGGGAGAAACCAGAGCAGAAAAGCTGAAAATTCTAAAAATCAGAGTGCCTCTTCTCCTCCAAAGGAATGCAGCTCCTCGCCAGCAATGGAACAAAGCTGGACAGAGAATGACTTTGATGAGTGGAGAGAAGAAGGCTTCAGAAGATCGGTAATAACAAACTTCTCCAAGCTAAAGGAGGATGTTCGAACCCATTGCAAAGAAGCTGAAAACCTTGAAAAAATATTAGACGAATGGCTAACTAGAATAAACAGCATAGAGAAGACCTTAAATGGCCTGATGGAGCTGAAAAGCATGGCATGAGAACTACTTGATGCATGCACAAGCTTCAGTAGCCGATTCAATCAACTGGAAGAAAGGGTATCAGTGATTGAAGATCAAATGAATGAAATGAAGCGAGAAGAGAAGTTTAGAGAAAAAAGAGTAAAAGGAAATGAACAAAGCCTCCAAGAAATATAGGACTATGTGAAAAGACCAAATCTATGTCTGATTGGTGTACCTGAAAGTGATGGGGAGAATGGAACCAAGTTAGAAAACACTCTGCAGGACATTATCCAGGAGAACTTCCCCAACCTAGCAAGGCAGGCCAACATTAAAATTCAGGAAATACAGAGAACGCCACAGAGATACTCCTCAAGAAGAGCGACTCCAAAGCACAAAATTGTCAGATTCACCAAAGTTGAAATGAAGGAAAAAATGTTCAGGGCAGCCAGAGAGAAAGGTCGGGTTACCCACAAAGGGAAGCCCATCAGACTAACAGCAGATCTCTTGGCAGAAACTCTACAAGCCAGAAGAGAGTGGGGGCCAATATTCAACATTCTTAAAGAAAAGAATTTTCAACCCAGAATTTCATATCCAGCCAAACTAAACTTCATAAGTGAAGGAGAAATAAAATCCTTTATAGACAAGGAAATGCTGAGCGATTTTGTCAACACCAGGCCTGCCTTACAAGAGCCCTCAGACTCTTAAGTTAAAATCTGGGAGCAAAGGATGCTCCTAAAGTCCACTATCTGGCTAAATGTCCAGGAATTAGTGGTTCTAAGCTGGCTGAAGACTGGTGGAACTGCTGCACTTGACTTTACAAGGCCATAACTCTCTTTATTGAATTGTGGGGGAAAATATCTCTAAGCTGAAGACACACCTGAGATATGCTAAGAATACACCTACGTGTTTGCTGTGAACATAAGAAAAGTAGAAAGCAAGGGTTAGAAACATACTTACTTTATTACCTCACTGAGCAAGAGCAGCAGGCAGGCTGCGAACAGGTGAAGGTGGGAATTCTAGCCTGACTTCAGTGTCTGAAGGGAACTGCTTTGTTTGCTATCTTTTTCTTTCATTTCTCATTAAATATACATATATATATGCTTGTTCACAGGTAGGAATTAATATTTCCTCAGAGTCATTAGGATTTTTTCTAAAGCATTCATTCAGCATAAAGAGCCAAGTTCTTTATTTGACCATGCTCAGTGGTCAAGGTTCTCTAGAGGGACAGAACTTGTATATGTACATATATATCTATATACACATATATATATATCTATGTATGCATATTTGGGAGTTTATTAAGTATTAACTCACAGCATCACAAGGTCCCACAATAGGCCATCTGCAGGCTGAGGAGCAAGGAGAACCAATCTGAGTTCCAAAACTGAAGAACTTGGAGTCCCATGTTTGAGGGCATGGAGCATTCAGCACCAGAAAAAGATGTAGGCTGGGAGGCTAGGCCAGTCTCTCTTTTCACCTTTTTCTGCCTGCTTATATTCTAGCTGCACTGGCAGCTCATTAGATTGTGCCCACCCAGATTAAGGGTGGATCTGCCTTTCCCAGTCCACTGACTCAAATGTTAATCTCCTTTGGCAACACTCTCACCGACACACCCAGGATCAATACTTTGTATCCTTCAATCCAATCATGTTCACACTCAGTATAAACCATCACACTCAGTTTGATTCTACATCCTATGACCTTTACATTCTCAGGATGTCTACACTACAGGGGCTCAGGAGAGGTGAATTCCAAGATGAGGAACCAGCCCATGAAAAGGTGTAGAGCCTCATAAGGCCTTAATCTACAGTAGATGTTTCTGGGAGAAGCAGTGAGAGAATAGAGCAATAAAAGTGATTGAATCCAGAATATAATGACATAAAAGAAGAAAATCCAGAATATAATGACATTATACTCATGGTCAGTAAAGAATTATTAATATGTTATGTATGGAATTGATAGGATTTGTGTTTCAGCTATATTGCTCCAATGGCAGTTTCAGGGACAGATTATTCTAAAGGCAAGACACAGGAGACCAGGTGGGAAAATAAGGAAATAAAACAGGTTAGAGACACACAGTTTAAATTTAGGAGATAATAGTGCTATGAAAAGTTAAAAAATGATTTTAAGTGACATTTTGTAGTTCACACTAGAGAGCTTGGTTTCTGATTTTTTCCTTGAGGGAGTTGGGGGCATTAATAGCAAACCAAAGTTTATAGCTTGAGTAATTGGAAAGACAATGATGTCATCACTGAAACCACAAATCTTGGGGAGAGGAAGAGAAGATTTAGGGAGAAAAATTATGGGTTAGTTCCATTTTAGATACCTTGAATTATATGTGCTTGTGACAATTCCAGTATTACATATTCAAAAGGCAGTTAGTTATTTCACTGGCTTAACACAAGAGAAGTTTGTTTCTTCCTAATGTGGATTTCAGAATAGGCATTCCTAGTCAGCAGACAGCTCTTCTGTAAGTACTAATGGAAGAAATCAGGCTCATTCCAAGTTATTTTTAACCCATGGCTGCCAAAGTCACTAAGTTCATCTGCATCATTCCTGCATCAAAGGAAATCAGGAAGGATCAGTGTGGGAAGTTACTGTGGCCTCCACCTGGAGGTAGTGCTGTAGTGGACTCCACTTCCTCTCACATTCTGTTAGCTGGAAATAACTCACATAGAAGCGTTCTCTCCTTTAGTTATTATGTAAGGTGCAAAGTGGTATGAGTCAGCTGGACAAGTCAGAGCCCAAGACTGTTATGGAGGCCTCAGGATTTCTGGGGTAGAAGATTCAACAGCTTCGTATTTTTATGGTTTTGTATTGGGAAATGTCTCTGCATTTTTCTTTCATTGTATCATTTTAATGTGATTGACTTCCCAAATAAAGTGTGTTCTTTAATTCTAACTGACATGAATCATTTCTATTACTCCATCAGTTTAAGTGGATACTCAATTACCTACCTGTTTGGTTCTATTCCATGAGGTGATTTGAAATGAAGAACTTTGATTCAGGTAATAACTCTATTTTTCAGGCAAGAAAAGGAACAGAGAATGGGGCCCTTTCTTTTTAGTGTATAATGGAATTTCATTCATATTACCTAAATAGCATGGTTCTCCATACATCCAAGTATCAAGTCTCAAGTGGGAAAGAATAATTTTTATAGGGAAAAATAACCAGTTTGTGAGGTCATTTTTGTTTAGTTGTTGTTATTGTCATGTTTATGCAGATATTCCATTATCAATAACTCTATCACTTATTTTATAGAACAGAACTGAAGGCTATAAAAAACCTTCAAAAGTTCACTTGCACTTGACATATTATTCAAAATTCAATATTGTGTTAAAATTGAAAACTGCATATTTAATAAAATATATACATACTTAGTATGTGCCACGAACCATCCTATGTAATTTATGTGTACTGTTAAACTCTTCCCACAACTCTGTGAAGCGTTATTTACTCCTTTTTCCCTTCATTTTATGATGTTGGACAATAGGACAGTTGCTACTGTCCAGCAATTTTTGACCCATAAAAATGGAAATTTCATATAATTCAACCTAATACTTGTGAGAGGATTTTAAGCCACTTGCCCAAAATCACAGTATCACAAGCTGGTAAAGGGAAGAAACTATATTTGAATTTGATAGTCCATTTTTTTCTTTATACTGTATACTCACTCTTTTATACATACATAAACACACGCACATATATACACACATGTTTTATATATATATACACACATAAATATATAGAGATATGAATATATACAGAGACTTAGTGTGTGTGTGTGTGTGTGCATGTGTGCATGCCTATACTTCTATTTTTTAGGAAGAAGGTGTCAGGCCTCTGAGCCCAAGCTAAGCCATCATATCCTCTGTGACCTGCACGTACACATACAGATGGCCGGTTCCTGCCTTAACTGATGACATTCCACCACAAAAGAAGTGAAAATGGCCTGTTCCTGCCTTAACTGATGATATTATATTGTGAATTTCCTTCTCCTGGCTCATCCTGGCTCAAAAGCTCCCCTACTGAGCACCTTGTGACCCCACTCCTGCCCACCAGAGAAAAACCCCCCTTTGACTGTAATTTTCCTTTACCTACCCAAGTCTTATAAAACGGTCCCACCCCCATTTCCCTTCGCTGAGTCTCTTTTCAGACTCAGCCTGCCTGCACCCAGGTGATTAAAAGCTTTATTGCTCACACAAAGCCTGTTTGGTGGTCTCTTCACACGGACGCGAGTGAAAGAAGATACTTTGTTTTTTTTAGGTACGTCTGTAAAAACCCAAATATATATAGATAGGCAATCTTCTACTTTCTGAACTTTAATCCTAAACTATAAAATGATTCATTATTTTTCACACGTCATCATCACTGGTATTCTCCCTCCCCACCTCCCACCCCTGTACTTTAATTTTGTTTTTTCTTTTAGCCATACTTAATGGCTAAGTTTGTGACCTCAATGCTTAAAAACAAATTACATTTCCATCCACTCATCTCAATCCTTATTATCACTGCAGAGCACTTTCTCTGGGCAGAGGGAGCAGAATGGATTCATAGCTATTTGGGCAGCTTGTTTTCTTCTCTGTGGGCCTTAGGGAACCCATTCTTTATTGTCATACAGAAACCAGTCTATAATTATTAGTGGGAGCTGTTTACAATAGAGTCACCTATATCCCCTATATATTAGAGTGTACACACCACGCATGAGGAGGTAACGTTTAGTGAAGACAAAAAAATAACCATTAGCAAAACTGTAGGCTCTGTGGTTCCTGGACATTTTTATTTCATGAATTAAACATTCTCATCTTTCAATGTTTGACACTATTTTTAATCTATACTTATTAGGTATCTGCAACATGATGTTGGAGTTTCTTCACAGGAGGTAGATTTTATTATTCTTAATTGTATTATGTCACATAGTGCAAACTGGTATGTTAATTATGTAGATAATAAAACTAAATATATTTTTGCTTTTGCTGCCCCAAAATGTTAAGTAAGTAGAATAGGTAGAATTTACATTTTACATTTTTAAATTTAAGTTATCAAAACAAAGAATTATTCTGAAAATTTTATATCTAGCTCATACAATTGATTGGTAGATAGATTTTTATATATATATATGATACATAAATGTGTGTGTTTATATATATGTGTGTATATATATATAAAATGTGGATTTTCTATTTATCTATGGAGAAAATTATGTATAATCTTATACATACTTTGTGCAAATCCCAATTTATGCACCTTTTAGGAAATCTTGGTCCCACTTGCCCACCTAATCCCATCTGCTTGTTTGCTTCCTGAATTCGGTGGCTTCTTGATGAATCCCACCATTCCTCCCCAGACACCTCCATCATCTTCTCTTCCCTTATCTCTGAGTGCTACTGACTATCTCACCCTCCCTGGGAATGAGGGTTGAGCTTTAACAGAGTCTTTATTGCTGCTGCTGACAGGCACAGAAACTTCATCTTCTAAATCCAAAGCAATGTGATCTAAAGAGGCTCTTTTTTTATCCATTGGAGGTGCCAGACAGGGTCTTCTGACCAGAGATTGTAGTAGAATTGAGATCCTAGAGGGTTAACTTTACCAGTGAGAGAACAGAAAGAGACATCTAGAGAATTGCTTGCTTTTTATATTTTAATGAACTGTTCTTAGACCCAATGGTTCTATTTGGACTTTCTGGGAAGGTTCCAGGAGGCCTGAGAACAGCTATGTTTATTTGAGTTGCTTGATCAGCTTGGTAACACTAAATAAAATGCACAATGCTAAACCAAGAACAGGATTCAAGGCAGAAATTTGCAAAGATTTTTTAGCTTCATGTGGCCAATAAATTTGTTTTCCTCTAATGAAGAAAACTTCAAAGTGACTACCAGAATATTCTACATAGTGTGTATAGAATCTTTTATGTGGAACATAAAAATAAAAGTGTGTTTAGAATTCCCTGCTTTTCACAAAAACATTCCCTCCTTTTCAGCTTCCAAAAAATCATGAGTCCTGATGACTATGTTTTTTGCTTTCTGGAGCAGTGATACATAGGATTGCAAATGAGTAAAGCAGTTAGATCTGCAAGACAAAGGACACAGCTACCCAGAGAAGCTTCAGAAAGAGAGAGAAGACAGGAGAAAATGAAACAGGGAATGACTAACTTAAGCAAAAGCAGGGACAAATGAAGAAAAAGAAATGCCCGGAAGACATGAAAAAGTTTAAAAAGGTTCTGCAAACTTTACCCTTAGTATTATAAAGAGACTTTCAAAAAATACTTGTATTACTATTTAAGGTTTGGCAGTTTAGCTTAATATGGCACAATGCTAAGAAGGATCTGAAGGCAAGAACAAGATGGCCCACTTACATTCAAATTTCATATAGCCATCTAGGCAATTCCATTTTAGTTAACTTTTTAGTAATCTTTGTGTAGTTTATTTCATAGTGCAGGTATAGTTATCCTCTACTATTGGGAGGTGCCTCAATCTAAAGTCCTTAATTAAAGAATCATTTCTGGGTTTACTGTGATCCCAGTGGTAAAAATCTAATGATACCCATTCCTAATTTGACAGTGGATTTCATCTCTAAAATTTAAAACCCAGACACACAGCTTGCAAAGCTCAAGTGACAGGGATGTTATATATCCTGTGAGCTGACGTATCCCCCCTTTCTGCCCCATCCCTGAGTCACTGAAGGTGTGCTTTTTGCAACTTACCTTCAGGCTGTGCTGGATTGTCTTGTCATTTCTGCAGCCCTTGTTCTGCATGCCAAATGTACATCTGCCCAGATGCCTGCAGTTAGGTGTGCAATCTCAGGTCCCGCCTCTGATCTCTCTGCCTGGGAAGCAGAAATCTGCTGAGCTTTCCTTTGAGGCCAGTGGACTGGTGGCTCAGCATGAGCTCATTGTTAGGGGCTCTTACTTTGTTCTTTGATGTTAAAGGTGAGAGAGCTGTAACTGTAGCAATTCATCCCAAAACTGGATGTGAGAACTCTGGCAAGTTCTATTCTCATATTTGTCTGTGTTAAGTTCAAGATGTACAGAAGTGCTGAGAGTGGAGGGCTCAGCTCTGTAGAGCAACACATCCCTAGGCATCAAGCCTAAGACCAGGCAAATGTCTAACAAGTTGAGGTCACACATAAGACAACCATACTCTGCTTTTCATTCACCTGTTTCTTCTCAAATCTACTCCTCTTCCCTAACTATTCCACTTCTGTGTAATAAAATATATTTCCCAGGCTCCCTGGTCCTCTGGCTTCCAATTAGCTTGGTCAATGGGAAGCACTGACAGAAGACTAGAGGGCAGGATGATGGGATAAATTGGAATGTTTCTCTCCCTCTCTGTTTCAGATGGATTCTCAGGATGCTCCTGAAACTCCTCTGTGGCTGCAGCTCCTGCCTTATAGACCAGCTGTGGTTCCATCTCTTACCAGACGGGCCAACCCCTGGGATCTAGTAACAGGCTTCCTCCCTTTGTCCCTCTAGTGCTAAGGTGATAGCAGTTCCTTAATGCTGCTAATACCTGAGTTGCCCCACCATCCTGTGTTTAGTTTTTTGGCTTTTCTGTTACATGTAAAGAGTTAGGTGAAATAACTTGCTCTGTTTAGAGTGAAATTTTAAATTAGATGAAATTGCTGATATTGAATTGAATCTGACCAGTAAAAATGGCAATTACCTATGTTTTTACCACCTCTAGTAATTTGCTTTCTGTCTGTATCCAAACTGATATATACCCCAAAGTTAATTTAGGAAAGTTAGTGCAGCTGAAATCTCTACCAGAAGTGAAACGGGGTAGACCTTGGAAAAAGTTAAAGAAAGGAAATATTTATTTAAGCTAGTATCTGAAAGATGAGCATGAGTTTGCCAGGTAAAGAGAAAATGGATTTGGGGATGCACAAACTCTGGGGAAGAGAGGAGTTAGAAGGCACAGTATCTTTGGTGGAAGAAGAGCAGCTTGCAGTAGCTCTACTTAGTGACTTAAATAAATCTGATGGCAAAGAGAACATCAAAAAACAACTGCATTAGTTTGCTAGGGCTGCCATAACAAAGTATCACAAATAGCATGGCTTAAACAATGGTAGTTTATTATTTCAACGTTCTGGAAGTTAGAAGTTTAAGATGGAGGTGTCAGCAAGGTTAGTTTCCTCTGAGTACTATGAGGAAGAATCCGTTCCATGAGGTAAGAACCTTCTAGTGGCTTTCTGGCAACTTTGAGTGTTCCTTGGCTTGTAGATACATCAACCCAATCTTTGCATTCACATTCACATGGCGTTCTCCCTGTGCGTATGTGTGTTTCTGTGTCCAAATTTCCCCTTTTTATAAGAACACTAGTATTACTGGATTAGGGCACACCCTAATGACCTAATTTTAGTTTGATTACCCTTATAAAGACCATATCTCTAAATAAGATCACATTCTGAAGTACTGTGCTTAGGAATTCAATGTGTGAACTTGGGAAGGATACCATTAAACCTCTAACAACTGGTTATAAGACTTTACCAAAATTTAAGCAAACAATAAGGGACCAAAGCTCAGGTAATGACAGGGATGACATTGAGGAAACAAATAAATAATATTTAAACTGTAAATTAATATGAATGACAAAGTGAATATGAAGATAAGATAAGGTGAGAAAAAAAGAAAATGTTGAGGTTTGGCATAAAATATTCTCTCAAGGAAACTTGGGAGATAACTGGCCCTTTCAAATCTCATGTCCTCACATTTCAAAACAAATCATGCCTTCCCAACATATCCCAAAAGTCCCCTAAAGACTTTAGCAGAAAGGGGGCACATAGAGAAAGCACATTCATTGAATTTTTATTTTTGGAGATAGAGATTGAGGGTAGATAATATGTTTGCATTTTGATATGTTGAATTTGAACTATCTATAGAACACTCAACCAGAGATATCTAGCATACCATGAAAATGTTGCCTCTGGAGCTCAGCAGTTAGAATGCTTGATATCTCTTCTATTTCTCTCCTCGTAACCTTGTATAAAGTATGTATTGTGTCTAAGCTGCAATTTCCTTATCTGCAAAATGTGTATGTTAACAATGTTCCAGTGGGTTGTTGGAGGATTAAACATGTAAACCATGTAAAGCATTTAGCTTAGTACCTGACACTACAACAGTGCTCAATATTTGGTAGTCGTTTTCATAACAACTACTGTTACCCTTATCAATATTAGTATTAGGAACACGTGGCCGGGCACAGTGGCTCACACCTGTAATCCCAGCACTTTGGGAGGCCGAGGCGGGCGGATCACGAGGTCAGGAGATCGAGACCATCCTGGCTAACACAGTGAAACCCCGTCTCTACTAAATATACAAAAAATTAGCCTGGCTTGGTGGCAGGCACCTGCAGTCCCAGCTACTCGGGAGGCTGAGGCAGGAGAATGGCGTGAACCTGGAAGGCGGAGCTTGCAGTGAGCCGAGATCACGCCACTGCACTCCAACCTGGGCGACAGGGTGAGACTCCGTCTCAAAAAAAAAAAAAAAAAGGGAACACATGTGCAGGTCAGCAATAGGAGAATGACCTGGGAAAGGGTTCTAACATCCCTGCACAATAGAAAAAACAAAAATACACAATAGAAGGGACACCAGAAGTTTAAAAGAAGTCTCAGGAGCAAGGTATATTCCTTTCTATCTTTGTATATCGTAAGAGGGGTGGAGGAAGAAAGAATCCTGCCATCTTTGCTCAATATATTTACTTGATCCTCGTGTCCAAAACTATACCCAGTTTATTATCCAGGAAAATAGTAAAATAACACTTTAAGAATTATTAATGCCTCTGAAAAACATTTAAGCACCCTATGAATATATAGGTAAAAAGACTCTGTTTCTTTACCTACTGATGAGAAATCCTTTTCTGTACTTAATTTTGTTACGCGGACCCACTCACCACTATGAGAAGATGATCACAACATACAAGAATTGAAAGGGGGCCGGATGCAGCGGCTCATGCCTGTAATCCCAGCACTTTGGGAGGCCCAGGCAGGAGGATCATCTGAGGTCAGCAGTTCAAGACCAACCTGACCAACATGGTGAAACCCCCGTCTCTACTAAAAATACAAAAATTAGCCAGGCATGGTGGTGTGCACCTGTAATCCCAGCTACTCGGGAAGCTGAGGCAGGAGAATCACTTGAACCCAGGAGATGGAGGTTGCAGTGAGCCAAGATCATGCCACTGCACTCCAGCCTGGGCAACAGGGCGAGACTTCATCTCAAAAAAAGAAAAAAGAATCGAAAGGGAGCTTGATACAGGAGTTTCATTCTATTAAGAGCAGTAGCAATCACTGTTCAATAAGCACACATCATTTTTATTCATAATCTTCCTTCAAAAAAAGAGATAAAACTTTAACCTGCTAAGCATATTATTGCACTTACAGTGCACATGTCATGAAAGTTTCTAAACCTACTTCTTTCTTGAAATATAAAGAGAGGAGAGCTGAAGAAGATTGGAAAATTAAACAAAATGCCCAGGAACTGCAATTCACTGCATGTATTTACCCAAGTGGCAATGTGCATGTGTTGAATTGAGCATTTGCCCATTAGAAGGCAATGAAATTGGACATGAGCCTGCGTGAAACCTGACAAGGATGTTTCTCTTCCTCAGTAAATGTTTAAATTTTGTAACATTAAACGCTTAGAATCTTAGATTCAAAAAAAAAAAAAAAGATTTCAAAACTTGTTTTGCTCAACAGCTCTCAAAGAATGCCTGAATTGAGACTTCTGGTTAAAGCTTTTTTAGCAGGAGAACAGGGGAAGTTGAGGAGAAGTGTTTATTCATTTTACACAACCATGTTTACTTGACAAATGAAATCCACATTGAGGGTGATAGGAGTTCAGAAAAATGTGACACAGAGTGATAAAATTTTGAGCTAGAATGGTCCTTCCATGAACATCCTATCTGATCTCCACATTGAGGGTGATAGGAGTAGTTCAGAAAAATGTGACACAGAGTGATAAAAGTTTTGAGCTGGAATGGTCTTTCCATGAATATCCTATCTGATCTCCACATTTTGTTTTGGAAGAAACTAAACTCAGAGACTTAATGACCTAATGACAGACTGGGGACCAGAAATGACATCTTCTGATTCTGAGACTAGGGCTCCTTCCACAATATCGTGCTGACCAACTGAAGAGAGTAGTAGCATGAAAAATAGCATCCATCCATGCATTCATGTTCAATGCTCCTAGTCCAATGGGTGGGGTATAAGATCTCAATTTTCCTGTTTCTTTATCTACTACACAGAATAGGCAGAGTATTATTAAAAAGACCAGACAAAAATTAAATATAAAATTATCTTTCCTCGTATAAAGAAGCCAGAGTGGAGTAGGGAAGCACTTGAATGCTGTGCATGAATGACTGTGTCCCAAATGAAAAATACAAAAAGCCTCATTTTCCTAGTCTGGTGCAGCTGTCATGATCCGTGGGGAAGGTAGTGGGATAAAAAGGGAGAAGATAGGTGAGGCCAGGGATAGAGGCAGGGAGAAGGAATTACAAACTTGCTAAATTAGATATAGCCTTATTCATGCTTTGCAAACTTTAATTATGATTTCAGGCTGATTCCTTGGCAAAACAAGTCATGTGAGCTTGAAAAATGCTTCTTTATTCCTGAGCTCCTTGAAGAGGAACAAACAAAAAACAAATCAACAAAACACACACACAAGATGTATTCATCTGTTTTCATGCTGTTGATAAAGACATACTGAGACTGGGAAGAAAAAGAGGTTTAATTGGACTTACAGTTTCACATGGCTGGGAAGGCCTCAGAATCATGGTAGGAGGAAAAAGGCACTTCTTACATGGTGGCAGCAAGAGAAAATGAAGAAGATGCAAAAGCAGAAACTCCTGATAAAACCATCAGATCTTGTGAGACTTATTTCATTACCACAAGAACAGTATGGGGGAAACTGCTCCCATGATTCAAATTATGTCCCACCAGGTCCCTCCCACAACACGTGGGAATTATGGAACTACAATTGGAGATGAGATTTGGGTGGGGACACAGAGCTGAACCATATCATTCCACCCCTGACCCCTTCAAATCTCATGTCCTCACATTTCAAAACTAATCATGCCCTCCCAACAGTTCCCCAAAGTCTTAACACCTTTCAGCATTAACCCAAAAGTCCACAGTCCAAACTCTCATCTGAGACAAGGCAAGTCCCTTCCGCCTATGAACCTGTAAATTCAAAAGCAAGCTAGTTACTTCCTAGATACAGTGAGGGAACAGGCATTAGGTAAATACAGCCATTCCAAATGGGAGAAATTGGACAAAACAAAGGGGTTACAGAGCCCATGAAAATCCGAAATCCAGCAGGGCAGTCAAATCTTAAAGCTCCAAAATGACCTCCTTTGCCTCCAGGTCTCACATCCAGGTCATGCTGGGCAAGAGGTAGGTTCCCATAGTCTTGGGTAACTCCACCCCTGTGGCTTTGCAGAGCATGGCCCCCCTCCTGGCTGCTTACACTGGCTGGCATTGTCTGTTGCTTTTCCAAGTACACGGTGCAAGCTGTCAGTGGATCTACCATTCTGGGTCTGGAGGACAGTGGCCCTCTTCTCACAGCTCCACTAGGCAGTGCCCCAGTAGGGACTCTGTGTGGAGCCTCTGACCCCATATTTCCTTTCTGCACTGACCTACCAGAGGTTTTCCATGAGGGCCCTACCCCTGCAGCAAACTTTTATCTGGGCATCCAGGCATTTCCATACATCTTCTGAAATCTAGGCAGAGGTTCCCAAACCTCAATTCTAGACCTCTGTGTACCCACAGGCTCAACACCACGTGAAGCTGCCACGGTTTGGGACTTGTACCCTCTGAAACCATGTGCTGAGCTGTACCTTGGCTCCTTTCAGCAATGGCTGGAGCAGCTGGGACACAGGGCACCAAGTCCCTAGGCTGCACACAGCATGGGGACCCTGCGCCTGGCCCACAAAACCATTTTTTCCTCCTAGGCTTCAGGGTCTGTGATGGGAGGGTCTTCCCTGAAGACCTATGACATGCCCTGGAGACATTTTCCCCCTTGTCTTGGGGATTAACATTAGGCTCCTTGTTACTTATGCAAATTTCTGCAGCCAGCTTGAATTTCTCCTCAACAAGTTCTCATTTCCATCTGAGACCACTTCACCCTGGACCTTACTGTCCATATCACTAACAGCATTTTGGACAAAGCCATTCAACAAGTCTCTAGGAAGTTCCAAACTTTCCCACATTTTCCCATCTTCTTCTGAGACTTCCAAACCATTCCAACCACTGCCTGTTACCCAGTTCCAAAGTTGCTTCTACATTTCTGGATATCTATTCAGCAACACCCCACTCTACTAGTATCAATTTACTATACTAGTCCATTTTCATGCTGCTGATAAAGACATACCTGAGCCTGGGAATAAAAAGAGGTTCAATTAAACTTACAGTTCCACATGGCGGGTGAGGCCTCAGAATCACGGTGGGAGGTGAAAGGCACTTCTTACATGGTGGCAGCAAGAGAAAATGAGGAAGATGCAAAAACAGAAACCCCTGATAAAACCAGGTCTTGTGAGACTTATTCACTACCTTGAGAACAGCGTAGGGGAAACCACCCCCATGATTCAAATTATCTGCCACTGGGTCCTTCCCACAACATATGGGAATTATGGGAGTAGAAATCAAGATGAGATTTTGGTGGGGACACAGAGCCAAACCATATCACAAGACAACTGCTGCCTAAGTAGTATACAACAGTATATACCCCTCACAACTTAATCCCTCAGTAAAAATTGTTACCCCTCAGTAAATGTTGTTTTAAAAGTGAAAACCTGAACCTAACCCATTTCTACTCTATTTTAATTTCCTATCTGATGTTTCCAGTGTTACAAGATTTCTGCTGCTGGCACTAATTTTGTTCTTTAACCCCTAATGATACTGAACAACATATTTTTAGTGTACTGGAACTACTGAGGTTGAGAGAAAATAACTGATACTTGATAAGAAATAAGCCTTATTTTTCCGTACTTTCAGCAACAAGGAGGAGAATCAGCAATTTCTGAGCACGCTCTCTGTGACAAGTAAGGCCAGAGTCCTTCATGCATACTGTTCCATTTGATCTTTTCAACCATATTGTGCAGATGAGAAAACTGAAGCAGAGTAAGTTCACATGACTTCCCTACATGACATAAGGTGGCAGAGAAGGTTTTCAGACAAAGTCTGCAAACTGAAAACTAGGCATTTCCCCATGAGATCTCAATGCCTCTGCACAACTGATTTGCTAGAATGATTAGAGTGTATTAATATGTATATTTGTGGCCAGGCGTGGTGGCTCACACCTGTAATCTCAGTACTTTGGGAGGCCGAGGCAGGCAGATCATGAGGTCAGGAGATGGAGACCATCCTGGCTAACATGGTGAAACCCCATCTCTACTAAAAATACAAAAAATTAGCCAGGCATGGTGGTGGGCACCTGTATTCGCAGCTACTCAGAAGGGTGAGGCAGGAGAATCTCTTGAACCTGGGAGGCAGAGGTTGCAGTAAGCCAAGATCACGCCACTGCACTCCAGCCTGGGCGACAGAGCGAGACTCCGTCTCAAAAAAAAAAAAAATGTGTATATATATATATATATATATATATATATACACACACACATATTTGCATCCATCTACACATGCAGACTTTGGATATTATTCTTTGATATTATAAATATTGGTTTTTGCTGCTTTTTTTCTCCTGAAGAATATGAATCTTGATGCTACTAAATCACTAAGACAACTTGTTAGTATGTGTCCTATCCTATGGTGACAATGATTGTTATGACAATCAGTTTTCATCACTTCTATAAGAATTTTGTTATAATTATAGTATCCTTTTATAAACAGCTTATCAGAATAGTTTTATAAATGTAGCCCAGAAAAGCTTGCATTTCACTTTTATCATGTCTCTTGGAATCAGGTTCAGAATAATGAGTTGTTCCTTTTACTCTTTCGGAAAAATCATGTAGTACCTAAACTTTGACTCACATGACATGTTCGTATTCTCAAAACCTGTGAAAGCATGGGAACATTTTCAATATGCATGTAGTGCTTTTCTGTAATGTTAATGTTTTCAAAAGTGTCCTTGCATAAGAATTGAAGCTAGGTGCAAAATGGTGGTTTTTGCTTACGAAATCAGCTTGATTTTTGTAGCTTTCACAAACTGATTCGAATTAAATTTTTACATACCCAGGTAATGTGGCAGATAAACTAAATTTCTTTAGAAGGGGCTTTTCTTAGTAACTGTAATTATTTGGATTGTGGTTTCATTGAATTCATCTCTCCCATGTCATCCAGCATTGCTCAACTAGATGACTACATTTAGTGCCCAGGCCATTCATTTGAACATCTTGTGGTATTGCTGTGTCCAACATAAATGACGAACACACACGCGCTGCAAACTTGGCCTTAGAAGGCCACAGAGATCAACATCTTGGATTCCTCTGGGATAAGAGCCTGTGTCATGTTACCACCTAAACTACCAAGACCAACCTAGAGACCAGCTGATGGTGATGGGTATGTTGAATGGATAGTGGTAGAAGAGCTGACCAATTTCGGTCTCAAGAGCAGCTGCAGAGCCTGTGAAGGGAGCTGCAGTTCCTTTGCTTCTAGATTTTCCTGTGAAAGAAAGATTTGATGGAGTCCTGGAAGAACTGCTCCCAGAATGTCTATGAACCAAGATGATGTGAGAGGCAGAGGAGTGAAGTGTGGTGGACAAGGAGGGCTCTGTACAGTTCTCATTAGTAAAGGACTTGCACCTAGCTGTCGGGGTATATGGTCAGCAGAAACCATCAACAATCATCCCCTCTAAACTTGCTTCTGCTGCTCAAACACCTTGCTGAAGGCTATGCCCTTTCCTGAGACAGCCCATCTCCAGTGATTAATTGTATCTGTCACAGGTTCTGTACTGGCATACAATAATTTTTTGATCAGTCACATAATTTCCAAGCTAAAACTATTGTAAAACCAATCTCATTTTCTACTACTTTTTGTGCAGTCTGTGGTCCGGAAAAACATCTTATTTCAATCTCATTTCATTGTTTTCTGATTTTTGCATCTGTTTTAGTCATGACATCATTTATCAATTCTTCCCTAACCATCACCCACCTGAAGTTAAAGTCTGGTTTAAAGATATTTTTCTTCATACAATTTTACCCTGGTCCCCTCAATTACAAATGATCTTTTCTCCCAAGATTGTTTCCCTCTCTCAAGTACATCCTTTGTGTCTTTTTTTATCCCCATGATCAGATTCTGCTTTAGAGTAGTTCTTATACTTGTCTTTACATCACTGTAATTTTAAACTCTTGAAAATCAGAGTAAAAAGATACTCTTTATCTTTTGAGTTCCTGCAATGTACTCTAAGTAAAGGGGATCTTTTACAGTAACTGTAATAATTTGGATTTGCCTGTAATAATTCAATAAATGTTTGCTAAATATATTATTTAATATATTCTTAGGAATAGTAAGAGAAAAAATGAAGGAGAGTGACCACTAATGGGAAAAAATAAGATGATTGTAAGAATATAAGGTGATTTCAAACCCTTGAGCTCTATTCTTTTCCAAATGGTTTATAGGATCTTGCAATTTGGTTTAAGGCAAGTCAAAAAGGATCAGAGGAAGATTCCATGTTCCCTTTGTGGAAAGACCTGCTTTTCTCGTGTTGTTTAATGTGTGAAGCAGGATTCTTCCTTTTTTCCACTTACTATACTCTTTACGCAGTCTTGGAGGAAAGTAATTCTCAGCAGCAGGATTTAAAATATATATAAAATTAAACTTTAAAATAAAGAAACTCTAGGTAGAAAAAGTATTCTGTGAGGAAAGAACTTGATGAAGCATAAATAAAAACTATCTTCCTTTGTCAGTTACCTGTGTTGCTAAGCAATTAAAATGCTAACCTTAAGTACAGTTGTTTCTTTGCCTTTAAAATCAAAAGCATAATTGCCTGTTTCTGAAAGTACGCCCTCAGTCAAATCTAAGTGACCTTGGATTTTTAATGGTGTGCCATTTGGGCCACAATGATAATTCCTGATGACTATTTGGTGTACAGCAAAACAGCTAAGTCATTTGTAGAATATGCTGACTTTGGTGGGTCACTTCATGGAAGAAATACTTCATAAATTGTAGCTTCTATGTTCACCCAGATTATAACATTTCCTCAATAACAGAAAATGATGACATGCTATATTAACATTCCGACATAATTTGTAAGTTCTTTTCTTGTTCAAAGGAAAATTGGTTCTTTCTGAATAATGTGTTCTGCCTCAAATTGTGCACATGTGTAATATATAAGTATTTCACACAATAGAGGCCAAATCTCGTGTTTCTGTAGTTCATCCTCTCAAAGAGCTAATGGGATTATCTACCCTGAAATCTCCACCCAAAACATATCAACTGACTTATTCTTATAGAGATACTGGCTGTCAAAGACAAAGACAAAGACAAAAATAGTACACAAATCATTGCTTCCCCTATCTAGCCTGCATAAATGCATTTCTCCACTGCCAACATTTTGTAATACATATGTATTTTGCAATACAACTGGGTCCCTTTCTTTTGTGCCAATTATTATTATCATTAGGGGAAACACTGAAAATAAAGGTGCCAGAATTTTCTGTAAAAGTTCAGACTTAAAGCAATGTAGTCACTGTCCTTTTTACAATATTACTCTGTAAGTGATCATCTCTATATTGATGGCTACGAATACATGGGAGATGTTTGTAGGAAGTTGATTCTTCTTATGGGTGATGAACAATTTACTGATGGGTTGAGAGTGCAGGACTAAAATTCTGTGATTACAATATTCAAAAGCATCCGCATGAGGAAGCTACATGGAAGTTCAATGTATTGAGATGGCATGCTATAGTGAAGAGGACAGGGTTTTCTTTCAGGTAAAAGAAAGCTGGCACATAGGCCCTGATCTTTTCAGGCAGAGTTGACCTTGGTCTGTGCACTCAACCTCTGAGTTATCTGTTGCCTCATCTGTTCATTCAGAGTGGTTGTGAGAACACATGCAAAGTACCTTACATGATGACTGACACACAGGGAGGGAGCACTTCTTCAATTTTGGTTTCCTTTTCTTGACTAAGTATTTAATACACTTTTTAAAATGTGCTTTTGCCAGGCATGGTGTCTCACGCCTGTAATCCCAGCACTTTGGGAAGTGGGTGGATCACCCGAGGTCAGGAGTTTGAGACCAGCCTGGCCAACATGGTGAAACCCAGTCTCCACTAAAAATACAAAAATTAGCCGGGCATGGTGGCACATGCTTGTAATCCCAGCTAATCAGTAGGCTGAGGCAGGAGAATGGCTTGAACCCAGGAGGCAGATGTTGCATTGAGCTGAGATAATGCCACTGCACTCCTGCCTGAGTTGGAGAGTGAGACTGTGTCTCAAAAAAAAAAAAAAAAAGTGCTTTTACTTCTTGTCAGCAGGTATTGAACAAAATAATGATTCCCGCCTGTAATTTAGAGTATTGAAGTATTTCAAAATTGTTTCAGAATCTGAGCATCTATAGTAAGTGGGTTGTCCTGAGAAGTCCACTCTTCACTGTGGCATTCTATAAGAAGTTGGTTTTGATGTGACAGCATTTTCAAGAATTTCTCCTCATCCCCTGCTGCTTTAACACTGAGATAGTTAGGAGTAACTTCCAGCTCCACTCCAGAAAAAAGGCTTTTGTCAGTTTCTCCACATGGGGATCATCCCTACAGTAGTGAATGGCAGGGCTTCTATACCAGCAAGATTCATAAGCATGAGCAGATTTGATTCGAAACCACACAGGCATCCACTCTAGAAAATAAAAATTAAATCACAGTCACTGGGCTTTCCCGGCATGAGCTTTTCATTTTAGTTTCTCTTCACATACTATCTAATAAGCATTTGTTCACATTATTATCTTTGATTTAGCAGAGTTTTAGGAATTGAGCTTATTGGATGGTCATTTTAGTTCTTTATTTCACATGGCCAATAAAAGAGCAAAGCAAGCTGGGCTCATCCCCAGCATCTCCAGAGACAATAGGGCCCATTTCTCTTTCTGTCTCTAAAACAAAAGGATCCTAAAGAAAAAGAGGAAGGAAATTAACATCTACTGAATTTAACCAAGAGCCAGGTTCTAAACTATTTACTTTATACATTATTATTTATTACATTTCATTCTCAACTGAAACCCAAATGAAGTTGCTCTGGTTTGTGTTTTTGTTTTGACTGCTTTAGATATGAAGACAATGTTCCAATTTGCCTCAGTACAGATTCCTCTAAGGGTCAAAAGAGAAAAGGGAAGAGTGTTACTTTGGAGTACTTTTTGTGATTATGCCGTTTAAAATTTATTCAGAACGTTAAAACGTAAAAGTTGATTAACTTTTTACATCTATTATTATAAAAATTATTTTTTGCTGACTCTCATATTAATATATGTTAACAAATATTTGGAAAACAGAAAAAAAATTTTGTAAATATACTGCCAGAGATGGCCACTATTAATATTTTTGTATAACTTTCAATAGGTTTCTTATTTTACATATATATAGCCATAGTCTAAAAATACATAAATATATAGATATATATTGCATTATTTTATTCAGTTTTTTATATTAAATGTAATGCATATTTGTCATAATATATTTCAAATTTGATGAAAGTTCTGTATTCAGTAGCCATAGTCTTCATCCCTAGAGGCAAATACTGTTCTTGTATCTTCCACTGAATTTGCTATGCATATTTGAGCAAATTAACCAGATACACATACACATTTTTTTCTCTTAACATAAATGGCAGCATGTATTACACATAAGTCTATGCGTCCTGCTTTAAATGTCAGGTAGGCTCCTATCACTGTCTATAGTATCACTGCTGACTGGTATTGTATTGATTTTCTCTCTTCTTGATAGACATTTATATTGATTAGAGTGAAATTATAATTATCATGATGTTGAAAGCTACACACTCAGAAAAGACTAGAGCCATGTTTCACATAAGTGTGTTCTGATCATGTATTGTAGTCTTGGCACCTTTTTGCTATTGATGGTCAGGAATTGCAGATGGATGCATTGCTGATTCCCACTGTAGTGACTTATTTCTGGTGCACCTACAACACAGCCTAGCTGCACCGTACCTCCCTGTTGGATTTTCAGCTATCATTGAGCTCAATTGTTTCTGCTAGACCCTTCTAAATCACCTAGACGGAGTTCTATCCTGAGAATCTCAACACAGTTGTGAGAGTCATTTGTTGTTTCCAAAAACCTTTCATTTAGTTAGAATTCTAAATCTTCTGTTTTATATTCTCTTGATCCTGTCATCTTTTTCTGTTTTATTATTTCCCATTTATTTCTAAACTGCTGTCTTTTTATCCTCAGCTCAAGCAAAACTAAAAGCCAAAACAAAACGAAATGAAATATGGCTTTGAAAGGAGGCATCATAGTTAGCAAGTTTCTTTCTGGTCATTAAATCTGCTCCTGCAATGATCTTGAAGTTGGCTGTATGATCATGGTCTCTTGATTTTGTCTTTGCTCCTTCACTAGGATGTAAGATCTTTGAAAGTTGTATCCAATTTTTTATCTTTGTGAGGGCCATGTTTAGAGTTTCAAATAAACGTCTTTTGGTTTCAGAGACTACAATTTTAGCCAATAGACTATGTGGATTCCATCATTTTTTTTTCTGTAGCTCCTCAACATTACAAATGAATTTGATTTCTGGGTATTTTATCTTTTTGTTAATCTTCTTTTTCATAGATTTTATAACCTCACCAAAGTATCTTATAGTTTTTAATATGTTTAAGTCAGTTTTCTAAGTAGCATCATATCTAAATTTTCTAAGTATCGTCATATCTAAAAATAGTGACAATTTTTGTCTCCTATTTTCCAGTTTGTATATCTCTTGTGCATTTCTCTTATCAAATTAAGTTGAGCAGAACTTCCAGAAGAATGCTAGATAACAGCAATGGTGGTATTCACGTGTGTCTTGCTACTGATTTCGAAGGGAACTATTATTTTTAAAAGAAATTCTTATTACTATAAATTTAAAGATCAAAAAGTACATTAAATTTAGGGCATCTAATTTTTAAAATAAGTTTAGTTTCCTTTTCTCTAATGGAATCTACACATATTAGAAAGATGTTTTTCAATCTAGTTGGGAAAATCTATCTCACCCTATGAGATAGAGATGCCATTAGAAGTGATTTTCTTTATTCAATGTTGTAATTTGTTAGAATTTCAAATTTCTAATAACTAGAATATTTTATGTCTAGTTCAGAATAAAGTTTATTTGGAAGAAAAGGCATCACTGCCTGGGTCTTCCACTAGCAAACCATCACTCGGTTGTCTTTCACAACAGTAAAGCCTGTGTCAAAACACCTCATACATGTTTCATTAAACCAGGCAAAGATAACATTACAAAGTACTTGTCAGCACACAGTATGATGACCCTTGCACTGCCACAAAAGATTTTATTAGTTAGAAGTTTAGAATTCCAATACCAACATGGACTTTGCAACTTGAACATCTTAAGGTTATCTTAACTATGTATGTTTTGTAAACATTTATTCAAATAGGAAGAGAGGAAGTCAAATTGTCTCTGTTTGCAGGTGACATGACTATTTTTAGAAACCCCATCGTCTCAGCCCCGAAACTCCTTAAGCTGATAAGCAACTTCAGCAAAGTCTCAGGACACAAAATCAATGTGGAAAAACCACAAGCATTCCTACACACCAAACAGACAAGCAGAGAGCCAAATCATGAGTGAACTCGCATTCACAATCACTACAAAAAGAATAAAATACCTAGGAATACAACTTACAAGGAACATTAAGGACCTCTCCAAGGAGAACTACAAACCACTGATCAATGAAATAAGAGAGGACACAAACAAATTGACAAACATTCCTTGAACCAATAGCATCGTCATTTATGATTTTTATCACGTGTTATGTACTCTACATAATTGTATCTGCTATACTTTTACATGGCTGACAACACAGTAGGTTTGTTTACACCAACATCACAACACCAACATCACAACAAACAGGTGAGTAATATGTTGTGCTATGACATTATGTTGGCTAGGATGATATCACCAGGCAATAGGAATTTTTCAGCTCCATTATAATCTTATGGGACCACAAACATATATGCTATCAGTTATTGACCAAAACATTGTTATTTAGCACATGACTGTAGAAATAATACATTAAGCTTTATTGCTCTACAGGATAAAGATATGTGACAAATTGAAACTGTTTCCTAAAATAAGCAATATCTATATTTAAAACTTTCAGAAAAGAGAAAAATGTTTTTTACTGAATTCCTGGACAATTATTTATGCGTCATTTTATCGAGAGACTTTCTTTAAGAAACTACTACTTTTCATATAAAAGATCATTATTAAATTGTGATGTATACACAAGTTCAAGTCATAAATATTTTACTCAGCGCTGAGATGCTATCTTTTTTTAAGCTTTACAAAGCAAAGAATATTATCTAATTACAATCAGTTTGTGGTTAATGGCTTCTGTTTGGAAAGACAGAATTACTTCCCTTTTTAAGCCTAACAGAATATATTAACATTGCCATATTTCCTCCCTCTTTTTGTTTTTATTGTCTTTATAAATCACATTATTCCTGTTATAATATTTTCTGAAGCCTTAATATTTAGCTATCTTAAATAAAAGGTTTGGATCTGATTATCCTAAGCATTTATATTTACATATTAATGTTTAAAACAGAAATTAATACTCATAAGCAGATAAGAGATACTTATAAGAATGTCATCCTTTTTTATGATGCATATACAAACCTCAACTTATGAAAGATAAGAAATTAATACCCCTAAAACAATAATTTTCTGAAAATGCAAAAATGTAAAAAATACACTCCATATGCTCTTTCTCACTTTCTCTTACTGCTAGTCAGTAATGACTATGAGAAAACAAAAGCTGGAAAGGCTTTTGAATAAATAAATATTACATTTGACATATAAGTGCAAACATTGATGTAAATAACCCTTGGAAACAATTATTCAATTGTTCTGTTTTAGATCCCTGAATAGAAAGTAGGAGATTTGAGTCAGTAACCTGGTATTAATGGACAAGGCACTTAACATATTTTGACTTGTTTTCTCAGCTGTGAAGTCTCTCTCACTCTATCTCTCTCTCTCTGTGTGTGTGTGTGTGTGTGTGTGTGTGTATTTGAGGACTAGATGGGGCAACATTACTAAATGATGATTACGAACAATCTCTTTCTACTTCTAACCTTTCATACCTGTGAGGCTGATTAATGAGTCTTTATTCAGTTCCACATTTATCAAATCTGATCTATCTTAGACTCTCTTCTTGCTCTACATCTAATTTTTTTCTTTTTTATCATTACTGACCAGCAGTGAGAAAAAGTGAGAAAGTGCCTATGGAGTGTATTTTTTAGATTTTTGTATTTTTATAGAATTATTGTTTAGGGCTATTAATTTTTTTCATAAATTGAGGTTTGTGTTATCATAATAAAAAGAATGGCATTCATGTGTATGCAATGGCATTCGTATGTATAACTCTTCTCTGCTTATGAATATTAAATTCTGTTTTAGGCATTAAAATGTAAATATAAATATAAATGCCGAGGATAATCAGATTCAAATCTCTTAGGTAGGATTGCTAAATATCAAAGCTTCAGGAAAATTTATACCATGGGACTAACATGAAGTGTCCAAAGACAATAGGGACAATAAGGACATCCTCTAATTTGGTGATTTAATCTACTCTCACAGTCCCAGTCTTTACTTTCTAATCCTGACCTCTACAGCCTGGTGGTTACAACCTGTAAGGTTATTTAGTAACTCCTTCATTGATTCAAAATATTTTAAACAATTTTTTATTTTATTGTATTATTTCTAATTTATGTTTTTTTTATGTCTGCTATAGGTCAGGCCACAGGGATAAAATTGAAAGGAAGACTAGGGAAGATGTCCACTTTCACAAAATCTTCAATCTTCTGAGCTTAATTATACCACAAAACAAACTTCCTTCTAAAATCTTCATTTCTTTCTCTATCTCCACCAAGCCACATCTCAATTTAGACACTGCCTGAGACATGGTACCATGAAAGTCTTGGCCACTTCCTTTAACTCAGCCCCCAAGTCATAGAATTTCTACCTCAGAAATAATTTCCCAGCATCACTGCAATTGCCCACCTGCACTGAGTACCTACTTTGTTAATATTATTCTCCTTAAAGATTCACAAAGTCACCATACATTTTCATTTCCACACGTCACCCAGGCTGGAGTGCAATGGCATGATCTTGGCTCACTGCAACCTCCACCTCCCAGGTTCAAGCGATTCTCCTGCCCCAGCCCCCTGAGTAGCTGGGATTACAGATTTTATTTATAATAAAATAATAGAAAATAAAAATAAAGCTATTTCAAACAGTGAGATTTGTTTTGCAGAATGCTGAGCTGAAAAAAAAATCTTCAAAGTTTTTTATTTCACAATTGTGAAGT
Organism: Homo sapiens; assembly: GCF_000001405.40. Taxonomy (NCBI): domain Eukaryota; kingdom Metazoa; phylum Chordata; class Mammalia; order Primates; family Hominidae; genus Homo; species Homo sapiens. The sequence continues at coordinate 45,092,219 of NC_000005.10, read as the reverse complement.
ATTTTCCTCAGAACAAAATGATAGAATTATTTTAATGCTGCCATTCTTTATCGATGCATCTATTTGAAGAAAAATAATTGTCCAATAACTATGATCCAGAGTCCTCTTCACTACTATAACCATCACCAGCACGCTTTTCTTTAAACTTGTATTTCGTGCTTTCTTTCCCCTTCCAAGATGGTTCTTATTGATAATTTTTCCAATTTTTATTTCCTGTGTTAGCCCTCCTCCCACCCTTATCTCAAGATGAGCTCATCAAAACCTTTAAAATCAATTCTTCAAAATAAATACAACATTCTTGTCTGTATTTTATAAAAACAAAAACTTATCAGAGCTTTCCAAATACAATAAGTAACTTTCCTCTCCAGATTCAAGAGTAACATTTGTTAATCCTATAAAAGAATACACATAGCATTGTACTCTTGCATCCAGTCCATTTCACCCTGGGACCCAGAATTATTTTGCTCTTCCTCCTTATTCTTTTAAGTTAGCACTGTTCATTCAACTTACATGTTCTCCTATCAGTTGAGGTTGACATACATTTAAAACTCCTCACTTGCTATTAAGACGTGTGTCTGTTTGGAACATAGGTTTAAAAGCATATCTTTTAGCCTTTCTGATTTTTGCCAAACTGTTGTGTGTGTGTGTATGTGTATGTATATATATATATATATATATATATATATATATATAATTTTTATATCAGAATATATAAGTAAATATGTATTTCCAAAACTGAATTTTTGAACTTATTTATAAATATGTAAATATGCTTATTTTTTCTGAATGTCAACAACAGATATCTAAAATTGTATGTCTAGCATATGTTGACCACATAAGGTATAGAATATGAGATCTGATCCAATTATTTCCAACTGTTCCTACCACTTTAAACATTATTTGATAGGGAGTAAATTGCTGTAGCTCTCAGACAGAATATTTGGCAGATCATATGTGAATTAAATCTAGACTTTCCTATATTTAATTAACAGTTTTGTAACTAGAATACATCCAGTCCTAGGTATCATTCAGTGCTTCCATTTTTATTTATAGAAGAGACTTCTCCTTTACCCTCTTCTTGTGTGTACTAGGGCCTATCAGGTGACATTGCCTGCCTTAGTGGAAGGCATTACAGTCAGTTTTTGGTTTTCCTCTGTCACATCATCTTTTTTCCACACCAAACTATTGTTTCTGCCTCTACCTGAATCAGAGAGTGGGCAGGTGCAGGAGAGAGAACTGTTTCACTTGGCTTCATAGTTCTGGCACATGCTTCCTTTGTTCTCTGGGGAATCCCACTCCTGGGCCCTTTTCTTTGTATACCTCAAGTGATGTATTTCATTCCCTGGGTTGGCCCCTGGCAGTTCTTATTACACAAGCTCACATCGTTGTAATCCCCTTAAAATAGGTTGTCAAGCCAGTACAAATGTAGCCACTCATTACAAAATGTGGGTCTCTCATAACAACAACAAAAAAATTCTTTTAAGGAAATCTCTTCACAATAGTTTTAATCTCCTCTACCTTGACTATTTCATATTCTTTGTAGGTAAATGAATTCAAGAATCATTCTGCATATCATTTTATTAGTATGTTCTTAGTAAATTTGATACATGATGTTCTGCCTTTGGAATTTCACATCTTAGTGTATTTTGAATATGAATGAAAAAATCTTATTGTCTATGTGAAGAAGATAAATCAATGAAACTTTTTTTAAAGATGGCAGACAGCTCATTTGGTCCCTCATATTATGAAAAACAAGCTCCTTTAGGTAGTAAAACTGTGAGGATATTTCAATATAGATTTATTATTCTTGTCACTATTGATAGTCACTCTGGAGAGCCTGTACAATGACAGTAAAAGGTGTCAAGAGGGTAATGGTAAGCCCACATAGAAAAAGCTAGGAAAAACTAAATTCCACAAAGTCTTAATTTCTGGGTCTATTTCCTATTGGACGTAACCCCATTTTCATGTTTGTTTTCATCTTTTATTTAAAAGAAAAATTCACTGTCTAAAACCTTATGTTTATTTAATATCTGACCATCATGAAAACATTTATCATGTGCTAAATCATAATGTTGGATCATTGAAATCACTGACAAGATCCCTTTTTAGCTCAATGGCCTTCTGGGTGAGGTGACAGTGTGAGGAGATGCTCCAGAGGCCAGAGATATTATTGCAGGTAAAGGAAGCAGCAATGGTTTTCCATAGATGGAGTGTCAGGTAAGTGGAGAAGAAGTGGGAAGTGAAGTCAGGCAAGCAGCAGTAAGCCAGGAAGCAGGAAGCCTTGTGAGCTAGAGATTAAACACATTCTAGGAATGGGTGAAAGACACTGAAGAATTTAAAGCGGATACACGATATGACCTACTTTGAAAAAACAGAAAAAGAATGAAATCCTATCATTTGCAACAATGTGGATGGACCTGGAGGTCATTATGTTAAGTGAAATAAGCCAGGCACAGTAAGACAAATATTGTATGTTCTCACCAACCTGTGGGAGCTAAAAAAAAGTTGAATTCGAGGAGATTTTTCAAGAGAGTCCAATGATGGTTACCGGAGACTGGGAAGGTACTGAGGAGGAAAGGATAAAGACAGGATGGCTAATGGATACAAGAACACACAGAGTAAAGGAATAAGATCTAGTATTTGGTAGCATAATAGGGTGAGTACAGGTATCAATAATTTATTGCATATTTCAAAATAACTTAAAAGAATGGAGTTGAAATGTTCCTAACAAAAAGAGATGATAAATGCCTGAGGTGATGAATAACTCAATTACTCTGATTTGATCATTTCACATTTTATGCTATGTATCAAAATATCACATGTATGCCATGAATATGTACAAATATTATGTACCCATAATAATTAGAAACTTAAAAAATATTTTTAAAGTGTAGAAGCCAACTCTGCCTTCTGGGGAGATCTGTTAAGAGTTGAATAATGCTGATAAATGTGGGTTCTCTTATGTGCTGGGACAAGATTATAGCCTTATCATCTTCTGAGTTTCTACTTCCTCTTATCCACCCCCAAAAAAGTGAAGGGAAAGAAAGAGCCAAAAATCTAAAAACTTTCTAAAATGATGTAATTAACTATAATGGATGATTACCAGGTATTTAAAAAATAGGAGTTTTTTTAATTTGACATATTTTGAGATGTTATATCTGCCACTTCAGTGTAATATTACGTATGTATTTTTCTGTAGGCGTAAGTTTCATGGGAAAGAATCAGCCATGTTGAAACAAAGCTTCTGATTTATTTTGATGTTGTCCTTATAGGCCGTATTTTCTTTATTAATGAATTTGAGATACTCTTAGTTGACTACATTTGGCTTAAAGTGTGTAAGTGGTAAATTTGGTTAAGAAACAGGAAACATCCTATCTGTACCAAACAGAATGGTATGTAATGTGAGAATCCACTGTTTGCAAAAGACTGGATGATCAGAAGTCCGAAAAACACATTTTCAGCTTTCAGGAACTCAGGCAATTCCAGGAGCTTGAAGAAACCGCTACTCATGAACTTAGTGCCTATAGCAATTAAACAGGTAATCTGCAGAACGCCTGGAATCTGCTAACAAATCATCTATTTGTTCTCAACTGAAATTCAAGCAGGTACCCACCATTGTTGAAGGAATAATGATGCGTACTTCCAGGCTTCCAGTCCTTGTCACACAAAGACATGTGAGGAAGAAGGGAGAAAGGTGTAAGATGGCCGCAGACACAATGGAACATATGTGTTATTCTGGGGGTTATTCACATTGTATTTGCTTACCCTGGAGCCCAGGTAAGATTCGACTTATGTACAAACAGAAGCTCAAGGGTCAAATGGAAAGTGAATAAGTTCTAGTGAAGTTCAAAGATTTAATACATACAATGTAATAATCAACACTAATTGTAACTAATTTAGTCATTTACCAATTTGAAAATTACTTCTTAATGGTGATATTCAGCTTGAATATTTATAAATTTCATTTTTATTTTTTAACTTGTGAACACTTACAAATACAAGTTGAGTTCCATCTGAATAAAATATTTAGTAATCTGTCAATTAATATAGGCATTGCACAGAATACTATTTTGAAGACACATAAAAATAACTTATAATGCAACTTATACAATGTAGTTAATGTATGCAAAGAACGATTTTTTCAAGGATGATTTCGAGGGATTATTTTTATTTCAGAGTTTAATTACTAAGACATTTCCCATATAGACTTGTTTACTTATTCCTTATTTTTTATTCCACTGAGTTAAATTAAACAATAATGACTTTGTAAAGATAAAATAGGTTCTCAATTTATTAACTTCCTTATAAATCTATAATCAGAAACTATTGAATTTATTTTCTGTTAAACTTAATCTGAAATAAGCTATACATAAGGGGATATTTTGTAGTATTTTTCTAGAAATTAATTAATTCTTTCATCTTACATTAAAAATTTTAAAAAGTACTTACATTATATACCCCTTTAACAATAATCTAATATATACTGTGGCTAATATAATAAAGATAACTTATAAATGTGATTCTAATTATAGTCCTTAGCATTGAATAGGAAAGTGAAGTTCTTATCATAGGAAGGAATTATAATGTTACAGCTGTAGCATTCTCATGCCAATAAATAAATACATAAATAAATGCCATTTGCAATTATGAACCCAAATAATAATATCTAAAATTCCTCTTCTATCTAAATTCCACAATTAAAGAGTTTGCTTTTCAATATCCTCTAGATAATAGTAAATTACAAAATTTACAAAATGAATACCATTGCTATAATGAAAAATCAAAAATATAAAGTTTGAAAACAAATTACCTACATAAATATTAAATAATCTAAAAAATACTTTTAACATTTCTAATTTCATTTCTGACATATGGTAAGAATAACAAGCCTTATTTTACCTTATATTTAGAACCTTGTTAATTAGGAAGTTTTTCTAGTGGTTCTAAGAATAGAAGATAAATAGTTGCCTATATTATATTAATCACTGACATCAAAGAGTTATAAGGTCATGGCAAATGTTAACATGTAAATACTGAGGTTACTAAAGAAAGTCTATTTATTATTTTCCCATGTATACATATACATGAACATCATACTCACTGCCAAGTACTATTTAGTCATTTGGAACACAGAATGCACTGCAGCTTGGTAACACAATTTAGTAGAAAATGAAATATAATAAAATATGCATTATATATATGCAAATATAATATGACAAGTACTAATTAGAGAAGAAGAATATCGATACTGTTTGGGGGAGTCAGGAAGAGAGAAGTTTTGATTTGTATTTCTCTAATGACTAGTGATAGCATCAACATCAACAAAAAGGACGTCCACACAGAAACCCCATCCGAAGGTCACAAACATCAAAGACCAAAGGTAGAAAAATCCATGAAGATGAGGAAAAAACAGCACAAAAAGACTGAACATTCCAAAAACCAGAACACCTCTTCTCCAAAGGATCACAAATGATATACATTATATATCAGAAGTTGATATATAAATTTGAGCAGGAATTTATACCGAGAAAAAGAGAAAGATGGTATTCTTGGTAGAGAAAAAGGTCCTTACAGTCATAGTTTTGGACAGTTACTTGATATTAGTGACTAGTAACCTCAGCATAATTAAGATCTTAGGGTACTGTCAAAAGAATGAGGGGAAAAAGGATGAAGAGGTAAGCTGAAGCTAAATTGTGGGAGAACATATTTCTTGACTATGGGCTTAACACAGAGTGAAACCATGGTAACACTTCTACATGGTACACACTTATTTAAGTTGAGATTATTGGGGTATAGTTATTAAAATACAGGTTTAGGACTTTACAATAAATATGAGAATGAGAACATATATAACGATATTTTCATCGTTACCACTATTATTTTTTACTTAACGTGTTGAATTAATGACTATTATGAAGCAGGAACTCATTCAGCACTGGAGACACTTGGGAAGTATTTTTACTGGGGGATGAAAAAATAATTAATATGAACATGTTTTATTGGCGCTTATAGTTGAATAGTGGCTAGAGGCACTGGTAAATATTTAGAAAAAAATTTCTATATTTGAATGTTGGGTTGTCTTGCTAGGTTGGGGAAGTTCTCCCGGATAATATCCTGAATAGTGTTTTCCAACTTGGTTCCAATCTCCTCAGCACTTTAAGGTACACCAATCAAATGTAGGTTTGGTCTTTTCACATAGTCCCATATTTCTTGGAGGCTTTGTTCTTTCCTTTTCATTCTTTTTTCTCTAATCTTGTCTTCACACTTTATTTCATTGATCTTCAGTCTCTGATATCCTTTCTTCCGCTTGATACATTCGGCTATTGATACTTGTGTATGCTTCACGAAGTTCTTGTGCTGTGCTTTTCAGCTCCATCAGGTCATTTATATTCTTCTCTAAACTGGTTACTCTACTTAGCAATTCCTTTAACCTTTTATCAAGGTTCTTAGCTTCCTTGCATTGGGTTAGAACACGCTCCTTTAGCTCAGAGGAATTTATTATTACCCACTTTCTGAAGCCTACTTCTGTTAATTCGTCAAACTCATTCTCTGTCCAGTTTTGTTCCCTTCCTAGTGAGGAGTTGTGATCCTTTGGAGAAGAGGTGTTCTGGTTTTTGGAATGTTCAGTCTTTTTGTGCTGTTTTTTCCTCATCTTCGTGGATTTTTCTAACTTTGGTCTTTGATGTTTGTGACCTTCGGATGGGGTTTCTGTGTGGACGTCCTTTTTGTTGATGTTGATGCTATCACTAGTCATTAGAGAAATGCAAATCAAAAACCACAATGAGCTACCATCTTATGCCAGTTAGAATGGCGATCATTAAAAAGTCAGGAAACGAGGCCGGGAACAGTGGCTCATGCTTGTAATCCCAGCACTTTGGGAGGCCAAGGCGGATGGATCACAAGGTTAGGAGATCGAGACCATCCTGGCTAACACGGTGAAACCTGTCTCTACTGAAAATAGAAAAAATTAGCCGGGCATGGTGGTTGGCACCTGTAGTCCCAGTTACTCAGGAGGCTGAGGCAGGAGAATGGCGTGAACCCAGGAGGTGGAGCTTGCAGTGAGCCGAGATAGTGCCACTGCACTCCAGCTTGGGCAACAGAGTGAGACTCCGTCTCAAAAAAAAACAAAAACAAAAACAAACAAAAAAATTCAGGAAACAACAGATGCTGGAGAAAATGTGGAGAAATAGGAATGCTTTTACACTGTTGGTGGGAGTGTAAATTAGTTCAACCATTGTGGAAGACAGTGAGGCGATTCCTCAAGGAACTAGAACCAGAAATGCTATTTGACCCAGCAATCCATTCCATTACTGGATATATACCCAGAGGATTATAAATCATCCTACTATAAAGACATGTGCACACATATGTTTATTGTACCACTGTTCACAATAGCAAATTCTTGGAACCCACCCAAATGCCCATCAGTGATGGACTGAATAAAGAAAATGTGGCACATGTACACCACATGCAGCCATAAAAAAGGATGAGTTCATGTCCTTTACAGGGACATGAATGAAGCTGGAAACCATCATGCTCAGCAAACTAACACAGGAACAGAAAACCAAACACCGCATGTTCTCACTCATAAGTGGAAGTTGAACGATGAGAACACATGGACACAGAGAGGGGAACATTACACACTGGGGCCGGTCGAGGGGTGGGGAACCAGGGGAGGGATAGCAATAGGAGAAATGCCTAATGTTGATGATGGGTTGATGGGTGTGGCAAATCACCATGGCATGTATATACCTATGTAACAAACCTGCACGTTCTGCACATGTATCCTAGAACTTAAAGTATATATAAAATAATATAATATAATATAATATAAAAACACTGCAAAAAAATGGGCAGAGGATCTGAATAGAAATTTAGCAAAAGAAGACATCCAAATGACCAACCAGTATATGAAAAAATGTTCAACATCACTAATCATCAGGGAAATACAAATTAAAATCACAGTGAGAGATTACCTCCCACCTGCTAGAATAGCTGTTGTCAAAAAGATAAAAAATAAGGGTTGGTGAGGATGTAGGTAGAGAAAAGAAAACCATTATACATTTTTGGTGGGAATATAAATTAGTACAGCCATTATAGAAAACAGTATGGGGTTCCTAAAAAAGTTAAAAATAGAACTACCGTGAGCTCCAGCAATCACATTTCTGGGCATATATTTTTAAAAATGAAATCTGGGTGTGAAAGATATATCAGTACACCCATGTCAGGTCGATGGCCGGTCAGTGGGTGCAGCAAACCACCATGGCACATGTATATCTATGTAACAAATCTGCACATTCTGCACATGTATCCCAGACCTTAACATATAATTAATTAATTAATTAAAGAAAATCTTTATAACCATATTTGTAAAAAAAATGGCAACAATGGAGATATTCAAGGCTTTAAGATTAAATAACATAGAAATGATTGTTCTAATTCTCTGAAAATTGTCATTGGAATTTTAATAGGGTGTGCCCTGAATCTGTGGATTTCTTTGGGTAGTATGTGCATTTTAACAATAATAATTCCTCAAATCCATGAACACAAGTATCTTTCTATTTATTGGTGCTTTCTTCAGTTTTTTTTTCATTGATGTCTTACAGTTTTCATCGTACAGATCATTCATCTTCTTGGTTAGATTTATTCCTAACTATTTTATCCTTTTTGATGCTATTATTAATGGAATTGTTTCCTCAATTCCTTTTTTTGATAGTTTGTTGTTAGGATATAGAAACACAACTGATATTTGTATGTTGATTTTGTATCCTACAATTTTACTGAATTTGAATTTAATTATTAGTTTTAAGAGTTTTTTGGTGGAGTGTTCTGGGTTTTCTATATACAGGATCATGTCATCTGCAAACAGAGACCATTTTACTTCTTCCTTTCCCATATGGATGCCTTTTATTTCTTTTACTTGCCTAATTACTCTGGGTGGGACTAAGTACTATGTTGAATAGAAGTGCCTAGAATGGGCATCATTGTCTTGTTCCTAATCTTAGAGGAAAAGACAAATAAGATTTTCACCATAGAGGATGATGTTAGCTGCTAGCTTCTCATATATGGCCTTTATTATGTTGTAGTATATACTTCCTATGCAAAATTTTTGACCATTTTTATCATAAATGGATGTTGAATTTTTTCAACTTTTTTATGTATCCTTTAAGATGATCATACATTTTTATCCTTTATTCTGTTCATAAGATATGAATCACATTTTTTAAGATGCAACCACAAAAGATCCTGAACAACCAAAGCAATCTTGAGAAAGAAGAATACAGCAAGAGGCATCACACTACCTGATTTCAAAGTATATTATAAAATTATAGAAATCAAAGCAGTATAGAATCAGAATTAAAAATAGACACATAGACCAATGGAACAGATTGTAGAGCCCAGAAATAAATCTATATATATGGTATACTACACAATGGAGAAAAAGTCTCTTTAATAAATGACACTAAAAAAACAGGATATCCACATGCAAAAGAATGACATTGGACCCTTATCTTACATCATACATAAAAATAAACTCAAAGTAAATTAAAAACGTAAACATGGCCAGGCGCAGTGGCTCAAGCCTGTAATCCCAGCACTTTGGGAGGCCGAGGCGGGCGGAACACAAGGTTAGGAGATCGAGACCATCCTAGCTAACACATTGAAACCCCGTCTCTACTAAAAATACAAAAAATTAGCCAGGCGTGGTGGTGGGCGCCTGTGGTCCCAGCTACCCGGGAGGCTGAGGCAGGAGAATGGCATGAACCCGGGAGGCGGAGCTTGCAGTGAGCCCAGATCATGCCACTGCACTCCAGCCTGGGCAACAGAGCAAGACTCCGTCTCAAAAAAAAAAAAAAAAAAAAAAAAGGAAACATAAAACCCTATAGCATAAAAATTCTCACAGAAAAATAAGGAAAACTCCTTGACATCAGTGTTTGCAATAATTTTTCAATGTCTGCCCAAAACGGTGGCAACAAAAACTAAAATAAATAAGTGGTGCCAGTTGGGGTGGTTCATGCCCGTAATCCCAGCACTTTGTGAGGCCAACGCGGGTGGATCACTTAAGGTCAAGAGTTCGAGACCAGCCTGGCCAACATGGTGAAATCCCGTCCCTACTAAAAATACAAAAACTAGCCCGGCGTGGTGACGGGCACCTGTAATCCCAGCTTCTAAGGAAGCTGAGGCGGGAGAATCGCTTGAACCCAGGAGGCTGAAGCTGCAGTGAGCTAAGATTGCACCACTGCACTCCAGGCTAGGCAACAGAGCGAGACTCTGTCAAAAAAAAAAAAAAAAAAAAAAAAAAAAGTTGTGACTACCTCAAACGAAAAGATTTCTGCACAGCAAAGGACACAATCATCAAAACGAAGTCAACCTACAACATGGGAAAATAATATTTGCAAACCATATATTGAATAGAAGAATAATACTCAACATAGAGAAGGAACACATAAAACTCAACAGCAAAAGAAAAAAACAAAACCAAATAACCAATTAAGAAATAGACAAAGGACCGGAACAGACGTTTTTCCAAAGAAGACATTCAAATGGACAACTGGTATGTGAAAATAATTATTATGGAAAGGCATATCAAAACCACGATGAGCTATTACCTCACACCTCTTAGAATGGCTATCATCAAAAAAGCAAATGTTGACAAGCATGTGGAAAAAAGGGAACCCACGTACACTGTTGGTGGGATTGTAAATTAGTATAGCTCTTATGGAAAACAGTAAGGAGGCTTCTCAGAAAACTAAAAATAGAACTACCGTATGATCCAGCAATCCCACTTCTGGGTATATATCCTGAGGAAATAAAATCATTATCTGGAAGAGAAATAGGCACTCCCATGTTTATTGCATTGTTCACAATAGCCAAGATATGGAAATAACATAAGTGTCTACAAAAAGTGACATTACTCAGCCTTAACAAGGAAGGAAACTGCCATTTGTGACAACACATATGAACCTAGAGGACATTACGGTAAGTGAAATAAGGCAGACCCAGAAAGACAAATACTGTATGATCTCACTTACATGTGAAGCAAACAAGGTGAACTCATAAAAGCAGAGAATAGAACAGTAATTTCCAGGGGCTGGGATATGGGGGAAGGTGGGGATTTCAGTCAAAGGGTACAAACTTTCAGTTATAACATGAGTAAGTTCTGCAGACCTACCGTACAGCATGGTAACTATGGTTAACAATACTTTATAGTATACTTGAAATTTGCTAAGAGGGTACATCTGAAGTGTTCTCACCACAAACTAAAATGGTAACTATATATATATGCCAAACTAAAATGGTAGCTATTGGTGTGTGTGTGTATATATATATATATATATATACATATATATATATATATATATAGTCACCATTTTTGTTTGACATGGTAGAAGTGATGCATATGTTTATTAGCTTAATTGTGCTAATCATTTCATAAGATATATCAAAATAAATAAATAAGATATATAGATGACTCATTTCTGATGTCCAGAAATAACTTTTGGGGTGGATGACATTAAGATAAAATATGAAATATTATTAGGATATATGCAGGCCAATAAAAAGAAGAGGAAGGAGTGAAAATAAAGGAGAGTGTCTAGGCAGTGACAAACAGGCTATGAGTAAAAAATGCTGGCACATGGGTGTAATGGAGAAAGAAGAACACAGAAAATATGTTAATCTGACATTTTATAACTGGCATTGGTGAGATTACTACCTTTAAGAGGCTATCAGCTAGTGAATGTGAAAGAAAACAAACTCATACAAGATGATGGTTTGGATCATATTTGTATTTCACACATCTGATTAAAAACAGAAGAAATCAAATATTCCTTTAAAAATAATATTTTTTATAAAAATGAATTTTCAGACATGACTAATGTATAGCAATATTAATTAAATATACAATGCTTAAAATTAATAAAATCTCTTAATAGATGAAAGAGACACATTTCTCCACCATCACATTAACAAAGTTTTTAAAAAGGAGCAAATGACAACATTAAAATTTGTTAAGAATATGGAAAAATAAAATGTGTGGGAAGACAATTTGACAAAGTAAGTCAGGAATCAATATTATCTTTTCTGAATTACAGAAAGTTTGCTTTTTTCTTTGGTCCTGAGAATAAATTAGCAGATATGCAAAATCAAACATAGTTGTTGCTTCATTGTTTATGATTATAACTACAGCCTAAGTATCCACTACCGGAGACTAATTAAGTCAAATCTTTGCTCAAATAGTAGCTTCTTCTTGAAGCTTTCTCTGAGAAGACTAATTAAAATTGAAACTCACATACTCCTTGGTTAGTTTTTAATAGATTTCTGCACAGTACTTACCCGCACCTGGCATGATTTACTCACTGGATTATTTATTGTAGCTTCTTGCCCTTAGAATGTAAGCTCTATGAGGAGAGGGATTTTTTTAAAATCCTAATTATATAAACAATACCTAATGGTATTGTATCCATTTAACAGATGCTCAGTATTTATTAAAATAACAGAACAGAATAGCAAGTAGATAGTATATCATTGTAGAATTAAGTTTATTGATTTGGAGATATATTTATTATATATTAAGTAAGAAAAGAAGGGTATAGAGCATGGTATAAGATACAATCTGACTTTTATAAGATTACAAATATTTGTGTGCATATAAAAGGAAGAAAATAAAATACAGTGTGTCATTTTATGTTTCCATTTTGCCTATCTTTATTTCCCAAAGTTTTTCTAAGGATTATGTATTATATATGCAATAAAAAATAAAAATCAATTAATGTTTAATTCTTAAGTTAGCCACTATTAGTTTAAGAATTTCAGGAATGCAAATGAAATATTTTACTTTTTTTTCATTAACGCCTCTATAAGGCAGATTCTAAGTGTGTGTAAGACCTTGACTGTTCAAGCACCTCACTCTCCCAGAGATAGGAAGAAATCACACCATAAGATAACATTTTATTGGATGGCATCGATATTATAATTTGCAAACTGAGTATCAATTACTAGAGGTAGGATTTATAAAATATAAATGAAAGTAAATAGTCATATTCTGCACTACCGAAAAATAAAGGCAGTTTTCTTACTCAAACCTCCTTCATCACCTTATAACATGCTCCTGCTGTACCCTGTTCTGCTGTCTTGGTATGGCCACCTCTTCATAGAACTCAAACATCCAAGACACTCTGAGCTCTTTTGAAAGAGGCACTCCAGATGGTTATTAAGAGTGCAGACTCTAGGAGTTAACTCTACGGTTTCAAATTCTGGCTCTGCTTCTTTCTAGCCGCCTGTTAGCCAATTTGCATAAATTCACACAGCCTTAGTTTTTCCTAACTGGTAAATGATTACACACACACATACACACACACACACTAGCATTTATTATTTCAAATCACATTGGATGCTAGCAGGGTTAGGCAAGGGGTCTTCACTCTGATTTTGGAAAATAGTAGAGGACAAATATTGATGTATTACAAGAACAGGAAGACAAATATTAATGTGTGACAACAACAAATTAAAATTTGGTAAAAGTATGGGAAAGTGTATGAGAAGACAATTTAACAAAATATGTCAAGAATCAATAATATGCCTTCTTTGAATTATAGAAATTTTGCTTACTTTTTGAAACAAGAAAAATTATTCACAAGAGAAAAATAAGAGCACAAAGAAGGTGGAGAGGCCAGGCATGATAGGTCACGCGTGTGGTCCCAGCACTTTGAGATGCAGAAGTAGGCTGATCACTTGAGGCCAGGAGTTCAAAACCAGCCTGGCCAATATGGCGAAACCCCATGTCTACTAAAAATTCAAAAAGTAGCCAGACATGGTGGCCCATGCCTGTAGTCCCAGCTATTCTGGTGGTGGCAGAAGAATTGCTGGAACCTAGGAGGCAGAGGATGCAGTGAGCCAAGATCGCACCACTGCAATCTAGCCTGGGCCACAGAGCAAGAGTTGATCTCAAAAGAAAAAACAAAAAAGTTGGAGAGAGAAAGTGTTGGGATCAAGGAGTTCAAAAAGACAGAGGTAGGATGTCTTAGAATTTATGTGGGCAAATGGCAAAGAGAGAGAGAGAGTTTCAAGAGAGTTTGAAAGGACTACATTGAGAGGGTCAGAAATCAAAAATGAAAATTTTAAGATGCCTTGATTTTTAATTATAGAAAAAAAAACACAAAAATTGAAAATGTTTTTTGAGGGGAGAATACTATTTATTCGAATTACCACTGCACACATGATGCAGTATGTGGGTTCCATGGCTCTTCAGGCAGATTATATTTCTGGTAATGAAGTACCAATTCTGAGACTTACAACATGCTCTAACCCAATGGTAAATCAACAGAAAGAGCCAGGTAGTAGGGACAGTAGGTTTCTTCACAGTATGAGGATCCATATGCTTGTCTTTGAGACTCCCTTCAGCCTTCTATGTTCTGTTTTTGGGCTGGTTGATTCATTTTTTGCCCATTCTCATGGCCTAAGTCTTAAATAGCTATTGAAAGAAGGAATGGGAATGTCAACCAAAACTGTTCACAATGCAATCCACATAGTGGGCTGACACTAAATTGTCATTTTGCAAGTGTGTGTCTGGACATGCATTGTGCCTGTGACTTTCTAACTTGTTGCTACCAGTTTTTTCAATTTTTTCTCTGAAAGAATGACTTTTAAGTGTGTGTGCCTTTTTTTTTCCCCCTAATTCCTAACCAGAAAGTAATTTCCTTCAGCCTGAACAGGAAACATTATGGCTTCTGTTCTGCTTTCTGGAGATTTATTGGAAGCTCTGACATTTCTTATAACACATTCTTAATGTCTTCATAATATCTAAATTACATATTCTGGGAAGGATTGAGGCCCAGCTATGATCAATATTCTATTCACTGTTCTGAAACCAAAGACAGAAATTTATCAAGGAAATCTGCTATTGGAGAGCTGTAGATGCTGCTGAACCTAGTGAAAGTAACATGGCTTTTGAATCAAAATACTGAAGTTTTATAGGAAGTTATTTAGATTCTATGAGTCAATTAATATAAAGTTAACTAATTGGATTAAAGGAAGTTTGATAGTTAATTCTCAGGAAGGTTGTTCGGAGGATTAAAAGATAAATGTATTTTATGATGTCCGGGATTGTATTAAACACATTTAATGCTCTACCTACATTTGCTTGGTACTAGACGTTTATGTGTACATTGATCCAGTGATGTCCAGCTGCAACTCTTTGCCTGAGAGCTTTCTATGACCGTCAAATTCTGAAGAAGGGGCTCTCAACAATAAGGTAGAGAGGATGACCTGTCCAGTGGATGCTACTTAGCCTCTACAGTGTGCCACTCAAGTGCTTACACAATGTGCCCATGAATGGACCAGCCATAGTAGGAGGGATTAAGAATATGCATGGGTCAACAGCATGGGCTGCTTCTCACCAGGGCTGATTTAACTATCACTATTAAATGTATGGCCTGTCAGCAGCAGCAGAGATTCACATCATGTCTTGGTAAGATACCATTCGTTGAGAAACCAAGCCAGCTCCTGAGTGGCAACTTGATTATATTGAAATCTTCCACCAAAGTGGGGAGGGTGACAGCAGTTCATCTTTGGTGAGATTGATAATACTCCATGTATGGGTTTGTCATCCCGTTTCACAGTCCCTCAGGCAGCATCAGTATGTGAGGGCTCACAGAGAGTTTCATTTCTCATTATCCCACATAACATTGCCCTAACCAAGGGACCCATTTTATGGTGAAGAATGTGCAATGATGAGCACCTGACCACAAAATCTACTGGCTCTCTGAGTAGACTGCCTCATCCTGAAGCAACTGGCATGAAAGAATGTGGAATGGTTTCTTAAACATACATCTGTAAGTACCAGGTTGAGAAGAGTGACACTGTAGGTTCAGAACACTGTCTTTCAAGGTGTGATATATATTTTAAACTAGTAGCAATTATGTGGTGCCATGATCCTTAAGCTAGAATGCTTGGACTCAGTAACCAAGGGCTAGAATTACAAATGGGATCTTGGAATTAACGGGGGCTTCCTCCAAATGGTGAAACTGAAACGAGGATCCAAATGCAAGTAATGTATGTAGAAGTGAAGCGCACACCAATGGGGGTGTGAAGAAGTGAGACAGAGAAGGAAAGGGGATAATAAATGCTGCTGTATCACACTCTTTCCACTATGGATAACAAGTTTGTATCTCATAGGATAAATCTGTGAGCCCAGGTAAAACGCATGGCTCGTAGTTAAGCCACCAAGAAGTGAGGGATCTGGGACATTCTTATTCCAACTCCAGCCAGTAACTTGTTGAGGACTGCTCCTGGAGGCTTTAATTCCCTGGCATTCCAGCAAAGACATGCAGATGCTGGCAGCCAGAAGTCATGCTAAGTATTGGGGCATTGAAGATGAGGAGGGTATGATAGGGTATCACCCGCACCTGTCACACCCTCTCATCCTCACTCACAGTTGCTCACTTGGGGAATTTATGTTGCCTGTTTGCTCAACTTCAGGATCTGCCAGATTAAAGATCCTGGTTCTCAGTGGGGAGGACCTTCCATCAGGTGACACACTCAGAGTTCATCTAGCCTAATGCTATGGATGACACCTAGTCATTCAGGGTTCTTTATGCCACTAGATCTCAAGTTTAAAAGGGAATTATTACACTGGCAGCGGTAATTAACCCTGTTGCTCAGAAGTAGATCGAGGGGTCTGTATATGATGGTGGTAGGAGGAATGTTTGGAATTCAAGGAAGCCACCAGGCACCTCTTGGTGTTTGCATGCTTGGTAATAAACCATGAAAAGATAATATTAGCAATCATCGAGGGCATGGTCACCAGGTGCTCAGACCCATCAGTGATTTCCCCATTAAGCAAGCAGCCTAGACCAGCAAACACGATGTCTGAGGATGACTGTAACCCAGAATTGCTGCCAGAGGAGTCAATTAATATTATTATGACCTTGAACCCAGCTGCAGCAGTGGGAGGCATCCCCTGCTATAAGTCTTGGTTTTGTTGTTTAGAGGTAGACAAAAGAACCTATGGTATAAGTACTGAAAGTGTGTGGTATAGATACAAATTTATATAAGCCATAAAAGGGAAAATACTGTTGTGGTTGAAATGATAAAAATTGTATGTTTTTACTATAGCAGATGTTATCCAGATAGAAGTTTGTTAAGCAGCATCATTTACATACTAGCCATTATAATAATCAAAACTTTACATATTATATTTAACAAATATAACTGTGCACGATTTGAAAGCTGAAAAAAATTTAAAGCTTTTCTTTGGCATGAACAAGTGAAGAGATTCTTCCAACCTAGAAAAAAAAATTCTATATTTTTCTCTTCTCATATACTATACCACTTATCCTTATGTTAATAATCTTCATGTGTTACAAAATACATTAACTTCAATTTTTTCAAAATCAAAAATAATATGTGTTGGCCTCTTCATAATAAATTAAGGTTTCCAGCCATATTCTTCCATGTAGGAATATATAGAAATGGATCACTTTTAAAAGATTTTGCCCCTTTAAAGGCTCCTCTTTTAGTTACTAATTTTCTCTTTCCACAAGGGAACCAACATTCATTTATATGGAACTTGACACATCCACTGGCAAAATAACTAAATCAAGAATTACCTCTGGAAATATTTGTGACAAGAATTACTTCCTGCTGTGATGTTGTAATGTTATTCAATTGGTCCCCATACATTTGGTACATGACATTGTTATGCTAAATTCCAAAATACTGATAACACACTCTCTCCTGTATAATATAAGACAAAAGATGACTTTCAAATAATTTCACATTAAGGTTTAATGTCCAATTAATAATTTCACACATTCAAAGCTGACAAAGTTAATGGCAACTAATTGAGATCCATAAAATATCATTTAGTTACCTAGTCTTGGGTTTGTGATATATATTTGCTCAGGTACATTTTAAAGCTGCCTCATTACTTTTAGAAACAGGTATGACATAAATTATAAATATCTTAATATTTAATATTTATAAGATGTTATGATAGAGTGATTTTAGTCCAAACCTCAGCCAGATTGCATATGGGTATTAAATACCTTACTGAGGGCTGTGGGGAGATGAGAAAGAAAGTATAAATTGATTAAAAGGTAGACATGCAAAGATAAAATATACTGCTTTTGTCTTCAAGAAGCACATTGTCTAGTAAAAGTGGTGGATAAGTCTACAATATAGCATAAGGAAAGCTTTAAAGGAACTATGCATGGGAAGCTGTGGTAATCCAGAGTACAGGAATGGCTCCATAAAAGCAGGTAGGGAAGGTTTGAGAAGAGATGAAGTTGGCAGTGAGTCTTTGATATGCTTTGGCTGTGTCCCCACCCAAATCTCATCTTGAAGTGTAGCTCCCATAATTCCCACATGTTGTGGGAGAGACCCAGTGGGAGATAACTGAACCTTGGGGACGGTTTCCCCCATAGTGTTCTCATGGTAATGAATAAGTCTCATGAGATCTAGTAGTTTTATAAGGGGAAACTCCTTTTGCTTAGTTCTCATTCTCTCTTGCTGTAAGAAGTGCCTTTCGCCTTCCACCATCAGTGTGAAGCCTCCTCAGCCACGTGGACCTATGAGTCCATTAAACCTCTTTTTCTTTATAAAGTACCCAGTCTTGGGTATGTCTTTATCAGCAGTGTGAGAACAGACTAATACAGTCTTATAGGAATACAAGTTAGCCAGGAAAAGATGCAAGAGAATGATATTCTGTGTTGAGCCATTTCAGGGCAAAAGCTGGGATTTATGAGAAAGAAGGCATATGTAGATAATGAGATGTCCTCTAAAAGGCCTGGAGCAGGAGGTCCCACTTGGTGAATGAGTGAAACTGGGTCTGAGCAGGTAGGCAGTGGTGGAATTTCATTGTAAGATTCCCTTCTAAAATTTCTTCAAAAACGTATGTGATACTTGAATTTTTCTATCTAAAATTATCATTTTTAAAATATAAAACTGGATTTCCATGTAAATATTTGAGTCAAATAAGAGATCCTAGGAGATTTATCTAGTTTCTCTTGTTGTTTCAGGATTGTCCCTCATATCACCATATGCCTTTGAGAGTTTGAGAAGCACAAAAATTATAAGACATTCAAAATGAATGAGAATACCTAAAAGTTACTTGAGTTACACAAATGAAATGGGCTGTATTTATTGATTAATACTAGAAAATTTACCATTGAACCTTTATAGCTAGGTCTACATATTATGAAGAATTCTGTTTGGCCAAGACTTGTATAAACTGGGATCCCACTATTGATTTCTTAGGCATTGGCTTGGTGATTCTAAATTAGTTCCAAGCATGTACTTATATCAAGAAGAACTCTTTTTACATTCTAGGGAAAATTTACATATGCCAAAAGAATAAAATTATTAAAATGATGTTGGTTGCAATATAATGCAATTCATTTTCTTTCCATTGTCAAAATACCAAAGTATGCTGTTGACAGGAAAAGGATAAAAGTACATTCTGTTCTCATAATAAAGTCAGGAACTGAACAATTTTTTTTGTTGTTGTTGACCAACGAACAATAGGCTTTTGATAATATTTATTTCACTGAACAAATAGATGAGTTTAGTGAAATCCATCATGTCAATGAAAAACTAAAGTGTTGGTGGAAATGCATGCTGCCAGGGATTCAGGTATCTAGCTATTTCCTTCAACAAGCTAGTGTTACACTATTCGATTTCATAACTGAAATAATCCAGCTTTTGTATTTTCTCAACCACCTAAAACAATTGACCTTTCTGGTAGTTTATACCCCTTTTCAAATAAAGATGATAATTCTTTATACAAATTTAGGGAATTGATTACGTATATATAGTGTTTCTAGCTGCTCTTGAGATAAAATGATAAATGATAATGAAGATTTTTTAAATGACATTTTATAAACTCCCACATTTTTCATTATCAGAATCAAAATACATGTTGTGTGCATTAAGTTCCAGAAATATTCACACCTGATGGACAATTTTTGGAGCACATTTTGTGACTATGCAAGTCAGTGTGATTAATTATAGTCATTCATTTAGTCACAAACTTCCTCTTGGGTTTGCTAATGGCCAGGGACTGTTTTGAGTGCAATACAAAGTCAAATTAGGGAACTTACTATGTAATTGGAGTTTATTAACTCTTCAAGCCTCAGTTTCCTTATCTATAATATGAGATATTTTCCCTTTCCCTATGAATAAAGTTGTTAGCAAACTTGACTAAATTAAAGTGGTTAAATTAGATGCGTTCAAGCACACAAGCACAGACACACACGAACAATATATAACCTCCTCCAAATTTTTGAATTCTACAAAATAACATTTTATGCATGCATTTGGGAAGAAAAAAAGTAACGTGCTTAATAGCATCATAAAATTTAACTTCAATTTTAGAATACCCTATGGTAGATTCACAGGGATTGGGCAATAGCCTTGATATTTTTTGTTTGCAAGTAGATAGACATGTTTGATGTATAAAAGTAGAAATATGTTTTTTCTAAGAGAGCCATCTTCTACTACATTGGAAATGAGTCCCTATCTCTGATGAAAAGCAGATACTTAAGTCACTCCAAATTCACAGTACCCAGGCTTGTCTAATACTCACCTAGTTGTCAGTTGGGACCTTACAGGTTGATTTATGACTGAAAGTGAGTAGGAAATTGAAAAGAAACAAAAGAAGTCATCATAATCCTTCTGAATGAAATAAACCAATGAACAAGAGACGAAACTACCAATATCTATGGCAAATTGACTCAGAGACAGCTGTTTGAGTCCTACTGTTGACTAATAATAATCAAAGTCTCCCAAGTATAACCCGAGTAAGGCAGAAAAATGTCTTTACAGGAACCATTGAGGGGAGCATTTTCAAACCATCACTTCTGAGATGTTACCTATACTGCCCAGGTCACCATTCATATGCTCAATAACATAGATCCATAGAGCTGTTTCTTATTTCCTTTAGTCTCAGAATAGCAATAAAAAAACTTTAAATTTAATACTAACAGAAATATGTTTGATATTATATGTCACCTATAGTTTTTTTGTTTTGTTTTTTGTTTGTTTGTTTGTTTTTTGAGACAGAGTTTCGCTCTTCTTGCCCAGGCTGGAGTGCAATGGCGCAATCTTGGCTCACTGCAATCTCCGCCTCCCGGATTCAAGCGATCCTCCTGCCTCAGCCTCCCGAGTACTGGAATTACAGGTGCCTGCCACCATGCCCAGCTAATAGGGTTTCACCATCTTGGCCAGTCTTATCTCAAACTCCTGACCTCAGGTCATCCACCTGCCTCAGCCTCCCAAAGTGCTGGGATTACAGGCATGAGACACCCCACCGGGCCTGACACCTATACTTTGAGGTTTGTCTGGATCATTGGTTCCTACAGTTGCTCTGATATTCTTTCCTCAGAATTCTTTGAAGACTACTGCCTTGAAAACCTTTCTTATTATTTTACCATTTTCCATAATTATCAACTTATCTTACTCTTACTTACTCTATGGATGATTTACCAACAATAAGAGGGGTAGCTCTGCTAGTTATGTTTCAATTATCACAAGAAAGTTAATGTATCTCAAATCTCTATGTGTAGCTGGGACCTCATTACTGAGCATGGGATCCAGGTTTGCAACTGCTTACTAGGAATCTCCACGATGATGTCCAAGCAGTATGATGTCCAAACTCAGTGCTCAGAAACAAACTCAGTTTTACTCAAGATCTTTCTTTTTCATTTTTAAACTCGCTTAATGACATAAATACGCTGTAAATGCCCCATACCGATAATTACAGTAACATCTCAACATTAATTTATTCTACTTTTAAATATTAGACCCCCTAATTCCCAGTTCTTACTTGTTTACCACAGTATTTTCTAATTTTTTTGTAAAATATTTGCCTAAAATACAATTTAGATCACATATTTACAACTAGACTCTACTATCCTGGAATATTGTATCAAGTTCCTTAGTGTAAACTTAATTTTTATTATGAGGTCCCAGGTACATGTTAGAAACCAGTAAGTACTATTTTAATAAATTGATCTTTCTACCTACCTACAAAGAAGAGCCATACTCCAAACTCAGAAAATAATGTTTTATATATATCTTTGGGAAAAATTAAATCTGCTATAAGATCGTTTCATAAGAACAGTTTGTTATTTTAAAATTTAATAGACATGGAAGCTATTGCCTCATATGAGTCAATGGATGAACATCTTCTGATCTCAATTTTGAATAGACTTCATCACTCATAACATACTCAGCACTTTTATAAATGTTCTATTTATGAAAGATGTATTTATAGACAATGTAAGAGACCTCATCCTCTCTCTATTTTAATTAAAGAAGCCAAGCAAAGATTAAATTAAATTTGAATTGCATGATGTGTCACTTGCTAGATCTTGAAGGAAAGCCACACAAACAAAATGTGGTCTTGAAAAAGAACCAAATTGCCACTTTTCAAAATAAAGGAACAGATTAAAGTGTGATCGCACTCAAACCTTTTTACACTTTAATGACAAAACTAATCTTATCTTTTAAAGGCAATTTATTAAAGTTTGGAACTGATGTTATATTTGATATGGGCAGTGCTTCCATTCACTCTTCTGTAACTAAAGGTCAGCTACTACCAACAACCTGTTTCATATTTTTTTATATCCATTTATCCCTTCAACAACATGCCCTTAACCACTTCATAGCTGATTCTCCTGTATCCTCAAATACATTTTCTCCTTTCATTATCAGATTGGTCCATAGAAAGTATTGCTCCAGAAATATTTGGCATGATGGATGGAAATAGACTAAGATTCAAGGCCTAATGGAAAATCTAATATGAACCTTGCCTCTCTGGAGAAATATAATACCATGATAATATAATATAATGAAATATGCTTGCTTTTTTTTTTCTTATAATGTATTGTGTGCTGTAGTGCATCTTCTGAGAAAAGACATGAACTTATTGCCCTCTGAGGGAAAAATCTCTACTGTTAACAGGCGCTCTGAAGAACATACTCCAAGCCTTTTAGATTTACATTTAGGGAATAACTTTATTGGGAAGGGAACAGGAGTCTTTGATTTGATAGATTGTTGGTCGCATATTTTAAGAAAACTATCACCACACCTTGAACATGGGCTTAACGGTTAAGCCTGGTGGATTAAACAAGCAAGTAAACAACAGCAACAGAATCAACAATCTGAGACTGTGGAATATGGAGGACCTTTCTTCTCCAGTCTCGCATCACGTTAGTGTTACCCTGCCGGCCTATTACAGTCCCACATTCTTTCTGCTTCAGGAGCATGGATCCCCAACTTGAATGGTGAGTGGAAGGAGAAGCTCAGCACACACAGCTCACGTCTGCCTGGTTTCCTCCTCTTCGGAGGGAGTAATCTTAAGGAACATACACTCTACTCTGTTCCTCCAGGGTAAGTCAATGTGTCTAATTTAGCAGATCATTGGGAAACCCACTTGTCAGAAATATGATTTTCTTCTATGTCGCTTTTATGAATAAAAAGAAGATATGTGGCCACCATCTGACTTACTCTTCTTTCTTCTTTCTTTCAGTTCGTTCAGAACGATGTCAAGTAAGTTAAACAATATATTCTGGGGGCTTTCAGACTTAAGTTTCTTAATATCTTGAAATTCCTCCTAGTACTAACAATAAAACATCTACTGGGCATTACATGTAATAATGCATGTAAAGTACTTAGTTCATTATTGCAGTACCTATTAAACGGTCACACTCCGCTTCCTCCTTTACCTCGAGTTCCTACTACTGCTGCTGCTACTAGTACTCCTACTACTATTAGTATTACTACATATGTGAAAACAATCAAAGAAACATATTATCAACTGCTGCCAACTGTTTCCTTTTAATAGGTTTTTATAGATGACCCTACAGTTTTAAGCTTTACACCATTTGTGAAGTTGTTAGTGAACACTGAAAACTGCTGATCATGAAGATGAAATCATCTTTTATTGCTACTAATTTGTGCTATAATCTCTAGCAAATAACATCATTGAGTCTATATAGAATGGAAGTAATAAACAGTTACCCTTTTGAATAGTTATCACACTGGAGTATTGGATTTGCAAACAACTGATAGTATAACTTCCTAGGCTGAATATCCTAACATAAATTTTTAAACCTTTTCGCAAACTCAAGTATGGGTACAGTAAAAACCTAACTGTCCCGAGTAAGGACATGAGTTATTTGCTATGCCATTCACTGGGATAATCCTCCATGGGTTGTTGAGCTTAGTGGAAATCAAAGTTATAGAACTAGGCCTGCAAGCAACCACACAAAGACTACAGCTTTGTTTTTCATAATGAAAAAAAACCCAAAAAACAAAAAAAAAACCTTTCTGAATGAGTCATACCATTCTAAAATTCTCCTGCTATCCTGCCATGACTTCTAATAAAGCTTGCTATGTTTGGAATACAGAAAGGTCACAAAAATTCCATATTTAAAGTCTACTTGAATACGATGGTGATGAAAACCAAGACTGTCCCATTTATGTAGACATGGAAAGAAAATCTATGCCTCACAGTGTCAGTTCTAGTGGGTCCTCATCTAACATAGTGATGCATTGATGATAACAGAATTCTGAAAATACCTGCTTTTAGCTCTCTGTGTACTGCCACTTTATGTACAGGGTACACATAATTTTGGAATGGCTTTTAAAAAAAGATTTTGGCAAGACTTTAAGCCACACTTATATTCCTGGAAAATTACATCCACACCTGCCCTCCCAAATAGATTCCGTTTTTGCTGATTGCTATCCACATAGCAGTCTGCTTTTATTTTTGTCTTAAAACTTACGACTTAGGACAGTTTCATTACTTTTTTATTTAATCATTTGTTTTTTGAAAGGACTCATTTGTCACAACACGGAGATACAATATAAATTGTGTCTAGATATAAGAAGCTAATTAGTTCATTCAAAATCCTGAATAATACAAACTGAGGGAGTCTGAACGTTTAATTTGCTGGGTCAGTCTTGATTCAAAAATGATGAGAACTGATTATATCTTTGGAAAGAAGAAAATGTTTGGCCTTTCAAACACTTAGCCAAAAAGGGTATATTAATTTAAATTTCTGTTATGTTTTTATATAAAATATGCTGAGAAGTAAGCCATTAAATAACTTATAGAATATATTAGATGAAGTCTTTTAAATTTAGCACTGTTGTTTTGTTTTACATCGGACCACTGTGTACTTCAAGAAGGTACCATTTTAAACAAACGTCCTTTCAGTTGCCTTCAAATTTGAAAACTGGGCATCTGTCTAGTTGATATTGGTACTGTCTGCATTTTGGGTTACCTTTTTAATCTTTCTTGCTCATGGCCTTCCTTAACTTTCATGAGTCTCATATTCCTCCTTGTTTTGAGTGCTCCATAAACCACCAATGGATCAATGGGCTGCATAACAGTGTATTTTAAAATACAAGAAACTTTTTGAATGGACAGTTTGTACTGGCAGTGGACCTTGTACTGTACCTTTGTGTAATTTTGTCTATCCAGTCCTGCAGCCTACAGTTAACTGAAGCCCATGGATGACAAGCACAGTGAACAATTCTGCTGATCTCTTCCAGGGTGATCCCATTATTTCCCAATAATAAGAACAATTAAAGATGTTATGGCAATAAAAATTTAATACTGGAGCAACATGCTCTCCAGAATTTTGCTAAAATGAAATTAAAAGCTATTAAAATTGCTTTACGGTTATATCATTTGGATATTATGTCTGACGAATAACAAAGTTGAATGTTTTTCTTGATTTATAGCATATGAATAAAGATAACACAGCACACAGAACATGACTTATTCGTACAATTAGATCTTGCAACTGCAAAATCTAAAGAGGTAAAGAGGTGGTACAATCTTGTTATCCAGTATTCATTAAGTGTTAAATTACTAAAGACCTATTTAATAAATTTAATACTCATCTATATACAGAATTATTATTTCTGCTTGTTTCATTTTATGTTGAGATTGTAAGCTGTCTAAATAAATGGGTTGGTTCAGCATCCTGAAGGAAACCTCTCAGATCAGCTGGTTCAGAGAACTGCATTATACTTCTATTATTCTAGGATAAAGTCTGTTAATAAAGGGGTACAAATTCATTAACTTGCCTATTCAACAGACTCTTAGCAAACATGTCCTATTGACAGAGCACTGGGATATATAAAGAATGCAAAGATATTTAAAACATGTTTTCTCATAATGGAAAAATTATTATTTTAATTCTAATTAAAATTTCTAATAATTCTAAAAATTATTGTTTTGATAAAAGTATACTTCATCTGAAAAGAGCAAACAATGGGACATTACTATGTATATAGCCATGATATAAAGCAATATATAGAATGTGTCATTTGAGTAGTACCACAATAGATCTTTAAGTAGCTCAGAATAAAAATGAGTTCTAGCTAGGAAACGCTTCGTACAGAGGATGGTGTTTACGAATTAGTAGAATTTTACTTTTCATGATGATAATATGAAAAGGATGCAATCAAAACTTAACATTTGCATGTAAGTCATAAAAATTATATTACTTCAAGTACTATAATAGACATTGCACTGCTTGGAACTGATGAAATGACTAAATCATTTGTGCTGAAAAACATAGATACTATATTCTTAATTATTATACCTATGGCTATTCAAATTTATTTCCATAAATACTCAGATGACTTTATGTTACTAGGAGGAAAAAATCACTCAATGTGTTCAAGTTGGTTATTTTTAATATACAACATCAATTATGCTATATGGTTATACAGACAATTAGAAAGCTTTCAAGCTTAAAAAAAATTTAGCCCAGTCATCCATGAGGACCCAAACTCAATTTAACACATGATGCTGTTTATCAGGAATAAGCCACTCAGACAAATGCTAGTCAACACGTGCTAATTTTGCCAATAAATATAAAAATAATTTTTCCTGAATTTGGTCACCCCCTATTCCTATTCCCTGATATTTTAAGCCAAGAACAGTTTTTAAATGGTCTGGGCCGCAATTAACCTCTAATCTACAGACGCCATTTCACATCACAAATTTGTAAATCCTATTTTAAGTACTTGGCAGTTATGGTCTTTTGGAAATAATGAAACAGAACTATTGAACTGATTAATCATGGATTGATATTTACTCTCTATTTCAAAGTATATTCCCAATGCAGCTGATTTCACTCAGTTTCTCAGTTACCTTTCTAAAGCCTCTAAATATTAAACTTGAAATAAAAATTTAAACTTAAAATAATTTTTTTTAAATTAAAACTTAAAATAAAAATATTAAGTTTACTTTCTTTGGAACAAAATATCTCTGTTTCTCCAAGGAAAAGACTCAAATAGTCTATGGTAAGTATTTTCATTCATTGCTTCAACATTTTACAATTATTTAGCCTTAGGAGTGGGAGCATAGAGGTCAGCCACCATCCAAGTCCAGAGCCTGCCGAAGATGGAGCATCAGCTAAGAACCCCTCACACACTAAGCTGTGGTGGCTTCAAGGATTACACCCGCAGGAGAGGTAAGACAGAGCAGAACTAAGTTCATCGCTCTTCCCAGGTTCATGCAGGAAACCTTTCCTTGGCATTGAGCTGAACAGGACAGACCTAGACATTGTAAAATACCAGCCAGTACTCATGGGAATTTGTAGCACCACTTCACGTGATCTGGGGTTCCACAAAATTTAAACAATGACTTAAAGTTTTCAAATGTGGGGTGCCTGGGATATCTTGTAAAAGCAAATGTATTAAAGCAATACAGCCCAGCAGCTAACAACATGGAATCTAGAACCAGTCGTCTCTTCTGCAGAAGCCGTGGCACCACCACTTATTAGTAATGAGGATACCTTCCCTTAACCTCTGTGTTCTTTACTTTCTTCTTCTGTAAAGTGAAATTCATAATAAGAGTACTTTCATCATGACACTATTGTAACGATTATATAAAATTACATAAATAAAATATTTTCAAAATTCATGGTGCATATTTGTTAATTAATATTGCTATCCCCTTCAGAGGAAGACACCTTTATAGCAGGGCTTGGTAAAAAATTATCCTGATCATATTTTACGCACAAATGCATACATATTTATATCGGAAAATATTGGCAGAAAATAGAACACAAAGTTAACAGTGGATATGGTTGGATTTTGTCATTAAAGTTATTTTTATTTTTCTCTTTACACCTTTCAGCACTTAACAAAATATCTCAATTTAATATCATAAAAAATTAGTAAAATTCTTGACCTATTCAATGAAAGCAATTTTTAGCTTTCCTACTTACAAATATGAGTATCGAATAAAAAATAAAAATAACAACTGATATTTATTGAATAGTGTGTATACTGTCCTAAGATCTTTATATGTATTAAATTATTTAATGATGATTATTACAAGATGATGAAGTGATATAATTTTAAAAACTTTTTATTTTAAAAGTAGTTTTAGACTTACAGAAGATTTCAGCTTCCCTAATGTTGATATCTTACACAATTACGGTACATTTATCAAAAGTAAGAAATTAACATTGCCACAACAGTATTAACTAAACTACAGACTTCATTGGGATTTCACAAGTTTTTGCCAGGACTGACCTTTTTCTGTTGTTGTATCTAATCCAGGGTAGCACATTGCAATTAGTCATTATGTCTCTTTAGTCTCCTCTAATCTTCTAATCTGTGACAATTTCTCAGCTATTTTTAAGTTTTATGTTTTTTAACTGACACATAATGATTGTACATATTGAGGGGGTACATTGTGATGTTTTGATATGTGTATACATTGTGTAATGATCAAATCAAGGTAATTAGCTTATCCATCACCTCAAATATTTATCATTTTTTCTGGTGAGGACATTCCAAATCTCCTCTTCTAGCTATGTTGAAATACACAATGCAATATTGTTATCTATAGCCATCCTACTGTGCAATAGAACACAAGAGCTTATCCCTCTTATCTACCTGTCATTTTGTACCCATTGACCAATCTATTCCCATCCTCTCACCTCTACCCTCCCTATCCTCTAGGAATTCTACTCTGTACATAATTATGCATACATAAATATGTATGCATTTGTGTATAAAATATGAAATCAGCTTTTTAAACTTCTGCAAATGAGTGAGATCATGCAGTATTTGTCTTTCTGTGCCTGATTTATTGCACCTAACATACTATCCTCCAGGTTCACCTATGTTGCTGCATATAACAGAATTATATTCTTTTTTATAGTGAAATACTTTTCCATTCCAAATTTACCGCATTTTCTTCATTAATTCATTGATAGACACTTAAGTCTATTGTGGCTATTGTGTATAGTGCTGCAATAAACATGGTAGTGCAGGCATCTCTTCAACACACTGATTTCATCTTCTTTGGATAAATACTAGTAGTAGGATTGCTGGATCATATGGTAATTCTTAATTTTTTGAGGAACCTCTATACTGTATAACATAATGGCGGCACTAATTTGCATGTTCACCAACAGTGTATAAATGTTCCACTTCAGCATTTATTATTTTTTGTGTGTTTTTTTAAATTACCATTCTAATTGGGGTGAGGTGATAGTTCACTATGAACATGATTTGCATTTACCTGATCATTAGTAATTTTGTTTTGTTTGTTTGTTTATGACACCCAGGATGGAGTACAGTGGTGCTGTCACAGCTCACTGCAGCCTCAACCTCTAGGGCTCACATGATCCTCCCACCTCAGCGTCCTGAGTAGCTGGGACTACAGGCAAATGCCACCACCTCTGGC
This sequence comes from Homo sapiens, assembly GCF_000001405.40. NCBI lineage: Eukaryota > Metazoa > Chordata > Mammalia > Primates > Hominidae > Homo > Homo sapiens. Next base: position 45,062,491 of record NC_000005.10, on the reverse strand, counting down.
TAAGTTTTGTATTTTTTTTTGTTGTTGTTGTTTGTTTTGTTTTGTTTTGTTTTTTGTTTTTTGTAGAGTCAGGGTCTCAATATGTTGCCCAAGCTGATCTCAAACTCCAGGGCTCAAGCATTCCTCTTGCCTCAGCCTCCCAAAGTGCTGAGATTATAGGCATGAGCTACCATGCTCAGCATAATTTTTAAACACCTATTTTAGCCCTTCTTTGTTCTTTATGACCTTGACACTTTGGAAGAGTTCCAACTAGATATTTACAGAATGTCTCTCAACTGGAGTTTGTCCAATATTTTCTCATGATTAAACTAGGGTTACAGATTTTGGCAAAGTATCCTTTTCTTCAAATTATATCAGATGGTAACTTATATCAACATTATTTATTACCAGAAATGTTAACCTTGATTATTTGGTTAACCTGGTGGTGACTGCCAGATTTCTCTATTACAAAGTTACTGTTTTTCTGTTTTCTTAATGATATTCATTAGAAGTGAATCACTGGTTCCAGCACACACTTAAGGGAGAGAAATTAAGCTTCACCTCCTGGAGGGAAGAGTATTAGAGAATTTGTGGATATGTATAAAATCATCATGCTAATTAATTAGTATTTTGGGTGAGATACTTTATGGTCATGCAAATATTCTCATTCTCCTTAAAGATTCATCTATTAATTTTAAAATTCACCTATAGATCTTGCAATAGAGCAGCATTTATTACTGTGATATTCTGTGTTTTTCTATTTTTCTCATTCCTCCTCCATTCATTATTTAGAGTTCTATTGAAGAAAAACATGTTTTCTTCTTAATTTATGTATTTATTCAGCCATTAATTTAGGTCAATATTTATCAATGGATGTTTATTTTACTCTTTGAGTTATAATCCAATATTATCAGTATTTATTTCACTGGTCAAATTATTCCAGCTTTGGCCATTGGCAACTTTTTCAGATTGGCTCCTACTTCACTTAGAGGCACCCCTGGTCTCATCTTGTATTTTTCCTGCCCCAACCCTAGAATCAGCTATTTCTCCAAGAAGCACTGCTTCCTATCATTGGAGAGAGTGGTCTTTTAAAAATAAGATTACTAGTTAGGTATGCTCATTGTTACTGAGGTTCCACTGCTTCTAGGCTGCCTCAGTGGATAGGGCTAAGGTATATATTTATGTACTACCCTACATATGTACATATCTATATTTCTCTATCTGTTATCTGATACATCTATTAACTAAATATGAGTTCATACTGTTATCTTTTACTCCAGTCCAGCAGTATGGGGTTCATTCTAATCCCTCCCTGTTTATTTATAACTTACTTTCTCTGGCAGTGAGAAACTTGGCTTACCATTATCTACATTTATTTACTTGCTGGTTCAATCTCAGTACATATGTAAAATAGTTTCAGAATTGCTAAAGCCAACTCCAGTGAGAAATGAATTAGAAAGTAGAGTATAGCATTTACATATAGTTCTTTTTTGTCTTTAGCATTATAAAAAGCCATACATAATGTTTCCAAAGTTACTTAGGTCAGCTCTCTTTTCCCCACCTTTTCAGTGAGGTTGTGTCACATGTTTGTTACAGCTGGCCCTCTTTCCTGGGATTTTTGACATTCCAGTTGATTATTTAATTTGCATAGTTAGTTTCACCCACTGTGGTTTTGCCAAAGACAGGGTTATGTAGCCGCAACTAAAGAATCATACCAAACAATTCCATCATCTTAACATTTTTCATGTGTGGTCCGTTTGTAGTTAATCCTTTCTCTACATCCCTACCCCTTGCAGTCACTGATCTGTGTTCTCTCCTATAGTTTGCCTTTTCCTGAATGTCACATAGCTGGAATTATACAATATGTAGCTTTTTTGTTCTAGTTTCTTTCACTTTACAAGATGAATTATAATAAGAAACTGAATCTTGCCTTTCAAAGGTAATTTTTTTAACGAGAATGAGCAAAAAAAACCTTTTGCTATAGAGACTATCCTAAAATATTTTAAAATCATTTTTAGTTTGAATAATGAAAGTGAGTCATTTCTATTTCTTAAAGAATCTGAAAATAGAATTTTTAAACTTTTTAAATAGAGAGTTTTAGTGGGTTTTGAAAGCATTCTTTAAAAATATAAAAATTCATTAGCATTCCAATAAACTTAGAAGAAAAACAGTTTGAAAGCAGGAAAGTTAAAAACTTATAGTCAAATTTCTAAAAATTAGTTGTAAGTTTTTTATAATTAAAAAAAGTATCCCGTGTTTACCTTTATAACAAACCTGCATGTACCTCTAAACTTAAAAGTTAAAAAAAGAAAAATATATGTACTGCTTTAATAAACCCTATCAATAATGTATAGACTTTCAGACCTTTGTATTTTTAGAAGTAACTTTTTCATTTATGTTAGCTGTGGAAATAAAGTACAGAAGTAAACAGAACTTAGAATAGGACTTCCAATAACCTTACCACAAAGAATTAAATCAAAATTTTGAAAATATAAAACAACTATAGTCATACTATTGTCACTATGCATTTCTGATTAATGATTAAAAGAATATTTTTCGTATTATTTAATTTATATTCTTTTATTTTTATTTTTACTTTGTGACATGATCTCATTCTGTCACCAAGGCCGGAGTGCAGTAGTGTAATCATGGCTCACTGCAGCCTTGATCTCCCAGGCTTCAAGAGATCCTCCCACTTCAGCCTCCTGAGTAGCTCAGACCACAGACACACACTACCATGCCCAGCTAATTTTTTTTCTTTTTTTTACTTTTAGTAGAGACAAGATCTTGCTATGTTGCCCAGGCTGGTCTCAAACTCTTGGGTTCAAGTGATCCTCCTTCTTTGGCCTCCCAAAGTGCCTGTATTACAGTCATGAGCCACTGTACCTGACCCTTGTCTTCTTTTTTAAATATATTTTCTTGCTTATTAAAAAAATTTATGTAATATATGTTAAAAGTATATAATTTATAAAAGATGCATAAATATACTGGGGGTACAGTCTTCAAAAGTTTTTTTACTATTAATCAGGAATGTCTGTAGACCACTACAGTATAGCACAGGCTTAATTATATGATATTCCCAAAGTCTTGGGAGCACAGTGGGCACACAACATATTCATGCATTACCTGTGAAATCCTTAGTCCACAATGTGACTGCTGTATTCATAGACACATTTCTCCACATTCTTTTTAAAGAAAGTTGAGACCCATTAGGCAGAAGCCATTAAAATCAGATAAAGTTACAACATCTAGGCAAAGTGATGATAGCACCTGTCAATGTAAGGCCTACCTATAGCAGAATATCCCAAAAGAGCTGGGGGAATAAGGAGAGGGTTGTATGCTATTTTGAGGAATTCAGAGGGAAAAAAACAGAAGCAGTGAACACTTTCCACTTAAAATTGGTTTTAGATATCAGTAAGAAGAAACATTCTGACAAAGATTCGTCTATAAAATGTTCAAAGTGCAAAACATAGACTCATTTTAAGCCATTTACCAGCAGATTCTTTTCCTATTTGACTATAGTTTCATTTTTGTATTTGTGACTTCCAAATATACTGTTAATATAACATTCATATATATCCAGCTTTTTAGCTTTCATGAGGATTTATATATTTTTACTCTTATTTGATGTGCCATTCCATTTCAAAAATAAGATGAAGTCTTTGGAAAAAATCAGAGTGAATGTTCTAACACACACTGCCACAGAGAAGAAAGACTTTCTAAATTAAATGCTGACTTGGGTGCGGGCATTAACATCCTTTAGTTTCACCAGTAGCATTTTAGGGACAATGACTTCTAATCAGTTTGCTGTCCATAGAACAATATTCAGAGTGTTCTAGATAATATTAATGTTCATTTACATTGTATTTAAGGATGATTTCTTCAATTCAGTCAAACACAAGGTAAAAAGATAAAGAGCAAAATAATAATAGCCAGGATTGGGGAACCAGAATCCTGAATTCTTCCTCTGCCATTATTTTCTATACCTCACTGGAAAAGCAGAATTTAAAAAAATAATGTGCCTGACTACTCCTCTTATTCTTACCTTGAGATGACAACAGCTTGCTAGAATCAAAGATTGAACATTTTTTGAGGTTGAAATTTTTTCTGAGGTTGAAATGAGCTGGCCTATTAAAAATGGGCAGAAAAGATCAAACCACTACTTCTGAAAAAATATATTCTGTTTTGCAGAATATTTTTCCCTTGAAAGCACAGAGTAGATTTAAAACAAAGGACTATTTTCCTCTTTTTTTCTTTCTTGTGGGTTTTGCTTCTTAAAAAGGGCTTCATTTAATCCATTAAGAAACAAAATCTTGTAATATTATTGAAAGATATTTAGCAATGTTTATCACCATATGAAGTGCTACAAGATTTATCTCCTAAGGTGCACCATTGCCAGGAGGGATCTGTTTTGCAAGATTTAAAGTCTTATAAAACTTGACAATGACAATATCTGAATCAACATTTTCATCTCTCTTTTGCCTTTATACTTCTGTAAATTATTTTAAAATTTTAATTCTATTCCTTATTTCTCATTTTTTTCTCAAATGCTTAAAGTACTCGCCAGATTCAGATAATTAGTTTGCATCTAAGGGGTTTCAGAAAAAAATATTTATTTTTCCATGTCTCCTAGTCCCTTTTCTCAAGGTTGTGTTCTCATGGCAGCTGCACTAAAGTGGTTAATAAAATTAGGAGGTACAGTCGTTTCACCTACCTGGCTTAGCCTCCTGGCATTTGGCCTTGCGAATTTCTAAAGGATTAATTACACAATTTACACTTAAATGGAGGAGGAGGATGGGGAGGTTGCTAGGCCACCCAAATGTATTCAAAAGACATCAAGAAAATAACATATTATCTGTCAGCATCTCCATTTTTAAAATCTTGCTATAGTTGAAAATCCATCATGCAAATTGAAGCTGTACTTTCTCAATGCCACTAAACCAAATGGAATTTGTGGTCTTCATCAATAGAAAATGGGAATAATTTGCTAAGCACTGCGAAGGAAAGTAGTCATCTCTGTCAGGAGCATAATTGATTAAGGTCTAATTCAGTACTTACAGGTTCAATAAACACTAGTTTCATGAGATGCTGTGATGAGAAAAGCAAGGAAAGGGGTCTCTGAGGTGGAAAGTCAAATAAATCTGGGAAATTATGCCTACAATATTTCATTCTCTGAGATTCACAATGTAGATTTGTCTATTAAATGATCTGAGACATTCTGCCCTTTATCTTTTCTTTTTATATACAAGTAGATGTTATTTACCTTTATTACATATATGTATACACACACAATATATGCGGTAGATACAGAGAGACAGATATATACGTATATACATGCATACATACATACATACATACCTACATACATACATAGATGATAGATGATAGATAGATAGATGATAGATAGATGATAGGTAGATAGATAGATAGATAGATAGATAGATAGATAGATAGATAGAAAGTATTCTATGGAATTAACTTTGGACCATGGTAAACTTGTCCCACACTAGGGATCCCCCCGCTGAATGATTCCCCATCTTGTCTGTGAGTAAATACTCTTGAAATAGTTTTTCATGAAAGTTGAATATTCATACTACCTCATGTTCCCAAATGAATATGAAGCTCATCATTTTTAAGTTGCAAAAATTAATTGTAAAATGTCTCTTTTTCACATCTTCTCCTTGTCCTAGATAACAAAGTGCTCTTTAAACAACTATAATATAGAATATAATGTGCTTATATGTATGTGTATATATAAAATTATAAAAGTAATATCTACTTATGTTGTTTATGTTAGAATCAAAATTACTGTTACATACTATAAAAATATTCGGAATATTTAGACGATTCCAAAGTAATATACTTTGTTTCATTTTTAAAGAGTATTTTCAAACAGTCCATATATTATCATACATAAATTGCTTCACTCTGAGAAATGACATAAAACAATTTAGATTTCATTCTAACAATTTATTCTTATTTATCAAATGAGGATTTGAAAATAAGATTACTCAGAAGACTGCTATTTTGCAGGCATCAATCCGTGAAAAATGATATGCTTTCAAATATATTGATTCCCTTGTGTGAAGGCAATTTAACAAGTAAGAAAATCCCAGACTCTCCGCTGTAATAAAACAAAACTTTTTTTAACCTTGAAAGATGCAGTTCTACTCTAATAATATTTTTTGAAATAAAAATTTATCTCTAACTCTGATGGAAAATATATCAAACAAGCTGAGTTACAAAACTACAGCATGCCTGAACTAAAATAAGCATTTTTTGTTACAGTAATCTGTGTTTCATCTCTTTTGGTCATCAGAAACATGAAACAGTAGCAATGAAGTAGAATCTGCTTTGACCAGGGGTCTCCATAACTGTTCAGATATATAACCCCTGGCCTTTGTTAAATGAAGATAACTGAGCCAACATTTTGTAATGATATTATTTTTCTAGACATAAATTTAAGCATGAATATATACACCAAACTACAAAGCACAATACAGCATACTCTGATATAAACTTTTTCTCTTCGTTAAGATGCTAATGAGAATTTTTAAAGATGTTGGCCAAGAAAAATCTGTTATTTGCCAGTTCCTTCTCATCATATTGTCCAATTTTTGCTGATCATCAGTACATCTTATTCCATTTCTTCTGGGATTGATTCACTTGTATGGGGATCATTACTTGCAGATTCGTATACATTTTGCTAATGGACTCAGAGATGTGCTCGTTTATACCAAGTCATTATGAATTGAGTCCCAGGGAGGCTTGCTCCCACCAGTATTTCTATAAACTGCCTGCTGCTTTCTTTAAAAGAAACTAGATTTGGGCCTTTCTAGTCTGCCCACATGTGTGCCTAATGTCACAAAAAATGCCTAGGTTGTGGCTGTGAGGAGAGTTATATTACACTTCTTTTGTTAGCTATCTATGCTGCCTAATTGGATTCCAAGCTAAAATGGTTTTACTACTAATGAAATTATGAATAAGAAGGCATTTCTTGTGTGACACCATTAATAGCTCCCTGAGCTGCCAATGATCAGAATTTTCCTGCTTAATAATTTCCAGTCTTGTTTAACAATTTCTTGTTTAATTTATACTAGCTTTGAGAAGATAACTGGACCATATTATTTAATTTCCTAAGGAGATACTTCTTTGTTGTAAATGAAGCACTTTTAGCAGCTCTGAAAGTTTTATTAGGTTGCAACATTAGTGCAATAAATGCTACCTAAGTAAGGCATGCATGATTAATCTTTAATTTGCAGAAGTGATATTTAACATTTGGCTCCCACAAGCCCTTTCTCTGTACACTATTCTTAATAAGGCCTTTTGCAAGTCAAGATTAAAGGTCCTAATATTTGTTCACTGGTTCTTTTACTATACTGTAAACCTCTTTATTAAGTTTAAGTCTGTTGGAACTGTGAGTTACATGCTTGTCTTATTCACTTTGAAATTCTAACAACAACCTCAATTGAATGATTGTCATAATTCACTTTTCTCACAATGTAGTCATTTATACATTATTAACCTTCATGTGAATGTTCTTTAGAGTTTTTAAGTTGACAATGAAATCTATTCCTGAAAAGTGGGCAAAACACACAAACAAGCAACAACAAAATATGTTCCGAAAAAAATATTCCTTTAAGAACATTGCAGATTTTTTTCACTGATATTGAATAAAAGTCACTTGGACTTTTGAATTATTTGAAATAAACATTCAATTGTCTTCATAAATATTGAATATAATGAAATTTTATAGTCATCTTACAACATTTCTAACAAATCTAATATCATCCTAATATCATCTTAATATACTAGGAAAGTACTGCCATGGATAAGAGTTAGTTCTCTTTCTTGGACTAGTTGGATAAATTAAACACATTGTAGATTGGCTTCTATAGATTAATTTTTATAATTTACTAACAATCTTTTAAACTTCAGTAGCCATCAACATGACTTAAGCAAATTTAACATGTACTGTATGCTGCTAATCAGCCATATTCCTGCCCTTCTAAGCTTGATCCTGTACTTAAAGCAGCTGGAAGACTAGAAATTACATTTTCCAGACTCACGTATTAGAAAGATTCTGGTTTAATTTTCATGGGAAAGATTTGGACAGAGGAAGAGAAGCAGAACTATTATTGTTCCAAAAGCCGGGAAAGCTCAGGAACTTTGGCAGCTAAACGTGAAAGGGATTTGCTAGGGCTTCTCTGTATCCTTCTACAAATCACCACTTCAGGACTCCAGAGAGCTAAAATCATTGGGGTATTTCCCCGCTGGTTTATAATTTGTTATTTTCTAAACAGTATTGTTTTGACTTATCTGACAAATATATTTAGCAATAATCCGATGTTGGCTTCCCTGACCTTAATTCCCTCAGCCTTCTGACAGTTTAATGTCTCTAATCCCCCTTTTAAGTCTCTTCCTGCTTGAAATATGGTAAAGCTGTATCTGGTTTCCTGATCAAAGCTCCACTTAGAGGATACCTTACGGAACCAGGATCCAGATCCTTTCTAATCCAGATCCAGTTCCCTAAATGCATCAGAACAAAAACAGTTTCTCACCATTAACTTAACTTAACTTTGGTTTATTTCCCCCCTTTACAAACTAGCAGGCTGGCAAAAGACAGTAGAGGTATTGATAATACACACTTAGGGGAAAAAATTTCTCATTATTCATTAGTCTTTGACTGTTTTTGAAAAAAAGAATAACATCTTCAGAAGAAGATTCCTGAACCCATTCTAAAAAGCCTTCTTCAACTTCTTATGATTATGTAATGATTATGCTATAATTATGTAATTACTGAAAGCCTTCATTCCAAAGATTATGGAGAAATAATTAGAAGCAGACCTTTTAAGATATTTTCTGTAAATTTAGATGAATAAAGGCATAAGAAAATATAATGCATGTATATAGTGTATATATGTAAAAGAAACTGGGGAAGGGAGAGTGAGAAATAAAGAATGAAATAGAGGAATAGGTCAGAAACCTAAAACCCAGTAGCAAAAGCAGTGTATTACTTAAGCACAGATCCTTCCTACACAGGGCAGAGGGGACAACATTAGCCTAGCTCATACATGAAGGTGATGGGTAAGGAGAGTTACATGCCGAGTTAAGAGAGGAATCAGGTTTCATTAGTTGAAAATGTGGAGAAAAATTATTCTATTTTCAACTGTAAATTAATTGGATACTGTTGATAGTCATAGGTTTCATTAGTAGAGCTGAGTTACTTTGTAATTCAAGTGGAAAAATGACCTTTTCTTTAGAATACACTGGTCTTAAATGTCTATAAAAATATTCTTTCATGTAAATGATCAGGTACCATGTATTGTGGGAGCAAATTAAGAAAGTTATATTTCTTTGCAATAGAATGGCCAACAAAGAAGGAATAAATTATCACTCTTCCTGTAGGCTTACAGATTAAATTCTTGGTATATCACACACAAATTGATCTAGTTATGAGGGTTTTGTAAATACTAACTTGTAATAATTAGTTGGATAACCATAGTTTTTTATTATTTAAAATAAGTTTTTTGAATTGAGAAGAGACTACATTTAATATTTCTTGTCAGCATCTGTGAATATTAGAGTAAATATAAAATAATAGTTCAAAAAATAACGAACTGTGATTCAGTTTTCAGACTTAGTAGAAATATTTATTTCTCTGGAATAATTTGATATGCATATGGCAAAATGAACAGATACAGGAAATCTTAGAATCTTATTTAATGCTGTATTTAATGCTTACGTTGTAGAATATGCCAAGATAGTGTGTAAAAATATACAAACTTATCAAAATTTGGTTCCAAGAAACATTTTGTCTACAGTTTAGAAAGCTCAGGCTAATATTTTGCTAGATAGATAGATAGATAGATAGATAGATAGATAGATAGATAGATAGATATAGATAGATAGATAAGATAGATGATAGATAGGTAGATAGATAGATAGATGATAGATAGATAGATAGATAGATAGATAGATAGATAGATAGATAGACCATAGAGTTTCTTTCACTGACCGTAAAAAGAAAAAGCCCTGTGTGTGTGGTCAGCCTAGTGGGTTCAGAGCAGGACAAAACAGGCTCAATACAGATATCCACTAAACACTTATACAAAGAGATATCTGCATGTCCATTTAGTAAATTAACAAAAACAATAATAAGCATTCATAAAATATCAACTAGCTACTCTATCACAAATCAACGAAGGTGCTTAAACATTATGAGAGTTTGTAAGTATCAACTTAAGCTTTTCTGCTTATTTTAAAAAGGATAAGGTTTTGATGACTCTGAATATATTTCCAATTAACAGGTAAAGTAAATCATAGTGGTAATGTCAACAATAAACTATTTAAAACTTAGAATGAAAGACGTATTTAAATAATTTGATAAACATACAGTTTGAATTGAGCAATACATATGTGTGTGTATTCATTTCAGAGCTATTTTGATTTCCTTTCAGCATATTATTTATTTTATTTAACAACCACTTATATAGCACTTCCTATGTGATGGGCACTATTCAAAGTATATTACCAATATTAGCTCATTTGGTGATATGAGTTCTGTTCAACTCTTGGTTAAATTTTACAATTAACTCTTTCTTCAGTGTTATAAAAATAATAACATGTCTGCTTCAAACATAATCTTAAACCCAAGTATGAGTTCATCATAGAGTGTACTTTGGACAATATTCCGTGCTGTAGTGTAGTCTATGTATACCTTGGTATCCATGAAATTTCCATGTGGAGAGTTGATCTTGCTTGTGCAGTCCCCAAGGATTTACTTAAGTAGAGTACCAAGTCTATGGCTTGTACTTCCTCCTGTCCTTCCCTCAATTATAGTTTTCCACTATTGCTTATTGCTCAGACTCCTAACCTGACACACATCCTTATAAGAGATGGAAGAGAAGGCACAGAGAAAAGAGGAAAAGGCCATGTGAAGATAGAGATTGTAGTTATGTAGACATAGGCCAAGGAATGCCTCCTTGAGCCACCAGAGCTAGAAGAGACAAGAAAGGATTCTCTCTGGCCGGGCGTGGTGGCTCATGCTTGTAATCCCAGCACTTTGGGAGGCCAAGGCAAGTGGATCACGAGGTCATGAGTTCGAGACCAGCCTGGCCAACATGGTGAAACTCTGTCTCTACTAAAGATACAAAAAATTAGCCAGGTGTGGTGGTGGGTGCCTATAATCCCAGCTGCTCGGGAGACTGAGGCAGGAGAATCACTTGAATCCTGGAGGCGGAGATTGCAGTGAGCCGAGATTGCACCAGGGCACTCCTGGGCGGAGGGGAAAGACTCCATCTCAAAAAAGAGAAAAAAAAGAAAAAAAGAAAGGATTCTCCTCTAGAGCCTTAAGGGGATGTGTGGCACTACTGACACCTTGATTTCAGACTTCTGGCTTCCAGAACTGTGAGAGAATAAATTTCTTTGATATTAAACCACAAAGTTTGTGTGATTTGTTATCACACCCCTGGGAAACTAATACAATAGTTCATGCTCTACTTGGGATGACAGACAGTAAGTAAAATATATAGCATGCTAGATGATGATAAATGCAATGTACCTTTAAAAAATAAAAAAAAAGAGAGAGAGAGAGAGAAGGCATTACAGTACTGGGACAGAAAATTTCTATTTTAAAGCAGGTTCCTTGAGAATGTAACATTTGAACAAAAACATAAAGGTGGCAAAGAAGCAATTTATAAAGATAACTAGGGATAAATATTCTAGACAAAGGGACTAGTATCCTGAAATGTGAGCCTATGTGCTCTCTAGGAATGGTAAAGATGCCAACAAGTCTTGAATCAAATGTGAGGGGGTTAGATGATGGGATATAAAGTAAGAGAGGTAATGTGATGCAGCTAGTAGGCCATAATGCAAATTTCTAAATGAAATGGGGTGATGTTATAAGATTTTGAGCATAAAGTGATTAAGTAAATTATTTTAAGAAATGATAAACTTTCAGCTAAGTGGAAATGAGACTAGTTGGACAAGAATGGAGATATGAAGACTATCCATATCCTACTGGTAGATTATTGACAATGATGAATTGGACCAGGAGATAGTGATGAGTAGTTGTCAAATTCTGCTTATAGTTTCAAGGTTGAGTCTTTAAGATTTGCAGATAGATTGGATGTGAGATGTGAAAGAGGAAAATCCAAAATTTTTGGCCTGATATACTGGACTAGTAGAATATTTATTACCTGATATGGTTTGGTTCTGTGTCCCCACCCAAATCTCTTCTCAAATTGTACTCCCCACGTGTCAAAGAAGAGAACTGGTGAGAGGTGATTGGATCATGGAGGCGGTTCCCCCATGCTGTTCTCATGACAGTGAGGGAGTTCTCATGAGATCTGATGGTTTAAACGTGGCAATTTCCCCTGCACTCTCTCTCTCCTGCCACCACGTAAGATGTGACTTGCTTCCCCTCCAGCTTCTGCCATGATTGTAAGTTTCCTGAGGCCTCCCCAGCCATGTGGAACTGTGAGTCAATTAAACCTCCTTTCTTTATAAATCACCCAGTCTCAGGTAGTATGCTTATGGCAGTGTGAGAACGGACTGATCCATTACCTAAGTAGGAAACAGCTCTGGAGTAATATGACTTGGGGAAAAGATTAGAAATTTATTTGGGGGCATGTTAAATTTGAGGTGCCTATTAAATTAAATTTCCAGGTGAATCTAACAGGCATCCAATAGGTAGTTTATAATTAAATTTGGAGTTTAAGAAAAAATTTAAGTTGTATATAAAATTTTTGAATCATCATCAAATAAATGGTAATTAAAGCTATGAGACTTGAGAATATTGCAAAAGGAGTGAGTTCAGATAGAGAAGGCTTGGAGCTGAAATTGTACACTCCAATGTGAGAGATTTGGGAGATGAGTGGAATCTAACAATGGGGACCACGAAGGGCCACCCAGTGAGGTAGGAGAAAACCTAAGAGAGTGATGTCCTGGAAACCAAGTGAAGAAGGTCTGTCAAGGAAAATGGAGTGATTTCTGTTAAATGCTGATGACAAGACAGGTGATATGAAGATTAAAAACTGGATTGAATTCAGCAACATGTAAGTTATTAGTGATCTATACAAAAAAGAAATGGTGAAGTGGTAGAACTAAGATGAGTTTAGAGGGAAAGAAAGAGTAGTATTTGTGGGTATCAAGAATAGAAAATTCTTTCAAAGATTATTCCTTTAAATGGAGAGCAGAGAATAAAGTATGGAGCTTAAGGGAAATGTTGGGTCAAGAGAGGTTTTATTGTGTGTGTGTGTGTGTGTGTGTGTGTGTGTGTGTGTGTGTTTTGCTTTTCTGTGTTAATATAGAAAAGTTTGTATAATTTTTGGAATTATCCAGTAGTAAGAAATAAAATAATGGTGCAAGAGGAAGAGGATAATTGGTAGAATAATGTTCACGAGTAGGAAAAAGGGGAAGAAATAACCAAGAACCAGAAACTACATCTTTAAGGAATGAAGGTAAGAAAGTTAAGACTCACAAGGTAAGTGCAGCAAAAACAGAAAATGCATGGTATAGTTTAATGCATGAGATTTGAAACTGGAGGTATTTAGGAAAGAGAGAGAAAGACGATTAGCAGGGAGGAGCAAGGCGGAAACAGAAGCCAAACAAGTTGTAATAAAAATACATTAGTATCAATTTAAAATATTTTCAATTAAATTGTTTTTATTAAAATATTATTTTAGTTAAATAGCATTATTTTATAAGAAAATCAATATTTTTTATGTATCTTTTGGCTGCGTAAATGTCTTCTTTTGAGAAGTGTCTGTTCATATCCTTCCCCCACTTTTTGATGGGGTTGTTTGTTTTTTTCTTGTAAATTTCTTTGAGTTCTTTGTAGATTCTGGATATTAGCCCTTTGTCAGACGACAAGATTGCAAAAATTTTCTCCCATACTGTAGGTTGCCTGTTCACTCTGATGGCAGTTTCTTTTGCTGTGCAGAAGTTCTTTAGTTTAATTAGATCCCATTTGTCTATTTTGGCTTTTGTTCCCATTGCTTTTGGTGTTTTAGACATGAAGTCCTTGCCCATGCCTATGCCCTGAATGGTAATGCCTAGTTTTTCTTCTAGAGTTTTTATGGTTTTAGGTCTAACATTTAAGTCTTTAATCCATCTTGAATTAATTTTTGTATAAGGTGTAAGGAAGGGATCCAGTTTCAGCTTTCTACATACGGCTAGCCAGTTTTCCCAGCACCATTTATTAAATAGGGAATCCTTTCCCCATTGCTTGTTTTTGTCAGCTTCGTCAAAGATCAGATAGTTGTAGATATGTGGCATTATTTCTGAGGGCTCTGTTCTGTTCCATTGGTCTATATGTCTGTTTTGGTACCAGTACCATGCTGTTTTGGTTACTGTAGCCTTGTAGTATAGTTTGAAGTCAGGGAGTGTGATGACTCCAGCTTTGTTCTTTTGGCTTAGGATCGACTTGGCAATGTGGGCGTCTTTTTGATTCCATATGAACTTTAAAGTAGTTTTACCAATTCTATGAAGAAAGTCATTGGTAGCTTGATGGGGATGGCATTGAATCTATAAAATGCTCATCATCACTGGCCATCAGAGAAATGCAAATCAAAACCACAATGAGATACCATCTCACACCAGTTAGAATGGCGATCAGTAAAAAGTCAGGAAACAACAGGTGCTGGAGAGGATGTGGAGAAATAGGAACACTTTTACACTGTTGGTGGGACTGTAAACTAGTTCAACCATTGTGGAAGTCGGTGTGGCGATTCCTCAGGGATCTAGAACTAGAAATACCATTTGACCCAGCCATCCCATTACTGGGTGTATACCCAGAGGATTGTAAAACATGCTGCTATAAAGACACATGCACATGTATGTTTATTGCAGCACTATTCACAATAGCAAAGACTTGGAACCAACCCAAATGTCCAACAATGATAGACTGGATTAAGAAAATGTGGCACATACACACCATGGAATACTATGCAGCTGTGAAAAATGATGAGTTCATGTCCTTTGTAGGGACATGGATGAAGCTGGAAACCATCATTCTCAGCAAACTATCGCAAGGACAAAAAACCAAACACCACATGTTCTCACTCATAGGTCGGAATTGAACAATAAGAACACATGGACACAGGATGGGGAACATCACACCGGGGCCTGTTGTGGGGTGGGGGCAGTGGGGAGGGATAGCATTAGGAGATATACCTAATGTTAAATGACAAGTTAATGTGTGCAGCACACCAACATGGCACATGTATACATATGTAACAAACCTGCACATTGTGCACATGTACCCTAAAACTTAAAGTATAATTAAAAAAAGAAAATCAATATTTTATGTAGAATAGTCTAATCTGACAAATTTACTTTATCTTTTTAATTCACTCTTTTCAGTTTCACAACCATTGCTATAATAAAAATATTCATTTTCAGTCTTTATTTAATGCAATGCCTACTCCTCTCTAGAATCCTCTGGTAGATTCAAAGCATTAGATGTAAAGTCCAATTAATTACTAACTCATTATCTGTCCTCATCAACAGATCTTAACGTCCTCCAAATCAATAAGTATCTGTTTCTTTCAGTGACTTTGCTAGATTCACCCTCCTCTACCTCAAAGCCTCTTGGGGTCCATTCTCTTAAAAGCTTTTTACTTAATGCTGTACTCAAGATCCATCTCGGCTGGGCTTGGTGGCTCACGCTTGTAATTCCAGCATTTTGGGCGGCCGAGGTGGGCAGATCACCTGAGGTCAGGAGTTCGGGACCAACCTGGCAAACATAGCTTAACCCCGTCTTTACTAAAAATACAAAAATTAGCTGGGTGTGGAGGGGCATGCCTGTAATCCCAGCTACTGAGGAGGCTGAGGCAGGAGAATCGCTTGAACCCAGGAGGCGGAGGTTGCAGTGAGCCGAGATCGCACCACTGAACTCCAGCCTGGGCGACAGAACAAGACACTGTCTCGAAAAAAAAAAAAAAAAAAAAAAAAACAAAGATCCATCTCAATAATAAAGGCTTTTTAAGATTTTTAAGATAGCCTCATCTGGTTTTAGTGGTTGAAAGTATTGGATGAAGTCTTACTTCATAGGAAGTCAGGTTTAATATATAATTATATTAAGTATTTATGTGTTACATAAACTTGCTATGAAATAAGACTTAAGTAAGACTTCATAGTATTTGTATGCTACACTATATATGTTAATTTATATTTATAATTTATTTTATAAAACATGTTAATATTTATGTAGTATATAGATATTTATGTTATTTATACTTATAAATTCATATTTATGTTATTTTATGTTATATGGAAACATATTTATATGGTATATAAATAGCATAACATATAAATATGTATTTATAGGTATAAATAACACATATTTTATAAATATTTTATAAATATATAATATACATATTTTATGGATATATAAAAATGTATAAATATAAAATGTGTGTTTTATAAATATTTTATAAATATGTACATGTTATTTATAAAAGATATGTATAAAAATAAACATACATATTAGCACAAGCAAGTGCAGTCACTGTGCTAGTATTTATATGTTATTGATGTGTTATTCATCCATACAAATAACATTTATATGTTATTGATGTGTTATTTATACATGCTATTTATAACCTATAAATACATATTTCTATTTATGTGTTACTTATACATATGTTATTTATACCTATAAATACATGCTTATATTTATGTGTATTTATAGGCATAAATGTTATTTATATGTATAAATAATATGTGTCTGAATAACATACAAATAACATATAAATGCTAGCACAATGACTGCACTGGCATGTGCTAATACTTATATGTTATCTTTATACATATATATTTTATAAAAAATATTATTGAGTATCTTATAGGTCTGGAAAGTTTTAAGGAATTCAAAGCCAGAGTCCATGCATCTCCCAATGTCACTGTCCCATAGATTATGCACAATACACACTGCATTCAAGTCAGGGTCATAAACATTTCCTTCATCTTTTTAAGGGTACTAATACTGCACTCTCCTATTCAGGCAGCTCCTGCTTATAGTTACCAAATAGCTGAATTGGCAATCAAAAAATACAAAGCTGTTTTATCACTCTTCTTTTGGATTTTAGGGAAAGTTTGGTTTGCTGTCCCCCCTAACTCTTTCTTTTTTTCAACCAAGGCAAAAGCAATGACTTTGTATTTCAATATCATATCATCAAAGCGTTCTGATATGTGAGAAGTCATATATTTTACCTGATAAAAATGCAGTTGCAAAGCTCTAAATAAATCAGAAACTATTCTAAATACAGCCATTAATGCATGGCAGAGAGTAGTCTAGGGTAAAATATAATTTCTGAAGCATTTTATTTGGCTTTCGTTTTGTCCAGTTCCACATATATTCTATGTACACAAACAAAAAAGGTATTTATGACACTTTAAATTGAGCCCATGTCTAGACAGTATGCAATGTAGGTGAATCTGAAGTCGCAGCTATATTACCATGTGATAATTGATCACAGAAATCAGTTGGCATATTCAATTACTTATGATGACAGTCATAACAATACGCAGTCTATTTTTAAATTTCAGCTTAGGCACATTGTTTTCTTTTCCCTGTAAACTTGAATAACTTTGAAATGTTTTCTATGTGATTAATGTGTCAAAGTATATTAAAATTCATTATCTTATCTAATTGTAATTTTTAATCATACTTTTTAAAAAAGTTATAGTTCCTTCTTCAAATTAAATCAATACAAATCTAATTATTTTGGCTTTTTGGTGGCATTTTTATTCTTGACAAAGTATTCTCTGGTTCTGCATATAATTGACATTATAATCAATAATAATTAAGCAAACTCAAGCCCAAACAAGAAGCAAATATTCTCCTTGAGAGGTAACAAGTCTCATTAGAAAGATTACCAGTCAAAATGTCAAGAGATATAAGTTTATCTCTAATTTTACCTTAAACATACTATGTGACCTTTGTCCAATAACTTTTTTCAATATCAGCTTTCTCATTAATACAAAAAATATGTGTAATTTTAAGTTCTTTCTATATTTAAGCATCTGTATTTCCTACATTTTAAAGCACATATATTACCATAGAGCAAGATATTGTACATTTAACTTAAAAGATATTAACCAAATAACATATTTTAATATTTTAATATTTTAATTATGAAATCATGTATGAAGTTCAAATTTGTTGTTATAGCATTCTTTCTCCTCCTCTTTCTGTGTCTCTTTCTTCCTCACTCTCTCCTCTCAAAAATGAGATATTAGAGACATCACTCTGAAACTTATTGTACATTTAACTTAAAAGACATTGATCAAATACACATATTTTAAAATTTTAATTATGAAATCATGTATGAACTTCAAAATTTGTTGTTATAGCATTCTTTCTCCTCCTCTCTCCATCTCTGTCTCTCTCTTTCTCTCTCTTCCCTTAAAAAATAAGGTATTAGAAACATTACTCTGAAACTTAATTTTTGCTCTACTTGGACATTCCTTTTGTTTAGTACATAAATATCTACTTCATTTTTTTGTGCTACCTGCATAATGATCCATAATATGGATTTATCATTGCTTTTTGGTGGACAGTTGGATTTCAGATTGTTTCCAATTTGTTGCAATTATAAGCAAAGCTGTGCCAAACATTCTTGGTGTCTACCGGCACCATACTGGGAATTTTGCTTTAATAAAAATGACCTTCATAAAAGGTATTGCTGAGACACAGAATAAGCATGATTTACGTTTTAATGAAATAACATGTAACCTTACCAAAAAGGCAGGAATTTATACCTTCATCTCATGTCCGGGCAATAGCCAGAATTAGTCTCATACTCTATTTTGAGGACATGCGGCTGGTAGGAGCATACACGGAATGGTGGCATGGTCCTTATTCACTTTAAAAAGATATCCAGAAATATTGTAAAATCAGACTGAAGTTAAGAAGTCTGAAACCAAAAAAGAACCATTAAGAGGGTGTTGCAGAGTCTTAGTATGATAAAATGAAGGCCTAAACTAGGACAATGCTGAATTATTGTAGAGAACATCCATAAAGATAACTCCTCATATGGAAGTGCATTAAAGCTGATGATTACATCCTTTAAAAAAAATGACCAGCATTTTGAAAGTGAATTGGAATGAATTCCGTTTGTCTAGCTTTTGTATTTTTATTCATTCCCCTAACAAATATTTATTGAGCACCTACAACATGCCAGTCTCCAGGGTGACAGCATTAAGCAAAGGGCAGAGGCCCTTATGAAGCTTAATTCCTACTGAGAAAACATATAAACAAGGTAATAAGTGCATTGAAGAAAAATAAAGTAGATAAGGGAAAGAGAGAGTAATAAGCTTGGAGACTTTCAATGACGAGGTCAGGCAGTCTTTCACAGTGTGCAAGAATAGAACATAGATCTAAAGAAGGTCAAGTAGAAAGCAATATGCAAAAACATTAGGTTCTCAGTAACCAAAACAACGATCATAGAAAACCTTATTGAATTTAGAGTTCTAATAATTTGAACATAAGAAAAGATGATTAACATGGAAAATTTTGGTGCAATGCACAATAGAAAGATTTGAAATTAAACACACAGACACACACACACAAATTTTAGGCCCTGCTACTTAAAGATGCATTCTATTAAATCCATTAGGCTTTCGTCACAAGAAATAATCTTTAGGCAAATTAATAAATGACCCCATTAGAACAGATTTTATGCATCTGCCTACAAAAGCAAATGCTTTTAAAAATTACAGCCAGCTCATTAAAATAATGATGGCCAATTTAGTGTGCATTGAAGTTCTTGGTTGCTTTGCAGTTATTCTATGTGTACTTGCCCTTGTGGAGAAGTCCTTTTCTTCCTCCTGGGTTATTTGGGCAGAGTTACTTCTGTTCTAAATGCATATTCCATAACTGATTTCATAATTCTATCCCGTGCCCCCTGTGGTCCTTGTTGCATAGGTAATCAGGATTTTATTCAGAGAGTATAATGCAACACATAGCACATTCATTTTCACACTATGAAATCTAAGCCTCCAGAGGGGTGAATGTCCAGAAATTGCTTAGTCATCTTCATCCTACAAAATAACAGTTAACAATACATTTTGAAAAGGAACATAATTAAGCCAAAAAAGAAACATGGTCATTTAACACCTATCTTCATATCATCTCAGAAAATTTTATATGAAGCCATTAGTTTTTTCTCTTAGGAAACTGCCTGCCACTATTTTTGACCTAGGGGGAGGGTTAACTTTATGTCTTCAAAATATGTGTATAGTTGATACATTTGTTCACTTCACTGTTGCAACTTTATTTGGGGAGCACATTTTTGCAACATATTTATTCCAAACATCTTCTGAAGAATAACAACTGGCTATGTGCTACACAAATAAACAAAGCCAAAGAAGGAAAGAGAGACAAGTGAACAAGACATAAAATAAATTGAAGTTGATTTTATAAATATAAAAATTGATTAAGGAATTTGATTAGAAATTGAAATTTATAACTAAATCTAAATCTTGATTTCTAACTAAATCTAAGTCAGAGATGTATAAAAATTGGACAATTTGCCATGACATAGAGATAACAGCTAACTGCATTCATTAATATTTATGTCGTCACCTATACATTTTGCTCTCTATAAAATAATATGTTATAATAAAAATGCTCACTTTTAACAAATATCTGTACATTATATTTGAACTTGCTTTTTCCCCCTTTCTTATATTTTTTCAATAATGTTTTTGTACTGACTAGGAGGTCGTTATATAGACAATTACTAATTTCTTCTTCAGCATTTTCAAACATTTTTCCCCCTCTACTTTTAAAGAGTTTCAGGCAACAATAGTATTCATGATTTGTGTTGAACATATCTCATAGTGTAAAGAAATATATACTGATATGCAAATTGGCCTCAGGATGAGTCCATTATAGAAGTAACATATTTTTCTTTCATTGTGAAGGTATCTATAATAGAAAATAACTGCCTCAAAAATGTTTAACTTATATACATTCAGACAAAATTCACATTGAAAGCCTGAAAACAATTCGATTCCAGTACTTATTCTTATGAATATATATAAAGAAGAATATCTTTGGGTATGACACTCTGTCATTCCTGGTAGACTGAGTGTGAAGCCTCATCTACAGTTGTTTTTCATAATATTATTTGCCTTAAGTGACGCAAGTTTTAGTTTTCTGAAAAAGCAAAATGTAATGATAAATGCAATATATATTTTTGTATTAAAAAGTGTGGGATGTCCAAGTGCCAAAGGCAGGAAACTTTAATGAAAATACTTGTACTTTGAGAGAAAGGGAAAAAATATCTACATTTTAAAGAGCAAAACAAAAAAATTTTTTATCTGCAATAGATATTAAAATTATCAGATAAATATTGGCTTGCTTGTCACAAAGAAAACGTTAAATAGTTTTGAAATCATATTTCTATGATGGACAGTGAATCATAAGTTTAAAATAACTGTATAACAATTGTTCATCAATAATGCTAAGACTGAAGATTGATGTAGGTCAGGGAAAATATTCTGCTAATTATCTGAACACAAAGAATTTTTTAGTTGGTGAGAGAAGTTTAGATCATATCTAGTCCAACACTCATTTCATATTAAGTAACTTTTTGGGTTGTGGCTATAGCGCTGAGACAGGCTCAGTTTTGTACCTGAGACAAAATATTTCACTTCCTCAAGTCACAAAATTATACTTAAAGAACCCTTAAAAACTACCACTTATGCCTAATTTGGCTAAGTCTACTTGTGTACTACCAGCCACCTATGTACTTAATGTTGTTCAGTCAGTAGTACAACTTTTAAGAAAAGGAGATTTGAAATAATAACGTAGACATACCATACTTAGTAATTAAGATTGTAACTAAGATTGACTAAAGATTTATATGAAACAGGCACTGCTACTTAATCAAAACCTATAAAAAGTTTATACACAAAGAGGAACCTAGTAAACATGCTAAGTGAAAAAAGCCAGTCACAAAAGGACTTATTTGATTCTATCACCTAAATTGTCCAGAATAGGTAAATTCATAAACACACACAGGAGATTAGTGGTTGCCAGGGTCTGGGGAAAACGAGGCACGGGAAGTGACCTAATTGATATGGGGTTTCTCTCATGGATGATAAAGATGCTCTATATTTAGTGGCAACTGTTGCATAGCTCTGAGAAGATACTGTAAACATAGCATTGTACATTTTAAAGGAGTGAATTTTATGGTATGTTAATTATATCTCATTAAAGCTGTTATATTAAATAAAATGTATGGTTTATTTCTTTTTTTTCACTGTCAGGACTTAAATCGGTCCTTTTTAACTTTTCAAGGGGCCTGGATTGTTGTAAAAGTCTCCTAACTGCAATCCCTATCTCCTTCTTCTGCAATATATTAGTCACACACAAGATCAATCTCCATGAACATGGTTTTTACATAACCATTAGTATCTTTACAATAATTTGTGAAAGGATAAAGATTAAAGTCTAAAATTTTGGTCAGCCATCTTTCCATTTTGATCTATCGTTTTTTATTCTCTACTGTTGATCTCCTATGGAACCTATATCTCCCCAATAATCATAACATTTTCCATTTTCATCTCTAAGAAACGACTTTTAGTTAACATAGTTACCTTGCTGGAAATCTGCTTCCTTTCCTCTACACTTCTCCCTTTCCCCATTCTTTGAAGCCTAATCCAAACCCCATTGTTTATTTATTTATTTTTATTATACCTTAAGTTCTCGGGTGCATGTGCAGAAATGTGCAGGCCAAACCCCATTGTTATCTAATTCTTTCCTTGGCCATCTCAGAACACAGTCAACTGCCCTCTTGCCGAAATTCTAATGTATTTCCTTATAAAGCATTACTCATTGTTTGACCAATCTTCCATATATTTTGTGTGTATATTTCTGACCCTTGAGGACATTGGAAGTGGCACTGTATGGCATATATGTCTCATAGTATTTGACCCATTATAGGTGCCTATCGCATTCAGTGATGGACCATGTAAATATATAGAGAGAATTTGTAACCAAGAAAAATTTTTCAAGTACACTAGGATTTTTGAAGCAGCATAAACATTTTTGGTCAAATAATATAATTCTAAACACATTACTTGCATATTACATAATACTTTCTAGCTTTACAGTTTTTAAAAAAATAATGGCAATTATATTTTCTGAAACAAAAGCAGAACATATGGTCTGACATATAGAAGGGAATATTTTAAATCAAAGCTAATTATGAATATGAGCCAAATGTTCAATGTATGATAAATCAAAATTTTAAAAATGTTGGTATCACAGACACTTGCATTGTGGACATGCTGTCACCCTTATTAATTATTTTATCTTTGAGCAAGTTAATCTTCCCATGTCTGATTTTCCTCATCTACAAAGTAAAGGAAGTAACCTATTCAACATCATAGGACTGTGTTAAAAAGTTAAAAGAGAAAATCCTAATGAAGTGCTTGGTACTGTGTTGGATACAAAGAAAATGTTAAATCAATTTTAGTCATCATTATTACTGGGCAGTGGTACAGTAAAATAATTTTTGTTAAGGATGGGCTATTACAACAAGCCACATTTGCACATATGAATAACAGAAAATGGCAATTTAAGCTTGCCTTTGGGGGATTCTATAAGTTGTGTCTGTAAGTGTCTCATTTAAGGATCACGTATTTTACTAAAATATGTAATACCAGAGAAGTAGATGTCTCTATGTGGGAGAATGCAGGATCTTCTCTTACAGTACATTTTGTCCAATACTGAAAATACAAGCTGACATGCCATTTCTCCATTCACTCCTTGGCCTTCTCACAGACAAATCTACTAACCAAATCAAGAGAAGGGTACTAACACCTAAAGATAATAAATAAAGCGGGGACTGACAACCAGCATACAATTTGAGAAGGAAAGGACAGAAAAGTTTAGAGGAGGTTCTTAGTGCCCCCTAGTGTTAAATCTCCTGCAGTTTTTTTGTTTCGTTCTGTTCCTTGAGTGGGTGTTTTACCAAGGGAGTTTGAAGTTAGAAGCAACTAAGCTTTTTTCAAATGATCCTTCACATTAGGCTGTCTCAAAATGCACACACACATAATTCTTTTAAGAAAGGAAATTCTTAAAGGCTAAAGACACAATGTGGTTATTTCATTAAATAAATGATGAATTACAAATGAAAGGAAACATATCTAGGAGAGGGACTCAAATTCTGTATTTAAATATATTCATCAATTGAAGCAATCAGATAATCAGAATATGTATATTTGAGAATATTTTAGCCTAAGTAACTCTAACCAAAGAAATGCAATGACTGAATCTAGTTAAACTCCTTACCTAGGCTATTTTTAATGGAAATGCTGACATCCTTAATACAGAGATCCGAACACTTCTATTCCAAGTGTATATATAGCCTGCAGTTAAGTCTTACTAAAATATGCTGAGTTAACTTCTCAGCTTTCAGGCTTTCATTTCACAAGGGTAGAACATTAATTTCATGACCTTCGAACGTTCTAAAAGAGTGTAGTTAACCACTGAATTAAATAATAACTGGTTTTATTTTATAGCTATCAAGCCTGTAGAAGGAGGCCCAAAGTTACAGGAATTGGAAACTACATCTGTAGCTTAGTAAAAAAAATACTTCATATATTTTGCTAGTTAAAATTTGTCTTTGAAAACTTTTTATAAAAATGGCAGTTGAAAGTCTAAACTATTTTGGAACATTTGTAAGTAGCTTAAAGAGAACTGAAATAGGTCATCATAAAGAAATAACTAGTCGACTTGCTTTCAGTCTGACCAATATTTCTGTCGATGTGATTATATTAGAAAAGATTTTTATTGTTGAAAAGGAAACCATGTCTGATGTGAAACTGGTCTGGACAAACCTTAAGTTTGAATCAAGAAGTTTTATCTCTAATATAGTCGCTTCAAAATACTTGTACTGGTTTTTGTATTCTAGTGTTCTCCTGATGAGGAGCATTCTCAAGTTTTCTTCATTTTAAATTTCACCTTTAAAATATGGGGAGGAGGACGGTGAGCTATCATCATTCAGAGTGTTCACAGCCAGAATTATTCATTATACACCAAGCCTTACTGTATTTCTTTCCCATAACTTCCCACTTGAGTTATTCATTATATACTGCACTTACTCTTATTTATGCTGACTCCACACCAAAGCCCACTCTTAGGAGACATCTAACTTCATTTAATCTAGTCCCTCTGTATCCCTTAATTCAAATGCAGAAGAATTTAAAGTTGTGATTATAGTTGATGAACTGCTCCTGGATGCTGAGATCAATTAGTAAAGAGTGACATTTTTTTTTTCCAAGGACAGACACTGAGGTAATTGGTACAGCTCAAACACCCTTGGTAAGAATGTTAACATATATGCTACAAAGAGTTATCAAAGGCAGGTGCTTAGACTCTTAAGATTAAAAATCCAATCATATTCTTCAACTTCTGAATGTAAACTTTTGAATTTGACAATTTTTTGCTGAAGGAACCAAACAGGTAACAGCTATGATAATTAGCTAAGCACGTGGCTCACATTATTATACATGATAACTCCTAAAATGAAATATTTTCATAGTCAATGGGATCTACAAGAATTTATTTTTAAGGATTTTTTTAAAAGAGAAAAGAGAACAACGTGGCTAAGATGAGATTTTTAGAAAATGAAAGCCTTAGAAAATAATATTGAAAGAAAAGAAAATAGGAGGTACAGTACATTTAGTGTTAACACAGTATTAGTATCAGAGGTTTGCCTGGCATAAGAAGGAGTCCAAATTTTAAATACAGGTACAAAAGTCCACAATTTTTTTCATTCTGGGTTGCTTTGTTTTCCCTCATCTCTTTTGTAGAGAGTACAATGAGCCAAATAAATTAAAGAAGCACTCTTCACTCCTGGGGTAAGACATAGACATCGTTACACACACTGAGGCATGAAATACCTAATCAAGTCATGGAAGTGAGTTCATCATACAATCACCTGAGTTAACATGTTTATAAAGTCCATAGCAGTAAGAAAACATGACATTTTGAAAAATAACACACCAAAACAAGATATATCTGGTTTATGAACTTGAGATTATCTTACATTATCTGCTATCCTTGAATAAACCCATGTGAACATCTCTGGGGTTCAATGAAAAACAATAAGCACATAATTTTTGCCCATTATAGAGTAATAGTCCCAGTTAGCCATCATCCTTGTGAACAGAAAAAGGCATAGAAAGTTACCTGTGAAGAGACAGCTGACTAGCACTCAGCAGTGGGCTCAAGTGCTCTGTGGTAAGCCTGCAGGCCCTGGAGGAGAGCTCACTCTCCTATTAACCAGAATCCTTGACTTGACTTGTCACCTCATTGTCACCTCATATATTTCTCAGTTTGTGTCCTCTGGATGCTGATGGTCCTTCTATTGTAAATCCATGGTTGCTAATTCCTACAGCTTGCCTACCTTGTCTCAATATTATTCTTGTCAACTCATTCCGAATTAACCTCACTCATTGACCTGCCTTTCTAACAGGTAGTCCTGTTGCTATATAAATCCTGGTGTGACCATTCCACTCTAAATTAACATTAACATGGCAGATGGCAGCCTAAAAATCTCAAACCATTAGATGCATACATTATCTATTAATTATCTATAGAATGGTGCAAAAGTAATCGTGGGTTTTGCCATTACTTTTATTTTTAGTTTTCAGTCATAACATAGAGGTCACAACCAAAATTATAGAAAACTACCTGGTATTAGGCTGGGGAGTCATAAGAGTAGCTAGGGGGCTTTCAGGTTTGTTGCTGAAGAAACAATGGCAAAGAGGTGCAGCTTTCTTAACTATGGTGAATTTTGAGTCTATGCAAGAAAGACTTCCGTTTTCTGTACTGGGATAAAATATAAATTAGGAAAGTTTTACTTAATTCCTTACACCATGCTGGGAAGACAGTAAAACTTCAATAAACAAATATTGAAAATGGAGAGGAAAAGAGATGAAAAAAAGAAAAGATATAATGAGGAAAGCAGGAAGGAAAAAAAGAAAGTGTTGTGAACTGACCTAGGCCAAATTGGACAATCAGGAAGTAACGAGCTCTTTTGATAAGGAGGCATATATTCTGGCCATATATAGATAGCCCTTATCCACAGACTGCCTCCCAAGTGATATTAGTAAATGCAAGCAAGGGTCAACAGAACACTATTGAGATACAAACTTGTATTAGCAAATATGCAACATGAAATGGAATAAAATAAAATACAAATACATACGGTCCAGTTCAAGAAGGTCTGGAAAATTCCACTCTGTCCTCAGATACTCAGACAAGCACCTTGCTTCAAGATTTCACTATGAGGCAGGTGTCAAAATATTCTCTAGTGTGCATCCCTTTATCTGAGTGAGGTAAGAGTCCTCCAGAAGTTCTAGAACTTGACTGACTTTTAAACCTTATTTATTCTAAAGGTGGCACCTGCATAAACTGGCTGTCCAATTAAATGCCTTAAACACTCATTTTTTTCAAAAATTTTCTTTTCTAACATTTGTAATGTTAATTAATAAACCTTTGGTATCAACTTTAATACTTTTCTTTAAATGCTTCTAGAATTTGCAATCTTGACTACAGTATTTCAAATACTAAATTACTGTCCTTAAAGAATAAACTTATCTTACTCCACCCCCACTCAAAACACACACTTGTGCCACAATGTTTATAGTAAAACATTTCAAAATAAAATAATTTATCACATACAAAGTAAAATGGAAGGAAGGAAGCCCTTTGGACTTCTTTGATGCTAGTAAAGAGCCTATAACATTCAGTAAATGTTTGATTAAACTAATTGAACTTTATATTGAAAATACCTTCTATGCAATGATGTACTACAATATCAATTTCAAATATTACTTTCCCATTTAAGTATGAAATAAACAATTAGGTAAGAAGAGAATGACAGGTTAAAAAAAAGGAAAAATTGGTCTAAATGAACACAGCAGAGAGTTTGAAAGCCATTTCAAAGTGATAAGAGAAATTAAGGCTAACAATTAAAATGAAATTTGACAATAAATTGCCTTTTGAAATTCAACTTGAAAAACCTCCAAAATGTCTATTTTATTAAGTGGCAAATTAATTTCTTAGAAGATTTTCAAACCTTTCAAATTTAGACATAAGAATTTAATTCATTATGAATTTAATGAATTAAATTCATATTTTGCACAGAAGTATTCATATTCTATTTCCAACTCTTAGATATTTTAATTATGGAAGTTATTTTCAAATTCAAGGCTCAAGACTGTCTGGATTCTAGAAACATACACTTAGAGTTTCTGGTAGTTTTCAACCACTGTGAAGAAATGTTTTAACAAATTTATATGTGATAGAACATTTAACATATAATTATTTGGTGGTTAGGTTTCTAAAAAACAGAGATGTCCAGCCTGCACTTCCATAGAATCTCATTTAATTTGTCTGGGGGAAGGCCCAGGTATCAGTATCTTTATAAAGTTATAAAGCATGTATTTTTTTTTCTAATGTATTGCCACATTGGAGTCACTACTACTGCTAAGATTTTGCCAGAACCAGAATATTCTAGTAATTAATCTGACATTAATATGTACTTGAAGGAGCCTTTAGGAGAGTATACCAATACGTTTATATCTTGTCTTTTCAATGAAGTAGCAGCTAGCCAGATGTCATCCTTCTAACAAGAATATTTAGAAAACTACTACTTATAGAATATTTGGTTATTCTTTGACCATATTGGTAAAAAAAAAAAAATCACTTTATTGAAAGGTATTAAGTAGTGAAATATTCCAGGATGAAAAGGAAAGTTAAGAGTTCTGTCTCTTACAATCTGATATAAATCCATTACCAACTAGGAAACATATTCAATAAAAGAAATACCTGATCATCACTATATTTGGAACTAAAAACAGAGCAGGAAGAAAATATATTTAATAAATGAGAAAGTTATATAAGTAAAACTTTTATTAACAAATCAAAACAGAGAATTGAATAGTCACTAGAGATCTTCAGGGATCAAGTTACTTTTACCAAATATGCAGACAGGAGAAAAACTCCCACAAACTTTAATTAATCAGGAGTTATGTAACCAGATCCTTAATAAGGTTATTACAATATTTAAGTTTTAGAAAAAAGAATCTATTAAGGAGTCAGTACAGTAGCTCACAGATTTTATTTACAGTACTCCAAGTTTACCTTAAAAAAATTAGGAAATAAGTGAGAATTGGCCTAGAGCATCTTTCCTCACTTAGAGACCTACCTGCTGTGCTTTGGCATGCAAGTGTCCCTCATTGTAAGCCTGAAATCTTACCTTGATCCATTCTACTATAAAAAAAGTCTCAGTTTTGTGTTCCATTCCTCATATATTTGTTCTCATGTAAGTTAAATTAAATGATAGATATTCATTAAATATATAGATCATTTCCAAATAAGATAAACTACTTACACATTAATTGCTGAACATAAGTTTGAGCTTATCTATTTTTGGCTGCTTCTTAAAGAGGAATTAGAGATATTTGGATCTGCTGGTAAGTGTGCCCTGTGTTACATAAGAAATATGCATACTGTGAGGAAATATATATTTTATAAGTTATTAAATTATGCATTTACCAGTTTTCACTAGATACGAAGGTTACTAGGGGTTAAGAACTCTAAATGTTGTATGTAATTAAAACTACTAGAAGTACTAAGGATGAATGAAAACAACTGTATGCAAAAAGTGTACAAAAAAGTAGGATGTTTTTAATAAAGAAAAGTATATAAGGCATGTGTTTTCACTAAAGGAAAAAAGAGTAAATTTGTCTTAAATTAAGATGACTATTATAGAATAAAAAAGGAGTGAAAGAGTAAGACAAAAACTGAACAGATATAGAAAGCTGTAGGCAGTCTGTGAAAAAAAATTTATGTGTGGTCAAACTACTAAGATTAGATAAATTAGTTCAATAATGTTCTGATAAAAAGCTAAAATTTTGTTTCCTCTGTGTTAAAAAGGATAATGCTTTCTTGGATAACTGATCAGTTTTACTAAGAGATTATAAAAAACAATAGTTTTGGTTTATCTGTTAGATAATCTGCCTAGAATATCTCAAAAGATTTGTCCTCTCTCTTCATAAGAGAAATGTTAAACTAATTAGGCTTATTTGATATGTTAAATTACATGGGAAGTATTGTCAAATACAGGTAATGTTTAGTCTTCTTAGGTTGCTATATATATATATATTATATATATACACCTTATATATATATATATATACACCTAATATATATATACCTAGTATATACCTATATATACCTAATATATACCTATATACCTAATATAATATATATTCTGTAATGTAGATGTTCCAATAAGTATATGAAATTTCTAGAAATCTGATATGTTCTAGTATGATAGTCCTATCTCTAGTTATCATCTCAAAATGTTGCATGTCACAAAAACAACCAAATTTCTTTGTCAATAGCATTATAATGAGCTCTCATCAGTTCTTCGATCGTGGTCATTTTAAGTCTTTTGTCATCCGCAGACAGTTATTTAACTTTGATGCTTTCATGAAACCTTTTACAAGCAGCTATGGTACAAAATTACAAAGATTTCATTAAAAAGACTGACAAGTACAGGTTTCTGATAACTTTAAGATTGTACTATTGAACTGGGTAAGGATTTCCAGAACTCAGTTGGAAAACTGATGGATTCATAAAACTGCTAAGTCAATATTGAACAAAATGATAATTAATTACATGGGGCTAAATTAACTGATGAGAATAATTATGTCTCTTATGACATTTCTTTAAAATATTGCTGGTTCTTTAATGTCTTATTTTTCAGATTTAAGGAATTCTTTTTCTTGGTTCTCTTAAGCTGTCTATGACTTACAGTGGTTTGACAAAATGTACTTCTGCAAACAAAAATATTTACATTTTTCTATCTACCTGATCACTGTGTAATTTAGAAACTCTCACTAACTATTCTTATTTTCATGGCAATATGAGTATTTGCATACGTTCCATAAGAATCTGTTGTCCTCATAATAGGATAAAATTGGACAAGTCCTTGGCTTGACTTTTAGTCCGGAGAGGTTTTAGAAGTTTTAACTTCAGATTCCTTATTACCAAATCATTTTAAAAAAACAAACAACCAACTAAGACTGACTTATACAAAGTCTGTAAGGCCCATTGGCTATTACCAAACCTACAACTTAAATGTCATACTTTAAAATATGCATAGAATCAGTATTGTTGCACTTATATAAATAATCAGGTCGAGTTCAATGAGCTTAAGCTTTTTTAAAAAGATAAGGCTTATTTTGGGTAAATTTGGTGATTATTTTTGGTAAAAAAAATGGGTGATTATAAAAAGGAGTGTATTTTAATAGAAAACTACAGCACACCCATTATAAAATTCTAGTCCTCTTTATTATCTTAGAGGTTTGTTATCCACTCACAAATTGGATTGCATCGTAAATTTTTCTAGTTTCAATAAAAACTAAAATTGCCCCTTTCCCAAGCCCGGCAAACTGAAATTAAATGACTGGATAGAAACATCAGAAAAGTTAAAACAGGTCACGTATGAACAATTTTCATGCCTTCTGCAATGTGGGTCACTCAAAGAGTTCATCAAAATTGCTGATGATATAATCAGAGATATTCAAACTGGCTCATCAGATTGCAACTGCCATCCTCATTCTGTCATCTAAAGATGCTGCAAACTCAAATTAGAAATCTTGACTAGCAACATTCTGAACTCAAAAACTAAGATCATAATGTGGCCCAACTATTAACTTGTTTTTCTTTTGTTTTCTATAGAATGAGGGCTTGAATTTTCCTCGCGCAATAAAATCTGAAATGAACAATTTAGCCTCAGCAGTACTCCAAAATATTAAACTTATGGATAACTTAACAACTTGACAAGGAGGAGCTTGTACTTATGCATATAAAAATGTTTCTATGTTAATAATCAGAAATTATTGCCCCAAATTTAAATTATCTTCAGAAACAAATGTAAGTCTTTCATCAGAGATGTGTTGCCTCCTTTATTAATGTATTTAGTCAGTTAAATCATGGCTCCCAGGAATTTCTGCTGTGAAGTCTTTTGAAATCCTTGACTATTATTCTCCTTACACTCATGGTATTCACTTTCCTACTGCACAGTATCCGCTCAAGAGTATTAAACGCTTTTCAGCAGCCACTCATGTCAAATGATTGCCATCAGGATTACATGACTTGAAGAACTCAACAACCTAAAGAACCCAATAACTGGACCACTCAAGCCACAATGACTATGCAACCTTGAAAAACAGAGATGAGGTGACCTTACATGGCAATGCAACTATTGATGATGATAACATTTCCTTGAATCTTTGTTCCAGTGACTACATAAATAATGGTAACTAAGAGTAATGCTACACTGTTTGGACACACTCTCGGTATGCTGAAAGAATGACCAAAAGAGGGGAATTTTTAAAGTAAATTAGAAAGAAGAGCTAGCCTGAAAAATCCCTGAGCAGAGAAAGCAAGTTAGGCCTCATAAGTGACCTAAATCTTGCTTGATTTGCCAACATAAGCAAAACTTAACTTTAGCTATTTCTTCTAAATGCCTATATCAAATAAAAAGAGAACTTAAGCTCAGCCAATTAGAAGGAGCCAAAAAAACCCGTGTAACTATTTAACTGGAAACTTCCTGACTAGATAGACCAAATATGGCAACTGTATAACTGTAACCAGTCAAATACAGGCATACCTGGGATTTATTGCAGGTTTAGTTCCATACGAATGCAATAAAATGAATATTGCTATATAGTGAGTCATACAAATTTTGTGGTCTCCCAATGCATGTAACAGTTATGTTTACACTGTGCTGTAATCTATTGTGAATAGCATTATGTGTAAAAAATTATAAATAACTTAGCTAAAAACCACTTTATTGCTGAAAAGATTCTAAGAATCATCTGAACCTTCAGCAAATTTGCCAATGGAGAGTCTTGCCTCGATGTTAATGGCTGCTGACTATTCAGGGTTGTGGTTGCTGAAGGTTGGGGTGGCTGTGGCAATTTCTTAAAATATGACAATAATGAAGTTCCTTTCATGAAAGAGTTTTCTGTAGCATGCTATGTTTGATAGTATTTTACCCACAATAGAATATCTTCCAAAATCAAAGTCAATCTTCTCAAACTCTCCCACTGTATTATCAACTAAGTTTATTTACTATTTTAAATCCTTTCTTGTTATTTCAGCAATGTTCACAAAATCTTCACCAGGAATCGATTCCGTCTAAAGGAACCTTTTTTTTTTTTTTGCTTATCCATAAGAAACAACTCATCCATTAAAGTTTTATCCTGAGATTGCAGTAAATTCAGTCACATCTTCAGGCTAGTTCTGGTTTTCTTAGTATTTCCTCCCCATCTTCAGTGACTTGAACTTTACAAAGCCATCCATAAGGGTTGAAATCAACTTCTTTTAAACTCCAATTAATGTTGATATTTTGACCTCTGAGGAGTCACAAATGTTCTTAATTGGATCTACAATGATGAATTTTTTTTCCAGAAGGTTTTCAATTTACTTTGCACAGATCAGAGGAATCTCTCTATATGAAAGCTATAACTTTATGAAATGTATTTCCCTCCCTCCCTCCCTCCCTTCCTTCCTTCCTTTGTGTTTTTTTAGAGATGGACAGAGAGGGAGACAAGGAGTGAAATGTATTTCTTAAATAATAAATCTTGAAATTCAAAGGTACTCATTGATCCATGGGCTGTAGAATAGATACTGTGTTAACAGGCATAAAAAAAACCACATTGATCTCCTTAAACATGTCCATTGAAGCTCTTGGGTGACCAGGTTCATGGTCAGCAAGCCTCAATATTTTGAAAGGAAATTTTTTTTCTGAACAGTAAGTCTCAACAGTGGGCTGAAAATATTCAGTAAACCTTGCTGTCATCCAAGCTTTGTGATTCTATTTATATTAGGTTGGTGCAAAAGTAATTACAGGTTTTGCCATTGCTTTTATGGCAAAACCTGTAATTACTTTTGCACCAATCAAATAGACCACAAACCAAATAGATTTTGCATAATTTTAAGGACCCTAGGATTTTTTGAGCACTGGCTTCAACTTCAAGTCACCAGCTACAGTAGCCCCTAATAGGAGAGTCAGCCTGACCTTTGAAGCTTGAAGCTTTGAAGCCAAGCATGGAGTTCTCTTCTCTAATTATGAAAGTCCTAGATGGCATTTTCTTCCAATAGAAGGATGTTTTATCTACATTGATAAAAATCTGTGGTTTATTATAGATACCCTCATTAATTATCTTAGTTAGATCTTCAGGATAACTTGTTGCAGCTTCTACATCAGCAATGACTGTTTCACTTTGCCCTTTTATGTTATAGAGACAGTTTGCTTCCTGAAACCTCATGAACCAATTTCTGCTAGCTTCCACAACTTTTCTTCTGCAGTTTTCTTACCTCTCTCAGCCTTCATAAAATCAAAGAGAGTTAGGGCTTTCTCTGGGTTAGGCTTTGGCTTAAGGGAATGTTTGTGACTGGTTTGATCTTCTATCCAGAGCACTCAAACTTTCTGTGTATCAGCAATAAGGCTGTTTCACTTTCTTATCATTTGTATGTTCACTGGAGTAGAACTTTTAGTCTCCTTCAAGAACTTTTCCATTGCACTCGCAAATTGGCTAACTGGTGCAAGAGGCTTAGCTTTTGACCTATCTTGGCTTTTAATGTGCCTTCTTTACAAAGCTTAATCATTTCTAGCTTTTGATGTAGAGTGGGAGATGTGCAACTCTTCCTTTTACTTGAACACTTAGAGGCCATTGTAGGGTTATCAGTTGACTTAATTCAATATTTTATGTCTCAGGGAATAGGGAGACCCGAGGAGAGGAAGAGAGATGAGTAAACATCTGGTTGGTGGAGCAGTCAGAACACATACAACATTTGTTAAGTTCGCTGTCTTACGTGGGCATGCTTCATGGTGTCCTAGAACAATTACAATAGTAATGTCAAAGATCACTGATCACAGATCGCCATAGCAGACAGAATAATGAAAAAAGTTTGAAATGTTACAATAATTACCAAAATGTAACACAGAGTCACAAAGTGAGAATATAATATTGGAAAAACGGTGCTGATAAGCTTGCTCGATGCAGGATTGCCACAAATGTTTAATTTGTATTAAAAAATGCAGTATCTGCAAAGCACAATAAAGAACAATTTAAAAAGGTATATATGTATTTTCTTTGTTTACTTCTGCATCTGTCCTATAAAAACCTCCCCTTCGTATTCCTTTGGTAGAGTTCCCAAACTCTTTCTGCTTTGGAGCTGCCTGTTTTAATAATTGTTGTTTGCTCATATAAAGTCAATAATTTTATTGTGCCACAATTTATCTTTTTACCATAGGTAACAGCTAAAAAAATAAATAAAAGTGGTGCCTAACAAATTTAATCAATGAAAATTTCAAATCTGGAAAGAGAAGAGTTACATAAAATATCTTAGGCTACATGATGTGGAATGATCTATATCAATGCTCTTCACACATTTGCACATTTGTAAGGCTTTGGAAATAATGTTATTTGCCCAAGTCCTTTACTGGTTGTTAGGTTTAAAACAATAAAAGTAGCTTAAGCAAGTAGCTTAAGCAGTTTGATATCAAATGTGACTAATCTGTGGTAGAAACTTCATATTTACACATAAAATGAGAGAAAACTTCTGTGCTCAGCATTAGCCATTGGGAAATTGTGTCTGCTTTAGAGTGGTTGTAGTGTTTTTTATTACCAGTTAACTCAACACTTTTCGTCAATTAGAAAGTGCTTAGTTATGATCTAAAATAGACTTCTTTCTCATTTATATTGGAACAATTTATCTCTAGTTAAGATTGGCAGACTCCATTTATATCAAATGCGTTCAGACTTATATAAAATGCATTCAGGACAATTTTTTTTTTTGAGAACGAATCTTGCTCTGTCGCCAGGCAGAAGTGCAGTGGCGTGATCTCGGCTCACTGCAACCTCCGCCTCCCAGGTTCAAGGGATTCACTTGCCTCAGCCTCTTAAGTACCTGGGACTACAGGCACACACCACCATGCCTGGCTAATTTTTTGTATTTTTAGTAGAGATGGGGTTTCATCATATTAGCCAGGATTGTCTGGATCTCCTGACCTGGTGATCCCCTCGCCTCGGCCTCCCAAAGTGCTGGGATTACAGGCATGAGCCATTGAGCCTGGCCTCAGGACAATTTTTGACTGGAAGTCTTTGTTGAAAGTCAATCCTATTAAAAATTAGTGAAATTCGATGCAAACACAAATATTTGAAAGCAAATAATATGCCATATTTGATTGATCCTAGATTTAAATAATCAATAGCTCTTCCTCAAGATATTTTGACTATGTAAATGTACCCTGTTGGACTATATTTATAGGAATTACTTCCCTTGTAATGAATTTCCCTATTTAGCTAATAAAATTTACAGTTCAAATTTTAGTAACTATAATACCTAAAGTCAATTAAAATGACATTTTATTTCAATCTAATTAAAAAATAAAAATTATGCCATAATTTGAACATTTGTAGATCAGCAATAAATACCTGAGGCATTGATTTAAAAATTTAGCAAAATCAAATTTAGAAATATATTGAAAATGGGAATGAGCATCTTAATTGCTATGGACAGAATGTTTATATGTCCCTAAAATGTATATGGTGAAATCCTAATTTCTAATGAGGTAGTTTTTGGAGGTAAATCCTTTGGGAAGTAATTAAGGTTACATTAGGTAGTTAAGGTGAAGCCCTATGATGGGATTAGTGCCCTTTTAAGAGATGAAAGACCAGAGTTCTCCATCCTCTGCAAATCAGAAAGACGGCCCACACCAGGAGCTGGCACCTTGATTTCAGACTTCCCGGTGTTCAGAACTGTGAGAAATTAATTTTTGTTGTTTGAGTCACTAATCCTATAACATTTATCTTATAGCAGCCCAAATTAAGATAATAGTATTGGTCTCTAAATTTTAAGGTTTTAATATTAGTGCTCACAATCACAATATTCATCATCTTTATAAACACTGGAAAGTGTTAAAGAGTTGAAGCCAATTTAATAGGCTTAGACATTTTTTATGAATAAACTCTAAGAGTGATTTGAATATTTTCTAAGTAGAATGTTTCTTCACCTCAGCATCTGCCCTTATTTTACATTTCTCAATACAACAGGAAGTGGATCCCATTTTGGAAACTGAGATAGTTAATGCTATGCACTCGTTACTCTGTTTTTTTTTTTATTCCTCTTGCATTTGTTATAGGAATGTTTTTTTCCAATTCACCAATCCCTGTAAAACTGAAAATATGTTGTTCTAAAAATGCTTGTTGGCAAATGTAGATGTGGCTCTCTACTCTTCAGTTCCAGGATCTTTTCTTCCTCTAGTTGTTGTGTCCTCATTCTACTTCCTCCTGGCTCAAGGCTTCCATGGAATCACTCTTCTGCATGTACCTTCCCTTTTCACAGCTTTTGCTCTATCTAGAAGGTCCCAACTCAGCCTATCAAGAGTCCCTGACTTCTGGTAATTCAAGCAAACATGATAAAACACCTCAAGCAGGTGTGATAATAATGCTAATAGGTACGTTAATATATGCATCTTAAACTTCTGGTGGTGGGAGGTAGTTCTATGAAAAACAATACTATCTCTGATGTTGGAATTTTCAAGTAAATTTATGTTATCCATACCTTTCAATGGTTATTACAATACACACACACACACACACACACACACACACACACACACAAAATATCCTTGCTTAAGCCAGCTACACACAGGACTATCAGTGAGGTACATTTTAGATTCCTACTACCCCAATGGGTCTAGGCTATTCATAAACGAAACCTTGCTTTTGCTCCACGTCTGTGGTCATTTTGCTCATATCTTCCCTCAGTCTCTACCCATCCTTCAGAGTTCAGCTCAAGTTGTACACGTTTCATGATTCCTAAAACCAACATAGAATACAGTAGATTTATCTTCCATGAAAGACAAAAATGCCAGTTGGGCAAAGGTGATATTGTGAAATGTCTGTTTGGTCTTTGTCCGTTTTCTGACATACAGCTCCTAAAATCCTTGTAATCTCCACAGTGATGAGTGTCTTTTGCATGCTAAGATGAGTGGCCATAAGAAAGATCAAGGCACGATTAGAAGGTTGGGAACTTAAGCCCCACTCCCAACCTCTAGGTAGGGTAGAGGTGCTGAAGGTAAAGTTGATCACCAGTGGCAATGATTTAACCAATCAAGTCTACATATTGAAGCTTCCATAAAAACCCAAAAGGACCGAATTCAGGGAGCTTCTGGATAGAGGAATACATGAAGGTTCCTGGGAGGTGGTGCATCAAAGGACATGGAAGCTTTGTACCCCTTTGCCTATACCTTCCCTTATTTCTCCCTTCATCTGGCTGTTCATCTCCTTTATAATAGGTCAGTAAACAAAAGTGAAGTGTTTCCCTGAGTTCTGTGAGTCACTCTATCAAATTAATCAAATTCAAGATAGGGGTCATGGGAACCTTGATTCATTGCCACCTGTACTTGTGGCTGGCATCTGAAGGGGAGGGCAGTCTTGTGGGTCTGAGCCCCCTGACTATGGAATCTAACACTATCTCCAGGTAGATGATGTCAGAACTGAGTTAAATTAGAGGACACTGGCTGGGCGTGGTGGCTCACGCCTGTAATCCCAGCACTTTGGGAAACTGAGGTGGGCAGATCACCTGAGATCGAAAGTTTGAGACCGGCTTGACCAACATGGAGAAACCCCATCTCTACTAAAAATACAAAATTAGCCAGGTGTGGTGGTGCATGCCTGTAATCCCAGCTACTGGGGAGACTGAGGAAGGAGAACTGGTTGAACCCAGGAGGCAGAGGTTGTGGTGAGCCGAGATCATGCCTTTGCACTCAAGCCTGGGCAACAAGAACAAAACTCCATCTAAAAAAAAAATTAGAGGACACAAGCTGGCATCTGCTGGAGAATTGTTTGGTTGGTGAATGGGAATAAAACTTCCACACACCTGGTACTGGAAGTGTTAAGTGACTGTGTAAGACAGGAGAACAGAAAAAAAAAAAGTGTTTTTGGCTTTTCCTATATCCTATAGAAAATACTGGGGTTTTAGCATATATTGTCTCAATTATAACCCTAGAACATGAGGGCCGGGTGTGGTGGCTCACACCTGTAATCCCAGCACTTTGGGAGGTGGAGGCGGGCGGATCACGAGGTCAGGAGACCGAGACTATCCTGGCTAACATGGTGAAACCCTGTGTCTACTAAAAATACAAAAAAATTAGCCAGGCGTGGTGGCAGGCGCCTGTGGTCCCAGCTACTTGGGAGGCTGAGGCAGGAGAATGGTGTGAATCCGGGAGGTGGAGCTTGCAGTGAGCCGAGATCACGCCACTGCACTCCAGCCTGGGCAACAGAGTGAGACTCCGTCTCAATAAAAAGAAAAGAAAATAACCCTAGAACATGAGTTATTGAGATTTTCTTTTCTATACCCTTTGAGATCATTCTTTCAAACTTCAGTGTAAGCTTCTGAAGGACAAGATCTAAATTGTATTATTTATTTTGTACCCCAGTAATGTTGTACAACCACCATTCACATTGAATTCACATTTGAATGTTGACTTCTAGAATGTAGAATGGTCAGTCTTGTGTTTCTAAGATATGGTGTGTCAGAACATGATTCTGCACCTGACTGTTCAATAAATGTTTTATTATTTCATTCTCACACTGCTATAAAGAAATATCTGAGGCTGGGCACAGTGGCTCATGCTTGTAATCCCAGCACTTTGGGAGGCCAAGGTGGGTGGATCACCTAAGGTCAGGAGTTCAAGACCAGCCTGACTGACATGACAAAACCACATCTCTACTCAAAATACAAAAATTAGCCAGATGTGATGGTGTGTGCCTGTAATCCCAGCTACGTGGGAGGCTGAGGCAGGAGAATCACTTGAACCCAGGAGGCAGAGGTTGCAGTGAGCCAAGATTGCGCCACTGCACTCCAGCCTGGGCAACAGAGTGAGACTTCATCTCAGAAAAAAAAAAGAAAGAAAGAAAAAAAGAAAAGAAAAGAAAAGAGAAAGGAAAAGAAAAAGAAAAGAAAAGAAGAGAAAAAAAGAAGAGAAAAGAAACATCTGACACTGGGTAATTTATATATATATATAAAAGATGTTTAAATGGTTCATGGGTCCACAAGCTATTCAGGAAGCATGGCAGTGTCTGCTTCTGGGGAGGCCTCAGGGAGCTTTTACTCATGACAGGAGGCAAAGCAGGAGCAGATGTCTTACAAGGCATAAGCAGCACCAAGAGAGAGCTAGGGGGAAGGTGCTGCACGCTTTTAAACAACCAGATCTTGCAAGAACAGCACCAGGAGATGGTGTTAAACCACTCGTGAAGGACCACCCCCATGATCCAGTCACCTGCCATTTGGCCCTACCTCCAATCAACATGAGATTTGGTGGAGACACAGATGCAAACCATATCAATGTATACCAAATAATTTTAGCTTAATTTATAGAGTTACTTTATGTATTTATTTACACTTTGGGGGCAGAGAAAGGATCTCATTCTGTCACTCAGGCTGGAGTGCAGTGGCCTGATGTCAGGTCACTGCAGCCACAAATTCCCAGGCTCCAGTGATCCTCCCACCTCAGCTTCCCGAGTAGCTGAGACTACAGTGTGTGCCACTGTGCCCAGCTAATTTTTGCATTTTTGGTAGAGATGGGGTTTCACCATATTGCCCAGGCTGGCCTTGAACTCCTGAGCTCAAGCAATCTACCTGCCTCATCCTCTCAAAGTGCTGGGATTATAGGCATGAGCCACCATGCCTCGCTGAGTCTACTTTAAAACCAATGGAAATTCAGATAACAAGTGTGAGAAAACATTAAATACCATTAGAAATTAGTCCCTATTTGCTTCACAAAAAGTAGTATATAAAAATAAACAATAAAACCTCTTTTTAAAAATCTGTTAAACTTTCTGTAAAAATAACCATCTCATCAACCGAGAATTATATGACCTAAACAGGAACTCCTATTAACAAGCCACTATGTCTGAAGGAATCTTATGTTTTCTCCATCCAAATACACAGAATTAGCAGTATTAATTGAATAAGCACGGGTTATGGAGATTTGATAACAGGTAGGGTGAAAGCATGGGTAAAAGTAATGTAGCATTTCAAAAATTTGTAGGCTCCTAAAGTAAAAGAAAAAAAGTTTACTTGGCACTTAAAAATCATTTATGTAAAATATTAACCAATATTTTGGCTAGTATATTTGAAATAAAACTGTCTTTCTTTGCAAAATATCTAAACCAGTGCTTCTCAATTAAGGGATTTTGCCACTTCAGGGAGCATTTGGCAGTATCTGAGAGAAATTGGTTTGTCACAACTGTGTTAATTGTAGGGGTCCTACTGGCATCCAGTGGGTAGAGGTCAGGGATGCTGCTAAACATCCCACAATCACAGGACAGGCCCCAACAACAAAGAATTATCTGGCCCCAGACGTCAACACTGCTGATATTGGGAAACCCTTCTCTAAATTCATCCAAGAAAATATTTTATAGACTTGAACATCTTTCTTTTTCATAGTTACCAGAAAAGTGGTTCATCTGTGGGACTAGTGGGGGAAAATTGTGACGTCCACTTCTATCTAAAAGAGTGAAAGGTAAAACAGGGTCTAGAAAGCAAAATGAAAAATAAACAGGAGTCATATCTATGGAAAGTTTCTATTCATAGAAGATTTTAGCGCTCTGAGAGCATAATAAGTGTCTTGATGAACAGCAATATCTGCTCACCACACTGGCTCTCTCGCCAGCTTAGAGCCTATATGCCTCTTACTACCAGCGTAAGCCTTTTAAATCTGTTCAAAACCTTTTTGATGGCCTTACATCACACTTCAAAGACAATTCAAAGATTTTACCATGACATGCACAGCCCTTAAGTATCTGTTCTCTGGTTAGGTCTCTGTTCCCAGATCCTACTACTCTTTCTCTCTCTATTGTGTTTCAGTCCCACTGTCCTATTTTCTGTTCCCATAAACACACAACAGGCAGGCTTCCTTCTTGGGGCTTTCCCTCTGCCTGGAGCATTCTTCCACAAGCGTTCTTGAAGTTTCTTCCTTCCCTATATATTATTATTCAGGTTTCTGTCCCAATGTCACCTGCAGAGGTAAAGGAGTAGCTCCTACCACCACTTGATATTCACTTCTTATGTTGTATTTCTTTTTTGTTTGCTGATTTTTAAATTTATTATTATTATTATTACTATTATTATTTTGAGATGGAGTCTTGCTCTGTCGCCCAGGCTGGAGTGCAATGGTGTGATCTCGGCTTACTGCAACCTCCGCCTCCCGGGTTCAAGCGGTTCTCCCACGGCAGCCTACCGAGTAGATGGGATTACAGACACCCATCATCATGCCCAGCTAATTTTTGTATTTCTTGTATTTCTGTAGAGAGCGATTTTCACAATGTTGGCCAGGTTGGTCTTGAACTCATGACCTCAGGTGATCCGCCCACCTGGGCCTCCCAAAATGCTGGGATTACAGGCGTGAGCCATGGTGCCTGGCCATTTTTTTTTTTTAATTTTATTTTAAGTTCCAGGATACATGTGCAGGACTTGCACTTTGTTACATAGGTAAACATGTGCCATCGCGGTTTGCTGCACCTATCAACCCATCACCTAGGTATTAAGCCCAGCATGCATTAGTTATTTATCTTGATGCTCTCTCTCCCCCCGCCCCCATCGACAGGCCCCAGTGTGTGTTGTTCCGCTCCCTGTGTCCATGCATTCTCATTGTTCAGCTCCCACAAATAAGTGTGAACATGCGGTGTTTGGTTTTCTGTTCCTGTGTTAGTTTGCTGAGGATTTCTTTCATAGAACTTTTCATTGACATTTTTATCATTATTTGTTTACTTTCTGTCTCACCCCACTGTCACTACCCCAAATGAGTGGGATATTTGTTTAAACCTTTGTATCTTCAGCCATAAGAATAGTGCCTAGAAAAATGGCCATCTCTTTATACATATTTCTTAAATTAAGCAATATATAAATGAATAAACATTTAAGATGTTCTAACTAGAATACTAAAACAGTTTTTCTTTTGCTTTGACATTCTTATTGTTTATCTTTTTTGTCCACAATCGAGAAAAGATTAGACCTAACTTTGCAGGATCAAGCCTCTACAGTAGGACAATCAATGCTTGGTAAAAAAGTTCTAGTGTTCCAGCCAAGGCTGCTAAAATGTATAAGCAAATCCCCCAATTATTTTCTTTGTGGACAGGGGCTCCATTTCATATGCAATGTGTATGCTGAAAGCAGATATTACTTCAGTGAGATTCTAGTGCATAGAATAAAGGTGCATAGAGGTAAAAATGAATAAAAGAGATACACAATAAAAGATAGAAAATATAGCAACAAATACTAAGCAATGTGCTAGATTGATAGGGCAATTAGATTTTGGATTAATTAAATATGTGTTCATATGTTTTCTGTGTTAGGTTGGATTTCCCAAAAGCAGATCCTGGGATGTGCTTTTGTCTACAAGTGTCCCCAGTAGCGACCAGTGATCAGTGAGGGTTTAAGCAAACCAGGAACCAATGGAGACCAGTGACCAGTGAGGGATTAAGTGAAGCAGGAAGGGAAGAGGAAGAAACCAAAGCAGTGCTATCCCAAGCAATGTCCCAGTCTTTCCCTGATGCCTCCCGGAGATCAGAGGCAAGAACTAGTTCAAGGAAGCTGTGCTTTTATCCTCCTCCTCCTCCTGAACGGGGATGTCGTTGGCTACAGACCGCACAAGGGATAAAAACCCCCAGGCATCTGCAGGGCTTGGTGCCTGGGCAAAGCAGCTTTACTGGGAGTCAGTAGGAATTAAACAGAGCAGCTCTGCTCCTCATATCTCTCATCCTCCTCCGACCAGCAGGCTGGCCTGGGCACGTGTTCTCATTTAAAAGTCAGAAGTTCAAGAGAGCAAGTTCCATGAGATGCCATTTTAGACATGGGGTTGAACTTGGCACAGTGTCACATGTGCTTACATTTCACCAGCTAATGCCAGTAACATGCCTAAGTTCAAGATCAAGGGAAGTCCACTGTGCACATGATGAAGCCATGACAATGGTGGGCTTGCAGGAAGGGCTGAAGAACTAGAGCCAATAATGAAATCTACTATACATCCCTATTTTTCAAATCTGAAAACTCTACTGCTACAGGCATTAATTTACATCACGAAATGCCTTCTTAATTTATAAAGTTAATAAAATCTTTAAAAATCTTTATTTATTTATTTATATATTTATTTGAGACGCAGTCTTGCTCTGTCACCAGGCTGGAGTGCAATGGTGTGATCTTGGCTGACTGCAACTTCTGCCTCCTGGGTTCAAGCTATTCTGCTGCCTCAGCCTCCGGAGTAGCTGAGACTACAGGCGCATGCCACCATACCCGGCTAATTTTTGTATTTTTAGTAGAGATGGGGTTTCACCATGTTGGCCAAGATGGTCTCAATCTCTTGACCTCGTGATCCGCCTGCCTCAACCTCCCAAAGTGCTGTGATTACAGGTGTGAGCCACCACGCCCAGCTTGTACAAAATCTTTAATGGCAAACTTACAATTATTTGTCTATTTTAAATGATATTATTTTTGTCACAGTCATCCT
Source organism: Homo sapiens (assembly GCF_000001405.40). NCBI lineage: Eukaryota > Metazoa > Chordata > Mammalia > Primates > Hominidae > Homo > Homo sapiens. Next base: position 45,017,882 of record NC_000005.10, on the reverse strand, counting down.
ACAAGTACACACCCACGCATGTGTTGCTTATTATATAGTAATGTGCTGGTTAATGACAGGGATATGTTCTGAGAAATGAGTCATTAGGTAGCATTTTTGTCGTGCAAATATCACAGAATGTATTTCACAAGCCTCAATGGGATAGCCTGCTACATACCTAGGCTATATGGTATATCCCATTGCTATTGGGCTACACACCTGTCCAGCATATTGCTATACTGAATACCGGAAGCAAATCTAACATAAGAGTATTTGTGTATTTAAACATATCTAAACCTATAAAAGGTACAGTAAAAATACAGTATGTAGGGCACTTACCATGAATAAAGCTTGTAGGACTGGACGTTGCTCTGGGTGAGTCAGTGAGTGAGTGGTGAGTGAATGTGAAAGCCCAGGACATTACTGTACACTACTGTAGACTTTATAAATACTGTACATTTAGGCTACACTAAGTTGATAAAAAAATTTATTCAGTAATAAATTAACCTTAGAATACTATAACTTTTTAACTTTACAAACTTTTAAAAAAATTTTGGCTCTTTTGTAGCAACACAGTTTAAAACACACGTTGCACAGCTGTATAAAAATATTTTTTCTTGATATCCTTATTCTGTAAACTTTTTTCTATTTTTAGGTTTTTTTGTTTCTATTTTTACTTTTTAAACTGTTTTGCTAAAAACTGAGACCAAAACACACAATAACATAGACTTACACAGGTTCAGAATCATCAATATCACTGTCTTCCACCTCCATATTTTGTACCACTGGAAGGTCTTCAGGGGCAATAACACATATGGAGCTATCATCTCCTGTGATAACAAGTCCTTCTTTTGGAATACCTCCTGAAGGATCTGCCTAAGGCTGATTTAAAGTTAACTTTTTCTTTAATAAGTAGAAAGAGTACACTTTAAAATAACAATCATGTGTTTAGTATAGTAAATACATAAACCAGTAACCATCATTTATTATCAAGTATTATAGAGTACACATAATTGCATGTGCTATACTTTTATATGACTGGCAGAGTGGTAGGTTTCTTTACACCATCACCATAAACATGAGTAATGTGTCTTGCACTGAGATGCTAGTTATGATGGCTCTGATGACAATGACGACACTGGATGACATAATTTTTTAGCTGTGTTATAATCTTATGAGACCACTGTGTTATATGCGGTCCATCATTGACCAAAACTTTGTAATGTAGCCCACAACTGCAGTAATTTTCAATTGTATTAAAAAAAAACCTTACTAAAACTCTCAAAATTATAATTACTTTAGTTTATAGATGAATCACAAAATGCTAAACTGAAAATATTTCTAGTTCTGGTAAGATTTATGTACAACAGTAGCTTGTACTAAATATGTCAGTCAGCATTTTGCCTGATAAGTGATAGTGAGAGGTGAAGCCAGCTGGACTTCCTAGGTCTAGTCGGGATTGTAAATGCACCAATCAGTGCTCTGTGTCTAGCTAAAGGTTTGTAAATGCACCAATCAGCACTCTGTAAAAACGCACCAATCAGCTCTCTGTGTGTAGCTAAAGGTTTGTAAACACAGCAATCAGCACTCTGTAAAAAACGCACCAATCAGCTCTCTGTGTCTAGCTAAAGGTTTGTAAATGCACCAATCAGCACTCTGTAAAAACGCACCAATCAGCATTCTGTAAAACAGACCAATAAGCCCTCTGTAAAATGCACCAATCAGCAGGACATGGGCAGAGCCAAATAAGGGAATAAAAGGTGGCCACCTGAGCCAGCAGCGCAACCTGCCCAGATCCACTTCCAGGCTGTGGAAACTTTGTTCTTTCGCTCTTCACGATAAATCTTGCTGCTGCTCACTCTTTGGGTCTGTACTACCTTTATGAGCTGTAACACTCACTGTGAAGGTCTGCGGCTTTACTCCTGAAGTCAGCAAGACCACGAACCCACTGGGAGAAACAAACAACTCCGGATGTGCCACCTTTAAGAGCTGTGACACTCACTGCGAAGGTCTGTGGCTTCACTCCTGAAGTCAGAGAGACCACGAACCCACTGGAAGGAAGAACCTCCAGACACATCTGAACATCTGAAGTCACAAACTCTGGACACACCATCTTTAAGAGCTGTAACACTCATTGTGAGGGTCCGCGGCTTCATTCTTGAAGTCATTGATTCATGTTGATGCTTTTCACAATTCTATCTGGGGTTTTGATGCAAAATATAATTTCTTTAGGTCAGGATTGACCTTGTCCTTGACCCCAACATGGAAGCTTATTCTTCATTATTACCTTTTATTAATCAATCATTTCCTCTCAAGCTATACACAAGCCCCATGAGGCACTTATCAAGGATTTTTTTGTGTCTGAGGAGAGCTTTAAATTTGTGGATCTGCTAAACATTTCAGCTCGCTTTTTAATATCTTGAAAACCTGGCATCAGATCAAACACAGGCAATAAAGAGAAGCCACCTTGAGGGGGAAAATAAAAAGAATTCTGATTTCTCTTTAATTAATCCAATACACATATTTAGTTGCTTGGAAGAAGGCAGATTACTGAGATCACTTAAATAACAATACTTTGTTTTAGTCTGATGCTAGGAAGAAATTCTCAAAGTTTACCAGTCTTGTCACTAGCATGGGTTGAGTCATTTTTGTAATTGAAGTTTTTTTGACTTATAGACATAATGCTAAATTAAGTCTTTTTGAGTCCTATTGTGTCCAGAATTTATTCCTTCAGGTGGGTTCTTGGTCTCAATGACTTCCACATGAACCTGAAAATAAACACTACAGAGAGATGACTTAGAACATCTTAGATGGCCATCGTCATATGAAAGTAAAACAACATATACATTAAAATAACAACCCCCTGTATTTTGTAAGTGTGATTTTTAAAAGGTGAAATAAGGCAATCTTCAAAATCATTGGTAATGCTGAAAAATGGGAACAATTACTTGTTTTTTTTTGGTGTGCTTGTTTTGTTTTGTTTTGTTTTGTTTTTTTACAGAGTCTTGCTCTGTTGCCCAGGCTGGAGTGCAGTGGCACAATCTCAGCTCACTACAAGGTCTGCCTCCTGGGTTCACACCATTCTCCTGCCTCAGCCTCCCGAGCTGCTGGGACTACGGGCACATGTCACCACACCTGGCTAATTTTTTGTATATTTTTAGTAAAGATGGGGTTTCACCGTGTTAGCCAGGATGGTCTCAATCTCCTGACTTCGTGATCCTCCCGCCTTGGCCTCCCAAAGTGCTGGGATTACAAGCGTGAGCCTCTGTACCCAGGCAACAATTGCTAATTTTTAATGGAGAATTTTTGTACCATCATATTAGAGTTAATAGGGAGCTGATACCCAATATCATGCTGCAGTCTTAGAAGAGTAACTTCTCTCTGCCTCTGACTCTATTTTTTTTCTACAGTGGATATTTGTTATGTATGTTTTTTGGATTGTAAGGCTTGCGAGATATCACCAATAAAATTAACAAAGGTTGTACCTGCAGAGAGCTGGCAAGAGTGGTATTACCAGGGTCTGTATTCATCAGACTTAGTCAAATCATGTAGGGGATTAGAAATATTCACCCCAGCTAAGCAAGATGGCTCACGCCTGTAATGCCAGCACTTTAGGAGGCTGAAGCGGGCAGATCACTCGAGGTCAGGAGTTTGAGACCAGCCCGTCCCACATGGTGATACTCCATCTCTATTAAAAATACAAAAATTAGCTGGAAATTGCTTGAACCTGGGAGGCGGAGGTTGCAGTGAGCCAAGATCATGCCACTGCACTCCAGCCTGACAACAGAGTGAGCCTCCGTCTCAAAAAAACAAAAACAAAAAAAAGAAAGAAAGAAAAACAGAAATATTCACCCTGGTCTCTCCGTTCTTTTTAAATAATGTAAATAATACCTATATGTATTTTAGTTGTTAAAATTTCTAAAAGAACGTAGAGTTAAAAAGATCCTACTTTAGCACAGAGAAACTATTAGATAAAATTAAATATAATCATTCATAATTTTAAAAGAAGAAATTCTTCACAAAATAAGAATTAAAGGAAACTGTTTAACCTAATAGAGGTAATTTATCAAAAACCCATAACAATCATCACTCATAGTGGTGAAAACTTAAGATGCTTTCCATCAATGCTCACTCACTGATTATTTTCAGAATTATACTGGAAGTTCTAAATATTCCAGTAAAAATAAAAAGCATTATAATAATATAGAAAAAATAAGGGTTTTTTGTTGTTGTGTTTTCCATATGATATGATTGTCTAGACTACCACATACAGCTAACCAGGTTGTGAATTTTCCAAACCTCAGGAGCACAATTCAATGTGAAATCTGTATTAGTTTTCTAGGACTACTTTAACAAATTACCACAGACTTCGGGGCTTAAACAACAGAAACTTATTTTCTCACAGTTTTGGAGCCATGATGCCTGAAATCATGAAGTCAGTGGGATTGTTTTCTTCCGAGGCTTCTTTCCTTGTCTTGTCCGTGGCTATCTTCTCTCTGAGTCATCACATGATCTTCCTTCTGCCTGTGTCTTCATCCTATTCTCCTCTTTGTACATGGGCACTAATTCAAAGTTATATTAGATTAGTACTCACCCTAATGACTTCAGTTTTACTTAACACTTTAAAGATTTTATCTCCAAATACCATCACATTTGGAAGTACTGGGTTTAGGACTTCCACATATAAATTTTTTGGGGACAAAATTCAGCACATGACAAATCCCAAAAGAGTATATAGACAAATTATCAGTATTAACTAAAGTTTAACCAAGTTACTGGATATGTTTTTAAATGCCAATTACAGTAATGAGAAAAACAAATATTACCTGGGAGTCAATATGACAAATTATTTATATGGCCACAATGTAGAAAATTGAGAAGGGTTAATTTGTCCAAAACTGATGCTCTGGGGAGGCTCCTGTAAAACTGTATGAAAAACCAACTACACTAACTTCTTCAGGCAATTACTTTGATAGAGGATAGACATTAGAGATCAGATCACTTGTCCTCCACACAGGGGAAAATTAAAAGTATAGACCCCAGTTCCCTGATCTCATCAGGGAAGAGAGTGATGCTCTACCAACCATGAATGCTTAAACAACAGAACAGGGTGAATGTCAGGTTTCTCATGTCATGTCACTGGAGAAAAACCTGAATCACATGAGGAGAATGGCTTCCCTAGTCAAGCAAACTTAACCATCTCAGTCAAAGTCCAAGGTTCCCCTTCCATATCTGGCACAATTATATCCTATCTTCTGGTGCAGAGCAGGATTCAATGGAGGGCCTACAATCCTAGCATGGCTCCAAGCTCATGAGTTTTTCCCAATGAAAGCGGCATCAAAAGCCTAGTATCTGTGTTCAACAAAAATCTAAAACTCAAAAGAACTTAGTAACTGGAGACATAGACAATGTTTACAAATACACTCAATATTGTGGGACTATCAATTATCTCCAAATTAATCTACAAATACAATGTAACTTCAACAAAAATCTGAGCATGGTTATTTGAAGTACTTGATACTGATTTATATTGGAGAGCAAAGGGTCAATAACAGTCAATAGAATATTGAAAAAGAATAAGGAAGGGTAAATGTAATGCTGTACAAAGTATCAAAATCTATTTTAAGAATATTTATTTGCACTTGTGGGAATAAAAATGATTAAAATTGGAAACATCTTTTTATCAAAAACACTATGATGAAAATATAAATCAAGTAATCAAATGGGAACCTATCTCTTTTGCTAGCTGTAATTTATTCTTAACACATCAGCCAGAATGCCTCTGTAAAACTCAAGTCATAACAGGTCTCTGCTCAAAACCTTCTAATGGCTTCCTGCTTCACTCCAAGGGAAGCCAAAAGTCTTACCCCATCATACATGTTGCTTCATAACCTGGTCTCTCTGTATGTTTCTGACCAAAATTATTACCTTCTTTTTCTCACTTTGCTTCATGTACTCGCTTGCTCTTCCTCAAACACACAAAGTGCAGAGAGGCTATTGCCCTCTATTTTACTCTTAGCTAAATTACTCTTCTTCCACATATTGACATTGCTCAACTCCTTATTTTCTTTAAGTTTCTACTCTAATGCCTTCTATTCAGGAACGTCTCTTTTTTGAGATGGAGTCTCACTCTGTCGCCCAGGCTGGTGTGCAGTGGCTGATCTCAGCTTACTGCAAGCTCCTCCTCCCGAGTTCACGCCATTCTCCTGCCTCAGCCTCCCGAGTAGCTGGGATTACAGGAGCCTGCCACCATGCCCGGGTAATTTTTTTGTATTTTTAGTAGAGATGGGGCTTCACTGTGTTAGCCAGGATGGTCTCGATCTCCTGACCTCGTGATCTGCCCACCTTGGCCTCCCAAAGTGCTGGGATTACGGGTGTAATCCGCGCCCAGCCAGGAAGGCCTTTATAGAAATATATCTGTCTTCTGCTCTTTGGTAATTTTTTTTACTTATATATATTTAAGGTTTAAAACTTGATGATTTAATATATATATGCATGGTGAAAGGATTACTACTACCAAACTAATTAACATATCATCACCCTACATAATTACCATTTTATGTGAGTAGTGAAGACATTTAAGATCTGTTCTGTTAGTATTCAATACACTATTACCAATTATAGTCACCATCAAGTACATTAGATATTCAGAACTTATTTACCTTACATAACTGAAACTCTGTACCCTTTGATCGTCACCTCCCCCATTTTCAACTCCCCTCAGCCACCGTTAACCATCATTCTACTCTGCTTCTATGAATTTGACTATTTTAGATTCTACAAACGAGTGAGATTATGCAGTATTTGTTGTTCTGTATCTGATTTACTTCACTTAGCATAATGTTCCCAAGGTCCATCAGTGTTTTTGCAAATGGCATAATTTTATTATTTTCTAAAGCTGGATAATATTCCATCATGTATGTATATGTATGTGTATATACATATCTGTATATGTATATACCATGTTTTCTAATATATTCATCTATCAATAGACATTTAGGTTGTTTGTTTGTCCTTAGATTATTTTTATATCCCTTTGACTTCTTCAACCTATTGGTTGTTCAGGAGAGTGTTGCTTAATTTTCACATATTTGTGAATTTTTCCTTTTTTTTTTTTTCCTGTTATTGTGTTTTAGTTTCATACCATTGTGGTCAGAAAATACAGTTGATATAACTTCAATCTTCTTAAATTTTTAAGACTGATTTTGTGGTCTAATGTGTGATCTTTCCTGGAAAATGTTTTGTGTGCTCTTGAGAAGAATATTCATGCTGCTACAGTTGGATGGAATGTTCTATATATGTCTGAGATTCACTTGGTCTATACTGTTGTTCAAGTCTGTTTCTTCTTTATCGATTGTCTGTATGAATGATCTATCCATTGTTGAAAGTGAGTTGTTAAAGTCTTCCACTACTTCTATACTGCTATGTTGATTCAATTCTGTTTTCATGTTTTAATTTAGGAGTTCCAATGTTGGGTGCACATATATTTACAATTGCTAGACCTCTTGATAAATTGACCCATTTATTACTGTCTAATAACCTTATTGTCTCTTGTGGCAGTTTTAAGTTGAAGAACATTAATAAAACTCACTGCTGCCTATTTTTTTCTCTCTTACACTAATCACCTGTATCCTGCTTCCCAGAGAGAGAACCACTTTCCTGGCTAGGTTAAGATAGTGAGAGGTGAAGCCAGCTGGGCTTCTGGGTCTGGTGGGGACTTGGAGAACTTTTCTGTCTAGCTAGAGGATTGTAAATGCACCACTCAGCGCTCTGTGTCTAGCTCTGGGTCTAACCAGATAAACACCAACCATGCTCTTATGTGACTTATGCCATAGAGAAAATAGAAGCAAAATAAATACAAGCATAGCTCAGTGATGTGAAAGTTTTGTCCCATACCATCACAATAAAGTGAATATTGCAATAAAGTGAGTCACATGAATTTCTTGGTTTCACAGTACATATAAAAGTTATGTTTACACTATACTGCAGTCTAATTTTGAGATTACTATTTCCTAGCTTTCAAAAAGGAATTTGCATAATGCTGTATATAGTCTTCCAAAAGGTGCATTTATCAGTCAACTTTTAGTAAGATTTATGCACTTTGTTGTCCATGGTGCTAGTATGATGCTATTTAAAAATGTGTTTCTTTTTTTAATTTTTGTTTTAAGTTCAGAGGTACATGTGGAGTATGTGCAGGTTTGTTACATAGGTAAAAGTGTGTCATGGGGGTTTGCTGTACAGATTATTTCATCATCCAGATATTAAGCCTAGTATCCATTAGTTATTTTTCCTGCTCCTCTCCTTCCTCCCACCCTCCACTCTCAGGTAGGCCCCAGTGTGTGTTGTGCCTCTCTATGTGTCCATGTGTTCTCATCTTGTAGCTCCCATTTAAAAGAGAGAACATGCAGGATACAGGTGATTAGTGTAACAGAGAAAAAAATAGGCAGCAGTAAGTTTTACTAATGTTCTTCAACTTAAAATTGCCACAAGAGACAAAAAGGTTATCAGAAAGTAATAAACAGGTCAATTTATCAATTCTGTTCCTGAATTAGTTTGCTAAAGATAATGGCCTCCAGCTCCAACTATGTTTCTGCAAAGGACATGAGCTGGTTATTTATTATGGTGGCATAGTTTTCCATGGTATATACATACCACATTTTCTTTCTTTCTTTTTTTTTTTTTGAAGATGGAGTCTCTCTCTGTCACCCAGGATGGAGTGCAGTGGCACGACCTTGGATCAGTGCAACCTTTGCCTCTTGGGTTCAAGCTATTCTTCTGCCTCAGCCTCCTGAGTAGCTGGGATTACAGGTGTGCACCACCATGCCCTATATGTACCATATTTTCTTTATCCAGTCTATCATTAACAGGCATTCAAATTGATTCCATGTCTTTGTTATTGTAAATAGTGCTGCAATGAACCTACACATGCATGCGTCTTTATATTAGAATGATTTAAAATTTGATAATATGATAAAAATAGAATGATATAATAGAACAATAAAAAATTTGATCAGGATGTAAAACAATACATCTACTAAACTAGTGTTAGGGCAGTAAGTTGGTACAATCAGCTTTGAGAATAATATGGGATAACTAGTACAGTCAAACACGTATAAAAATTGTGACCTAGCCATTCCACACATAGGTATATTGTTTAGAGAAGCTCTCAGATAAATATTTACAAAGACATTTAAGTTATATTTATGGGAAGAATTGTATTAAACGTTAAAAAATTTGAAATAGCTTAAATATCATCCTACAACAGTAAAAACAATTAACTAAAGCAACATAAAATATGGATGAACCTATAACTATAATGTTGAGTGAAAAAAACCAGGTGCTAAAAAATACAATATAAAATTGTTGACATCAATTTTAAAAAGCTACAAAACAAACTGTATGTTTAAGAGATACTATGAAAAAACAAAATATATAAAAATACATAAAATTATAAACTGTGAATTTTGAATAGGGGGTCCCAGAGGTAACCCCTACAAAATTTGTGGGAAGTTCAAATCATGGGAAGTTTATAGAGTGTCATCTGCTTTGGCAAATTTCCATGTGTTATTATTTTACTGGTTTGGGGATTTAAGTTTTTTTTTTTATTACTTTCAACATCATTTTTGTGAGTTGAGCATTTAATGATAACTTTTTTTTTTGAAACAGAGTTTCTCTCTTGTCACCTAGGCTGGAGTGCAATGGTGTGATCTCAGCTCACTGCAACCTCCGCCTCCCAGGTTCAAGTGATTCCCCTGCCTCAGCCTCCCAAGTAGCTGGGATTACAGGTGCCCGCCACCATGCCTGGCTAATTTTTTGTATTTTTAGTAGAGATGGTTTCATCATGTTGGCCAGGCTGGTCTCGAACTCCTGATCTCAGGTGATCCACCCCACCTTGGCCTCCCACAGTTTTGGGATTACAGGCATGAGCCACCGCGCCTGGCCTAAATGATAACTTTAGTAATAAAATACTATGAAATATTCCAATTGAATTTTTTTTATTCATTAAGCTCACAATGTTTTTATCACTAACGTAATTAAACACAAAAACATAGAACTAGATCCTTTTAATTAAATATTTTTAAAAAATCAAGTGGAACTAGAAGCATGAATCCAGTGCAAAGACTGCTTTGGCTGTGACAAAACTAACCCATAAATAAACAACTGAAGAAAAAGCAGAGGAGCTCAATGGGGAGATAAGAATGTAGGTACTATTGTGTCCAGAGTTGGTTCCTTCAGATGTGTCCGGAGTTTCTTCCTTCTGGTGGGTTCTTGGTCTCATTGACTTCAAGAATGAAGCCACGGTCCTCGCAGTGAGTGTTACAGCTCTTAAAGGTGCCACGTCCGGAGTTGTTTGCTCCTGCCAGTGGGTTCGTGTTCTCGCTGACTTCAGGAATAAAGCCACTCTTAAAGTCGCTGTGGACCCAAAGAGTAAGCAGCAGCAAGATTTATTATGAAGAGCGAAAGAACACGGCTTCCACACCAACGGAAGGAGACCCAAGCAGGTTGCTGCTGCTGGCTGGGGTAGCCAGCCTTTATTCCCTTATTTGGCCCCACCCATGTCCTGCTGATTGGTCCATTTTACAGAGTGCTGACTCGTCCATTTTACAGAGTGCTAATTAGTCCGTTTTTACAGAATGCTGATTGGTCTATTTTTACAGAATGCTGATTGGTGCATTTACAATCCTCTAGCTAGACAGAAAAGTTCTCCAAGTCCCCACCAGACCCAGAAGCCCAGCTGGCTTCACTTCTCCCTATCTTAACCTAGGCAGATATTTGTTAGCAAATTCAATAAACAATGCCAAACACTGTCTAACCACATAAACACCAACCATGCTCTTATGTGACTTATGCCATACAGAAAATAGAAGCAAATTAAATACAGACATAGCTCAGTGATGCTGAAAATTTTGTCCCATACTGTCATAATAAAGTGAATATTGCAATAAAGTGAGTCTCATGAATTTGTTGGTTTCACAGTGCATATAAAAGTTGTGTTTACACTATACTGCAGTCTATTAAGTATGCAGTATTATTATGTCTAAACAGCAATCTACATACTTTAAATAAAAATACTTTATTGCTAAAAAATGCTAATGATTATGTGAACCTTCAGCAAGTCCTAATCTTTTTGACAATGGAGAATCTTGCCTTGATGTTGATGGCTGCTGACTGATCAGGGTGGTGGCTGTTCAAGGTTGGGATGACTGTGGCAGGTACTTAAGATAACAATGAAGCTTGTCATATCTATTTATTTTTCCTTTCATGAAATATTTTTCTGTAGCATGCAATGCTGTGTGATAGAATTTTATCCACAGTAGAATGTCTTTCAAAACTGGAGTCAATCCTCTCAAACTCTGCCTCTGCTTTATCAACTAAGTTTTTGGAATATTCTAAATTCTTTGCTGCCATATGAACAATGTTCACAGCATCCTCACCAGAAGTAGTTTTCATCTCAAGGAACCACTTTCTTTGCTTATCCTTAAGAAACAACTCTCCATCTGCTCAAGTTTTATCCTAAGATTGAAACAATTCAGTTACATCTTCATGATCCGCTTCTAATTTTAGTTATCTTGCTATTTCTATCACATCTGGAGTTTCTTCCTCTACTGAAGTTTTGAACCCCTCAAAGTCATCCATGAAGGTTGGAATCAACTTCTTCCAAACTCCTATTAATATTGACATTTTAACCCCCTCCCATGATTCACATATGTTCATAATGGCATCTAGAACAGCTTTTCCTTTTCAGAGATTTTCATTTGACTTTGCCCAGACTCATCAGAGAAATCACTATCTATGGCAGCTATAGCTTTATGAAATTTATTTCTTAAATAATAAAACCTGAAAGTTGAAATTACTCCTTGATCCTTGGGCTACAGAATAGATGTTGTGCTAGCATGGAAACAACATTAATCTCCTTGTACATCTCCAAAAGAGCTCTTGGATGACTAAATACATTGTCAATGAGCAGTATTATTTTGAAAAGAATCTGTCTTCTAAGCAGTAGGTTTCAACAGTGGACTTAAAATATTCAGTAAACCATGCTGTGAACAGATGTGCTGTCATCCAGATTTTGTTGTTCTATTTATAGAGCATATACAGAGTAGATTTTGCATAATTCTTAAGGGGCCTAGGATTTCCAGAATGGTAAATGAACATTGGCTTTAAGGTAAAGTCACCAGCTGCATTATTCCCAAACAAGAAAATCAGCGTGTCTTTTGAAGATTTGAAGCCAAGCATTGAGTTCATCTCTCTAGCTATGAAAGTCCTACATGACATCTTCTTCCAATATGAGGCTGCCTTCTTTACATTGAAAATCTATTGTTTAGTGTAGCCAAATTCATCAATGAACCTTAGCTAGATCTTCTGGATAACTTGCTGCAGCTTCTGTATCAACACTTGCTGTCCACCATATACTTTTGTGTTATGGAAATGGTTTCTTTCCTTAAACCTCATGAATCAGCCTCTGCTAGCTTATAACTGTTCTTCTGTAACTTCCTCACCTCTCTCAGCCCTCATAGAATTAAAGACAGTTGGGGGCCTTGCTCTGGATTAGGCTTCAGTTTAAGGGAATATAGTGGCTGGTTTGATCTTCTATCAAGACCACTCAAGTTTTTACGAAGACCCCAAAACAATTACAGTAGTAACATCAAAGATCACTGATCACAGGTCACCATAATAGATATAATAATAATCAATTTGAGAAGTTGCAAGAATTAGAAAATGTGACACAGAGACATGAAGTGAGACATGCTGTTGAACAAATGGTGCTGATAGACTTGTTAGATGCAGGGTTGCCTAAACCTTCAATTTGTAAAAAATGCTATATCTGTGATGCTTAATAAAGTGATGTGCAATTAAATGAAGTATGCCTGCAATCACACAGCTAAAAAGATAATTAAACTATTGATAAATACTCCTAAGCAGAGATATATGACTCTGGAAAAAATATATCTCAGAGAATTGATTGGTCGAAGAGATTAGGAATTACCCCTTAGAGATGTGACAAATCAGCTGTCAGTAGGAAAAACAAGGGGATGGGAAGTTTCTTAGCAGAGAAAAAGAGTGAAGTTTAAAGATTTTATGTCCAGAGTGCAGAGAGAAAGGGCTGCAATGAAGTTGGAGAAAAATAGAAAAAAGAGTAATATTTATGCCAGTGCTCATCTTAATCTTGACTTTACCTCCCACTGTCAACCCCCTAGGCATTATTTTTAAATAGCAATCTTTATTAATTTATTCATCTCCAGTCCTAGAGTAACTATGTAATGAAAAGGGACTAAAGAAATTTTAGCTGCGTAAGAGTACAGCATACATACACATTCCAGTAAAGGTTAATTACTCACCATCAATGTTTGAAAAATTTATAGCATGTAAAATCTGTCTCTGTAATGTATTTCCAGCAATCCAATTGTAGTGTAGTATTGTCGGTTTTGAGAATTTGTTTCAAATCTTTTTTTTTCTTGGCAGTTGGAGACTGAAAGAAACTGGAAAATTGTTTCCTGTTAACATGAAAAGGTAGGAAAGTACAGTACTTTATGTCTTTTCTTTATTAAAAGCATGTTATTAACTATAGTTGAACTGCGATTTGTCAGACTATAAAACAATTGATACTTTTAATAGTCCAGGAAAGATTTTCAGTTTAAAAGGTTTTTACTTTAAGGGTCTTAACAGCTTCCTACATGAACTAAATTACACCAATTTTCAACTGTTCAGTGTGCGATGGCATAACAATATAATATTAAATATCTTTCTGGTATATAAAATGACTACATGAGAATTTAAGGATAGGTAATTTATCATGTACCTTCAAAGAAAAATAATGAGGAGTTTGGTTCTCTAAAATTTTTAGCAGTCTCATTTTCTCAACACTGCTGTTCAAACAAGATTTCTCTAATTTTACAAAACCATCTGGGATATTATATTTGCCACATAATGGGAGGAATTAAGATAAGTATCACAAAACTTTCAATAATGTTCACTGAAATTATATACATTTTGTTTTTAATATTATTACCGGATGTAGTAGAAAGAGTTCTAGAAGTATCATTGAAATATGAGGTTTAGAACCCAGTTTTAACACTTGGGAGGTGTGTTACACTGGGTTTAGATGCTCAGTCTATAAGATTGGAATAATAATAATATCTATTTTACAATATATGATCTAAAAGGTAAAATGTGTATAAACACAGCTCAAATAATCTTGGAGATAGAGATCAAGTCTTACAGTTCATTGCATTCTTAGTAAAATGTATGGCACCTTTTTGCATCTAGAATATGCTCAATTTGCATTCAAAAATTAGATCTAATAAACTGTTGGAGTCAGCATTCCAAAGCAAGCATTCACTCTGTAAGTAATTTGAGGAGATAAATGAAATAGAGATCATTTTTTCTCCCAAAGTAATCAAAAAACTTTACAAAATATCTTGAACAGCATAGATTGACTCCACAGTAGGTATATCCCAACATCTCTTTTGATAAAGCTTAAAACATATCATACCTCACTTAAAAGTACAAATCTTTGAAAAGAAAATAGCTTGGAAACACATATTAGACTATGACTGAACGTGGAGAGGATTGGTTTTGATTTTCAACGAAGAAAGCAAGCACCCTTGAAGGAAGATGTATTATTCTCTTACCCTTGTTCTCTTACAGAAGGGATGCACATTCTAAGAAGTTATTGGTCTTCTTGATATTAGAAGAAAATAATTCACTGACGTAATGAGTGAATGGAATAAATCCTGTTAAATTGGAAAATAATGAAAAAACATCATTTATTTGTAAAGCAGAAGCTGCTGCTAATATACATGCAACATTTTGAGAGATTCGACATTTCTAAATGTTAAAAACCATATATATATACACACACAAAAATATATCTGAATAATTTGTATATACAAAGATATTGGACTCTCTAAATAGTAGTCATTTGTATTGCAGACAAGTACAGTATCAGATAGAATGAGACATCTGGTAAAGTTGATAGGAAAGCATATGAGGTTGAGGATTGAAGGGAAATTCACGATAGAAAAAGGTAATAAAACAGCAAATATAAACCATACATTGCTAATGATTTAGAATATCAGAATATTAAAGCTGAGATCTACTACATATAGATTTGCTTTCTGAAATCCCAATTTCTCTGTTTATTAAAATGAAGGAGTTTCTTCATATCTGGCAATAAAGTATTTTTTTCAGTGACACTGAAGTTGCTTCTCCTCCATCTGTTCCTTCAATCAGTGGGGAAGAGTGTGAACTGGAACAAAGATGGTCCCAGTCATCTCTAACTTGCCCTGCAGCCTTGTTCAAAATCCTCAATGATTTAAAATCCAATATGTTCCTCTAAACAAATTTTCTATAGAATAATGTATTATTATAAACACTATATGCTGAAATTGTTAGAAATGAAGGTTCTGAAAATTCTAGAAACTATAAAATTAGTGTAATTAGTGTTAGAAGAGACAGTAGAGATTTCTATAGTAGCCTTTTATCAAGTGTAGTCTCCTGATCTCCTACATAAAACTCATGAGACTATTTGTTAAAATGTAGATTCCTGGGCCTCACCCTGACCTACTGAATCAGACTCTTTAATTGAGGAGCCAGAATTTCTTTTCTTTTTCTTTTTTTTTTTTTTTGAGATGGAGTCTCGCACTGTCGCCCAGGCTGGAGTGCTGTGGCACCATCTCGGCTCACTGCAAGCTCTGCCTCCCAGGTTCACACCATTCTCCTGCCTCAGCCTCCTGAGTAGCTGGGACTACAGGCACTCACCATCACGTCCAGCTAATTTTTTTTGTACTTTTAGTAGAGATGGAGTTTCACTGTGTTAGTCAGGATGGTCTCTATTCTCCTGACCTTGTGATCCACCTGCCTTGGCCTCCCAAAGTGCTGGGATTACAGGCGTGAGCCACCGTGCCCAGCTGAGGAGCTAGACTCTATTTTTTTAACAATTTCTCCCAGTTGACTTTTAGACTCCCTGAAGTTTGAGAGTCAATAATCTAGGAATGTGCTGTGCACTATGGTAGCCACAGCAACATGTGGCCACTGAGTCCTCAAAATATGGCTAGTTTCATGCTCAAAGCATAAAATAAACTCCAGAATTTGAAGACTTGTTGTGAAAAAAAGTAAAACATATTAATAATTTTCTATTGATTACATGTTGAAATAGTATTATGGATACAACAGGCTAAATAAATATATTATTAAAATGAATTCACCTCTTTTTTGATTTTACTATTTTAATGTGGCTCTTAGAAAATTTTAAATTACCTATGTGGCTTCCATCATATTTCGTTCAAACAGCACTGTTTTCTAGACTATGGAGGTTACTAATAACTTTATATCTTTTGCTCAGCTTTATAATGAAATATTTATATTTCTTAACAATTTGTTAGAATATTTAAAGAATATTCACTTTTAATTTTTTGTGACAACCAAGTATTAAATTTTATTTTATATATATACTATATATATAGTATATATGTAAGCTATTATGACTTTAATGTTATAAGAAAAATCAGTTCTATAAATAAACTTGATGTTATTTCAATCCATGAACTTGAACAATTACCACAGTATTGTTCAACTGGATTGTAAAACTAGACTATTTTACTAACAATAACAATTGACTGCTTTTACAGATTGTTACAAGAGTGAAAAGGGAATAGTAATGATAATAATGTGATATCACTCAAATTTTAGTTATTTCCTGTAGCAATTAGCTTATCTTAACAAATAGACATATTTTTAGAATGCATTCTTTTCCCTTCTAAATCCAAATAGGTAATGTGTCATAATCATTGTACTCTTGCAGAAAAACTAATTTTTCTATGAAGCCAACAATTTGAGAGAGATAAGCCTCATCATATGCTATTGCTCATCTCAGACTTCTGTAAGTTATAAGTTATCTTTGCCTTTTTTATTAGTAAAATTGCTTCAATCATGTCATTTAAAATAGCTTAAATTTATTTTGATTGGTGTAGACTAGGGTTTGAAAACTATTTTTTTTTTCCTGCAAAGCATTAGATAGTACATATTTTCAGCTCTGTGGATCTCTATCACAACTAATCAACTCTCCTCTTGTAGTGTGAAAGTAGCCTGAACAATACACAGATGAGTGGTTATGGGTGTGTTACAATAAGACTTTATTTATAAAAACAGGTGGCAGAGCCACAAGTTGTAGCTTGCCTACTCCTGCTATTGACTGTTAATTGCTGAATAGAAATTTGGAGATACCCTATAGTATCAGGATAACACAGCACCTTCATTCATCATGCTAAAAATAATACTTTTAAATGTTGCTCTACACTTAATTCAATGTGCTTCAGTGTTTCTTATTTAATATATAATTTTTAAATAGATTTTTCAGGACTTTAAGAAAAAAGAATATTTTTCTGTTTACATACATTGTTTGGCCACTTCACTTCTTTAGACATCAGTTTGGGCTTGAATTGCTTTATTTTTTCATTTATTTTTTTTTGAGGTGGAGTCTCACTCTGTCACCCAGACTGGAGTGCAGTGGGGAGATCTCGGCTGACTGCAACCTTTGCCTCCCAGGTTCAAGCAATTTTCTGCCACAGCCTTCCAAGTAGCTGGGATGACAAGCTCCCACCACCACGCCCAGCTAATTTCTTTGTATTTTTAGTAGAGACGGGGTTTCACCATCTTGACCAGGCTGCTCTTGAACTCCTGACCTCGGGATCTACCTGCCTCAGCCTCCCAAAGTGCTGGGATTCCAGGGATGAGCCACCACACCCAGCCTGATTTGTTTTCTTAATTGCTTTGGTGTCCTCTATTTCTTTACCTACTAACAAATTTATTTTAAGTACTTAAATAGAACTGATTGGACTGTGCATTCAAGGAAGAGGAATAAATAAAAAAAATACAATTCAGACAAAATACTGAAGTAGTCTTGCATTTAAAGTATTGAGAGGTGAAGCCAGCTGGACTTCCTGGGTCGAGTGGAGACTTGAAGAACTTTTCTGTCTTACAAGAGGATTGTAAAACACACCAATCAGCACTCTGTAGCTAGGACTGCAAAACGCACCAATCAATGCTCTGTAGCTAGCAAGGGGATAGTAAAATTCACCAGTCAGTGCTCTGCAGCTAGCAAGAGGATTGTAAAGTGCACCAATCAGTGCTCTGTAAAATGCGCCAATCAGTGCTCTGTAAATCGCACCAATCAGCACTCTGTAAAATGCACCAATCAGCAGGATCCTAAAAGTGGCCAATAGTGGGGAGGACTGAAAAAAGGGCACTGTGATACAACAGAAACAGAACATGGGAAGGGACAAATAAGGGAATAAAAGCTGGCCACCCCAGCCAACAGCAGTAACCTGCTCAGGTCCCCTTTCACACTGTGGAAGCTTTGTTCTTTCGCCCTTCACAATAAACCTTGCTACTGCTCAGTGTTTGGGTCCATACCACCTTTAAGAGCTGTAACACTTACCTCAAAGGTCCACAGCTTCATTCTTGAAGTCAGTGAGACCACAAACCCACCAGCAGGAACCAACTGAGAAACCCCTTTGTAAACTTTTATTCTGATAATGTTAATGTTCTTTCAATTGTTTTATTGTTAAGTTTTTAGAACTTCTTTCTAAATTGTTCTCTTTATGCTGTCTTTATAAATTTTATTTTTATAGAAATTTGAGGCCTGGTGTGGTGGTTCACACCTGTAATCCCAGCACTTTGGGAGGCTGAGGCAGGGGCATCACAAGGTCAGTAGATCAAGACCATCCTGGCTAACATGGTGAAACCCTGTCTCTACTAAAAATACAAAAACAAAATTAGCTGAGCATGGTAGTGGGTGCCTGTAGTCCCAGCTACTTGGGAGGCTGAGGCAGGAGAATGACGTGAACCCAGGGGTGGAGCTTGCAGTGAGCCAAGATAGCGCCACTGCACTCCAGCCTGGGTGACAGAGCGAGACTCAGTCTCAAAAAAAAAAAAAAAAAAAGAAAAAGAGCAAAGAATGAGCAGATTAATTTCAACTGAATTACTCTCTTTAAAGGACTGAAATCTAATTTGGATGAAATTTGCATGATTGTGTCAATTTGATCGAAACAGAAATACAACAAATATTTGCATCAGTTTTATCATTTACATAGCCTTTGCTTTTCAAATTTGATGGGATGTTTAATTTTTTAATTGAAATATTGTTACATATAAATTAGAATAATGCACATCATACATATTTTTAAATAAACTCAATGTTAAGACCAAGGATCTGGATCTTGTGCTACAATTTTTAAATATTCTCTCTTATTATATATTAGTAGTTGATATTTTTTGTCTAACATAAAAATGAAAAAAATCAGAAAAATTATAAAAATTGTTCACTGATTTGAATCAATATCAGCATCAGCCACAATTTCAGGTTGCTTCATATTCAGAATGTTCTGGGTTAATTATCAATGGCTTCAACTATTGGTCACATATACTTAACAGCAAATAAACAAGTAACACTGTCTAGGAACTAGAAATATGAGAAAAAATGATGAGAGAGCCCTCTGTCATCCTCATTTCTAAAGAAAACACTTCCCATATGGTAAAAAAGAAGTTTCTTAAGAAGTCAAGAGTATTTTTTTACGAAGTGTTGCAACTGTGCCGAATCCATGTGAAACAGCAATTTTAAGATAGATGTCCATCAGCATTTGGAATGATCTTCTGTCAGTTTTGAGAGCCCAATTTCCTCTGACCATGACACTCTTTTACCAACTAGATGAGAGTCAAAACTGCTGCCCTTAGTCAAAAAGCACTCTATTTTTATATAATAAGGTTGAGTAGTTAACAAATTCAAAACTTATTGAAGAACTAAAACAAGATCAGATTCAGCAAAGGCAGAGAATATTGCTTATTATTACAAATGCATCTCATATTTATTTTTCTTTAGAAGTAATTTGGCCTTTATATGGTTAACTGTCCTAAGCTAAATAGGAAACTTCACTATTAATTCCCTGGAAGTGCCCACTTATTATTTCAAAATATATTGATGACTTTGGAAACCATGGCAGTAAGCGTTGTTGAAATAATGCTTGCTTTGTTACTAATGCTGTTTGCTTTACTCATTTCACTGTGTCACAGGGTTTACCTTTTAAATAATTTAAGGGATATACATATATTTCTAAGGACAACCTACTAGAAAAGACTGCTAGTTTGTCATCTACAAAAGAACACAAATAGATACACTCAGCTACACACACATATACAGACCACAAGAAGTAACAGGAAGCAAAAGTCACATCCTGTGGACTGAAACAAAGTTTCAGAACACTGGCTATGAGGATTTTATCATTCTTTAGCTAGAAAGGCTCATAGATTTTTCTTGTGGGAGGAAGATTCCAAGAAGTTCAATTCATACATCACAACCTTTCAAGGCTGCTATGTTTCAGAAACTCCTATCTAGAAAGGTTGATAGGGCTGCCCTGCTCTTGGTTTCCCATTATTCTGTATCCCTGCTATCAATCTCACACACCAGGAGGGCTAAGAGCAGGGAGTTAGTCATAGTGCAAGATAGTTCAGAGACCCCTTCTAAAACCAGACAGAGAGAGTGTACCAGTTCTGAACAATCCACTCTCTTCAGAATCTTTAAAAAAAATAACACAGAAGTCCTTCCTCTAAATCTCTCTCACCCTCTCTCTTTTTCTCTCTCTCATATCTCATTTCCAACTTCATTGCTTTCCTATTAGTGTGTTTTGTTTTTTAACTTTGAATTTCCCTTATATTTTCCCTAGTTTAAAGTAAAATTCTATTTGAGAGTGTGTCTCCCACTTGTACATACACATACAGAGCCGTTATTGATTAAGGCCAAGTGAGGGAGCTTTTAACTGTTGAAATATTTATATTGGAAAGCCAGTGTCTGCCTCCTAAGCTTTTCAAGAACAAGCCTAAGAAATTTAAAACACTATCTCCTGCTCCAGAGATTGCATATTTAAATTCTTAATGTCCAAGCAAATTTTGCCTATGTCACCTTTGAAAATTTGCTTGATTTTACATCTAAAACTTTCTATGCCATATTTCCATTCCCTTCTTTTATTGGATTATTTCAGCAACAGTAAAAGCCATCCTAATTTTCCCCTGCTGTTTATTCTACATAAAATCTTTATTCATGTATTGTGTGCCAGACACTGTCCTAAGCATGAAAGCTATAAAGGTGAGTGAAATAACCCTAGTTTCTTCTACCATTGATCTTACAGTTTAGTCAGTAAGTCATACATGAATGAAATAATCCCATAGCAACATTTGTTCCAACTAGCTCTGAAAGCCCATGAGTCTTCTGATGATGTCAAGCAGGCCAGTGACCCACTTTGAGAAGTCAAGGAAATGCTTGCTGGAGGAAGCAGAAGGTGAGGTGAGATTTGAAGGATGACTAGAAACATTCATATATTTTTCCTATCATTAATTTGTTGCCATTATGGAGCACAGTTTTCATATAATTTGTAGCTTCTGGTAGATATTGAAGGTTTCTTTCTGCAGAGCCTTTGATTTATTCATATGTTTACCCTCTCATACTTGCTGGGAATATGAGGGTGAAGGTCAGTTGTCTAACCCAATTATAAAAATTCTATTCTTCTTATACATAACTTGTTTAGGCATGGCATGAATTGCAACCCTGGCCAATGAGACAATAGGGGAACTCTTCTGAGGAATTCTGAGAAAAATGTTTAAAAGGTCATATGTTAGGAAAACTGCAGTTCTCACCACTGTATATTGTTACGTGAGGACCTGATGCCTGAACGAGCTGCAGCCATGTTGTAACCACAGACAAGTTGAGGTGTTTCTGTCAAGGTGAGGATGGGAATGTGAAAAAATGGAGGAAAAAGTACCCATACTGATATCAGGTCTTGGGCTTACCTCGGAGTTCCTGCCCTGTCTCTGGACCCACTTTGTGAGATAATAATCAAATATTGTTAAGCTTTTGTCAGATATCATTGAAGCCAAAACAATTCCAATTAGAGAAATACATTCTAATATTTGGATTTAGCAGACTAATTATAAAATCATAACAATGACAGAAAATGATCTGGGAAAATCCCCACAATGTTTAGCTATAGAGAGAGAAGAAATGTTGGAGGATGGAACATGAACGACTTTGACAAGTTTGCAAAAAGCATGTATTCATCAATGACTTCAGTAATTAAAGATTTTTAAAAAAGTGATAAAGTATAAATTTGCATGATTGTTTCAAAATTTAATATTTTCCAGGCATTGGATCAGTGCTTTCAATGTCTGACTTTCAGAGAATATTAAATTAGTCCTCCAATTATATTTTCCTGAAGAAATAAGTGAATTGAACCATTTCAAAGTGTCTGGAAAAGGGAAAAGTCATTGCTTCCACTTCTGTTAACTCCTGCTTGACATTAATCCTGTGAGTACATATCAGTATCATTATTTTGATTTTTGTATATGAGAAATTTCAGCCTCAGGGGTTTAGTAAGGGCACAACTATTGCATGATAATATTAAACTTAAAGCCAAGATTTTCTAACTTAAAAGCCCACGCAGAGGTTTCTCTAAGTAGGCTCTTCTCCTCACAATGTATGACCAGTAATTTATAAGATGGACTATTTTTCATTTTACTTGCAATCCTACTACTCTTTTCACTAATTACTTGAACTCCATAGAATTCTGATGGTTCTTTCTAAAGAGAATAATGAGTTTTCTCTATAATTTCACTACTTGGTTTCTTTGTTTCTTTGCTTTGTTTTGTTTTCATGTTACCAGGGAATATTTTAGCTTTGTGCACTCTAATATTTGGGGTCCTTAAATCAGCCATATCAGAGTCACTTGTTAGACTTGGAAAAAAATATTTCTAGGCTCTATATGAGAGCTGGACCCAATGATAAACATTTATATAAATCCCTTGTGAGAGTCTTAACATATACATCAAAGCTGAAAAACCATCATGCTCAACTCAGAAAATATGCCATTCCTGGTAAATAAAATTCTCCCATTAAAAAAAGAAAAAGTTCGGCCGGGCACGGTGGCTCACACCTGTAATCCCAGCACTTTGGGAGGCTGAGGTGGGCGGATCACGAGGTCAGGATATCGAGACCATCCTGGCTAACATAGTGAAATGCCGTCTCTACTAAAAATACAAAAGATTAGCCAGGCGTGCGCCTGTAGTCCCAGCTACTGGGGAGGCTGAGGTAGGAGAATGGCATGAACCTGAGAGACAGAGCTTGCAGTGAGCCGAGATGCTGCCACTGCACTCCAGCCTGGGTGAGAGAGTGAAGCTCTGTCTGAAAAAAATAAAAATAAAAAAAGAAGAAAAAGTTTATTAAAAATGTAAAAGATCTACATGGTTATATAAACTATCATAAAAATAAATCTATTTTTGTTTTTCTTAATATGTTCAACTCTCAAGAAAGCACATAGCCATTCTTTAACATTTGTTTCATCAAAAGTTAATTTAAAATAATGAATTTTTATCTAATTATACTGAAAATAATTATTCAAGCTGAAAAAGTAATTGATATGTCTGAATTTTCTTTAATAGACAGTACATTTAAGCTAAAACAAGTTATAAGTTCATAATTTGGCTTGATATTATAAAACAGAATCACCCAGGACACTATCTGTTGGAATGATGGCAAATATAGAAGACTGAAAAGTGAGGTTACTTCTTTTTTTATGGATGTAGCAATTAAGACTTTGGGGTTCTCAGGAATCCTGTAGTAGGAAGACCAAAAAATATGTGTTAAATGAAAGTAGATTCTGTTTCATAATCCCAATGTTTTCTTCTTTATACAATCCAAAAAGGAAACAACTCTCTTTAAGCATTTATTTTTCTAAATGAGCAATACATTGTGTATGTATAATATGCTAATTCATAATACAGTCTCTGATATCTCTGATTTCTCTAGATCACAGAAACCTGCAGAAGACAGGAAATCCATTCATTCTTTTAGGCCGACATCTGTTGAATATCTACTGCATTCCAGGCACTGTTGGAGGCAGAAAATGTACAAAATCCAGTAGAACATGGTAAGCAGAGGCAAAAAAAAAAACCTGTAAATACAAGGAAACACAAAGAGCCATGTTTTCACAGATCTGTAGTAATTTGGTGAATGTATGTGGTAGGGAAGAAAGCCCAGTTAGAGCTTCAAAAGGCTTGTGTACTAGATAAAGACTTTGAGCTTTATATTGAAAATTTAAGAAATTCTCAGTCCTGTGTTAAGAAATTACTCTGAATTAAGGGTTAGAAAATTAGATTAGAATTTACTCTCTTTACCCATTTTTTTTTCCCATGGCCAGTGAGTAAATCAGCTAGTTATATGCCAGGGGAAAGTTATTTAATTCCTCTAACTTGACATTTACAATTTGTTTATTCTCAAACTAAGGAGATAGTCAATGCCCCCATGGAGTCCTGCAGTTCCATAGAGCCCTTCCAATCCCTCTGTCTGGAGGAATCTGGAAACGCTCACAAAACACAACATCAGCATTTTTATTTGCTTTATATTTGGGGCTTTGAGTAAGATTACATTTACATAAAGCATTAACTACCCTAGAACAGATATACTCTAAAGAACTCTATCATCATAAAATGTCTAATTCTAATATAATATCCATCAACATATATTGTCTAAATATCAGAAGAATATTTGAAGCATCCAATCAAGAGCATGATTCTTTTCTAAATGAATTACTCAGGACTTTTTGTCACAAGTGACAGAAAATCAACACAAATTAGTTTTTTAAAAAATAGAATTAATTGCCTCATTGACTTAGGGAGGACAGAGGTGGAGCTGGCCTCAGGACAGATCTAGATACCAGTACTCAAATGATGGCATCTGGTTCCCCTCCTCTTCCCTCTCCCACCTTGTCTCATCTTTACTTCTTCATAAGTTGGCTTCAATTTTCGTTTGTACAATTATGCAAGCAGAGGGAAAGAGCAATGAACAGCTCCAAGTTTCCATTATCCAAGTTAGGAAGAATGTAAAAGAAAGCTTCCATTTCTCAAATTACATATAAATTCCAGAGAAGAAAGGTCTGAATGACTAGTCCCAGATCCTGAGTTGATAAGACCCACCTTCATATCTATGGCTGATATTTTCTAAGCAAATTAAATGAACACACTTATACATACACACTTTCCATTATGTTGAAACATAATTTTTAAGCAAAATTCTCACAACTAGTTATAATAAAAGAGTGATCAATGCTACTCTTATTTCAATTTTTGTCACTATAAATAGCCTCTTTAGGAAAGAGTCTTGGCATGCTCTGGCAGTTCATATTAGAGTATTTCTACCTACTATTTTTTATTTCAATTCTGTACTTCTTGAACATGTTTTGATTCTTGAACTGATTTCATCATAATTATTCTCTGGACCAATGATCCATTACTTTCACCTAGGATTTCTACAGAAATTCATTCATTCTTCTTTCATTTGTTCAGTAAGTATTACCAGATTCTTCAGGAGCTGGGATGTATCAGTGAATGAAAGCGTAAAACACTTACCACTTTATTGGGAGCTCATTTTCTATTGAGGAAGACAGACAATAAACAACTAAACAATAAACAAACAGTACAATTTCATATAATGGTAAATGCCGTAAAAAAATGAAGTAGGTTAAGGGATGGAAAGGGGGAAAGCAAGGGCAAAATTCACTGACTTAAAGGAGAAACCTATGTGAAAACCTAAATAGAGCATCCAGACAGACGGAAGAGTAAGTTTAATAAGATAAGTTTCGCTTCTTTAAGGGATAGAATTAATCCTGAAGGGGCTGGAGTGGAGTGAGTTCAATTGGGAAAGCATGGGATGAAGGAAGAGGGCCAGATCAAGTAGACCTTTTTAAGCCATGTTAAGAATTTTAAATTTTTATTTTAAGTATAACAGAAAACCATAGGAAGATTTTGTGCCAGAGGGAAACTTGGTTTGATTTCTAAACTACAATTGTCTGCTGTATGGAGAAGAGAGAGTGAAGGGTTAAGATTAGAAATTGCAAGACCAATTGGAAAGCAATTGCCATAAATCACGGGAAGAGAGTGACAGAGTGAAAATGGTGAAAAGGAGTTTAATTTGAGATAGATGTTGAAGGCAGAGTGACAGGATTTGCTGATGAATTGGATATACCGTATGAGCAGAAGGGAAGGAGAAGAACCAGGATGACTCTTGGATTTCAAGTCTAAGAAACTGAATGTAAGAAGCAGCAAAAACAGTGTTCTAAAGTGTGGACACCTGAGCTTAACCTGCAGCCTTTAGTTCATTCCTTAGGCAAAATTGTCAACTAGCCTAAGTGTAACCCTAGAGAAAGCCATTTCTGAAATGCTCATTGAAAGAGCCCTATTTGAAAATTTCAGATAAATTCCATAGCTTGTTCATGAAAATGCTATTTCTGGTATGAAGGACTCAGAAGTATTGTTTTCAGAAATTCTGGTTCAGCTTTTCTCCACTTATTTATCTTTGTTTATCATGGTTGATTTGAATGATAGTGATTATTTTTGAGTTTTGGGTATGTGATGACTATTTTTCACTGATTTATTTGGCAGCATGTCAACACTTTTATTGAATTTTCACTTGTTTTTCTACAAATATGTTCTAATTTATAAAGATCCCAAGAGTCTACATATTTATGAGCACTCCACTTTATAGTACCCTCTGGGCATTTAACTAGAATGTCCATCCAAAAAGAAATTCAGTTTTAAGACAGAAACAATTCTATATATGGGAGAAATCTATTGTGCAAAATCATTCCCAGAAACCTGATGATAAGGAATTTCCAAAATTTATGATGCTTACAAAGCTCTGAGCATGATATTTGCCATTACTTCATATTTGATTTGTTAAACTGTACTTCCAGAGCCTTTATTTCAAATGTTTCCTGATACACAGTGATTCTAAACAACACTACCATAATCTAAATATCTGGGCCTTCCCATATGCCAAGCTAAAGGTTTGTCCATTCAATTAATAAGCAGCAAATCATCATAAGTACCTAACATTAATATCTAATGCACATTTTACACAAAGATTAAAATAATGCAACTCTCTAAGATTATTCAGCTGCTTTACTCATGAATTTTTAATTCTATCCTTTTGATGATTAACCAGACTCATAAATAAAATTCAGCAAGCACATATTCAGAATCCATAAGCACATTTGTGCCCTACTGAATATTTCATTACTGATCTATATAGTTTCTTGCTAATAACTTTAGGGGAGCTATTGGATCACCATATTTTTAAACATAATCAATATGAGAGAGAGTAGGTATCCTTATAGTATTTCACTTCAAAGCTTATGTTATTTCATTTCCAGAGTCTAAAACTAAAGGAAACAGGAATAGAATCAACATCTTTTGAGTAATGCTATGTACCTTGAAGTTTAGATGTATTACCCACTTTAATCTTCACAACAACCCTATAACGGATAGCAATATTTCCTTTTTTTTCTCTAATTAAAAAGAAAAGAACATGGAAGTTGAGTAACTTTTCTGAAGTCCCGCAACTTACAAGTGGGTGATTTAGAGGTTCTCATTTCCCTGGGAAGTTTCTGTTCTCATCCTATACTCATTTTATAGTAGGATTGAGCCTGTATTTTATTACAAAATCAATTTCAACTATGTGGTACTATTGGAGTGCCGAGACCAGCTCGGTCAGGGAGACCCTAACCCAGCAGCGCTAGAGGAATAAAAGACACACACACAGAAATATAAAGGTGTGAAGTGGGAAATCAGGGGTCTCACAACCTTCAAAGCTGAGAGTCTCGAACAGAGATTTACCCTCATGTTTATTAACAGCAAGCCAGTCATTAGTTTTGTTTCTATAGATATTAGATTAGCTAAAAGTATCCCTTATGGGAAGCTAAGGGATGGGCCAAAATAGAGGGATGGGTTGGGCTAGTTATCTGCAGCAGGGCCATGTCCTTAAGGCACAGATTGCTCATGCTATTGTTTGTGGTTTAAGAATGCCTTTAAGCGGTTTTCCACCCTGGGTGGGCCAGGTGTTCCTTGCCCTCATTCCAGTAAACCTACCACCTTCCAGGATGGATGTTATGGCCCCAATGAACATGTCACAGTGCTGCAGAGATTTTGTTTATGGCCAGTTTTGGGGCTAGTTTAAGGCCAGATTGGGGGGGGCCTGTTCCCAACATGTCCCCCTTCTTTGATTTGCAAAGTGATGAAAGCAAGGGCAGCTTTGTCATGGTGAGCTACTTCTCACAGGAGTCAGGATCCACATCTGCAGACTATACAAAGACAAACAACACAGATTAAAAGCACAATCACCATTGGATAAATATGCCCAATAAGTACAGTTGTTCTCTGTGTCAGCCCTTATTGAAGGAATACTCATGGCAGTGGTGATCACTGCTATCATAGCTACCATTAAATTACTCATTGTGACTGGCTGTCCTGCTCTCCTCAGGTTTTCTTCTGCCACCTGTGACAGCTTCTTGATCTGTCCCCAGGTGGGTGGCTGTGTTCAATGGGTGTTGCTTGTGACAGTCGGGGTCCTCCTCAGCATCAGTCTTGACAGGGATGCAACCAAGGGGTCCTCGGGATCCTACCAGAATCTCTTCCTCAGCATCTGGCTCATGATAAGGTTTAAGGTGTCTTGATGGTATCCAAATCAGCTGTTGATTCAGTCCTGGAGAAACACACGCATAACCTCTACCCCAAGTTATTATTTTACCTATTTCCCAAATTTTTGTTATAGGATCTCTCCACCAAACCAATTGTTCTGCTTCTGTCTTTGCAGCTGGTTTCTGTAGATGCTATTCAGCTGGGCAGGCTCAAAAAATTTAAAGTTAATAATGCTAGATTCAATTGTGTATGGGCTGTCCCATAATCCCTATTTCTCTCCCTTTTTTGTTTTTGTCATCAGTTGTTTATCTGTATGAAATAGTAACTGAGCATTTTTAATTAACTGTGTGGAAAGAACCATGTATGAAGAATCAGAAATCACATTAATAGGCATATTAAAAGCAGTCAATACCTCAATTACAGCTACAACCTCCGCTTTTTGAGCTGAAGTAGAGGGAATCTGGAAAACTTTACTTTTTGAGCCAGAAAAAGAAGCTTTACCATTACTGGACCCATCTGTAAAACAATAAAAATGCTTAGCAGGCCGCAGGTTGTTTGCAGGAATTGTAAATGCAAACCATTCACAGTCTTGCTCAGCTAAAGGGATAGTAAAGAAACAGTCTTTTAAATCTATCATTATTAAAGGCCATTTTTTTTGCTATTATAGCAGGAGAAGGCAATCCTGGCTGTAATGCTCCCGTAGGTCGTATAACTGGACTGATGGCTCTTAAGTCAGTTAACATTCTCTGTTTACCTGATTTTTTCTTAATTACAGAAACTGGAGAATTCCAAGGGGAAAATGTTGGAGCTATGTGCCCATTTTCTAATTGTTCAGTAACTAATTCCTCTAATGCCTCCAGTTTCTCTTTACTTAGCGGCCATTACTGTATCCAAATTGGCTTATCTGTTAACCATTTTAAAAGTATAGGTTCTGGAGGCTTAACAATGGCCACCATCAAAAATGATATCCTAATTTTTTGGTGGGAACTTTGTCTTTCCACTTGAAGCAGTTCTTTCAAATCTTGCAATTTTTTTTCTACTCCCATACCAGGGACATACCCCATTTCATGCATCATATGTTGATTCTGAGGGCTATATAATTGTTCTGGAATTAGAACTTGTGCTCCCCATTGTTGCAATAAATCTCTTCCACATAAATTTATAGGTACAGAAGTTATAATTGGTTGAATAGTCCCAAGTTGTCCATCAGGCCCTTCACAGTGCAAAATATAGCTACTTTGATATACTTCAGGGGCTTTACCAACTCCAACTATGTTAAATTGAGCAGGTTGAATTGGCCACATGGATGGCCAGTGCTGTAGAGAAATGATTGAAGTGTCCACTCCTGTATCTACCAAACCTTTAAATTTCTTTCCCTGAATAGTTATTTCACAGGTAGGACGTTTATCAGTAATTTGATTTACCCAATAAGCTGCTTTTGCTTACTTGTGCTTCCAAATCCTCCTGTTTATTTAATTTCACTTTTTTCCATTCCTACGTATGGCACATTCAGGAGCTGTGCTATGCGCTCTCCTGGCTCTGCTTTCCAGGGAACAGAAGGATTTTTTTTCCAGGGAATTTGAATTTCCCCATTATAATCTGAATCAATGACTCCTATATGTATTTGTACCCCTTTTAAATTTAAACTAGACCTTCCTAAAAGTAATCCTATCATCCCCACTGGCAAGGGTCCACAGACTCCTTTTGGGACCTTTTGTGGGGGTTCCCCAGGCAAAAGGCTCACAGGTTTGTGCAGCATAAATCTACTACGGCACTACCGGCTGTGGTGGGGTACAGACATCATACAGGGGTGAGGGAATGGCCTAAGCTGGAAATGCCGTGGTTTGGAATGGGGCCTGGGACAAGCCCCTCATGGCATTTCCTGAAATCAGGTTCCCATCTTTATCAAACTTAGAGTGACACTGATTAGCCCAAAGTTTTCCTTTTTTACATTTTAGACATATTTCAGATTCAGCAGTTTTATTTTTTCCCCCTATCTGGTGGCCTGACTCACTGATAATTTCTACATTCTTTTTTAGTATGAATAGCTTGTTTAAATTCTTTGAGTAATTGAAAAGGAAAAGGCTCAAATGTAGCTATAATATTTCCCTGTTGGTCTGGGGGGTGTATTCTAAAAGAGAACTGCCAAGCCTCTGAATCACCCTCATGTCTAGCTTGCTGAATTCTTGCCTGAATAGAATTAAGAGTGGTTGCTCAAGGTGCTGCTTGAACAGTCACTGGGGCAACTACTTTTCACCCAGTGTCCTCTGGAAAAGAAAGATCTGGAGGGTCAGACCACTCTTTTTCTTCAAAATAATAATGAGAGGGTGCAGAATGGTAGGGATTAACCTCTCCCTCCTTTGCCACTTTAGCTTTAGCTGGCAAACAAACCTGCTCTGTAACCTCTTCTGTTACTTCATTATACTCTCCTTCCTCCTCATCATTAGTGTGAAAAAGTTCCAAAGTGGAACGAACCAGAGCCCATACTTGTCCCATTATTACCCTGATGCTTCTGAGCTCCCCTTCTTACTCACCACGGGAATTGCTTTAAGAGTACTCAGGTCCGGCTGGGTGCAGTGGCTCATGCCTGTAATCCCAGCACTTTGGGAGGCCGAGGCAGGTGGATCACAAGGTCAGGAGATCGAGACCGTCCTGGCTAACACGGTGAAAACCCATCTCTACTAAAAATACACAAAGTTAGCCAGGTGTGGTGGTGGGTGCCTGTAGTCCCAGCTATGTGGGAGGCTGAGGCAGGAGAATGACGTGAACACAGTAGGTGGAACTTGCAGTGTGCCAAGGTCGCACCACTGCACTCCAGCCTGGGTGACAGAGTGAGACTCCCTCTCCAAAAAAAAAAAAAAATAGTACTCAGTTGTCCTCCAGCTTAGTTCCACGTTCTCCAACTGTTGCTCCAGCGACTCTTCAACCTGGATTCGAGCCCTGACGTATGGGTTCCACTTTCAGAGACCAGCTTGGTTGGAGAGACCCTAACCCAGCAGAGCTAGAGGAATTAAAGACACACACAGAAATATAGAGGTGTGAAGTGGGAAATCAGGGGTCTCACAGTCTTCAGAGCTGAAAGCCTTGAACAGAGATTTACCCACGTATTATTAACAGCAAGCCAGTCATTAGCATTGTTTCTATAGATATTAGATTAACTAAAAGTATCCCTTATGGGAAACCAAGGGATGGGCCAAAATAAAGGGATGGGTTGGGCTAGTTATCTGCAGCAGGAGCATGTCTTTAAAGCACAGATCGCTCATGCTATTGTTTGTGGCTTAAGAACACCTTTAAGCGGTTTTCCACCTGGGGTGCGCCACGTGTTCCTTGCCCTCATTCCAGTAAACCCACAACCTTCCAGTGTGGGCATTATGGCCATCATGAACATATCACAGTGCTGCAGAGATTTTGTTTATGGCCAGTTTTGGGGCCAGTTTATGGCCAGATTTTGGGTGGCCTGTTCCGAACATTGGAGTTTGTGCTGGTTAATATAAAATATTAACTTGGCTAGGCTGTGGTGCCCAGATGTTTTCTCAAACTCTAGTATAGATGTGGCTGTGGAGGTATATTCTACCTAAGTTTTTAATCTCATCAGAAATTAATAACTTTAATCAGTAGGCTTCAAATAAAGCAGATTATTCTTTCTAATGTGAGTAGACCTCATCCAATCAGTGAAGGGCCTTAAGAACAAATACTCAGTTTTCCCAGAGAAAAAGTATTTTGGTTTTAAGACTACAATATAAAAACTGCCTGAGTTTCCAGCCCATCTGGCCTGCTTTGCAAATTTCAATCTCAAGACTGCATGCAACATCAAATCTTACCTGAATTTCCTTTCTTGCTAGTTTGCCATATAAGTTTTGGACTTATCAGTCCCTACAATTATGTAAACTAATTTCATAGAATAAATCTCTTTCTCTCTCTCTTCTTTCTCTATCACTATATGAGATGTAATATGTATATTATATAGTTGATATATTTGTTCTGTTTCTCTAGAAAACTCTAATACAAATTTTGGTAATAGGAAGTGGAGTGTTGCTATAGAGTATACCTCAAAATGTTAAAGCAGCTTTGGAAATGAGGGATGGGTAGAGTCTAGAAGAGTTTCAAGGTGCATAATAGAAAAAGCAGAGTGTGCCCTAGGAGCCTGTTACTAGAAATATGAATATTAAAAGTGCTTCTAATAAAGTATCAGGTGGAAATTGGAAACATGTTATTGAAAACTGGAAAAGAAGGCAATCCTTATCATTAAGTAGTACAGAACCTGGCTGAATTTTGTTCCACTGTTTTGTGGAAAATAAACTTGTAAGTGATGAACTTTCATATTTAGAGGAGGTTTCTAAGTGAAGTGTTGAAGGCATCACCTGATTTCTCCTTTCTGCTTATGATAAACTGTGAGAGAAGAGAGATAATTGAAGAAATAAATGTTAAGCAGAAATAAACTAGAACTGGAAGATTTGTACAGTTCTCTGCCTATTCATATTGCAAAAAAAATGAGAAAACATGCTCTAGAGAGAACTTCAAACTTGTGGTTGGGCAACCCTGCTTTAAAGAGATTAGGTATGTTACTTGTGTTTGTAGTCAACAATCTTAAGAGAAATACCACCAGTTTGCACTGAAGGAAGCAGGGAGAGGCTGAAATGAAAGAAGGGTTTTGCCCTTCAGGGATTCTACAGGAAAGAAATGGCTTTATAAAGCTATCTGAGGCCAGGTGCAGTGGCTTACACTTGTGATCCCAGCACTTTGGGAGGCCGAGATGGGTGGATCATGAGGTCAGGAGATCGGGACCATCCTAACACGTTGAAACCCTGTCTCTACTAAAAATACAAAAAATTAGCCAGGCGTCGTGGCGGGTGCCTGTAGTCCCAGCTACTTGGGGGGCTGAGGCAGGAGAATGCTGTGAACCCAGGAGGCGGAGCTTGCAGTGAGCCAAGATCGCGCCACTGCACTCCAGCTTGGGCAACAGAGTGAGACTCCGTCTCAAATAAATAAATAAATAAAGCTACCTGAATATGAATTTGTGTTATCTTTCAAGAAAAGCAAAAACTGATCCTCAGGATGGTGCTGTCACCCTGGTGGGCCTAGAGGACAGAGCATCAAGCCAAAGAGAATTATTCCCTAGCCTTAGAATCTAATGAAATTTGATTAGATTGCTAGGTTTGGAATTTTCTTGGGACACCATAATCTCTCTCTCTCTCTCTTTCTCTCTCTCTCTCTTTCTCTCTCTGTGTCTCTTTTTTCTATTTTTCCCTTTTGGAATAGACATATGTATTCTATACCTGTTCCACTGTATTTTGGAAACAGATGATTTCAAGTTTTTTTCCCAGAATCATACCACAATTGATTTCAATTGTTTAGATAATGAGATTTGAGATGTTGAGATGATGAAGTCTTGATGAGACTTTTGGCCCAAGAGAGTCAATGCTGGAATGATTAAGATTTTTTTTGGGATGAATATATTTTGCACATAGGAAAGACTTGAATTTGGGGTGGGGCACAGAGGGCAGATTGTTATAATGAGGCAGAAATTAGAGAAAGAAGAAAAACAAAATTAAAAAAGAGAAAAACAAGCTTTCTATATTAGGCTGACTCATCCCAAAGGCAGTAGTAGGCAAAGCCCAGACCCAGGTGTAGTCTTGATAACATTATCAAAGGAGCTGAGGCTCAAAGGAATGTCCTCTGGAGACTCTCCCAGCACTCCCTGAACATAAGAATAAGTAAAGTTCCCCCTCAAATCCCACCTGCTTCCATGTGATTGTACCTTGCTCTGTAAGTTTTTTGAATTTATAGATTCATGTTTTCTGTAACTAGTAGCTTCAAGTATTCTGTTTTATCTGAGAAGTACAGTGAAAATTATAAGACATGCCTGAGCAGGCCTCGGCTGCAGCCATCTGGGCACCATAGCAAAGGTTATGAGATAAGCCTGTGAAAGGCTTTTTTGAGCAAGCCTAGGTAACAGCCATCTGGGCTGCATAGTAAGGGTCATATGTAATTCTGGGTTTTGCACCTGTCACAATTTGATTAACTGCCTTTGTTCTGCCTCTGTATCCTTGCTTTCACACCAGTATGCTTCATGCCACTGTAAGCTTGTTTCAGGCTAGCCCATCCCCTTTTAGAAGTGTGTATAAAAAGTCAAGTGTTGTCTTTGTTCTTTGCCCAGTTTTCAGATGTTAATCTGCTTGGTCTGAGTGCACTCAATAAATCCTTCTATATTTACCCCATGGTCTTTCTGATCCTCCTGATTCCCTCAACAATAGGTTACATTGTATCCCCCTAAAAAGGTATTTTGAATCTCAAACTCCAAAGTTTCCAGACTTTATTTAGAGATCAGCTCTTCACATAAGCAATCAAATTAAAATGCAATAATTAGCAAAGGCCCTAATCCAATATGACTGCTGTCCTTATAAAAAGGGGAAAATTTGAACACAAAACCAGACAGGTATGTAAGGAGAATGTCATGTGAAGATTAGAATTATGCTGCCACAAGCCAAGGAGAGAGGACTGGAATAGATCCTTTCCTGGTATCTTCAAAGAGAATGTGGTTCTGCCAACACATTGATCTCAGACTTCCATAACTGAGATTCATTCTATTACTTCGGCCACTCAGTTTGTGGCACTGTTATGGTAGTCCTAGCAAACTCATACAGATTTCAATAGAATTTTTATGGAGACTTCATGGAAATATGGGGAAGAGGAATTTATATATCTCCACAAGCAGTGATACTGAATAAATTCCCTATTACTGACATCCCTTCCAGCTCCAACTGGTCTCAGCTCTCTCTATATTTTGCTCCACTCAGTCTCTCAATCTTGTCTCTGGTTCTTACCTAAATGTACTCATTTCCTTAAAGAAAAACAAAAGGTTTTTGCAGTTAAGGAGCCCTGGAATTTTAGAAAACAGCTTAACATTACATAATTATTTCTCCCTCTGTTTCTACCCCAAATACATCAACAAAGTATTCACCCAAGAACACAGCCTTCTTTTAGATAGCAATTAAAATACTTTTCTTCTGTTTGTCTTTCTTTGAATCTTGCCCTTTGAAACTAGCACTTGTATTTACATTTGGCATTAAATGGGCTTCAGGCTTGCATCTTAAGATGGAATTTGATGCAAAAACTTCAATAGATTAAGCATTACTGTAGATCATAGCCTATATCAATTGACATTTTTAAAACTTGGAAATAAAATAGCTCATAAATGGGCTTTCCTTACCTGTATATGGTCAAAAAAGAAAGAAACTGACAGCCTGGAGCATCAGAGATAAGAATGGTAATGGGTCAGGAGAGAGGAACCACCAGCCTTTAATAACTCATGCTTGGGCTCTGGCACCATTTTGGTTGCTGAACTGGTTCCAATATTTCTTTTCCCTCTCTACTTTTACCTGAATAACATTACCGTCTTGTTTACTTCTCTGTTTAAACAATTTTACTGGTGAATTCATAACATGGAAATTAATGCCTATATGACGTCATATTCTAGGAATATCTTTGTACTTCAGAAGCTTCAGTAAAAAGATGAATGGCAATTTATTTTTCATATAATTTCAAATTTCATTTTAGATTTAGGGGGTACATATGTAGGTTTGTCACATGAGTATATCGTGTGATGCTGAGATGGTTTAGAGTATGAATGACCCCATCACCTAGATAGTGAGCATAGTACTCAATAGGTAGTTTTTCAACCCAGCTCTCCTCTGTCTACCCTCCAGTAGTCCCCAATGTCTACTCTTGCAAATTTTATGTCCATGAGTATGCAGTGTTTAGTTCCTACTTATTAGCGAGAATATGCAGTTTTGGTCTTCTGTTCCTGAATTAATTTGCTCAGGATAATGGCCTCCAGCTGCATCTATATTGCCACAAAGGACATGATTACATTGATTTTTATAGTTGCATAGTATTCCATTCCGCATATATGCCACATATTCTTTGTCCAACTCACTGTTGATGGGCACCTAGGTTCATTTCTTGTCTTTGCTATTGGGAATAGTGCTGTGATGAATATATGAGTGTATGTATCTTTTTAGTAGAACAATTTGTTTTCTTTTGGATACAAACCCAGTAGTGAGATAGCTGGGTAAAATGGCCATTCTAAGTCCTTTGAAAAATCTCCAGACTGCTTTCCACTGTGGCTGAACTAATTTACATTCCCACCAACAGTGTAAAGCATTCCCGTTTCTTCACAGCCTTTCCAGCATCTGTTGTTTTTTGACTTTTTAATACTAGTCATTCTGACTGCTGTAAGAATTTTAGTAATAGCATTCTAACTGGTATCACTGTTGTTTTGATTTGCATTTCTCTGGTGATTGGTAAGGATGACCATTTTTTTACATGTTTGTTGGCCACTCATGTCTCCTTTTGAGAGGCATCTGCTCATGTCTGCTGCCCATTTTTAATGGGGTTATTTGTTTTTTGCTTGTTGATTTGTTTATGTTCCTTGTAGGTTCTGGGTATTAGACCTTTATCAGATGCATAGTTTGTGAATATTTTCTCCCATTCTGTAAGTTGTTTGTTTACCCTGTTGACAGTTTCCTTTGCTATATAGAAGGTCTTTAGTTTTATTAGGTCTGACTTATCAATTTTTGTTTTCGTTGCAATTGCTTTTAAAGACTTAGTCAAAAAATCTTTGCCAAGGCCAATATCAAGAAGGGTATTTCCGAGGTTTTCTTCTAGGACTTTTATAATTTGAGGTCTCACGTTTAAATCTTTAATCTATCTTGAGTTAATTTTTGTATATGGTGAAAAGTAAGGGTTCAGTTTCATTCTTCTGCATATGGTTAGCCAGTTATTCAAGCACCATTTATTGACTAGAGAGTCCTTTCCCCATTGTTTATTTTTGTTGTTCTTGTCAAAGATCAGATAGTTGTAAGTGTATGGCTTTATTTCTGAGTTTTCTATTCTGTTCCATTGATCTACATGTCTATTTTCATACCAGTACCATGCTCTTTTGGTTACTGTAGCCTTACAGAATTGTTTGATACCTGGTAATGTGATGCCTCCAGCTTTCTTTTTTTTTCTTGAGACAGAGTCTCACTCTGTGGCCCAGGCTGGAGTGCAGTGGCATGATCTCGGCTCACTGCAACCTCTGCCTCCGAAGTTCAAATGATTCTCCTGCCTCAGCCTCCCAAGTACCTGGGACTGCAAGCATGTACCACCACACCCAGCTAATTTTTGTATTTTGAGGATAGATGGGGTATCACCATGTTGGCCAGGTTGGTCTCAATCTCTTGACATTATTATCTGCCCGCCTTGGCCTCCCAAAGGGCTGGGATTACAGGCATGAACCACTGCACCTGGCCTCCAGCTTTCTTTTTTAACTTAGGATTGCTTTGGCTATTCAGGCTCTTTTTTGTTCCAGATGAAATTTAGGAATAGTTTTTCCTAATTCTGTTAAAAATGATGTCAGTAGTTTGATAAGACTAGCCTTAAATCTGTAGACTACTTTGGACAATATGGCCAATCCATGGACATGGGATGTTTTCCTATTTGTGTCATCTATGATTTCTTTCATCAGTGTTTTATAGTTCTCTTATGGAGATTTTTTCCTCCTTGGTTAGATGTATTCCCAGGTATTTTATTTTTTTGTGGCTATTGTAAATGGAATTGAATTTTTGATTTGCCCCTCAATTTGAAACATGTATAGAAATGCCATTGATTTTTATACATTGATTTTGTATTCTGAAACTTTATTGAAATTATTTATCAGTTCCAAGACACTTTGGCAGAATCTTTAAGGTTTTCTAGGTATAGAATCACATCATCAAGGAAGAGACATAGTTTGATTTCTTCTTTTTCTATTTAAATGACTTTTATTTCTTTCTCTTGACTGATTGCTCTGGCTAGGACTTCCAGTACTGCATTGAACAAGAGTGGTGAGTCTGGGCATACGTGTCTTGTTCCAGTTCTCAAGGAGAATGCGTCCTGCTTTTGCCTGTTCAGTGTGATGTTAGCTGTGGATTTGTCATAGATGGCTCTTATTATTTTGAGGTATTTTCCTTCAATGCATAGTTTGTTGAGGGTTTTTATTATGAAGGGATGTTGAAGTTTATTGAAAGCTTTCTCTGCATCTATTGAGATGATCATATGGTTTTTGTTTTTAATTCTGTTTACGGGGTGGATCACATTCATTGATTTGCATATGTTGAACCAAGCTTGCATCCCATGAAGGAATGCTTACTTGATCATGGTGAATGAACTTTTTTATTGCTGCTGGATTCAATTTACTAGTATTTTGTTGAGTATTTTTTTGTGTCTATGTTCATCAGAGATATTGGCCTGTAGTTTTTTTCTTGTTGCTGTTGTTGCAGCTTTGCCAGGTTTTGGTATCTGGGTGATGCTGGCTTCAGAGAATGAATTAGGGAGGAGTCCCTCCTCCTCAATTTTTTGGAATAGTTTCAGTAGAATTGGTACTAGGTCTTCTTTGTACCCCTGGTAGGATTTAGCTATAAGTCCATCTGGTCCAGGGCTTTTTTTTTATTGTTAGATTTCTTATTATTGATTCAGTTTCAGAACTTGATATTTGTCTGTTCATGGTTTCATTCTCTTCCTGATTCAATCTTGGGAGATTATGTTTTTCCAAAAATTTATCAATTTTCTCAAGATTTTCTAGATAATGTGCATAGAGGTGGTTCATAATAGTCTCTGACGTTCTTTCATATTTCTGTGGGATCCATTGTAATGTCACTGATATTGTTTAGATGTCTATCTCCTTCAAATCTCATATTGAAATGTGACCTCCAATGTTGAATGTGGAGCCCTAGTGGGAGGTATTGGAATATGGCAGCAGGCCCCTCATGAATGGCTTAGAACCATCCCGTTGGTGATGAGTGAGTTCTCACTGAGTTAGTTCATGCAAGATCTGATTGCTTAAAGGATTCTGGGACCTACCTCTTCTTTCTCTTGCTCACACTCTTACCACGTGATATACCTGCTTACCCTTCACCTTATGCCATGATTTTAAGCTTCCTAAGGTCCCATCAGAAGCTGAGCAGAGGCCAGCACCATGCTTCCTTTATAGCTCACAGAATTGTGAGACAATTAAACCTCTTTTGTTTAAAATTACCCAGCCTCAGGTATTTCTTTACAGCAACACGAAAATAGAATAGCACAGTCATCTTTGTCATTTCTGATTGTGCTTAGTTGGATTTTCTTTTTTTCTTTGTTAATCTAGCTAGTGGCCTATCAATCTCATTTTAATGCTTTCAAATAACCAACTTTTGGTATAATGGATTCTTTGCATGGATCATTTTTTCTGCTCTGATTTAAGTTTATTATTTTATTTTGCTAGCCTTGGGGTTAGTTTATTCCTGTTTTTCTGATTCCTCCAGGCTAGATTATTAATCTGAGATCTTCCTAACTTTCTGAGGTAGGTGTTTAGCATTACAAATTTTCCTCTTAACACTACTTTTGCTGCATCCCAGATTTTGATATGTTGTCTCTGCTTTGATTTATTTCAAATATCTTTTTTTCATTTCTGCCTTAATTTTGACGTTTACCAAAAGTCACGCAGATCTATGTTGTTTAATTTCCATGTAATTGTATGCTTTTTGAGCTATCTTCTTGGTATTCATTTCTATTTCTGTTCCACTGATCCAAGAATATGGCTGGTATAATTCCAGGTTTTTTTTATTTATTAAGACTTATTTTATGGCTGAGTATACGGTTGATCTTGGCATATGTTCTGTGTGCAAATGAGAAGAATGTATATTCTGTGGTTTATGTGTGGAGTATTCTGAAGATGTTAGGTCCAATTGGTCAAGTGATAAATTTAAGTCCAGGATTTCTTTGTTAGTTTTCTGCCTCAAAGATCTGTCCAAGGCTGTCAGTGGGGAATTGAAGTTACCCACTGTTATTGTGTGGCTATGAATGGCAACTTATATGCCAGTTATGTACATTCTCTTTAGAAACTGGAATAAGAAACTTTCAATACATGAATTTTAAACCTAAATGAATTTTTAAACCTAAATGAATATTCCTATAGAATTAATAATGTCAAGATTCTTGTAGTAAATTTTACAAGTCAATAAAAGTAAACACAAGAAAATAGTATCCACAAACCAAAAAGAATAATTACTCTAGTATCCTGATATATCTGCCTGTAATCTTTTTATGCAGTGTTATTGAAAAGTGTCACATTACAATTACCTACTATGTCACTGATTTCAAATTAATTGTTTAACTATTATTAATTTGGCATCTTTGAAAAATAAACATATATATATAGTAGCATTTACTTATAAAGTTGAAGCCATAGGCTGCTTACTCAATAGTATAACCATGAATTAATAAACACCCAGGAAGCTGGAAGAGCTGTAGGAGATAGAACATAAAGAACTCATGTTCTTTATTTTTGAAGCAAATGAAACTAAAGGTTCCACTTTTATCATTTTCAAAAGCCCAAAAGGACTACTTCGAATATTAATTGTGGATAGAGTAAAGCTTGATTTCCTGGAGCTCTGTCTCTCTATTCTTTATCCTTCTCTTGCCCATTTCCTATCACTTAGATACAAAATATTTTTGGTTTTCTCTCCTCTACCAAAACCTAAACTTGTAATCTCAGTCACAGTAAGATGTCAATGGCTTAAAACAGCTTAAAATACCTCTCATTGGCTAATTTAATTTTAAAAATACATCAAAGCCTTAATATAAGAGCATGATGCACTTAAGTTAAAATTTTGGTCAACATCTAGTCATCTAGTGAGTAAGGTAGCAAGTCATTGATAAGATTATGGGTTTGCTGATCAATGATTACAATTATGCTATGTGGATAGTAATTTTTTCTATTTATATGTTTCGACATGGATTATTATTTTCAGATACCACTCACTTAAATTTTCCAAATCAGGCTTCGATTCATGAAAACGATCAGATTTGGGCCATCTTTGATTCCACAGAGACTAAAAGAATAAAAAGCAGCATCTGTATTGCTTCTTTTCACCATGGAGTACTTCAAATCCATATCAGAGCCATCTGT
This sequence comes from Homo sapiens, assembly GCF_000001405.40. Classification (NCBI taxonomy): domain Eukaryota; kingdom Metazoa; phylum Chordata; class Mammalia; order Primates; family Hominidae; genus Homo; species Homo sapiens. The sequence goes on along the minus strand of NC_000005.10, from coordinate 44,976,421 downwards.
AATACAATTCTGGGAATATATATCATACACTTGACATTACCTTGAAGTCAAAACTAAAATGTAATAAATATTTGTAAAGCTCATACTATAAAAAAGGCTCTGTTTACATGTTAAAAACAACTATACACAACCTAGAACACTTAAATGGAGAAAACAGATACATGTTAATAGTTAAACAAATAGCTGTAGATTCTCTCAAACTTCCACACCAAACCTAAGACAGCTCTCATTTCCAAATCCAGTCTCTATGGAATAGTATCCCAATAATGTTTCCAAGTGTGTCCGGAATCGGCGGGTTCTTGGTCTCACTGACTTCAAGAATGAAGCTGCAGACCCTTGCAGTGAGTGTTACAGTTCTTAAAGACGGTGTGTCGGAAGTTTGTTCCTTCAGATGTTCAGATGTGTCCAGAGTTTCTTCCTTCCAGTGGGTTCATGGTCTCACTGACTTCAGGAGTGAAGCCACAAACCTTCCCAGTGAGTGTTACAGCTCTTAAAGGTGGCACGTCCGGAGTTGTTTGTTCCTCCCGGTGGTTTTGTGGTCTCACTGGCTTCAGGAACAAAGCTGCAGACTTTTGCACTGAGTGTTACAGCTCATAAAGGTAGTGTGGACCCAAAGAGTGAGCAACAGCAAGATTTATTGAGAAGAGGGAAAGAACAAACCTTCCACAGTGTGGAAGGGGATCTGAGCCGGTTGCCTCTGCTGGCTCCCGTGGCCTGCTTTTATTCCCTTATTTGACCCCACCCACATCCTGCTGATTGGTCCATTTTATAGAGAACTGATTGGTCCATTTTACAGAGAACTGATTGGTCCGTTTTGACAGAATGCTGATTGGTGCGTTTACAAACCTTTAGCTAGACACAGAGTGCTGATTGGTTCATTTACAATCTTTTAGCTAGACTGAAAAGTTCCCAACCAGATTAACTAGACACAGAGCACTGATTGGTGCATTTACAAACCTTTAGCTAGACACAGAGTGCTGACTGGTGCATTTACAAACCTTTAGCTAGACATAGAGTGCTGATTGGTGTGTTTACCATCCTTTAGCTAGACAGAAAAGTTCTCCAAGTCCCTACCCATCCCAGAAGCCCAGCTGGCTTCACCTCTCACTGGCACTCTCCAGAGGACTTGGCAGCACCTAGCCCTGGCACTCTGGCAGCCCAGAGGGAGCTTGTCCCAGACAATCAATAGGAAAAGAGGGGAAGGGAGAAAGAGATGGAGACCTGCTATCTTAGCCAACAATCCCGCGAAGAAAGAATGGTGGTCCACGCACAGGATTCAGCCTCCGATCAAGCCCAGCAGGCACTGACCAGCTGCGCCGAGTGTGGGGCTTGCTGAGCCCGTGCTCACCTGGAACCTGCGCTAGCCAGTGAGCACCACATGCAACCCCAGCTCCCACCCACGCCTCCTCTTCACACTTCCCCAGAAGCAGAGGGAGCCAGCTCCGGCCTCGGCCAGCCCCTGAGGGGCCCTCATAGCGCAGCGCAGCAGTGGACTGAAGGGCTCCTCAAGTGCAGCCAGAGCGGAAGCTGAGGCCGAGGAGGCGCCGAGAGCAAGCGAGGGCTGCTAGCACGTTGTCACCTCTCACAAGTACATCTTCAAGGTTAAGTTGAGATATTTTTTAGATGGAGTCTCACTCTGTCACCAGGCTGGAGTGTAGGAGCACGATCTCGGCTCACTGCAACCTCTGCCTCTTGAGTTCAAGTGGTCCTCCGGCCTCAGCCTCCTGAGTAGCTGGGACTACAGGTGCATGCCAGCGTGCCCAGCTAATTTTTTGTATTTTTAGAGGAGATGGGGTCTCAACATGTTGGCTAGGGTGGTCTTGATCTCTTGACCTCATGATCTGCTCACCTTGGCCCCCCAAAGTGCTGGGATTACAGGTGGTAGCCATGGCACCTAGCCAAGTTGAGATTTATGCACAAGAAACTGATCATGAATAATCAAATTCACAACTTTGAAAGTCTCTCTGAGGATAAAATTAATCAAATGAAGCAGTTAATAAATGTAGGTTCTACTGTGTGGACGTACTAAGGAGTACTTTTGGCACTACTATTAAATTTATTAACTGAAATAAGAAGTATTAGTAATGTTTTAAAAAATAGACCTGTGGAGTTCTGCATAGCTCTACCAGTTATCCCATAAATGATCAATGCCCTCATTTAAGTTGCTGTAGATTATCTCTAAAAGCCTTAAAAAAGTGATAAAGGTGCTTACATTAAGAACTAAAATATCAGGTCTAGTAATTTATAAGACAAAAGCTGTTGAAAATTATTTTTTTCAATTAAAAATTCTAGAGTTGTTGGTAACTCTGACTTGGATGGGTTAGACCCTAACAGTGTGTTTCTCTGGACAGCCCAAATGTAGGCACTCTAGCACACAATTTGCACAATAATGAGGACACATGGATCTGAGTCCTATCTAAGAAACTTGTATGACTTTTGGATAGGCAATGAGTTTTATGATGAAAGACCAAAAGTATCACTTATAAGAGATAAAAATTGCAAATTAGACTTTATCAAAATTTAAAATTTTTACTTTGCAAAAGCACTATTAAAGATTGAAAATACAGTCGAGGGAGAAATATTTTCAAATTACATACCTGCTATAAATCTTACATCCTGAATATATAAAGAATGTTTAAAACTCAGTAAAATAATTCAATTAAAAATGTGCAAAATATCTGAACAGGCACTTCACAAAGAAGACATATGAATGGCAACCAAGAATATTGCTTATCATTAGGGAAATACAAATTAAAATAACAATGAGATGCCACTACACATTTATTAGAATTATCAAAATCAAACAAATTGATAATTCTCAATGCTGGAAAGGGAGTGGAAAAACAAGAACAAGAACTCTCATTCATTACTGGTGGGGATAGAAAATGATAAACCATTTTGGGAAATAGTTTGGCAGTTTCTTACAAAGTTTTAAAAGGAGAAATCTTATTTCTAGATACTTACCCAAGTAAACTGTTCACACAAAAATTCATAAACAAAAGTTCATAGCAGCTTCATTCCTAATCTACCAAAACTGGAAACAATTAAGATGTCCTTCATCAGTTGAGTGGATAAAAAACTGGTACATCCATCAAATGGACTGCTGTTATTCAACAATAAAAATAAATAATCCATTGATTTATATAACAGTATGGATGAATACTAAATGCCTTTTGTAAGATGAAAGAGCTCAGAGCCCAAAGACCACATATTACATGATTTCATTCAAATAAAATTCTGGAAAAGAAAAAAAAAAACTATAGGTGGAAACCATATCAATGGTTGCCAGGCATTGGGAAAGGGGAGAGTGGTTGACTACAAAAGGCCAGACAGAGAAATCTTTAGGGTAATGGAACTCTTCTTCTCTAGGGCACTGTGGTGGGGAATACATGACTCCACGTATGTATTAAAACTCATGCAGAGTAAACTTTACTGTATACAAACTTCAAAAAGATCAACCAAGATTTTAGGGATTACAGGATAAAATGCAGACTGTGACAAATGAATTTTACTGTGTTGTATATATATGACCTAACCTTGATGAAGGGGATAAGGAATAAAAGGAGCAGATCTAAGTAACTTTAGAAAATAGTGTTTTGACTGAATATGAAAGGCCAAAGACAAAAAAAAGTATGGTATGAAAGTTCATAGACTATGTTAGTAATGTAAATTGGTACAACTTTAGAATATGGTTTGACATTATCTACTAAAGTCAAAATATATGGATAACCTAGTACCAAGAAATGTCACTACAAGAAATGTGGTATATGCACAACAGAAACGTGTACTTATGTTCTCCAAAGTCATATATGAAGGTGTTCATAGTGGCATCATTTGTAAAAGCCTTACACTGGAAACAACCCAAATGTCATCAAAAGTAAAAGGCATACATAAATGGTGATATATCTATATAATGCAAAATTATTCAGCATGGATTATCAAACTGTAGACCTTGAACTATATTTAGCTAGCTGTCTGTTTTTTATAGCCCATAGGCTAAGAAGGGTTTATGTATTTTTAGATAATTATTATTTAAATGGTTATATACATAATAGCTTCAACTTTGCTTCTCGCTCACAAAGCCTATACTATTTTCTATCTGGCCCTTTAAGAAAAAGTTTGACATTCCCTGCTATACAGCAATTAAATTAACTTTTACTCTGTATAATATAGATGACTCCCACAAACTTAATTGTGGATGACAATGCATACTGTATGATTTCACTACATAAATGTCAAAAGTCAGGCACAACTAAACTATAGTGTTTTGTGTTGCATGCTTGGGGGTAAAGCTATGAAGAAAAATAAGGAAGTGAATATCATAAAGCTTAGGATATTCAATATCTTAGTGGCATACTAGGGAGAATTCTGAAGTAGTAGCAATTTTCTATTTCCTAACCCAGAAGGCAGATACCCATGTTTTCATTGTGTGATTACAAATTAATGAACTGTATGTTTATATTCTGTATGCATTTTCTGTGTTATGCTTCAGAATAAAAACAAAATAAAACAAAAATACTTAACAATGAATACAAAAATTTTTTAAATGGTTGAAGAAGCTCAGGCAATTCAGATGGTCCAACAGTTGGCCTCTTAATAGGAGACTCACAGATTTCTGTTTTATTTTCCATTTATATTCATTCAACACTTATTTACTGTGCATCTACTTTGTGTCATGCACTGTCCTAGATGCTGATGAAAGTTTATGACTTTTGGGGTCATGAACAACAAAACAATATAAAATAAAAATATATATTTTACATGTTACATAACTGGTTTTATGTATTTCTCAGGTCATTATGTTTCCAACAGTGGCAATATTCAGAATTTTATATTCCAGGTTCAGGTATTGAAGAGGCCTAGTTTCTCCAAAAGCTATTCTTATGCTTGAAGATGGAAAATGTTTCAAGAATTCCCTGTTGATTCTCACCAATAGTGTACAGGCATTCCTTTGTCTCTGCATCCCTTACCAGGACTTATTATTTTTGATGTATTTTTCATGACAGCCATTTTAACTGGGGTGAGATGATGTTTGAAGGATTTTCATTTCCCTGATGATTAGTGTATTAGTCAGGGTTATCTACAGGGACAGGACTAATAGGATAGATGTATATATGAAGAGGAGTTTATTAAGGAGTGTTGACTCACACAATCACAAGGTGAATCCCACAATAGGCCGTCTGCAAGCTGATGAGCAAGGAAGCCAGTCTGAGTCCCAAAACTGAAAAAGTAGAGAAGCTGACAGTGCAGCCTTCAGTCTGTGACTGAAGACCTGAGGGCCCCTAGCAAACTACTGGTGTAGGTTCAAGAGTCCAGAAGCTGAAGAACTTGGAGTCTGATGTTCAAGGGCAGGAAGCATCTAGCACAGGAGAAAGATGGAGGCCAGAAGACTTAGCCAGTCTAGTTCTTCCATGTTCCTCTCCCTGCTTTTATGCTAGCCGCACTGGCAGCTGATTAGATGATGCCCACCCAGACTGAGGTGGGTCTGCCTCTCCGAGTCCACTGACTCAAATGTTAATCTCCTTTGGTAACACCCTCACAGACTCACCCGGGAACAATACTTTGCATCCTTCAATCCAATCAAGTTGACACTCAATATTAACCATCACAATTAGTAATGTTGAACATTTTTCCATATACCTTTTGGCCATCTGTATATCTTCTTTTGAGAAATGTCTATTTTGGTCTTTTGCCCATTTTTAATCAGATTGTTTGCTTTTCTGCTATTGAGTTGTTGGAGTTCCTTGTATATTCTGGTAGTTAATCCCTTGTTGAGAGTTTCCTATTGATTCTAAAATGAAGGTTTTACTATATAAATTATGTTTTTATCACACAAAAAAGTTCTTCTGCTGTGTAACAGATGCATTGGATTTTAGACCTGGGAAGGAAGATGAGATAATCTAGACCAGATGCAGAAAACTAGTCCCAGCACAGATGGGGGAACTGTTGTAGTGCAATTGGTTACATTCTGATCTTCTGACTGTTGGCCTTTCTACAAATAATTTTACTAATCTCAGACAAGTAAAAAGTAAAACTTGATTAAAATGCCCATACTTTGTTGATTAGACACTTCTCCCCAGAGATATAGCTCATTAAAATTTATACCAACATATAAAACAATAACCTAGAATTACCTGATATCCTTAATAGCATTCTGGGCATTTTGAAGATTACTATAAAGCCTGAACTGATAATCTGCTAATATTCTAGTGCATTCTTGGTTTCATAGCAGTTTAGAAGCAGTTCTTCTGCTTGGGAGAGACATTCCCTGCTGTGTTCCAAGGCAACCGGCAGGAAAAATATGTGGACATTTTATACATAATGGAGCCTTGGTAAATAGCAGCTCTTCTATAATCCTATTTAGGTTCAAAAGAAACATACTTTACTTTCATCCCCTTTGATTCTGTGCTTTGTTCCATAATAGTTAGGCTAGCTTGCATGTCAGGGGAGGACTCTGCAGGGTGGAAGTGAGGTTGGACGGACCAAAACATGAGTTGACATTGTTCTTGCTCTCATTTACTACAAGGCAATTAACAAAGATTTTTGTATGATTTCTTCTCTCCCATTTGAATGACGAACATAAAAAAAGAAATCGTTCTCAAAATATTTTTGAACATGAACAAATTTATTATTGAAACACATTCATCTTACGTCTGTCAACTTCAACAATGTCACTTTTAAAGTGAGCTGACAGGGCAAAAGTAGTACTTCCTTTATTAAGAAAAAAATTTGGACCTTCAATAAAAACAAATGAATGTTATTCAGGTGATGGATCTCCTAAAAGCCCTGACTTTGCCACTGTGTAATCTATTCATGTTAAAAAAAAATACATATGTACTCCATAAATTTATAAAAATAAAAAAACAGGCCTGGCATGGTGGCTCATGGCTATAATCCCAGCACTTTGGGAGGCTGAGGTGGGTGGATCACAAGGTCAAGAAATCGAGACCATCCTGGCCAACATGGTGAAACCCCCTCTCTACTAAAATTACAAAAATTAGCTGGCCCTGGAGGTGTGTGCCTGTAGTCCCAGTTACTTGGGAGGCTGAGGCAGGATAATTGCTTGAACCCAGGTCACGGAAGTTGCAGTGAGCTGAGATTGCGCCATTGCACTCCAGCCTGGTGACAGAGCAAGACTCTGTCTCAAAAAAAAAAAAAAAAAAAAAAGCAAATGAGGGTTATATATTTATAAATCACAAAGAATAAATATCAGAATTATATAACTTTGCAAAATATTACTAACTCTTGCTTAGTAGCTGAATCATCTACCTAATCTTGTAACACTTACATCATTTTTCTCATTGCCAAAAATTCATCATCCAGCATTTGTTACCTGATAGAGTAGGTAAACAAGTTCTGGAAAGCAAATTATGGTATGATCTTTATCTTAACTAAAATAGGCCAGGGGTAAAAGGGGAAGCATTTTTGTTGTGGGGAACCTTCCATACATGTTTTCAAACTTCCTTCATCCCCTCCACTTCATCTTCCTCAAAATGGAAGGCTGGATTATATAGAAAGCATATATTCAGCTTTAGTAGATATTGCCAATTTTCAAAATAGTTGTACCAACTAGCATTCCCACCAGCAATGCAATGTTTCAATTTCCCTATACTCTGGTCTAAACTTGGTTTATTACATTTTTTGGTATGTTTATGTTTATTTGGTGTGTTTGTGCATATCTTTGTTAAAGCCATTCCGGTTGTTGTATAGTAATATCAGGATTTTATTTTTCACTTTTTACATAACTAAAAACATTTTTTGAACACTTCTCTGTGTTTGAACGTTTTTTTTTGAACGAGGTCTCCTGAATCCCAGTTGTGTTTTCCTTTCAACAAAGGTTACATCACTCTTTCTTTGTTCAAACTTTTAAAAAGTTAATTTACATATATTTAAGTTAATGTCCATAGTCATGTAGCCACCATCACAGTGAAGACATAGAATAAATATTCATTGCCACAAAAAATTCCCTTATGCATTTTTTACACAGTCCTTTCCAATCATCCCCAGTCACTGGTGAACATGAATCTGATTTTTGACCCTGTATACTTTTACCCTTTCAAAATGTCATGAAAATGAAAGAATAAAATGTAGAGTCTTTTGTGCCTGACTTCTTCCATTTGCATAATGCCTTTGAGATTTCATCAGTGTTAGTGTTTGCCTGTTGTTGTTTCTGTTGTTACCTTCAGGAGACCACAGGTTTCCATTTCTTCCTGAGTCTGATGGACTAATTGACCACTTACTTACCTTGTGCTTACAGTGACAGCTAAGATGCTGGAGGTTTTAGCTTTCTGGCTTCCCCTTCAGCTATTCCTGCACACCCTTGATACAGAGGAGGTCCTTCTCTGCTCTTTTTCTGGTCTTTCTACGCTCTTCTACCTACCCCAGTGGTGGATTGTTGTTTGTTGTAGGACCTAGATTTGTCATGAGGGTGGGTTTGTCTTTTATCTTGATCCAGCCTCAGCTTTAGACAGGTCCTGTGCAAAGGACAGGGCTCTTTCATCATTTCTGCCTGTATCTGTGGTTGGTCTTGGCCAATAATTTCCTGCCCTAAAGATTTAACTCCTACTTTTTCCAGAAGCAGTGGATCTTTGGCTTGTTACTGTGGTGAAGAGGGTGCTTTGTCTCTTTACCCCAGTGGCTTAACTTTGTAGAACAGAAGTTTCTGACAAACTGGGAAGGTCGTTTCCCCTATCCTCCAGCAGCCACTTCTCATCTCTGCACCTGTACCATCAAGGGGGACTCTCCCTAATCTCTTGCCCTGCCCTCAGTCTTTCCCATGAGCACCTGGCAGAGGCTGGTAAAAAAAGAGCTTGAGAGAGATGAATGCCTTTTGTGTTTTTGGACCTCACTATTCCAAAGTGGTATTTACTTAGTTGCCTTATGACCTCAGATTTCTTATAGGCTCAAGAAAATTTATGCTTTGGAGGGTTATTTGGTATTTTCTCATTAATAACATGAGAGACCATTAGCTGTAGATTTCTTTATCCTAAGTGGAGCAGAGATGAGTATTTTTGTGCAATCAGCAGGCGATTTTCTGCAGATGCTACCTTACTTTCATGTACTACTGATTACTGCATGTTGTTTGCCACAAGCCAAAAATGCATCTTACATAAAAGGATTGTTTGTGATCAAAGACCTAGTCTAGTCCTTGGAACTAGTCATCTATGCCAGTTATAATCTTTTCAAAATCATTAGGCAGCAGGATAAATTTTAATAAATAGCATAATTTTGAATAATGCTGAAACTGAGAAACCTCAGCACATTGGTGAATATTTTTTGCTGTTTCATACATTACTATTTACCACAATACAATTTATCTGTTGCCTCTTTCAATCTCCTTCTTATCCAATTTTCTTGTTTGTATATTTTTACATGACTGCATCTTCATCTTCTATTTTGATTTGTGCAATCAAGATATAGCTCATACATTAGTACAATTTCTCAGTTCTTTAAAGTTACAAACTTTATTATACCATCCATATAACAATGCATAGAAAACTGAAAGGAACAATTTCAAAATGTTTTAGTAGCTACCTCTGAGTCTTAGAATTGCTAATTTATTTTATGGTTAATTTTTTCTTCTTTTTATTTCTTTCTCAATTAGATAAATTGGACATATTACTATTATAAGAAAAAGTTTAAAAGGTCATGTATAATCAATATATTCCTCTATATAATGTCTTCTTCCAAAAGCCTGTTTACAAATTCTTCCTCAGCATGGAAAAAGGCCTTTTTCTCCACCCTCAACTTCTTAATCAACATCTTCTCCTATTACTGTGGAAACTCAGTTGCCCCAATGTTTGAAGCCTTTGTTACTCTATACGTCTCTCCCTCACTGTTAGTTTTACAAAATCCTAATATTTTAAAAAGTAATTACTCTTTCATATTTCCATAGTCCAGCTTCTTGCTTATATATTATAAATGTTTTTTGTTGCTGACTTGTCTTTGTCTACACTTGAGGTTAAATAAATATCTAAGTTATTATTATTATTATTATTATTATTTGGATACAGGTCTCATTCTGTTGCCTAGGCTGGAGAGCAGTGGCACAATCATGGCTCACTGCAGCCCCGACCTCCCCTGTCCAAGTGATCCTCCCCCATCAGCCTCCCCAGTAGCTGGGACTACAGGTGTGTGCCACCATACCTGGCTAATTTAAAAAAAAAAAAATCTTGTGTAGAGACAAGGTCTCACTATGTTCCTCAGGCTGGTCTCAAATTCCAGGACACAAGTGATACTCCCACCTTGGCCTCTCAAACCAAGGGAAATCTCCAGGAAAATGACCACCTGCCTGGCTGGAATTCCAAATAACAAAATGCAGCCCCCTAGAGCATCCATCAGGCTTGTGAACCCCTACTTTTACCCATCAGGGTAATCTATGTTACTCCGATGGGAAATAGTAGCATATTTGCATATTTTCCAAAAGAATATATATGAATATGTGATATAGAATATCCCGTCAGGATTCTTTCCTGGGGATAATAGGGAGACCCTTATTTTCCAATGATTGAGATGGACAATCCATATATAAGTAACACAGAGATATAAAAAGCACTATTAAGATTCTCCCAAAACAGTTGGGTGAAGTAAAATGGGAAGCTGGTTCATAATGGGTATTCATATTCCTCCTTTCAATATCAAGTTGCAAGGCCATAAGTTGGCATTTTATCACTTTGAGCATATTTTCTTTTAAACAAAATGAACTTTGGACAAAATGATATTTATTTATGGTTTTCATAAGATCTAATAATCCTCAGTCATGTTATACAACTTGAAAACTCACAAAATAGACATATTATATGAAGATTGATCTCATTGTTTAAAGACTACTTAGCAAGCAATTAAGAGTCATGTGTTGGCTGGGCACAGTGGCTCACGCCTGTAATCCCAACACTTTGGGAGGCTGAGGTGGCCGGATCACCTGAGGTCAGGAGTTTGAGACCAGCAGGCCAACGTGGTGAAACCTAGTCTCTACTAAAAACAGAAAAATTAGCTGGGTGTGGTGGTGGGTGCCTGTAATCCCAGCTATTTGGGAAGCTGAGGCAGGAGAATTGCTTGAACCCAGGAGGCGGAGGTTGCAGTGAGTGGAGATTGCGCCACTGCACTCCAGCCTGGGCAACAGAGTAAGACTTCATCTGAAAAAAAAAGAGTCGTGTTATTGCAACAATACAAGTTTTGAGGTCAGATAAACTTGAGTTAAATTTGAGTTAAATACCAGCTCTACTACTTACCAATTATATGCTTTTTTAATAAGTTAGAAATTGCCCTAGGCCATAGTCAACTTGTTTGTATATATAGGTATTAAAATACTACAGGGTTCTAAAGATTAAATAAAATCACCTTTATAGGTTCTTATAAACCTGGTCCAGAGGACACACTAATATATTTTAGGTCCACTGTTTGTCTCTGTTTTCCTCATCATTTATAAAAAGAATCACCACAATATTCTTTTAAATATTTAGCTTTTTTAGTGCATTTCTATGACTTAACAGCTGCTAACATATTGATATTAAAAAAGGAAAAAACTAAAATTAGAAAGAACTGCTATAACTTACAATTAAGAGGAATAGCTCTAAAATTGTTGGTGTAAAGATATAATTTTATAAACAGACATATATTATGTGGAACAACATTTACTTGAATTCAAACATAGAGTGAAGAAAGCACATTTAATTCTAAAGAAATTATTCATTATTTAACTGAGCAAGATATGTAATATCTATAATTATTACAATTCAATTTTGTTTCCTGAACATTTGTTCAAGTATTATTTTTGTATAAAAACAATTAATACATTAACAATTATAGCTTATCACAAAATTTGGCCTCATATTTGAAACAGATTGGGGTATTTGGCTTTAGGATAACTTGTTTTCAAAATCTTTTTGCTGATACCTATATAAAATAAATGCAAGCAATTTCTGATTCTACATACTAACTGAGGGAAGCAAGAAAGAGTGTTATCTGAAGTAATGTATTCAAAACATTAAATTTTGAAACATAATTTATTCTCTTCCAAAATATTTCTCTTTCTATTCATGTCTGATTTGCAATAAACTGAGTGGAAAATAGACTCTATGCTGGAATCAGAGATTATGCTCAGGGATGTGTCTGGACACTGATTCTATTCTGTTTTTCATCCTATGTCCACCCCCATCATCCCACCCAACACATAAAAACATGGTTTTACTGATAATCAATTTGACTCAAAACCAAGATTGTTTGTATTAGTTGAGAACAGATGAAAAGCTTGTTTGAAAGAAAAGTGGTACACAAGACATGAAGCTGCTCAAACCCATCAAGGTCCTCTCACCAAGACAGTGTCAAGAGTGGCAGCACACCCTATTTATGATGAGATGCTATGCTTTAAAGTAAATAGATCAAGAAACTTAGCAAATCTTCAAGTGCCTACTGAGGGGTCTAAGGTGAGAGCATTTCTTCCCACCAATTGATAGGCAATCTGAATTTGAAACACTCTTATGCATAACCATTAAAGTCAGAAGCAGAGGACAGGAACCAGAAGCTCAGTTGTGTCCTGGGTGACAGGAAAAAGATGTCCTGAGATTAAATTTGACTGAGGATAATGAAAAAGTGAATAATTTACATGAAGAGCCCAGAATTTATTTATGGGGATAATATTTTGAAGTTTTAACTCACTTTTTTTCTCTATATATCTTTGTGCCATGTGATCATTTCAAAGCCCAGACAACTTGTTTATTCCACCTCCATTTTCCTAGGGAAGGAATTCTAGTAAACCGAGGGAATAAAGAAAACAACTCTTGGTTCCTTAGTTTCAAACAAGCTTTCAAAATTCATAGCCAAAACAAATTTTGAAATTCAAAGCTTTTGCTTTATAAAAGCTGTGCTGTTTTATTTGCAATTGTCTAAGGATTCAAGGAAACAGAGCATGAAGTTTATCCCACAAATAACTTACTTTAGAGAGATGTGAAGTCAGGCAGTTATTCCTGATCTCCTCAATTGTTCCAGTTTTTATAAGCTAAGGGAGAGGGGGCAATGAGAAAGAAGAAAAAATACCTTAACTGTCAGTATGATTCTCTACCTCTTTCCCAGTTGCAGTCAAGCTAGCAGGAAGGAAGGGCGATATAGAAAGAGAGTTAAATTAGAGACTTTGAGAGCAAACATTCTTGTGCCTACATGCCCAGATAGAGTCCTGAACATCAACAAGACTTATAAAGCTTGTGTGATGGTTAATATTGACTGTCAACTTGATTGGACTGAAGGATGCAAAGTATTATTCCTGGTGTGTCTGTGCGGTGTTACCAAAGGAGATTAACATTTGAGTCACTGGACTGGGAGAGGCAGACTCACCCTCAATCTGGGTGGGCACCATCTAATAAGCTGCCAGTTTGATTAGAATAAAGCAGGCAGAAGAAGGTGGAAGGACTTGACTTGCTGAGTCTTCTGGCCTCCATCTTTCTCCTGTGCTGGATGCTTCCTGCCCTCAAACATAGGACTCCAGATTCTTCAGCTTTTGGACTCTTGGACTTACATCAGTGGTTTGCTAGGGGCTCTCAGGCCTTCAGCCATGGACTGAAGGCTGCAGTGTCAGCTTACCTACTTTTGAGGTTTTGGAACTCAGGCTGGCTTCCTTGTTCCTCAGCTTGCAGATGGCCTATTTTGGGACTAAATTTTGTGGTCATGTAAGTCAATACACCTTAATAAACTCCCCTTTATCTATCTATCTATCCTATTAGTTCTGTCCCTCTAGAGAACCCTAACTAATACAGTCTGTCATGTCACTCATGGCATGGGATCTGTCTCAGCTTTCTATTGCTGCTGTAACAAACAAATTGCCACAAATTTAGTGCAATTAAAAAAAACAAAATTTTAAATATCTCGTAGTTCTGTAGATCAAAAGTCTGAAATGAGTCTCACACACTGGGCTAAGGTGCAGGAGGCAGCATAGCTGCTTTCCTTTATCGAGCTTTTAGGGGAAAGTTCATTTCCTTACATTTTCCAGCTTCTACAGGCCTCTCATATTCCTGATACATGGCTTTTCTTCTGTCTTCAAAGCCAGTAATTGTAGGTTGAGTCCTTCTTATATGGCATCACTCTGTTCTGCTAATGTTCTCACATCTTCTCTGACTCTTCTTTTCCTTCACTCTTCCACTTTTGAGAGCTGTTGTTATTACACTGGGCTCATTAAGATAATCCACAATGATCTATCAATTTTTTTGTTGTTGTTGTTTGTTTTTTTTTTGTTTTGGAGACAGGGCCTCACTCTGTGGCCCAGGCTGGAGTGCAGTGGTGCAATCTTGGCTCACTGCAACCTCCTCCTCCTGGCTTCAAGCAATTGTTGTGCCTCAGCCTCCCAAGTAACTGGGACTACAGGCACGTGCCACCATGCCTCGCTAATTTTTTGTAATTTAGTAGAGATGGGGTTTCACCATGTTGCCCAGGCTGGTCTCGAACTCCTGAGTTCAGGCCATCCACCTGCCTTGGCCTCCCAAACTGCTGGCGTTACAGGCATGAGCCACCGCATCTGGCCTAACAATCTCCCTATGTAAAAACCAGCTGTTTAGCAACCATAATTCCACCTGCAACCTGAAGTCTACCCTGCCAAGTAACAATAACACATTCACATGTTCTGAGGATGAAGATGTGGAAATTTGAGAGAGAAGGGAGATTATTATTCTGCGCAATACAGAAACCATGTACTATAAATGACTGCATGAGGTACCCAGGTATGTAGGCAGGCAGGAATGAGGCTCACAGGGATTCTATGTCATTCCACATGGGAAAGGAGATTGGTTACAGCTGAAGTTTCCCATGAAACAAAGAGCCAGAGAAAACAGAATGAATTTTGTGGTTGAAGTAAGAAAGACTTAAAGTGAATTTGCATGGGCCAAAGAGAAGAGACCAGTTGGGAATGTGAATTTAGATGCCAGGATACATCAATGCCAATTAGGCATCTTTATCCTTCCCTATACATTGACATTATTTAAACATCTTGGAATTTAGAAAATATGGGAAATTATAAATTGAGTAAGATCAGTCTGAATTGATGAAGACTTCCCAGAAATGACTGGGATTGCATTTTTACCACAGAGTAGAATTGGGAACTAAGAAAAAAGGTATGTTTTAACTTAAAAAAAAAGAAATAACAAAATTCTTAGAAGTTATACTTCTCACTTATCCAAATTTGTAGAATACGAAATTGTACCCACGCACTTATGTTCGAAGAAAACTCCTGTTTTTGCAGAAAAAAAAATGTAAAAAACAGAAAATTACTTCTAGCCTGGAAGCTCCAAAATGGAATAGGGGCTGTTTTTAATTACCGGAGATAATCCACAGCAATATGGTAATAGAATAAGAAGGAGGTTTTTTTTCTATATTCATTTCAAATAAAGCTATTTAAATGACAAGGCTAATAATTTGCTGTCATGGTCACACAACTGAGTGTTGAAAACCAAGTGACTTGGGTTTTGGTCTTCTTTGATGCTTTACTATAGCTTCTGCTAGCCATGATTTAAAATTGAAGACTGGTCATTTACCTCTGCTAGGGGTAAACATTCACAAAAATCCTGAAGGGATTTGATTCCCTAATGGGAGTTATAAAGCTTGTGAACTGAATACACAAGTAAAATTTAAATTGCGTCTTTACTCACCAGTGGCTTAATAGGGGAGAAACTCTTGTTCAGACAAATAATTAGCTTTCACAATGGAAAGGTAAACAAAACTATAAATTATGATTAGGTAAGTGTTCTTCCCTGCAAAGACAAATTAGCCAATATTTATTCTTCAGCTGTGATACATAGATGCTATAATATTGCGAGAGTTTTCTGGATAAATTTGATAAAAAAGGTTAAAAGAGCCTGAAAGCTATATACTCTTTTGCTCAAGATATGTATGTTAATCCAGTTGCTTCATTTATATCTTACTTTGTCATTTTCCCCTTCTCTGTTAGAAATAAATTCTAAAGGAAAATTTAAATTTTTAATTGCAAAGGGAAACAAATATCCAGAAGGAAACCTTGCATATTTATTTTATTATTATTATTATTATTATTTTTGGAGATGGAGTCTTGCTCTGTCACCCAGGCTGGAGTGCACTTGGGCGATCTCAGCTCACTGCAACCTCCACCTCCTGGGTTCAAGCGATTCTCCTGCCTCAGCCTCCCGAGTAGCTGGGATTACAGGTGCCCCCCACCATGCCCAGCTAATTTTTGTATTTTTGATAGAGACGGGATTTCACCATGTTGGTCAGGCAGTCTCCAACTCCTGACCTCAGGTGATCCTCAGCCTCCCAAAATTCTGGGATTACAAGCATGAGCCACCATGCCTGGCTTGCATATGAAAATGTTCTTCAACTGAAAGTTCTGTGAGAATGTCAGATTTGTAAAATCTTTTATTTACGTTAAAATCTTGCCACTTAAATGCATACGTTAGAGGCAATCAAACATCTAGTATCAAAAAGCAGAGGGTTTTAAATTTTTATTTTAGTTCTCCAAAATTAGTGTTTTTAAAGAATGGAACATTGTATTAGTCAGCCTGGGCTGCCACAGAAAATGCCATACACTGGCATTAAAAAGCAAACAAATAAATAACAAATAAACCTATTAAAAAGCAAACAAATAAACAAAGCCAAAAAATACAGGGTTTTTTTTTTCACAATTCTGAATGCTGGTAAATCCAAGATCATGGTGCAACCCCTGGTAAGGGTTGTCTTCCTGGCTTGCAGACAGCCTTCTAGCTATGTCCTCATTTACCTTTTTTACAACTACATTAATCCTATTAGATTAGGGTCTGACTGTTACTGTGTCTGGAATTGGTTCCTTCTGGTGGGTTCTTGGTCTTGCTGACTTCAAGAATGAAGCCGCGGACCTTCACGGTGAGTGTCACAGCTCTTAAAGATGGTGTGTCTGGAGTTTGCTCCTTCAGATGTTCAGATGTGTACAGAGTTTCTTCCTTCCAGTGGGTTAGTGGTCTTGCTGACTTAAGGAGTGAAGCCACAGACCTTTGCAGTGAATTTTACAGCTCTTAAAGGCAGTGCAGACCCAAAGAGTGAGCAGCAGCAAGATTTATTGTGAAGAGTGAAAGAACAAAGCTTCCACAGCGTGGAAGGGGACCTGAGCAGGTTGACGCTGCTGGCTAGGGTGGCCAGCTTTTATTCTTATTTGGCCCCGCCCACATCCCGCTGATTGGTCCATTTTACAGAGTGCTGATTGGCGCACTTAAAATCCTTTAGCTAAACACAGAGCGCTGATTGGTGCATTTTTACAGAGTGCTGATTGGTGCATTTACAATCCTTTAGCTAGACACAAAGTGCTGATTGGTGCATTTTTCCAGAGTGCTCACTGGTGCATTTACAATCCTCTAGCTAGACAGAAAATTTCTCCAAGTCCCCACTGGACCCAGGAGCCCAGCTGGCTTCACCTCTCATTATGACCTTGTTTAACCTTTGTAATCTTTTAATAGGCCCTGTCTCCAAATGCAGTCATATTGAGGCTTAACACTTCAGTATATACATTTTAGAAAACACAAATATTCAGTTCATAGCAAATCTGAAAAATTTATTTATAAGTTCCCAAAGAATGTAGTCCTTTTAGTTTTAGTTCTTGGGGAGGGGTAAAGGAGGAGGAGGAAGAAAAACGGAGAAGAAGGAAAAAGAAGGAGGAAGGAGAAGGAAGGAGGAGAAGGAAGAAGGAAGAAGGAGGAGGAACAAGAAGAGGAAGGAGAAGGAAGAGAAAGGAGGAGAAAAGGAGGAGGAGGCAGAGGAGGGGAAAGAAGAAGAAGAAAGAGGACGAGAAGGAGGAAGAGGAAAAGCAGAAGCAGAAGAAGCAGAAGAAACAGAAGCAGCAGCAGCAGCAGCAGCAGCAGCAGCAGCAGCAGAAGAAGAAGAAGAAGAAGAAAATGGCATCCAAATAGAATGCAAATAAAAAAGGAAAAAGTGAAATTATCTGTTTGCTGATGACAAGATCTTATATGTAGAGAAAATTCTAAATACTCCATCAAAAAATGTTGTAAATGATAAAAAAATTCGGTAAAATTGCAGGATACAAAATCAATATACAAAAATCTTTAACATTCTTATACATCAGCAACTAATCATCTAAAAGATAAATTAAGAAAACAATTCTACTTACAATATCATTAAAAAATACTTAGGAGTAAATTTAATCAAAAAAGTAAAAGATCTGTGTACTGAAAATTATAAACTAATGATAAAAGGAATTGAAGAATACACAAATAAAATATATCATATGTTCATGGATTGAAATAATATTGTTAAAGTGTTTATACTATCCAAAATGACCTATAGATTTAAAGCAATCCTATCAAAATCCAATGTCATTTATCACAATAGAAAAAAAATTCTAAAGTTTGTATGAAGCCACAAAATAATCAAAGTAACCAAGGCAATCTTAAGAAGTGCAAAGCTGAAAGCATTACATTATCTGATTTCAAAATATACTGCAAAGCTGTAGTGACCAAAGCAGCATGATACTGGCATAAAAACAAACACATTGACCAATGAACCTAGATAGAGAGCTCAGAAATAAATCCATTGCATTTATGACCAATTGATTTTTGACAAAGGTGCCAAGATCACACAATGGGGAAAGAGTCTCTTTAATAAATGATGTTGAAAAAACTGGATGTTCACATGCAACAAAATGAAATTAGACCTTTGTCTCACACCATGTACCAAAATCAACTAAAAA
Organism: Homo sapiens; assembly: GCF_000001405.40. Lineage (NCBI taxonomy): Eukaryota > Metazoa > Chordata > Mammalia > Primates > Hominidae > Homo > Homo sapiens. The sequence continues at coordinate 44,957,736 of NC_000005.10, read as the reverse complement.
TGTATTAAATACTTAAATGAAAGACCTGAAACTGTAAAATTACTAGAAACATTGGGGGCAAACTCCATAAAATTAGTTTCAGCAATGATGTCTTGGATATGATTTCAAAAGCACAGACAAAGCAAGAATAGACAAATGACATTGAATCAAACTAAAAAAACTTCTGTACAACCAAGGAAATAATCAACAGAATGAAGAGACAACCCATAGGTTGGGATAAGATGTTTGTAAACCATATATCTGATAAGCGGTTAATATCCAAAATATATAAGTAATTGAAACAACTCAATAGCAAGGAAACAAATCACACGATTTAAAAATGGTCAATTAGCCTAAATAGACATTTCTCAAAAGAAGACATACAAATGGCTAATATGTTTATAAAAAATGCCCAACATCATTAATCATCAGGAAAATGCAAGTCACAATCACATTGAGATATCATCTCACCCCAATTAGAATGACTGTTATCAAAAAGATGAAAGACAAGTGTTAACAAGGGCAAGGAGAAAAGAGAACATTCATACACTGTTGGTGGGAATGTAAATTAGTACACACATTATAGAAAACAGTATAGATGTTCCCAAAGAATAAAAATAGAATTAACATAGGATTCATTCATCTAACTTTTGGTTATATGCCTAAAATAATTGAAATTGGAAAGTTGAAGAGATATTTGCACTCCTATCTTCATTGCAGCATTATTCAAAGTAGCTAATGTGGAATCAACTTAAGCATCTATCCATCAACAGATGAATGGATAAAGAAAATGTAGTATCTATACCCAGTGGAATACTATGCAATCTTAAGAAGGAAATTCTGTCATTTGTGACAACATGGATGAACCTAGAGGATATTATGCTAAGTGAAATAAGCCAGGCACAGAAAGACAAATACCCATGACTTCACTTATATGTGGAATCTGAAAAGTTGAACTCAGAAATAGAGAATAGAATAGTGATTACCAGAGACTGGGGGTGGTAGAGGTTGAAAAGGAGAGATGTTTGTCAAAGAGGGAAATGTTTCAGTTAGGTGGGAGGAGAAGTGTTTGAAATCTATTGCACAGCAGAGTGACTGTAGTTAATCATAATGTATTGCATACTTTAAAATTGCCAGAAGAGTAGATTTAAATGTTTCACCATAAGAAATGATAGAAATGCGAGATGATGGATATGTTAAATACCTTGATAGAATCATTTCACAGTGTATACATATATCAAAATGTCATGTTGTACTCCATAAAATATACAATTGTTACTTTTCAATTGAAAATACAAAATAATAATAATGAAAATAATTTCCTCAACTCACTTTTCCAAACCTAATGGTTGGAAGGAAGATATCTACTTCAACCTGAGAACAAAAAATTATTATTTTCAGTTTAGGACTAAAGCATATTTGATGATCCAGAAGTGATTTGTATCATGAATTGAAAAAATACCTGTGAAATAACTCAGACTATGTGGAGAGGAAATTGAGAAACAAAATACATGAGCAATTTACCTCAGCTGGAGAATCAAGTCAATCTCTTTATAGGTCAGTAGGCTCTCCAGATCTGGGCCCAGTCTACATCTTCAGCTTTCCTTCTTCACACTCCATGGTTCTTCCTTCTCTGTGCTCTAGTGTATTGCCTATAATTTCTTCTTGCACCTGTGATGTTTACCACCTCAGTGTCATTGTCCATGCTGCTCACTAGGCAAGGACTCACTTCCTTACCCATCTAATCCATATTCACACTTGAAAGCTAAATTCTAATGTCACCTACCAATTCACCTACCACTTCACCTCCCAATTACTTCCCTTGCATCACAAAAGAAATAATTTTTGTGATACTTTAATATAATTAACATTTTTAGTTTTATTCCACTTCTGACATATTATAATGTTTAATTGCTTAAACTCAGGGTAAGGATTGGAGGCTAAAAATAGAAAGTTTGAATCATAAAGGAATATACAAGAGACTGAGAATTCAGAAACCTGCTAGAAGATTTTCTTCAGCTTTTCAAGAAATGACTTTTCTTTGTTATTTCATAATATACTCTATATATACATATTATTCCTGTTACTATCTGAATTACACGTATCTGTGCATGTTTCCTCCACTAGATTGTGAGCCCCTTGATGACAAAGACTAGGTTTTTTTTCTCTCTCTCTTTCTCCAGAGCTTAATACAGTACCAGATAAGTTGTGGGCTCAGTGATATGTGTGTGTCGAATAAATCCATAAAGGAATGAAAAAATTAAAGACAAAATGTCCCAGAATGTCTGAGCCTACCTCAGAAAGAAGAGAAAACATTTAGAGTAGCATATCCCTCAGAGGGAAACCTGTGCAAAGCAGGAGAATACAATCAGGTATCAAGGCATATACAAAACCACCTGAAAACTTGGAAGAAATTTTGTTGTGGTGGTCATTTTTATATTTGATTTAATTTTTTTCACATGTATACAAAAACAAAATCCAGAAAATAACACTTTCTATATTGGCTAATTTGGTGTCTTCTTCCTATTATTATGATAGTTTTGAAAGTAAAATATTCATACACAGAGTAATTAGTGTGTGTGTGTGTGTGTGTGTGTGTGTGTGTGTGTGTGTGTATGTGGGAATCTGGGAATATTGGTGCTGTTTTTATGTCACAGTGAAGAGGTTAAGAACCTGTTTTTAGTAGAACTCATTATGTAGAACTCATTATAACCGGCCCTGTAGCCACCACCAGCCTGCTTAGCAAAGGAACTGGTGTGCGTGATTCCTTGTCAAGCCCATTGCAGCCTGCAGGTTAGTTATTTGAAAATTATTATTTTTTCTTTCTGCTTCCCTCAAAAAAATAATAATAACAAACACACACACACAAACTGGCTCACAAAAATCATTTCAGCTTTCTAAACTTATGCTCACAAAGTTTGTTCAGAAACACTGAAGTTCTAATAAGTTCCTGTGCACTTCACTTCCCAGTAACTTCCCTTGCATCACAAAAGAAATAATTGTTGTGATACTTCAATATAATGAACAGTTTTAGTTTTATTCCACTTCTGACACATCATAATATTTAATTGCTTAAACTCAGGATAAGGATTGGAGGCTAAAAATAGAAAGTTTGAATCATAAAGGAATATACAAGAGAATAGGAATTCAGAAACCTGCAATCAACAAGAATTATGATAGACATGATGATGATCACGCTATTGGCCGTGACACAGTGACTCAGAGAGTTTGGTTATTTAGGAGGTGATTTACAAGGTAGAATGCATGTAACAAAGCTATTACACTGAAAATATACATAAGGACTAAACCCAGAGTCAATGTAGAGACAAAACCTCCTCTCTATTCCCTCCAATAAATAAAAGCACTTTGACAAATATTTTGATCAATACAAAAAAATTTGATCAGTACTGGAATACAGCATGGTTTCTCCTAATCTTTAACCTGTGGACTTATTTTTATTCCTATAGAGGGGCCTGAAATTTAATCAGCAAAATTTTTAAGCTTTATTCAATACTGTCTCTGTTCTAAAGAATATCAACAATGATGGCACAATTTACAGAGGAGTTCGTTGTCTTTATTTATGGGAAAATGGCAAAGGAGAATTAGCACAGTAGCTTTGGTGCCATGTTGTCACAGCCACTGCTGGAAAGGAGTGGGAAAGGCAATGACAAGCTGTTATCTATGGTATTCTGCCATCAAACAAAGGTATCATTGAATTAATTCAGAGCACAAGTGCACAAAATGGTGACTTTCCTTTTGGAAACTAGGAAGACAATTTCCAAGCTCACAAGAAATGTGTTCAAATAATTACAATCATAAAGGGCATATGTGTAGTTAAAGTCTAACAAATCCTACTTATATAGTACTGTGATAATACTATATGCTCTCTTCATCTCCATTACATGGGGACTTCATAAGAAAATAAATGGTTTGTACTTCTAGTTATCCATAAAACTTAAATGTAAATATTAGGCATATCTATGCCTAAACATCTCAGACCATTTTCTTGTGCAGAGGAATATAGCCTATCTTCCCCTAGTACCCTCTCCTCTTTGACCCTGGGTTCCAACTATTCACACAAATTGGCCATTCAAGTTGTGTTCCCCAGCAAAGTTAATTCTTCCTTTAGGAGAAATACTGGAGATGTCATTTTAAAGCTACATTTGTAAAAATTTGAGTTTGTGCAAATATCTGTTAAGTCTTTTTAAAACTACATTTGCAAAGTTTTCATTTGCACAAATATCATTTATAATTACATAAATGCTGAAAATCCAGTTTAACAGAGGCTTAAAGAGAATTCACTGAAGCTCTACAAACACTTTGTAATTGCTGGTTCGGAGGTAATGAACAGGATGACAATTTCTTACATCAATTTCTATGAAAGGAATCATCAAGGGGTGTTAAAAACCAAAGCGTAGGAGGAAAACATTTTTAACAAGTAACATTCCAGTACATGTTAACCACTCTGAGACATAACAAATAAGTGATAATTTGTCATCAACCTCATTATCCACAAATACTCACTAAGCCCATTGATGTTATGCATATGCTTTGTACAAGACTCTTAGTTTCTTGGCAGTCTAAATTCCCTGAAGACCCTAAAAAGGAAAAATATCTTAGAAACAGAGAGAAGTTATTATTGATTCTGAAATTTAACATTTAGCACTCTAAGTAGGCCACAACTATTTCTGGCATATACATAGTGTGATGTACACTTTTTAATGAAAAAAAAAAAAACTAAAGGCACCAAGTTTCCTAAAGTTACCATTTAAACAATAAGCTTTAGCAAGTATCTGTATGTTCTTTATATTAAACTGTTCAAGACAATGTCTGCTTTTTAATTTATTTTACTTTATATTATTTTATTCTCCAGTGTACGATTACCACTTAGCTGGGTTCAATCAGTCAAGTTTAGTATATAATTTTGTCTGTTTTAATATTAAAATCAGACCAATCCTTGAAAGAATAACAATCCTGCATAGATTAGGACCTTAGGACCTTAGGACCATCACACAGACACAACACATCCAAATGACATCATTTTACTAGTCATGTTGTGTCTACTCCCCAAATATGTAGCTATTTCTGAATGATAGGCACCCAGTCAAAATGTAAAGTCAAGCACAGGAAGAGGTTTTCAACACCATTAACCATCAGGCTTATGCAAATTGCAACCATAATGAGATACCACTTCACATCCACTAGGATGCCTATAATAAAAAAGACCGACAATAACAAGGAGGATGTTGTGAGAATGTGGGAACATTGGAACCCTCTGCTGGTGGAGATGTAAAATGCAGCCACTTTGGAAAACTAGCACTTCCTCAAAATATTAAACAGTTACCTCATAACACATCAATTTCACTCTTAGAGTAATGAACACATGGTCACACAAAAATTTGTACATGCATGTTAATAACAGAATTTTTCATAACAGTCAAAAAGTGGAAGCAACCTAAGTGTACTTCAATTGAATAAATAAAATGTAATCATATTCACAGAATAGAATATTACTTGACAATAACTCAAGAAATGAAGTTCTGATACATGCTACAAAATAGTTGAAACTTGTAAACGCCAGTCTCCAAAGATCATATGTTATATGATTCTATTCATATGACATATCCAGAATAGGCAAATACAGAAAGCTGCTTAGTGGTTTCTTAAGTGTGCAATGGGGTGGATTGGGGGCATAACGGAGAGTGACTACTCATGAGTACGGAGTTTTTTTTAGGAGTAGTGCAAATGTCCTAAATTTGACTGTGGTGGTGGTTGCAGAGCTACATGAATATAACAAAATCTGAAGTGTATACTTTAAATGAGTGAATTGTGTGATATGTGAGTTATATCTCAATAAAGCTGTTACATATAAAAATAAAAAGGCAAAGACAGGTGAAAAACTGGAAAGAAGGTCTTAGCAATATTCTCTTTGCCTCACTTTGATTTGGAGATACCAATAAAATTTAGGCCAGCGCTCTTCATTCTCAATGTTTATATGAAATGGATCTCAGAATCTTGGCAAATTCCGCCAAGATTAAGGGGAGTGAAATGGTGCCTTCCCTAATTATTGCACTTCAGAAAGGGCAGCGTGCACTGAAGCCTGACAGTAAAAAGTTAAATGGTCCAACATGCTGTTTCTTTAGAGTCTCAAAGAATGAAAACAAGCAACCACTTATTTCCTCCAGGCCCAGGGTTGTCAATATAAGCACAACAAAGAACTCTAATGTTGTGGCAGCTATGTATAAAATGCAAGTAGGAAATTTGAAATTTATGCTTCAGAAAATATTCATAGAGATGCGTAAAGTAAAATTATGTCTCCCAAGATTGGCTAATGAGCAATCAGTGAAGATTTTTTTGCCAGGGGAGAAATAGTTTATACCCCAATGTTTGTACAGTGTTCCCAAATGTCTCAGCATATCTGATTTGACCTCAATCATAGCCTTTCAGACTTTGAAACGTCTGCTGCAAAACTTAGGTTGAAATGCAAGCTCTGAGTGACTGATATTTTTAGAATCTAAACACAACCACAACTTCCATAAATATACATATTTTGCTTTCTACTCATATAATAAACAATACACAGATACTTTGTGATCACTGAATTTTTTTTCATAAATTCTTCATGATATTAACTATGATATTTATGCTATGCAACTCAACTTTCCTACCTGCAAAATATATAATGATAATGTATTCCAAGGTTGTCACCAGAAAAGTAATAAAGATTGCTTAAAACTGCCAGTCACTTTAAAATAGTGTATTATTTGGCAACACGGCCTGAATTATAATAGTCATATAAATACTACAATGGCCAAAGGTCTATGTATAGCAGTGCCCATTACTGTGCTTTAACTTGGGATATTATTAAAATGATAAAATGATTTGTTGAGAACAGATAAACCTACACCATAAAAATATACAGTGTGCAGTTTAGTAAATGTTAGCTTACACATAATTATAATCAGTAAGCCTCAATATTACATAAATATATTTTGATATTAATTTTTGAATCCTACTTAATAAGAAGCATATTAATTCCTGCTCAATGTGTTTACGGTCCCAGTCTGTTCCAGTTTGATAAGTATTCTTTGTTTTCCCCATATTCTGCTGATCTACTTTTTGTCCCATACCCACTGATACCGTCTGTCTTTGATGGATTCTTACTCAGCTGAAACTCATTACTATTTCTAGAAAGTCATTAGTCTTTATCAATTGATTTCTGGGGAGGTTTACTTTTTTCAATAAGCTCTGTAAGTGTTGGCTGCCATTTATACTTGTTTCCCTCACCAAAATAATAGAGAAAGTGACAGTAATTTCCCTTTGGTCAAAATATTCCCTTTCTAATTGGTGTCTGAACTGATGGCAATTTCTCATATTGCCCAGTACCATGACACTACCCGTGTTAAACATTAAGTGTTCCCTCATCAGCAATAGCTCAGAGGTTTTACTATTTAATCACTTTGTACTCACTGCGGCAGTTTTATTAACAAGTTAAAAATCATGGTTTAGGTGGTTCAGCTTACAATCTTTATACAAATTAAACCTAGATAATACTAATTTTAAAATAAAAGTATATAAAAATGAATGTCTAGATGTATTCAACATCAAGAGTGATATTTTGATTATAATAACACTGATAGAGGTTGAATTACTGGAGTGTATTAGTTAGGAATTGCTGTATAATAAAATACTACACATTTAGTGTCTAAAAAACACACATATTATCTCGCAGTTTTTGTGGGTTAAAAGTTTGAGCACGGTTTAGCAGTGTCTTCAGTTTAGGGTCCCACATGGTTTCGGTAATGGTTTTGGCCAGACAATATTTTCATATGAGACCTGAAAAAGATTTCGCTTCCAAGTTCACTTAGGTTGTTGGCAGAAGTCATCTCTTTGTAACTGTAGGATTGAAAATCTGGCTTCTAGCTGGCTACCAGACAGAGGCTGCCCTCAGGTCCTAGAAGCTATCTGGAGTTCTCTGTCAGATGGGCTTCCCCAATATGCCTGCTTACTTCATCAAGCCAGCAAAGAGGCTCTAGAGTGACTCTGCCAACAAGTCTTATAGCAGGACACAATCACAGAAGTGAGGTCTCATTATGGTTACCATATTCTACTGGTTAAAAGTAAGTCACAGGTCCCAACTACACTCAACAAGAGTAGATAATAGTAGGTAGGAGGTCGGGACCATTGGGGCCACCTTACATATGGTTTCTAAGTAATTTAATTGAAAAGTAGCAGTAAACTAAATATAATATGTATTTTTGGTTGTTATACTCTGGAGAGCAATTATCTAGAGCATAACAACAAAAAATACATGTTGTGGCATTTCTCTTTTTTTTTTTTTTTTTTTTTTTTTGAGCTGGAGTTTCACTCTTGTTGCCCAGGCTGGAGTGCAATGGCGCGATCTTGGCTCACTGCAACCTCCCCCTCCCGCGTTCAAGCGATTATCCTGCCTCAGGCTCCCGAGTAGCTGGGATTACAGGCATGCGTCACCACACCTGGCTAATTTTGTATTTTTTTAGAGACATGGTTTCCCCATGTTGGTCAGACTGGTCTCGAACTCCTGACATCGGGTGATCCACCTGCCTCAGCCTCCCAAAGTGCTGGGATTACAGGCATGAGCCACCGCGCCTGGCCACGTTGTGGTATTTTTCTAAGGCTTGCCAGGTATGCCAAGACAACAAGATCCTGACTGCTCTTTTTGCAGGGCCATTTTTCAAAATTGTTCATGCAGCTCGTAACCTTGAGAAGTTGTAACATCCCCCTGCTTTGGATACATGCAGGTTTGCTTACTGCTCTCAATAAAAGCAATGGAATCCCCAAGATGATTGCTCCTCAGCTATGACAAAAGTCTGTTGTGTTTATGCATAGCATCCATCTGGGCCCACTGTCTAGTCTTGGGGTACTTTGCAACTAGGAAAACTGACAAACATATCTGGTGCTCATGCTTCTTCTTGTGCCAGGAGTAATAAAGCCCTTTGTTCCTGACCGGGAATCTTGTGTTATCTACCAGCATCTAAAAAACGGTCACAGGCTAACTGATTAGCTTGTAAGCAGTATAAATTAAATCCCAGCTCCTTCACAGTTCTTGTCACGATCTAATCTTGGAATTTTAGATTAAAGAACTACTTTGAATTTCATTCATCCAAGTTTAAAATAATCAAACATATAATAACTACTTTTGTTGCTTATCCTGTCAGTCTAACTATTTTAAGATACTTTGAATTTCACTTGCAAAAGCTAAATTAGCAAACAAAGCCCATAGTACCTTCCAAGGTTTAGTAACTTAGCCTTTGCATTAACTTTGGAATTGATTGTGACCATTATGGAAGTTGTAAGTACAATAAAGTTCTTGAGATCCGATGGCACTTCTGTTGAGGTCTTCAAGTTGGGAGAAAATAATAAGGGGAAGTCCTTCTTAATACATACCACTTTGATGTACAACAAAGTTTCTGAGAGGCTCCTATTTAGAGCACATGAGGCAGCCTGGTTAAGATGTGTAGAAGCATTCCCATGCGGAAAGTTTTAAGCTGTAGTGGGTTTCATATTTTCTACTGTTTGATATTTAAACTTCTGTCCATTCCCTGGGCACACTGCCTTCCCAACATAGGTTGTCATGTTCAGGTACCTTTCATAACATCGATTTTCCCGACTCTATGACATAAAGCCAATCATATCGCAATCAATGATCACAGCTGATGGTTGCTAGAAAGCAAATGCTGATAATTTCCGTGAACATATTTATACTTATAATAGCATAACAATCATATCTACTGTATGTGTGCACTTGTGCCAGAAACTAAGATAAGCATTTATATACATTATCTTATTATCCTTGAGGATATTTTCAGAAGGTATTTCGGTCCTATTTTATAGTTAAGAAGATTTTATAGTTAAGAAGATTCAGGTTTTGCAAGGTAAGGTAATGTGTCCAAGCAACCTAAGAAGAGGCAGAGCAGGCTTTGAACCCATATTTTTTTCACTCCAAGATCATCTCAGACTTGACATTTTCTCCTCGGAAGCACTTTTGGACTTCAGAGATATATGTATGTAGAGTATATACCATATATATAAGTGTGTGTATGTAAGTGTGCATTTTATATATATATATATGCAGACAGAGAGAGGCAGAGAGAGGGAGGGAGAAACAGAGAATACGTATAATAAATGGCTTGTGACTGACAACTTCATTGGCAATGCTGAGAATAATTAACCATAGATAACATCTTAAAGCAATATTACTTAATGAGGTATTCAAGATAGAAAACTTTCTGATAATTGAAATAAATATATCCCTTTGGGCAACAAATGCTTCTCTCTCCCTTTTAACCATTTATTTCCGAGGAACTTCAATCAATGAAATTAAAATGATTTTAATCATATTGGTATGGTCATGACTTTAGACATTATGTGGAGAGGAATGGATAGGTTCAAGGTCTGTGGTATAACTTTATGTAGGATTACAAAGTATCATACCAGTTCCTTTTGATTTTTGATCATGTCCCCCTTTTTCATAAAGTAAAATATTGGAAACACAGCTCTAGCGGTTTGTAACTTGGCTTTCTGCAAAGTATATTTTTGATTCTCTGATTGAAGTTTTTAATTTCCTCTATGATTTCTTTAAACTACAACATTTTCATTGTCAGAAGAAAAGGTTGATACCTGAGCAGACAGAAATCAAGTGACAATTTGCTTCAAATTGCCCTTTAATATTTGACCTAGAACAGAATTCACTGTTTAAGTAACATTATAAGGTGCATCTGTTGGGATGAGAAGAATGAAAACCTTATATGTCTTGCATTGAGTGGACTAACTTCCTTTTTTATACCAAAGAGCACTCTATTTCACAGATTTAAAACAGGAAGAATCATTATTCAAGGACAAAATGATCATTACTCACATGCACACACACACACGTGTGTGTATGTGTGTATATATATATACATATATATATATATTCACCCTTCTTTTTTAAACTCAGAGTCATAGGCACAATGTTATTTGTTGTACTCTATTAAGTTTTTATTTAAATACAAGAAAAATAACTTTAACTGAAAGCACCAATAGATCAAAGCCAGTGAGAAGTTTTCTTGGTGCACTTCCCCCTAGTTTACACTCTATACGTAAATGTTCTAGGTCATTTTTTTAAACACAAAGCGTGATCTATTGTTGGGAAAAATCATAAGAAGAAATCATTCTTGAAAGCAACGAAGTTTATAGAAATATCATATCGAGAGGAAGGATTTTACAAGAGCTGCCAACACCATCTTCCCAACACTTCAAACTAGTGTTCCTCTCAGAAGTGGGCAAAGAAACAACCTTCAAAGGCTGATTGGACACAGTTTTCTTTTTTTCTGGAGGATGTAGAGATTTTGAAAAGCATTTCCTTCAGGCTTGAAAGTTGTCATAAAAGCAGATATCTATACTTAAGGGCACTGTGCTAGTGCTGATGTGCCTAGATGTACTTTAATAAATTCAGTTTGTTTGTGTTTGTAATATGCAAGGCCTACTACCATGAAAGGCAAAGAGCAGGAGTCCTTTTCCCCCAGTCTAAGAGTGAGTGGTACTGCTCAAAACAACTTAACAAAGTCAGTACAATTGCTATCCTCATTTGAGCATATGAGGAAACTGGGGCACAATTGAGGAAACTGGGGCACAATTGAGGAAACTGAGGCACAGAATGATTAAGTAATTTACCCAAGGATGGCGGCTAACAAGCAATAAAGGCAGATCCAAGACAGTCAAGATAAACCTAGAATTCAAGACTTAACTACACTGAATAGTGCCACAAAGCTTTTAGGACTATTGATGACTCAGTCATATGCTGTCTCCACTCCTTACTGACCTCACAGTTCTTCAGTCTTCAACTCAATCTTTCTTTACTGTTGAAGATTTGACTGCTGTCCTGCAACACCTTTGCTTTGAACTGCTTCTATATTTATTGTTATGTTTATTATTTTTAGTTTTTTCTCCCCTCCTTTCTCCCTCTCCTTTCCTCTATATAATTATATCCATCTGTCTTCAGTAATGCCAAAAAAATTAAAATGTCTGCCATCATTTTTCATTATGACAGAGATTTTACAACCTATTAAATCAGACACTAAATTGTGGAAATTGTAATATTATGTTGACTTTATATTTTTCTGTCTTGCTAGAGTTTAGTTGTTCTTATAAAACACAAAGACTTAAATGTGCAGGATGTGATTAAGCTTTGTGGCCACTTTGAATTCTCATGGAATTTTCCATATTGACAGTGCTACTCTTCCACTTATTCATGTCTCCTTTTTGCTTACTATAAAGAATGCACATATTGAATCTTACTGTGTTTCAAAAAAGAATGGTGAGCAGAACTGTGACAGAATTCTTCTGTAAGTATAGAAGTTTTTCTTTTAAGTTAACTTGTATTAAACATCTTTCTTCAATTTTAATTGGAAAGTATTACTGAGTGCTTTGTTTCCAGTCAAAATGGAAAGTTTTACTTCATAAAGTATAACCATAAAACATCGAAGCAAATTCTACAACTCACCTCAGATCATTTAACTACTTCATAGTTTTAAGGGAAATTTCTTAAAGTCCTATTTGCAAATATTTAAGTATGACAGGGAAGTAAAATAAACTGGTGTCAGTTTGTGCAGGGAAGACTTTTCAAATAGTATTGTTATGATTACATTTACCATGATGAGAAAAATCAAGTAATACTATGCAGGTTCCTATGAGAAATGAGTTATGATTTAAAATGCGCCCCAGATAAGAAATAAATTTGTGTTAGCGACATCTGGCCACAAAATAATTTTAATCCTTGAATGTTAGATAAATTTTAGGGGTTTTTTTTAAGCATAATGAAGCAATTGAGTTAATATTATTTATTTTTCTCTAAAAGTCTTAGGGAAAAAGGGTGAGCCTTTGAGAAGTATGTTCCTATTTCCTATATAACCATCTGGGGCCAGTGTGGTGCTTATCCTTTTCTTGTGTATTGAAACAAGATGCAAAAAAAAAAGAGAGAGAGAGAACTGATACCCTATCATGGTTTGCAACAGATACTGTGTATAATCTCTTATTTACTTTGCACTTTGAGGTGGAGTTTAATCCGAATGACTTACCTGTAGAAAAAGCATCAAATGGGAGCCACCTAAAGTTCATCATGGTCCCAAAGGGAATTATTAAGAACCCATTCTTCATCAGCCACATGTGTCTTAAGGAAGTTTCTGAGACTTTTCTGCTTGGAGACCGTGGAAGGGAGAATTCTAAGGATGAGGAGAGTGGGCAGACATTGGATATTACTTACCTTTATTTATAAAATTCTGTATACCTATAAAATAGGTATGCATACACACACATGCACACACACTGACACACATACAGTTTTAAGGTGACTGATTCTAAAAACCACGTGGAGGGGCTGGGAAATCATTTTGATAAGACGATTTTCCCCCTCTAGTTTCTAGAGTTAACATTATTGAACTGCTGTCTTTTCATCAGTGCACAAAAAATACATAAAATGATCTTTCAGTTTTCCGAAACACAGGTTTCCATCCACATCAAGTGTCCACAAAGTACACCAAATCTCAATGGTTTCTATGGCTTTTTTAAAAAAGAATCTTTAGCAACAAAGATTTATTTCTTCTTCAGTAAGCAGCACAAAGAGATAATAAGGATCCCAAAACCAAGTGTTACATTCCATACATCTTGAATAGACCACACACAAATAGAAAGAATGTGTGCTTTAATTGGTTGGCAATAGCCATAAATTATAGTAAAGATGGCTATTAAATACTGAGTGCACACTATGTGGAATGCTTTACATACTATAAAATCCACACCAAATATTGTGGTGGTTAAAAGATAGTTTCTGGAGCTAGACTAACCAGCTTTTATTCCTGGTTGCACCACATCACGAACTGATGACATTGAGCAAGTTCGTTAACTTTTTGTGAGTCAGTTTTCTCATCTGCAAAATGCTGATGTAACAATAGTATCTATTGCATAGAGTTATTATGAGGATGCCTGAGTTGATATTTATAAAGTGCACAGAATTGTACTTGACATGCAGAAATACAAAGGGCATAAAACAAACCATATGGGGCTGGCAAGGCTTTCCCTGTTTCAGATGAAAAACCTGTCTCAGAGAGGCTCACCAACTTTCCTTAGATTGCATGGTTTGTGAAGGCTTGGATTTGGTAGAAGTACTGGAAATGAGGAGGCAAGGTCTGTGACAGACATTGCCAAGTCAAACTTACGGGATATAATTTTTATTATTAGAATTGACAGGACTTAGCAGCTCTTTAATCTTAGGGAGTAAAACACTTCTTAATATTTCCACACTCAACACGACAGTTGAAAATGAAAGCTTCATCTGTTATTTTTAGTTGAACCAAAATGACAAGCTTCTGTCCACTTTTACAAACTTCTTTTAGAACTAAACACCTAAAAAACTTCAGTTCATTTAGGTCGTTGTACCTCCAGCTTGAATGTTAATCTGCTTTTTTCATACTGCTCTTTTTACAGAATGCAACATAATTACGGAAGATAAGTATAAACATGAAGTCATTTAAAAAGATTAATGTGTTCTATCTCCTGCCATTTGCTGAGAAAACGTTGTGTGAAAATTTCACCCCTCCCCCCAAATCTGTACATTGACATTTACAGCAAACATTTTTTAAAGTGAAAGCTACTATGAAGTTAAATAATTTAGAAAGGGCTTCCTAGCAGTGTGTTCTGCAATTTGAGAGGGAGTGAATATCTTTTTACAAAATCACTTAGTGAGCCCTTTTGGAAGCCTCCGCATTTTATTCTGTTGAGGCTTGGTGAATAAGAAAAGAGTGATGTGACAAAGAGTCGGCCTGCTTTTGTTTACTCCTCATTTCCATGGTGTAGTAGCATATTCAGCCAAAGGAATCTTAATTAATTCAAAAGTTTCTAATAATAAAGCTATTGTTGATGTTGTGTAGAAGAAACTACGCATTATGGCAGCCACAAAATGCCTTGGGCATCAAGAATATTTCAGGTTTCTGGAGAGAGCCAAAGCATCACAAGGCTTCATCCTGCCCTTTTTCTTCAACCCACAGCCCCACTGATTTTAAGGGCTCTCAAACAGTGCATCCAAGATTTTGTCTGCTGTGGGGGAGGAGTAACTGAATAGCTTAAGAGGTCTCTGTGTGGCATCTATGAGAGGGAGGGGGGAAACGGATGATGACTCATACTGAGGGGTGACTAACTGGGACCCCAATTTTCTGCAAGTTTTATATTTTTTTGGAAACCATTTCTTAAGCACAATGGGCAGTTTAATTTATCAAATAACCTCATCTTCTGTTGCTGAATAATTCTACTATCAATGTAAAAGGTCCTCAGTAAACTTCACGGTAAGCATGTAAACTTTTTAATCAGTTCCCAGCTCTTTAATCTTAGGGAGTAAATTAGTTAAACAGCCAGAAGTTTTTGCCTCAAATTTTCAGTTACTTTATTCCATGGGTCAAAATAAATCATAGGTGGGGAATTGACAGCTGGAAGACAAGGCACAGTAGAAATATTACAAGGGACAAGGAGACATTTTCTCTAGTTGGATATTTGATTGGAAGAGCAAACTTCCCCAAGGATTGATGCATGGTAACTGTATCCATGGGGATTTCCTCCAAAACAGGACATTAGAGCATAAAAATAATGATACAAAAGTAAAATTACAGAAATAATGCCAAAAGTAAACTGGTATGACATTTAATCACTTTGCCATATTGTAAAAGAAATATATATTAATTGTAAAATACATGTAGAACTTAGATTTGTTTTATTTTCAAATAAAATTTATTTGAAAATAAATCACTGAGGAAAACAGAAATCCCATTCCCTAATGATAGTTTATAATCCTACTACAAATGCCATGTATACTTCAATATAAAAATAACTTTGAAGCCATAGAAAACAGAATAATAAAAGTCATTCATGATCTTCAGGGATCAAGGACTAACCACAGTTAATCAATGTTGACTGGTCAGATGTTGTGATTAATATTTTTACAGTAAGGACATTCAAAACTTAGTTAGGACAACTATAGTTAGCAATAATATATTATATAGCTTCTAATAGCTAGAGGGAGAATATTGAACATTTCCAATTCAAAGAAATAATATGTGTTTGAGATGGTGTATATGCTAATTACCCTGATAGGCTCACTATGCAACACTTCATAGTTAATTTTCATAAAATCAACTTAAAATCCTAGATAATTAAGCCTAGCCGAATTAATACCAAGATGATATATAGCCTATCATGCAATAATAATTTCACATTTTAAACACATGTTGCAATAAACTGAATATTTATGTCTCCCCCACCCCGCCCCGCCAATTTACATGTTAAAATTCTAACCTCTAAGGGGCTAATATTAGGAGATGAGGTCTTTTGGAGGTGATTAGGTCATGAGGGTGGAGCCTCGTGAATGGGCTAAGTGCTCCGACAAAAGAGGCCTGAGAAAGGCCATGTGAGGACACAGCCAGAAGGCACCATCTGTGAACCAGAAAATGGGTCCTCAACAGACATCAAATCTGCTGGTGTCTCGATCTTGGACTTCCTAGCCTCTAGAATTGTGAGAAATAAATTTCTGTCATATAAGCTATAAGCTACCTAGTTTATGGAATTTTGTTATACTAGCTTGAACAGAACAAGACGTATGTATATAATGTTAATGGTCCAGGGTTCCATATTGCTCATTCTCTTTATGAAGTCAAATTTAAGAAGCACATTTTGGCAACAAAAGTAAGTTGAAAAAAAGATTTTATCTTTTAGAGTCCTCCACATCCAACTTAAACCCCACACTAACCTGTTCAAAAGCTGCTTTCCCCACTACCTCGTTATCTCTAATCAGCAGTTGCTTGGGAAACACCCACAATTCAGACAGTCAAATTTTGTTTTCTCTCTTCAGGCCCTTACTATGCTATTTTGAGCGTAAATTACAATTCAGGCACTTTGGCCAATTGCACTCCAAAACCTAATACAATGCCTCCTCACTCTTTAGCTCATCTTTCTTCCTACACATTGAAGCATTAAAAAAATCAACTTGCCACCGGGCACGGTGACTCACACTTGTAATCCCAGCACTTTGGGAGGCGGAGGCCGGCGGATGACGAGGTCAGGAGATCGAGACCACCGTGAAACCCCGTCTCTACTAAAACTACAAAAAATTAGCAGGGCGCGGTGGCGGACGCCTGTAGTCCCAGCTACTTGGGTGGCTGAGGCAGGAGAATGGCGTGAACCCGGGAGGTGGAGCTTGCAGTGAGCCGACATCACGCCACTGCACTCCAGCCTGGGCGACAGAGCGAGACTCTGTCTCAGAAAAAATAAAAATAAAAAAAAATAATAAACTTGCCTCAGTGTGTGGGGAAGAAGAGGCAATTCAATTTTAAAGAATGGCTTTTTTTGTTGTTGTTGTTGTTGTGTATGTATAGGTTATGGAGGAAGGAAAACTGTGACCACTTTTCTGGTAATTTATCTTTTTCCTGCCATAGGACCAAAGTTTGGAGTTTTGATGGATTCTATTAGCAATGCCCTATTTGAACTCTAAAGTTGAGGCATACTGTTTTTTATTTTGGCCTAGTGTATTAGTTGGGGTTCTCCAGAGGGACAGAACTAATAGGATATATGTATATATGAAAGGGAGTTTATTAAGGACAATTGGCTCACGCGATCACACGGCAAAATCCCACAGTAGGCAGTTTGCAAGCTGGAGTCTGATGACCAAGGGCAGAAGGAACCAAGGGAAGCCTCCAGCATGGGAGAAAGAGGAAAGCCCAAACACTCAGGAAGACAGACAGCTTATCCCACCTTACCTTCTTCTTTTTTTTTTTTTTTTTTTTTTTTTTTTTTTTTTTTTTGGAGACGGAGTCTCACTCCGTCGTCCAGGCTGGAGCGATGTGGTGCGATCTCGGCTCGCTGAAAGCTCCACCTCCCGGATTCACCCATTCTCCTGCCTCAACTGGGACTACAGTACAGGCGCCCGCCATCACGCCTGGCTAATTTTTTTTTTTTTGTATTTTTAGTAGAGACAGGGTTTCACCGTGTTAGCCAGGATGGTCTCGATTTCCTGACCTCGTTTCCTGACCTCGTGATTCGCCTGCCTCGGCTTTCCAAAGTGCTGGGATTACAGGCGTGAACCACCGCGCCCAGCACCACCTTCCCTTCTTCTGCCTGCTTTGTTCTAGCCGTGCTGGCAGCCAATCGGATGGCGCCCATGCACATTTTGGATGGGTCTTTTTTTCCCAGTCCACGGAGGCAAATGTTAATCTTCTCTGGCAACACCCTCACAGACACACCCAGAAACAATACTTTACCAGCTATCTAGGCATCCTTCAATCAAGTTGACACTTAATATTAGTCATCACACCTAGGTATTATGAAATATCCAATGAAGCACGTTAAAAGCATTGCAAAGTAGATGAATGTAAATACAGTGTGTGTGTGCACATGTGTTTTGTATAAGTGTGTCACTGACTGTGCATGTGAGCAAATACTTAACACACGGTTAAGGAAGAGAGCTTTCTAACTCTCAAAGATTGAGTGAAATTCATCAAGAGCAGAGACAGCCCAGATATTTCTTTGTACATCATGAGAAACCTGACTGAAGATAGGAAAATCTTTTCATGGAAAAGAACTGCAGTGAGTTATAACTGCTTCTGCAAACAAGGGGGATTATTATAATCCTGAAGAATAAAAATGAAACCAAGATGAAATAACATGACAAGAAAAAAAGAAAAATTTTTAAAATTGAAAACCTCACACCTACACACACACAAATAATAATGAAGTTAGTGGAATTTTATGTTTTCCTGTTATCGCTTTATGTGGAATGCAGAATATAAAAGAAAAATTGAATTAATTGTAAATTAGTAGGATTAAATGCATGTTTACATAGATATTATTGTGGCTGAAATTATAACATGTTAATTTTCCTTTGTGGATATTAAAGTGATTCCCTTCTGAATGACAATATTTTAGGTGGAAAAAAATAGTGAAAATTCCAGAGATATAAGCAAATATTTTAGTAGTTTTGTTTGTTTGTTCTTTTTTGTTTTTTTTGTTTGTTTGTTTGAGATGAAGTCTTGCTCTGTTGCCCAGGCTGGAGTGCAGTGGCGCAGTCTCAGCTCACTGCAACCTCTGCCTCCCGGGTTGAAGTGATTCTCATGCCTCAGCCTCCCAAATAGCTGGGACTACAGGCGCCTGCCCCCATGCCCTGCGAATTTTTGTATTTTTAGTAGAGATGAGGTTTCACTAGGCTCTACTGAAGGTTGAGGTTGGCCAAACTGGTCTCGAACTCCTGACCTCAAGTGATCCACCTGCCTTGGCCACCCAAAGTGCTGGGATTACAGGCATGAGCCACCGTGCCCAGTCAGTAGTTTTTTGTTTTTTGTTTGTTTTGTTTTGTTTTGTTTTGGAGTCTCGCTCTGTTGCCCAGGCTGGAGGGCAGTGGTGCAATCTCAGCTCACTGCAAGCTTTGCCTCCCAAGTTCACGCCATTCTCCTGCCTCAGCCTCCCGAGCAGCTGGAACTACAGGCACCCGCCACCATGCCCAGCTAATATTTTATATTTTTTCGGTAAAGATGGGGTTTCACCGTGTTAGCCAGGATGGTCTTCATCTCCTGACCTCATGATCCACCCGCCTCAGCCTCCCAAACTGGTGGGATTACAGGCGTGAGCCACTGCGCCAGGCCAGTAGTTTTTTTTACATATGCCACAGGACTGCTAAAGTTATGAAGTTAATTGAACTATTTCGGACCAAAATTATGAAATATCCAGTGAGCCACACATTTAAGTTGATATTTCTGTTCTAAAACACACTAAATTATCGAATTTGACTACCTATAGTTCTTCACAAATTTAACACACCCATGAACGCATAAAGGCCTTACTGAAATGCAGACTCTAACTCAGTGGGTATGTGGTAGTGCCTGAGATTCTGCCTTCCTAATGAGCTCCTGTGTGTTGGTGCTGCTGCTGATACTGCTCCTGGTCCTGTTTTTGGACAATATTATGCATAGCAAGTGTCTGTACTAGTATTGTTCAATAGTACTTTATGTGATGATGGAAGTGTTCTATATTTGTTGATGGCTACTGAGCAGTTGAAATGTAGTTACTGTGATTGAAAATATGAATTTTTATTTTATAAAATTTTAACTAATTTAAATTTAAATAACCACACATGACTAGTAGCTACCTATTGCACAGTGGAGATATCCTAATGGCACATTGAATCATAAAATTGTCACTGATATATGGTCTGTGTAAATGCACACCATCTGAGAATGTGCCATACTTCACAAGCCTTCATGAGAACACAGGTGTGCAGGTTGTGGAATAAGCACTTCAATAAATTCCTCTGGTAGGATTTATTACCCTGGCAGCTTTTCAGTGGGAAAGTTCATTCTATGATGTTCTGAATTTTACCTGAAGGAGACTAGAAAATAGAAAATGAATCATCAAGAAATGTTGTGGATTACCAAGGATCTTTTTAGGCAAAATAAACTTCTCTTTTTTTTCTCTTTCAGCTAAGTCAGCGCACGAAAAAACAACAGTCTTCTGCAAACAAAACCATGTTTTTCCAAAACAATTGCAATTTCAGATAAGCTTTTACTTTATGATGGTTTCCAATAAGAAAATGGCAACATCAAAGTCATTTTGGAGCCATGTGACAATAAAGCTACATGTCACAGCCTTAAATAATGATAAATTAATTCTGGCTTTTTTCTTGATATCCTTTGTCCCTTATCTTGGCCTTCAGCAAAGTGCTTCTCATCATCATATTCACCATGCACACATATACATGAAACTATAATGACAAATGATGATATGAATATCCATTGCTCCAACAAATATAATCTTGATACCAATAACAATAATGAAAATAAGAATATTTTACCCTTGTAAATTACTTTGGTGTTTATAAAGTACTTACACATGATATTCTCCTTAATTTTTTGTTAATATAAAAACCAACATGCCTATGAAAAACAGCTGCCCCTGTTTTGGGTTTATTTGCTCCTTTCTTGGTATGTTTCCAAATAATATGCTGTTATAGCCTCAAGCTCCTTTGAAGATGTGTTTTGAAGTTTTGCAGCCTACATTCTCCTTCTCATCATAGTCATCATTGTCATTATCATCATCTTCATTTTTATGAAATGTCACTAAAAGCCAGAGGTATCAGCATTTTATGTCTTCTTAAAAGCCAATGGTGTTTTATGCAAGAATAAAGATATTACTCTCCAATTTATAAAAACATTTTTCCCAGTGACATTAGCAAGATGGCAGAATAGGAGGTAACCCACTCATATCCCCCTACAATAACAAGAATTCTACACCCTTATATAAACAAAAGACTCTCTACAGGAGCCTCAGAATTCAGGTAGGAGGTTGTGAAACCCCTGTGAAGCCTAAGAGCCAGGAGGGTTGTTTCAAAAGTACAGAATGGCACTGGCATCCAAGTGGCTGATCTGCCAGTTGTGCTCCAAGGTGCAAACCCAGGAATGGTCCTACTCCCCAAGGGGCTTGGCTACAGCCCCAGTTAACCTCGAGCCTGCAAACAAAACCATCTGCCAAGGGGTCCAAGAGGAATAGAACTCACTAGTGCCTCAGTGAAGAGGCTAATCTGCCCGCTGACATTGTTCATGGCAATGAACCTGAAAGTTGCCCTGTGGCACTCTTCCAGGCCCCTCAGCTGAGGTCCCAGCACAGAGTTGTTTACACAAGGACACAGATGGAGACTTGCCCATACCTCAATGCCTGGAAGTCTGAGCCTTCATGAAAAGCTTGCCAACCACTGTCCCACAGCAGATCTTGAGTGGGCCCAGTCTCAGCTTCAGCCCCTCATGCTTAAGTCAGAGAACTATCCCATCAGTGCAGAGACTGGCTGGGAGATGTATACCCATCTGAGCCAACAATATGGCTCTCTCACCTCCATCTCACAGTAGATCTTAAGGGGGGCCAAGTCTCAGTCTGGGCCCTCCTGTAGCAGTCAAGGAATTATACCACTTGTGCGAAGACCTGCGGGGAGATGTGTGCCCATGTGAGCCAATGGAATGGGCTCACCAGCATCCCATAGCAGATACTAAGGGAGCCGAGTCTAAACTCCGGCCCCTCTTGTTGCAGTCAAGGACCTATCCTGCCTGTGCAAGGACCTGCTGCAGGGCATACCCATCTGAGCCCCAGGACTGTCTTCTGGGCTTATGTCCCTGGCCAGCTTTACCACACAGCCCTAGTATCCTCCTTGGGTCTTCCCTAGGTCCATTCAAGCAGAAAACCTTGTCAACTTCAGAGCCCTCACAAAACTCATTAAGCTTGGGCTTATAGTGCCCTCTAATGCTGAGATGGCTGCAGTGCTCACAGGCTCATGAAGTACAAGAGTCAGTCTGCTTAGAATTTCTAAGAAGGCCCACTGAAAAAGGACAGGGACAAACAAGTCTATACTGTAAAGGATGAATATAACCTAACCCTCAATCACAGAAATAGTCACATGTTCACAAGCAGCTAGAGCCTTCTAAATTGACAAAATGAGGTACCAGAGATTGATCCTAAAGTGACGACAATGTGTGATCTCTTAGACAAAAAAAGATTTTAAATAGCTACTTTAAGGAAGCCCAGCAAATTTCAATGAAACACAGAGTAACAATTCAGAAATTTATCAGATAAATTTAGCAGAGAGACTGAAATAATAATAATAATTAAACAGAAAACCTAGAGGTAAAATATACAATAAAGGAATTGAAAAAATGCAATAGAGAGTATCAGCAACAGAATTGATCAAACAGAAGAAAAATAAGTGAACCCAAAATAGGCTACTTAAAAATACACAGATATAAAAGAAAAAAGGAATGCAAAGGAATGAAGAAAGCTAATGGGATTTATGGGATAACATCAAAAGAGCAAATATCTGGGTTATCGAAGTTAAAGAGGGAATTGAGAAAAGTGTAAAAATAATAACAAATAATTATTCAAACAAATAATAACAGGAAAATTTTCAAGCCTGTATCCAGGTACAAGAAGATCAAAATTTACCAATCAAATTTAACCCAAATAAAAATACTCCAAGACATACTGTAATCAAACCCCAAAGGTCAAAGACAAATGGAAGATTCTGAGAGCAGTGAGAGAAAAGAAGAAAATAACATATAAGGGAGACCTGATATATCTGGCATCAGACTTTCAGTAGAAATCTTATAGTCCAGGAGGGAGTGGGGTGATAAATTCAGAGTGCTGAAAGTAAAAAGAAAAAAGAAGAAAAACTACAAACCAAGAATTCTGTACACAGCAAAGCTATTCTTCAGAATGAAAGAGAGATAAAGACTTTCCTAGACAAACACAAAGTGAGGGAATTCATCACTACCAGACCTGAACTGCAAAAAAATGTTAGAGTTCTTCAAACTGATAAAAAGGTAAGCTAACATGATTGTTACTCTAATACTATAATTGTGGTGTTTAAACCACTTATATCTTTAATACAAAGACTAAAAGATGGAACTATTTAAAATAGTAACTACAATAATTTATTAAGAGGTAGGCAGTATTTTAAAAAGATGAATTGTTGGTTGGGCAGAGTGGTTCATGCCTATAATCGCAGCACTTTGGCAGGTCGAGGCCGGTGGACTCTGGGAGCTCAGGAGTCTGAGACCAGCCTGGGCAACATAGTGAAGCCCTATCTCTATCAAAAATACAAAAAACAAAAATTGCTGGGTGTGGTGGTGTGCATCTGTGGATGAGGTAGGAGGATTGCTTGAACCTGGGAGGTGGAGGTTGCAGTGAGCCAAGATTGCACCAGTGCACTCCAGCATGGGTGACAGAGTGAGACTCTGTCTCAAACACATGCACACACACACACACAAACACGTGAATTATGACATCAAAAATTCAAAGTGTGGAAAGTGTGGAGGGAGACTGAAGTGTACAGATTTTTTGTTTCTTTTCTTTGCAATCAAAATTTAGTATCAGTTTAAAATAACTTATAGCTATAGAATGTTTTTGTAAGCCTCATGCCGACTGCAAAGCAAAAACCTATAATAGAGAAACCGAAAATAAAAAGCAAGATATCAAAATATACAAGAAAAAATCACTTAACCACAAAGGAAGACTATAAAAGAAGAAAGAAAGGAACTACAAAACTACAAACTACTAGAAAAGAATAACAAAATAGCAGTAGTAACTCCTTATCTATCAATAATTACTTTGAATGTAAATGAATTAACTTTTCTAAGTAAAAGACAGAGTGGCTTAATGGATAATAAAATAAGGCCCAACCATATGCTGCTTATAAGAGATTCATTAGACCTGCAAGAATACACATAAACTGAAAGTGAAGGGATGAAAAAGGCTATTCTATGCAAATAGAAACTGAAAATGAGCAGGAGTAGCTATACTTAGTCAGAAAACAAATAGACCTTAAACTAACAACTATAAAAAGCAACAAAGGCAGCGATAACATAATGATAAAGGGATCAATATAGCAAGAAGCTATAACAATTATAAATATGTATCATTCAATGTAAGAGGGCCTAAATTTATAAAGCAACTATAAATAGACCTAAAGGGAGAGATCGCCTGTAATACAATAATAATAAGGGATTTCAACACCCCACTTTCAGCAATGGACAGATCATCTAGACAGAAAATCACCAAAGAAACATCAGAGTCTAACCACACTGTAGACCACATCGACCTAAGATACATTTACAGAGCATTACATATAAGTGCCACAGAACACACATTTTTCTCAAAAG
Organism: Homo sapiens; assembly: GCF_000001405.40. Classification (NCBI taxonomy): domain Eukaryota; kingdom Metazoa; phylum Chordata; class Mammalia; order Primates; family Hominidae; genus Homo; species Homo sapiens. The sequence continues at coordinate 44,933,011 of NC_000005.10, read as the reverse complement.
CACATTAAACATTTTTCAGTATAATCATATATTTATCAACAAAACAAGTCTGAACAAATTTTGTTAAAATCAAAATTATCTCAAGTATCTTTTTTGACCACAATGAAATAAAACTAGAAATTAATAACTAGGGGAATATTAAAAACTGTACAAATACAAGGAAATTAAACAGCATGCTCCTGAACAACAAAGGGCTCATCAAAAAAATTGAAAAGAGGCTGGGTGTGGTGGCTCATGCCTGTAATCCCAGCACTTTGGGAGGCCGAGGCGGGCGGATCGCCTGAGGTCAGTATTTCGAGACCAGCCTGGCCAACATGGTGAAACCACATCTCTACTAAAAACTAAAAAATTAGTCGGATATGGTGGTGGGTGACTGTAATCCCAGCTCCTTAGGAGGTTGAGGCAGGAGAATAGCTTGAACCCAGGAGACGGAGGCTGCAGTGAGCTGACACAGTGCCACTACACTCCAGCCTGGGTGACAGAGTGAGACTCCATCTCAAAAAAAAAAAAAAAAAAGAAAAGAAAAGAAAAAAGTTTTTAAGAGAAATGAAAATGGAAACAACATACCAAAAACTATGGGATATTGCAAAAGCAGTTTTAAGAAAGAAGTTTATAGTGATAAACACCTAGATTAAAGCAATAGAAAGTTCTCAAATGAATGACATTGCTCCTCAAGGAAATAGAAAAACAAGAAAAAACTAAAACCAAAATTAGTAGGAGGAAAGAAAACAGAGCAGCAGTAAGCACAATAGAAACTAAAATAAAATACAAAATATCACTAAAATAGAGGGGTTTTTTTTAAAGATAAACAAAATCAACAAACCTTTAGCTAGATTAGCTTAAGGAAGAAAAAGAGATTATTGAAATAAGTAAAATCAGAGATAAAAAAGGAAACATTACAAGTGATACAACAGAAATACAAAGCATCATTATAAAACTATGAATGAAGACATGCCAACAAATTGGAAAATAGAAGAAATGGATAAATTTCTGGACACACACAAACTACTAAGATTAAATCATTAAGGAATATAAAACTTAGACTAGTAATGGATAATGAGATTGAAGTAATAATAAAAACTCTTTCATCAAAAGAAAAAAGCAAAGGATCTGATGAATTCACTGTTGAATACTACCAAACGTGTAAAGAACGAATACCAATTCTTCTCAAACTAGTACAAAAATTTAGAGCGGCTGGAGCTGAGACTGGGCCTGCTCAAGATCCACTGTGGGACAAAAGTTAGCAAGCTCCTCATGGAGTTTCAGACTCCCAGGCCTCAAGTGGAGGAAAATTATTCCAAACTCAGTCTATGAGGCCAGCATTACCCTGATTCCAAAACCAAGCAAAGACACAGCAATGAAAACTACAGGCCAATATTCCTGATGAACATAGATACAAAGATCCTCAACAAAATACTAGCAAACCAAATTGAACAGAACTTCAAAAAGATCATTTACCATGCTCAAGTGGGATTTGTTGCAAGAATGAAAAGAAGGCTCAACATATGCAAATTAATAAGCGTGATACATCACGTTAACAGAATGAAGAACAAAAGCCATATGATCATCTCAATAGATGCAGAAAAAGCATTCAATAAAATTGGACAGCGCTTCATTATGAAAACCTTTTAAAAATTAGGTATAAAAGGAATACATCTCAACACAATAAAGGCCATGCATTCACAACCAATATCATACATGAACATTCAGCTTTTCATCTAAAAACTAGAATAAGACAAAGATGCTCACTTTCATTACTTCTGTTCAACGTATGCTGAAAGTTCTGGCCAGAGTAATTAGGCAAGAGACAGAAACAAAGGATCTCCAGATTGGAAAGGAAGAAGACAGGAAATTGTTTCTGTTTGCTAATTACATAATCTTATATGTAGAAAACTCTAAAGACTCCACCAAAAATCCCTTATAACTAATAAACAAATTCAGTAAAGTCACAAAATAAAACATCAACATACAAATATTAGTGATTTATCTATAGACCACTAGTAAAGTATCTGAAAAAGAAGTCAAGAAACCAGTCCTGTTTACAATAGCTACAAAAAATAATAAAGTACCAGGGAATAAATGTAAAGGAGGTAAAATATCTCTACAATGAAAACTATAACATATGGATGAAACAAATTGAAGAGCTCACTAATAAATGTAATCTCATGTTCATGAACTGGAAAGAGTGTTAAAATGACCATGCTACCCAAAGCAACCTACAGATTCAATACAATCCTTATGAAAATACCAATGACATTTTCACAAAAATCCTAAAATTTGTATGCAACTAGAAAAGGCCTCCAATAGCCAAAGCCTTCTTGAGCAAAAAGAACAAAGCTGGAGGCATCATATTGCCTGGCTTTAAAATGTACTGCAAACTAATAGTAACCAAAACAGCATAAACATCATGGCACTAGCAAAGAAACAGAAATATAGACCAACAGAACAGAATACAGAATCGAAAAATAAATCCATGCATTTATAGCCAAACGATTTAGGCAAAAAAGCCAAGACCATACAATGGGGAAAGGACAGTCTCTTCAGTAAATAGTAAATATTTATACTTATATTACTATTTATTTTAATTTACATACTTTATTTATAGCCAAATGATTTTGGCAAAAATGCCAAGACCATACAATGGGGAAAGGACAGTCTCTTCAGTAAATAGTAAATATTTATATTTATATTACTATTTATTTTAATTTATATAATTTAACTTATATTACTATTTATATAAATTAAATTTGATAATATAAATTATCAATGTAAATGTATATAAATATATAATTTCATATAAAATATTAAATTTCAAAACATAAATATTATATTTATAGTAAATAGTAATATACTATATATACTATAAATTACTATTTATAGTAAATAGTAATATACCATATATACTATAAATTACTATTTATAGTAAATAGTAATATACCATATATACTATAAATTACTATTTATAGTAAATAATATCCAGTACAACTGGATATCCACATGAACAAGAATGAAACTAGATCCCTATTGCTCACCACTGACAAAAATTAATGAAAAATGGACTAAAGACTTAAATGTAAGACCCAACATGAAACTACTGGAAAAAAAATCATAGAGGAAATGCTTCTTTACATTGATCTGGGCAAAAATTGTTTTGAATAAGACTGCGAAAGCAAAAGCAACAAAAGTAAAAATAGACAGATGGGATTACATCAAACTAAAAAGCTTCTGCACAGCAAAGGAAACAATCATGGAATGAAGAGATAATCTATGGAATGGAAGAACTTATTTGCAAATGAATACATCTGATAAGGCGTTAATATTCAAATATAGGTGGAAATCAAACAACTAAGTGGCAAAAAAATCAAATAACCTGATTAAAAGATTAGCAAAAGACCTGAATAGACATTTCATAAAAGAAGACACAAAAATGGCTATCAGATATATGAAAAATATGCTAAAAATTATTAATCATCAAGGAAATGCAAATTAAAACCAGAATGAGATATAACCACACTCTATTTTGAATGGCTGTTATCAAAAAGACAAAGATAACAAGTGTTGGTGAGGATGGGGAGAAATGGGAACACTTACTGTTGGTGGAAATGTAAATTACTACAGCCATTATAAAAAACAGTTTGGAGTTTCCTCAAAAAATTAAAAATAAAACTACCATATGATCTAGCAATCCCACTATTTGGTATATATCCAAAGGAAAGGAAATCCTTATGTTGAAGAGATATCTGCACTCCCACATTTATTGCAGCACTGTTCACAGTAGCTAAGATATGGAATCAACCTAAGTGCTCAGCAAAGGATGAATGGATATTTATATATATATATATTATATATATATATATTATATATATATATAATATATATATTATATATATATATATAATATATATACACACACACATAATGAAATGCTGTTTAGCCATAAGAAAAGAATGAAATTCTATCATTTATGACAATGTAGATGGACCTGGAGGATATTATGTTAAATGCAATAAACCAGGCACAGAAAGACAAATACCACATGATATGACTCATACATGGAATTTTTGAAAGTTCAGCTTATAGAAGTAGAGTAGAATAGTGATTATTAGAGGTTGCGGAAGGAGGGAGAAGGGGAGGGTTTGGGGTTGAACAATTGGTACAAAGTTACAGTTAGATGGGAGTAATAAGTTTCAGTGTTCTAATGCACAGTTGAATGACTATAGTTAACAACAATGCATATTTAAAAAGCTAGAAGGGAAAAATACTAATAGTCTCATCACAAAAAAAGATAAATGAAGAAAATTTATGAAAATGCTACTTACCCTGATTTGCTCATTATACAATGTATCTGTGTATCAAAACATCACATCGTATCCCAAATATATATGTATATATAATTATTATGTCATTTTAAAATAAAAAATTTTAAAATTATTTTTCTTATTTTAAACTCCCCCTTGCAGGTCTTCCCTGATTAGGTTAAAGAAAATTAACTTCCAACATCCATAAAATAAAATGAAAAATCAAGAGATCTTTTGGGTTGCTAATAAGCATACAAAAAAGAGTAATATTAAAAACAAACAAAACAACTACAACATATTGCATTAAACAATGCCCCCAGATAACTTTTATCTTGAAAGTTTTGTCTTTGAAAGTCATAACAAGAATTCTGACCTCTTAAAAATATACTCAGGCAAAATATATGATCTTGCTATCATTTTCAAATTACAAACAGTTTAACACAGTTAATTTGATCTGGTGTTCAAGGGATATTTTTAAAATGATATCTCAAAAATTTATGTTTATAATGAAAGACACAAAATCAAATATACGTGACTTATTTATGTTAGAAAAATTCCAAAATGGAGCCTGGGTCATTCCAGGATGATTACTTTTAAATTAGTTTTTAATATCTTAAAATTGTTTTTAAAAGTTTTTATCATGGCTTAACATAAAGAGAAGTAAAAGCTATAAACTCAATTACAAATGCAAGACTATATAAGACTATTTAATCTCGAACAATAATAGACAAAATATCTAATTTTGGTGCTTTGGGGAGAATTTATAAATTCTTTATTTCAATATCTTCAATTTTAAAATGAAAGTAGTTAGCTGGAAAGAGAAAAAGGTTGGTCATTTATTTTTATCCATTAAACTTTTTTAAAGTGTCTAAGATGTTACAAGTGTCTCAGTAAATAAACTATGAAATGAATTAGACATAGGCCTGGCCTCAAGAAGCATACAATTTAGTGAAAAGACAGACATGTACATAAAGCACACTATGCTATGGGAAGTGCCACAGTAGAAGAGCAAGTGCTATGGTTACTTGATTTATGTCACTAAGGGATTCCAGGAATGTTTCATGGGAAGGAAATTTTGAGCTAGTTAATATTGGGCTACAGATGAGAATTCATATTTCTCAGTTATTTATTTGGTCTACAGTTCTTTATGCTAGATACAAAATGCTGCCCTAGTTATAATGATGACTATGGCAGTTTTCTTGGCCCTAGCACTTTGCATTACAATATTTTAAAAGAATTTCACTCTAATGACAAAGACGGAGGGTTTTTCCCCATTAATTTGCATAAATCAAACAATTACAAGTTATCTTTTACCTAACCCCTTCTCACATTTTGTATGACTATCTCAGCATAAATTTTGACTTACATGAATATATGTATGTTTAACAGAATGTTGAATGAGAATTTCCATCCTGACTCATAGCTTTGGCTAAAACCATAATACTGAGAATAGCAGGTAATTATGTGCTAAGGATTATCTTAGGGTCCTCCTTATAGGACTTAAAAAAGATAGCAGAAATTATTCTAGAATCTGTCAAGCTTCATCACTCGCCTCCCAGCTATATAGAAAAAGTCTATAAATACGAAAGACTATTGAAGAAAACCTTTGACATAGGGCATTATTGGTCTGAGGAAAGGAGGGAGTGTGGCTCTTATTCAACACAGGAAAGAATCACACTCCCAAGCTGGAAGGTTGCTATATTAGTTTCCTGAGGTTACTGTAATAAAGTCAGTGACTTAAAACAACAGAAATTTATTCTTTCACAGCCCTAGAGGCTAGAAGTCCAAAATTAAGGTGTTGGCAGGACCATGCTCCTGCTGACGTCTTCCTTTCTTGCCTCTTCCCCCTCCTGAGTCCCAGAAATACCTTTGTTTGTGGCAGCAGATCATTTTCTGTCTCCATCTTTACAGGATGTTTTTTGCTTTGCTTCTGCTCTCTTCTTCTTACAAGAACACCAGTCATACTGAATTATTATTAGAACCATCTTAATGATCTCATCATAACTCAATGACATCTACCAAGACTCCATTCCAAAAAAAGTCATATTCACAGTTACCTAAAGTTAGGACTCCCACATTTGGAATTTGGGGAAGAACACAATTCAACCCATAACAGTTGTCCAGTTGAACATTTCAACTAAAATTATAACAACATTTACAATAATATCACATGTTCCTCATATGACAAAGCTTTATTTTGAATCAAGGCAACTACATTATTTTCAAATTTTACTTTGATTCTATGAATTGCTGTTCATTACATTGTTTCTGAAAAAGATGGATAAAAGAGAGACTGGTTTTTTCTTAGTACTGTGGGGTTGCTATTACAGAATACTGTAGACTGGTTTGCTTATAAACAACAGAAATTTATTTCTCACAGTTCTGGAGTTGAGAAGTCCAAGCTCAAGGCACCAGCAAATTCAGTGTCTAATGACAGACCGCTTCCTGGTTCATTGATGGACATACAGTTGTTTCCTCACATGGCAGAAAGGGCCAGGGAGCTGCTATGGTCTGAAAGTTTGTGTCCCCACCTTCCCAATTTCATATGTTGAAACCTAATCAGCAATGTGATGTTTTAGAAGTTGGATCTTTAGGAGGTGAGTAGTTCAAGTCAGAGGCTTCATAAATAGGATTAATGTCCTTATAAAAGATGATTGATACCCTATAAAAGAGGCTCCTTCCACCAAGGGAGGACATAACCAGAAGGTGCTACCTGTGAACCAGGAAGTGAATCCTCACCAGACACTGAGTCTGACAGAGCCCTAATCTTGGCTGGACATTCTAAGAGTCTTTAACTTCTCAGAGACCTCATGAACTCATCACCTATCAAAGGCCCTGCCTCCTAACACTATCACATTGGGAGCTAGAATTTAAACATATAAATTTTGCAGGGGGGGACACAAACATTCAGTCTGTAGCAGGTTTGTCGGTAATTTTGCAGACTTGACTATGTGTCAGACTGAGAATTCTGTTTAGTTCATCACATATATGTGTTGCCCACTTACCAAACTGTGGCAGATGATAGGAGTACAGAGGGCCACCAAATTCACCTCAGCTTATGTTTTCTTTTAAGAAGATGAGAAGGAGGCCGGGCGCGGTGGCTCATGCCTGTAAGCCCAGCACTTTGGGAAGCTGAGGCGGGCAGATCACGAGGTCAGGAGATCGAGACCATCCTGGCTAACATGGTGAAACGCTGTTTCTACTAAAAAAATACAAAAAAATTATCCTGGTGTGGTGGCTGGTGCCTGTAGTCCAAGCTACTCGGGAGGCTGAGGCAGGAGAATGTCGTGAACCTGGGAGATAGAGCTTGCAGTGAGCCGAGATCGCGCCACTGCACTCCAGCCTGGGTGACAGAGTGAGACTCCATCTCAAAAAAAAAAAAAAAAAAAAAAAAAGAAGATGAGGAGGAGGATGAGTAGCAGAAAATAATCTAGGATAATTACTAAACCAGATTCTCCCTAACAATCTAATGTAAATGGTAACCACTCCCTTACCCAGTCACTGGCCTACATTTGTTGCATGTCTCATTCTCCCATATTATATATTTCCATCATCTGTTATGTGGTCAGTTTTCTCTTTTTAAATTTTCATGTTATTTACCTCCTTGATCACATTCTTCACCCTCTGTAGATGTAGATTCATCCCATTCCTCAATATCATGTAATTTAACATTTACTCTAATTTAAAATATTTATAGAAATTAGCACTAATAAAGTATCTATAAGTCCCTTTTTTGCTTGAGGCCCTCCAATGAAGTTTTATTTAAAACTCATTAATACATAAATAAAATATGATTTTATAATTAATAATCCATAAGAAAAGTGTGAGCTTTTTCTTAGAGATCTTCAGGGATAGCTCCACTTTCACATTCTTTTACCCAATTCAAAATAAATGTTTTTAATGACTTCTGAGAATTTCTTTCCTTAACACATATTACTATTGTCCATGATCTCTTTAGATTTGGACACAGAATTTTTACCTGCATCAGTTTTAAGTGAGCAGATTATCATTCTGAATTCTGTTTCAGAATGTTACTAGACAACCTGAGTCAACTGTACATAGCTCTGCATATTGGCCAAACCTTTGGTGAACATAGTGGAGCTAACAATGATTTTGTTTATTTTGTAGCCACAGATATGTATACAATTTTAAAGTGAAGGTATTTGTCCTGGCTTATTTGCTTCTAAGATCTCAAATACATGCACTAGTAAAAAGATACTTTTTGTTCAATTTATCACACTCAGTATAAGTTAAAATATCTACTTGGCAGAGTATTCGATTGTTGAAAGCTGAAGATATAAGAAATTATTTTTGGATGGGTCAAAATATCCTCAGGTTTAAGACTGTTACTTTAATACACAATTGTGATGCTATTAGATTACTGTACAACCAATAAATCTGTATTATAGACATATATATCTATGGACATAGAAAGACCTTAATAATACACTAATCAGTGAAAAAATTATTTAAAACATATAGTTATTGAATGCTGTCTTAGTCTGTGTAGACTGATATAACAAATAACTATAGTAGTTTATAAACAACAAAATTTTATTTTTTACAGTTATGGAGGTTGGGAAGTCCAAGATCAAGATGCCAGCAAATTTCATGTCTGGTGAGGATTCAGTTACTGGTTTAATGACACTGTCTTTTCACTGTGTTCTCATGTGAAAGGGGTAAACAAGCTCCCTTGGGGGGGCCTCTTTTAAAAGGGCACTAATCACATTCATGATGGCTCCACCCTCATTACCTAATCATCTCCCAAAGACCTCACCTACCAATGTCATCATCTTGAGGGTCAGGATTTCAATATATGAATTGTGGGGGTGGGAAACATAAACATTTAAAAAATAGTAAATGCTATATTTTGCCTATATTTTATGAGGAGAATTACAGAGACATGCACACCAACATAAAACAAAACATCTTTACAGATTGTATTAGTCCGTTTTCATGCTGCTGATAAAGACATACCTGAGACTGGGTAATTTATGAAGAAAAAGTGGTATAATGGAATCACAGTTCCATGTGGCTGCGGAGCCCTCACAATCATGGTGGAAGGTGAAAGGTACATCTTACATGGCAGTAGGCAAGAGAGAATGACAGCCAAGCAAAAAGGGAAACCACTTATAAAACCATCAGATCTTATGAGACTTATTCACTACCATGAGAACAGTATGAAGGAAACCACCCCCATCATTCAGTTGTCTCCCACCGGGTGCCTCCCACAACATGCGGGAAATATAGAAGCTACAATTCAAGATTAGATTTGGGTGGGGACACAGCCAAACCATATCATTCCACTCCTGGCCCCTCCCAAATCTCATGTCCTCACATTTCAAAACCAATCATGCCTTCCCAGCAGTCCCCTGAAGTCTTAAATCCTTCCAGCATTAACTGAAAAGCCCACACTCCAAAGTCTCATCTGAGAGAAGACAAGTCCCTTCTGCCTATAAGCCTGTAAAATCAAAAGCAAGTTAGTTACTTCCTACATACAATGGAGGAACAGGCATTGGAAAAATACACACATTCCAAATGGGAGAAATTGGCTGAAATAAAGGGGCTAAGTCCCCATGCAAGTCTGTAATCCAGTAAGGCAGTCAAAGCTTAAATCTCCAAAATGATCTCCTTTGACTCCATGTCTCACATCCAGGTCATGCTGATGCAAAAGGTGGGTTCCCATGGTCTTGGGAAGTTCTGCCCCTGTGGCTTTGCAGGGTACAGCTCCCCTCCTAGCTGCTTTTACAGGCTAGTGTTGAGTGTCTGTGACTTTTCCAGGCACACAGTGCAAGCTGTGGGTGGATCTACCTTTCTGGGGTCTGGATGACTCTGGCCCTCCTCTCACAGCTCCACTAGGTAGTGCCCCACTGGAGACTCTGTGTGGGGGTTTCAACCCCACATTTCCCTTCCACACTGCCCTGGCAGAGATACTCCATGAGGGACCAGCCCTGGCAGCAAACTTCTGCCTAGACATGTAGGCATTTCCATACCTCCTCTGAAATCTAGGTGGAGGTTTCCAAACCTCAATTCTTGACTTCTGTGCACCTGCAGGCTCAACACCATATGGAAGCTGCCAAGGCCTGGGGCTTGCACCCTTTGTAGCCACTGGTCAAGCTGCATCTTGTTCCCTTTTAGCCACGGCTAGAGCAACTTGGATGCAGAACACCATGTCCCAAGGCTGCACAGAGTAGGGAGCCTTGGGCCCATCACGTGAAACTGTTTCTTCCTTCCAGGCCTCTGGGCCTGTGATGGGAGGGGGGTGCCACAAAGTTCTCTGACATGCTCTGGAGACATTTTACCTATCGTCATGGTGATTAACATTTAGTTCCTCATTACTTATGTAAATTTCTACAGGTGGCTTGAATTTCGCCTCAGAAAATGAGTTTTTCTTTTCTATCACATCATCAGGCTGCAAATTTTCTGAACTTTAATGCTCGGTTTCCCTTTTAAAACTGAATGCTTTTAACAGCACCCAAGTCACTTCTTGAATGCTTTGCTGCTTAGAAATTTCTTCTGCCAGATACCCTAAATCATCTCCCTCAAATTCAAAGTACCACAAATCTCTAGGACAGGGGCAAGATACTGCCAGTCTCCTTGCTAAAATGTAGCAAGAGTCCATCTACTCTAGTTCCCAACAGGTTCCTTATCTCCATCTGAGACTACCTCAGCCTGGGTTTCACTGTCCTTATCATTATCAGCATTTTGGTCAAAGCCATTCAACAAGTCTCTTTTTCAGGTATCATTATAGCAGTGCCCCACTCTGCTGTTACCAATTTACTGTATTAGTCAATTTTCATGCTGCTGATAAAGACATACCTGAGACTGAGTAATTTATTATTTATTTATTTTTTTTTTTAAAAAAGAGGTTTAGTGGACTCACAGTTCCATGTGGCCAGGAAGGCCTCACAATCATGGCAGAAGGCAAAAGGCACATCTTACATGGCAGCAGGCAAGAGAGAATGAGAGCCAAGCAGAAAGGGAAACCCCTTATAAAACCATCAGATCTCATGAGACTTATTTACTACCATGAAAACAGTATGGGGGAAACTGCCCCCATGATTCAACTATTTCTTTCCCACTGAGTCCCTCCCACAACATCTGGGAATAATGAGAGCTACAATTCAAGATGAGTTGTGGGTGGGGACACAGCCAAACCATATCACAGATATACATCAGATTTAAAATAGTAATTATTATTAGGTAGTAAAATTATGGATGAGATGATTGGCTTTATTTCTCTGCATGTTTTCTGAATTTTCCGATATAAGCATGAACTAGTTTATTTTTTTTCTTTTTTTTTCTGAGATGAAGTCTCGCTCTGTCACCCAGGCTAGAGTGAAGTGGTGCAATCTCAGTTCACTGCAGCCTCCACCTCCTGGGTTCAAGCAATTCTCTGCCTCAGCCTCCCGAGTAGCTGGGATTACAGGCACCCACCACCATGCCCAGCTAATTTTTGTATTTTTAGTAGAGATGGGGTTTCACCATCTTGGCCAGACTGGTCTTGAACTCCTGACCTCGTGATCCACCTGCCTCGGCTTCCCAAAGTGCTGGGATTACAAGTGTGAGCCACTGTGCCCAGCCAGCATGAACTAATTTCTAACTGGAAAATATATTATTTACAAATATGTACGTGTGTGTGTGTGTAATTTCTTTTTCCTCAAATAATTTTTTTCCTGTGCAATTTACCTCCTTATAGATATTTTGCACTGAGTAAATATTAAACCACAAATAAAAATTAACAATCTCATTTTTTATTATGTTGCAAGCTGAATTTCTGCTAAAATATGAACCTTAATTTTTAAATGCTGGTTAACACAGATAATTGACTTCAATGTTACCACAGACATCAAAGTGAGAGGGCAAGGACCTTATTCTCTAGTTAAGTTTTTCTAACACAATATAATTGTCATGTATAAAGCAATTTGCCTTTTAAATGCTTAAAAATATTTTAACATCACCCATGCAAAAGCTTTGCTTGGAAAGAAGCCTTAGCCTATAATTGCTGAGATAAAAGTTTTGTTTGTTTACTTCTTCAAGGGAAACAAAATACCACTGACAGAATGTATTAGGCAATTTAACAATTGACATCTGGAAAATCAGGCGATTTAACAGTATGATTCACTAACTACTACTCCTGGAGAAGAATAATTTATCTTGCCATATTTTGTAAAATACTGAGAGCTAGTTTGGGTATCAAAGATGGTGATGATGATGACTACAGATAAACTGTAGTAATCATTTCAATTCAGCAAATCCTTAGGAATAACTACATTGCTTTGCTAGGCTATGAGCCTAGTTGTATATAGTGCCAGCTCTAAAGAAAATTCCTATGTAAAATCTGGATTCCAACACTTCATATCTCTGTGACATTGGACAGGACAGGTTACATAACCTCTTTCTGCCTTAATTTCCTCAGGTGTAAAATGGGGATTATAACTACTCCATAGGATTAAGTAAATTAGAAGCATGAGGGCCCATGCACATTTTACCAAGCAAAGTTGAAAAATGTCATCTTCTCAAATGCAAAAATTGTGCTCTCTATACCAACCCCATCCGAAAATGTGATAACTTCTAGACAAGCTTATAAGTATCTCAAGGTAGTCTCAAATTGATCTTTTAAGAAAAAAGTCTTTCCATATTTAATCAGGAAAGCCAGGACACCACTGTGTTTATCATTATATCATTATAATGTAATATGTTAAGGTAACGCTTGTGTATTTTTTTTTTGATAAGGAGAATTAAAGAAAATTATGTTATTGTATCTGTAACAAGTGTATGGATCACTTTTAAACTGGAAGGGTATAAACAAGAAATAATTTTATTTTTCTCTCATCATTACCTTCAAACATCTGCAGTTAAACCTCTCTTCACTGTTCTTTAAAGATTTCTTGGGTAAATTCCATGATTCTCTGACCAGTTTTAGGTTTCAAATTTCAGTGCACTCTACCCCAGTTTAAAACCTCAAGCTCTTATCCACATCATTGCTCAGATCCTCCCCTTTCCCCAAGGTTGTGACCGGGCATGGTCAGCTCTTCCATATCCCCCTTCTCTTCCTCTACTGGGTCCATTTGCCCCAGGGTTTTGAAGACTAGGATTAGTGTTTAGAGCAAAGTGGGCAGAGACATTTTACTTAATCAGTTTTATGATAGTTTTCTCCTGCCTTTCATGGCTTCTCTAGCTAGTCTGAACTCTTTATGCCTCTTAGTGGCAGGAATACCAGTAGTGCTCTCTTGGGGCACACATGCTGGAGGAGGGAAAGTCAGGTGATAAAACGTTCTAATTTCTGCTATGTCAACTTGACTTTCATCCTCAATACATAGTGGATATTCCAGTGTCTGACTACCTTTTATCTGTCTACTTCATCATCTTCCTCTAATTCTAACACGTCCCCTGTTAGGTCTGCCCAGAGGGCAGAACATCAAGTCTGTTGTGTGAAAAGAAGCTCATCCAGGAAATGAGTTGCCAATGTCACCTTCTTTCATGTTTCCCTAATCTCTTCTACTGATTCCTCTAGAGCTTGTCCCCATTTGGCTTGTCAGGAGGAGAGGAAAAGGAGGAAGAATATCTTTTCTCTGTGGAAGACTCGGGATTCTTTGAATGTGACAAACTTGCATCGACTATTTTTGGTGGTTGAAAGGCAAGATAAGGAAGCACGGAGTGGTGGAGAGTAGCAAAGCTGACTTGGCTACTGTTTTTTTTTTTTTTTTTGAGTCAGAGTCTTGCTCTGTTGCCCAGGCTGGAGTGCAGTGGCACGATTTCGATTCACTGCAACCTCCGCCTCCTTGGTTCAGGCCATTCTCCTGCTTCAGCCTCTCAAGTAGCTGGGACTACAGGTGCCCGCCACCATGCCCAGCTAATTTTTGTATTTTTTCGTAGAGAGGGGTTTCAACATATTGGCCAGGCTGGTCTCGGAACTCCTGACCCTGTGATCCTTCCTCCCAAAGTGCTGGGATTACAGGCTTGAACCACCGCACCTGGCCTTGGCTGCTTTTTAATAAGCCCTGAACAAAGTTCTAAACTCCACTGCTCTCAGCTCTATTCTGAATAGGGTTGTGATAGGCAGAATACCTGGAACCTTCGAATATGTTAATTACATACTAAAGGGAAATTAAGGAAGCAGATGAATTTATGGTTGCTCATCAGCTTACTTTAAGACAGAGATATCTTGATGTATAATCACCTGGGCCCAATGTTGTAATCACAAGGGTCCTAAAACGTGAATAACGGAGGCAGAAGAGTCAGTATCAGAGTCATATGATGTGAGAAAAGCCATTGCTGGTTTTGAAGGTGGAAATGGACGACAGGCCAAGGAATTCAGGCAGCCCATAAAATCTGCACAAGGCAAAGAAACTAAGGCAATGGATTTTCTCTTAGTGCATCCAGAAGGAATGCAGCCCTGCAGACACCTTGATTTTATCCCAGTGAGACCTATTTTGCATGTGTGACCTCCAGAACTGTGAAATTTAAAAACTGTATTGTCTTAAGCCATCAAGTTTGTGGTTATTTGTTTCAGCAGCAACAGAAGGCTAATACAGAGTTCATGCTATCAATTTATTCACAAAAGGAAAAAATCTCTGTCTTTTCTTTTTCATGACTAAGAGAGACCACATCCTGCTTTGTTAATGTAAATTTGTTGCTTTACTTTGAAGGTGCATTCTGGTTGTATCATGTAGTATATTGGGCTGTCCATTCGGCTTTAACACACTTTGTTTCAAGACCATAATTTTAAAGTAGTGTTTTCATTTGCTTATTCTTCACATCTCAGATAAATAGAATCCTACAGTATATAGTCTTCTGTGACTGACTGCTTTCACTTAACATTAAATATATATATATACATATATGAGAGTAGGTATCTCTTAAAACTCAATAGTAAACAATTAAGTTGGGCAAAAGACATGAACAAACATTTTATCAAAGAGAATATATAGATGGTAACTGAGCACATGAAAAGCTATTCAACATTATCATTCATCAGAAAAATAAAAACTGAAATGACAATGAAATATCACAATATACTTACCCAAAGGGTCAAACAACAGTGATAATACCAAATGCTGTCACTGATAAAGAAAAACTAGATTACTCATACCTTGAGAGTGGATGTGCAAAACAGTACAACTGTTCAGTAAGTAAATTTGGCATTTTCCTAAAAACATCAATGTGCAGCTACCAAACTTTCCAACAATTGCACTTCTGAGCATTTATCTCAGAGAAATGAAAACTTATGTCCATAGAGAAACCCGTATATGAGTATTTATAGTGGCATTATTTGTGATAGTCAAAAACCAGTACGAACTCAGATGTCACTCAATGGGTGAATGGTTAAATAAACTATGGAACATCCATTCCATGAATACTACTCAGTAATAAAATGGAACGAACTATTGGTACACACAACAACCTGTGTACATTGCCAAATTATTATGTTGAATGAGAAAAGCCAACCCCAAAGGGTTACATACTCTATGATTCCATTTATATAACATTTTTGAAATAGCACGATTATAGAAATGGAAGCAAGATTAGTGGCTGTCAGGATTAAGGATGCAGGAGGGTGGGAGGTAGGTGAATGTGGTTATAAATTGGCACCATCAGGAATCTTTGTTATGAGGAAATTATTCTTTCTGTCTCTCTTTCTTTCATTTTATTTTTTTTAATTGAGACAGAGTCTCACTCTGTCACTCAGGCTAGAGTTCCATTGTGTGATCTCAGCTCACTGCAACCTCCACCTCCCAGGTTCAAGCAATTTTCCTGCCTCAGCCTCCTGAGTAGCTGGGATTACAGGCACCCGCAACCACATCCAGCTAATTTTTGTATTTTTACTACAGACGAGGTTTCACCATCTTGGTCAGGCTGATCTCGAACTCCTAACCTCAGATGATCCACCCACCTCAGCCTCCCAAAGTGCTGTATTCTGTATCTTGACTGTGATTGAAGATGCACAAACCTACACATGATAAAAATGTATGTAATTAAATACATATACACACATGTGACTACAAGCACAATTGAAAAAATCTGAATAAGATAGCTGAATTGTATCATCAATAACCAGTTTGCAGTATGGCATTATAGTTTTGCATGATAGTAACATTTGGGGAAACTGGGTAAAGAGTACCTCTCAGTATTATTTCTCAAAACTGCATGTAATCTATTATTATTAAAATTTCAATTAAAATAAAAAAGAATGTGAAAAAAAACTGTTTTATATCACTTGTGCATATCATTTCTCTTAGTCTTTATTGCATTTCTGTAAAGGAATACCAGAGAGTAGGTAATTTATAAAGAAAAAAAAGTTCTTTTGGGCTGGGCACGGTAGCTCAAGCCTGTAATCCTAGCACTTTGGGAGGCCAAGGTGGGCAGATCGCGAAGTCAAGAGATCAAGACCATCCTGGCCAACATGATGAAATGCCATCTGTACTAAAAAATACAAATATTAGCTGGGCTTGGTGGTGCATGCCTGTAGTCCTAGCTACTTAGGAGGCTGAGGCAGAATTGCTTGAACCCAGGAGGTGGAGGTTGCAGTAAGCCAAGATCGTGCCACTGCACTCTAGCCTGGCGACAGAGTGAGACTCAGTCTCAAAAAAAAAAGAAAAAGAAAAAAGATTAATTTGGCTCATGGTTCTGTTAGCTAGAAGACTGAGCATCTGGTGAAAGCCTCAGGCTGCTTCCACCCATGGCAGGAGGAGAAAGGAAACCAACATGTAAGCAGAGATCACATTTCAAGAGAGGAAACAAGAGAGAAGAAGGCGCCAGGCTCTTTTTAACAACCTTCTTTCCAGGGATGAAATAGAGAGAAAACTCACTTTGCTACCCCACCTCCCCAACAAGCCAGGGAGGGCATTAATCTATTCATGAGATATTTACCTTCCTGACCTAAACTCCTCTTGTTAGGCCACACCTCCCCTCCAACATTGGGGATCAAATTTCAACATGAGATTTGGAGGGGACAAATATTCAAACTATGTCATCACTCAACAGCCATATTTTAAAATTCACTTATTAAAGTATTTCATTGGGCACCATCTGAGTTGGGCAGGGGGTCTTTCTATGTCTCAGTTGCTTGTGACTACTGGGACCCAACAACTGAATGACTTTACAGATGGCAGAATTAAAAACCTCAACTCATATTCTCAAAATTACTGAAAGAAAGGCATTTGAAGATCACTTTTATTAGCTTTCTCATTGGAGAAAGTAGAGACAAACACATACCTCAGAGGGTTGTTAAAAGGAATAAACAAACATACTATATGTTATTTATTTTAACACACCTAACTCTTGGCCATTCATCAGTCCTACTGGTGCCACAGTGTTACTGTCCTTTCACTGAGTTTAGCAGGTGAATTCGCATTTATAACATGGTCTATTCATTGTTAAATACTTCACATTTGCCAAGATCTCTAACATCAAGGAGAGTTGCTCCCCTATTTTCATCAATGTAGCTAAAAAACATATTGTACTGAAGATGTAAAAAGGTCAAATGGCATTATAATGATCTGTTGGAAAAATCTATGCATATATCTGGGGTTGAGACAAGGCTTTAAAATGTTCATTCTGTGACTCTGCTATAATTTTGACTTTTGATGCTTTCATGTAGCTTTTTTTCCATGCACCTTTTCTAGGTGTACTTAAATTGAAAAATGCCTCTCTGCATAACAGCATAATGCTAGATTATCAGTACGGAAAAATGGAACTGGCACATCAGAATCTAGATGTCTTAATCCCCTAGTTCCACTACCACCATTACAAATAATTCCCACAAGAAAAAAAATATATATATAATGTTCATACTCTGATGTGGGGCAGGAAGAAAATAAAGTAAATTAGTAGTGTGAGGGAGGTGTCAATTCAGACTTGTGTTACTGGTTCATTATCTGCAATGAATGAAGCCAGCAGTTGTTAGTGCCTGCTCTGTGCCAGGAGCTATTCACACCCACCTATTTTAATTCTCACCAAAGCTCCCCAAGTTGTTTAGAATTTTACCTCTATTACAAGACCAGTAAACTGAAACAGACTTTCAGCAATTAAATTGCATTTCTTTCTCCAATATTAGTCTATCAGTTTATGAATTCTTAGAGGAAGAAATTACCTGTGACCTGATAAGCAAGAATACCTTGACACTTCTTTCTGCCTGCCTGTAATTAGACAGGTACTGAGCTCTAAATATCAATAATGTTGCTGCTATCAAGTTTTATACTTCCAAGTACAAAAGGTTCTTGTTATTCGAAACCAGACTAAGACACTGAACCATAAATGTGAGGATTGGTAAAAATGGAGACTCAGATACAAGGTTTGCTTTCATTTTTGTTTAATACAGATCAACAAACAATGCAAAGGAAATGAAACAGACAATGACAGAAATGAAGGGAAGCAGCTCTCCAACATTTACCTAGTTCCTAGTTATCTAGACACTGGTCTCTCACAAAGTGCGTCCAAATTTCAGGGGCCATTGCAACCTGTGTAGGATAATCATCCTGCCAGATTAGAGTTACTCAGCCCTCTGGTGAAATGGTTTGGCTCTGTGTCCTCACCTAAATCTCATCTCAAATTGTAATCCCCACATGACAGGGGAGGAAATTGGTAAGAGGTGATTGGATCATGGGGGGCAGTTTTCCCCATGCCGTTCTCATGACAGTTAGCTCTCACAAGAGCTGATGCTTTTAGAGTGTGACACTTCTCCACTTCAATTTCTCTCTCCCTCTCCCGCCATCATGTAAGATATGCCTTGCTTCCTTTCACCTTCTGCCATGATTGTAAGTTTCCTGAGGCTTCTCCAGCCATGAACGACTGTGTCAATTAAACCTCTTTTGTTTGTAAATTACCCAGTCTCCGGTAGTTCTTTACAGCAGTGTGAAAACAGACTAATACATCTGGGTTCCCTGCTTTTTATACCATTAGTCTGAAAGGGCCATGTCAGCATTCAGGAATTTGCCTGATATAAGTTGTGTTAATTCCTCATTCCGTCTCTTATAGTGTCACTGGAACCAGCACACTGGTCATGACAAAATTTTCATGTGCTTATGTTTCCTTCAATACACAAAAATGTGGCTATTTGAAAATATTCCTGCCCTCTCAATTTTCTGACATTTCTTCCCCTAGAACTGCTTTGACAAGTAGAGTACAGTAGCAGTGAGGAATGAGTTATGAAAGGTGATGCAGCTTCTATCTTGTTTCTTGAAACACTTGCACTTGGAGCCTTGTACCACTCTCTAAGATGCTTGGGTACCTTAAGGCCACCATGCTGTGAGGAAGCCAAATCACACAGAGAAGACTGTAAGAGTATAGCCGAAAATGCTAGGCTTCAACTCTTTACATGCTGGCTACAGACTTGTAAGGATAAAACCTTCAGATAATTCTACCCCCTAACTCTTGAGTCACCCCACCTTTCAGCTCTTCTCAGCTGAGGCCCCCAGACACCATAGAGCACAGTGTAGCAGGTCCACTTGTACCCTGTCCAAATTCTTAATCCACAAAATTCTGGAGTGTAAAAAAGGCTTAAGTCTTGATTTAAGCCACTAAGTTGTGTTGGTGTGGTGTCAAACAGCAGCAGTAAACAGAACAAATGGTCAGACACTAATCACTTTTTTCAGTGCCCCCTTTGGAAAGTACAGAACTTAAAGCTCAGTGAAAGGTAGTGGATTCCTGTTTTTAAATGCCGTTGTTTTTAACTTCATGCCTATTTATCTGGCTCTTATAGAATTTGTTTGTATGTATACCATAAATATAATTTAAGTATTTCTGAGACCTTTATGTAAAAAGTGACCCTAGCAAAAGTGCTATCAAAAAATATTTAAACTAGAAGAATATATGAATAACATCTTGATTCTGCTTGTATTCCCAAAGATAATTTGGGACAGATTTTAGTTAGGATTTAATTTTGCTACTTGGGAAAGAAAACTGAAATCAAGAGTGGCTTAAATGCATAAGATTTTATCCAAATAACTTAACAGTCTCAGGTGTGGGGGTCAGACAACACACCTAAGTTTGAGCCATGTGTCACTAAAAATACACAGGTTTTCTCAGCTTTCTAACCAATCCATTTCTAGGGTTTGATCCAAAATGGCTGCTGTTCCTCCACCTATTATGTCCATATGAATGAGGAAAGAGAAGGAGTGTTCCTGGACCAAACTGAGGGCCGGGCTGCTATTTCTTGTGGCCCAATAACAAGATGCAGATAAACTGGGGAGGAAGAGAATTTTTTTTTTTTTGAGACAGAGTTTCACTGTATTGCCCAGGCTAGAGTGCAGTGGTGCGATCTCGGCTCACTGCAAGCTCCAGCTCACTGCAAGCTCCGCCTCCCAGGTTCAGGCCATTCTCCTGCCTCAGCCTCCAGAGTAGCTGGGGCTACTGGCACCCGCCACCGTGCCTGGCTAATTTTTTGTATTTTTTGTAGAGACGGGGTTTCACCATGTTAGCCAGGATGGTCTCGATCTCCTGACCTCATGATCCACCTGCCTCAGCCTCCCAAACTGCTGGGCTTACAGGCGTGAGCCACTGTACCCAGCCAAGAACTTTTTTTTTTTTTTAAATTTCTGTAACCGGTTACAGGGAGAAGGCCTGGAAATTATCACCAGATGAACTCAAAATTACAAGTTTTCCAGAGCTTATAAACCTTCTAAGCTATATGTCTACATTTAAGCGTGCATTCATCTAAAGACATAAATGATTAACTTCTTTGAATCTATAACTAAGGTCTGAGTCTTGCAGACCTTCCTCTGAAGCCTCAGTAAATTCACTTAACTAAATGGGTCCAGGTTCTGGGGTGATTACCCTTATCTTGTCTCCTGCTAATTCACGTAGGTTTACAGAGTTCTTCAGACCCCCAGTAACACTTGTTTAATCCTAAATGTTCCTGTTAAGAATTTCTTTGTTGTTTTGTCTTGGTTTAAGGCCCAGGAAAGGTGTAGGCAAAACTCTTGGTAGGTTTTTTTACATTCCAGCCTTTGTATCAGGGCACTGGCTCTTTCAGCTTTTAACACGTAACTTAACCCCCTCAGTTGGTGCTTAAGCTCTTGTTATGCAGGCCTGCATTAGTGAGACCTGGCCTGCCACAGGAGTAGGTCAAGTACTAATCTAGCATACTCTTAGGAAGTTGAACATTGTATTTCTATTTTTATATTCATCAGAACTAACATGGCCACACTCAGCTGGAAGGATATCTGAGAAATTGAGTATATCTAGGGAAGAAATTTGCCCAGTTAACATTCAGAAGTTCTGTTACTAAGGACAAAGTGGAGAATGGATTTTATAGTACTACTAGTACTAGTAGAATTCTCTACTAGAGTGGATGCATTGAAAAGTGTTTCAATTTAATACATGTTTCAGAGAAAACACTAATGCATATAAAGGAAGCACCTACTCTGTGTTAGAGACTACATTGTTATCTTAACCTGTGATGTACAAGTTTTTGGCCTCATTTTATAGAACAGTTATATATTCACCAAAGTTAAGAAATATGCCCAGTTTTTGTTGCAATAAGTAGCAGAGTCATAGTTATAACCTAAGAAGGCTTTCTGATGGCAAATCTCATTTTCCTTGAGAGAGAGGAGAACTCTGGAGAGTGATATGGGCAGTGACGTTGAAGAAAGGAATGTGTGTTTTGCTTGTATTGAGCTACCAACCATACACCATGATGACTGATAATGAAGATGACAATGATGGTGATGCTAACTTCTATTGAACATTGCCTGCAGGCACTCCTTTAAAATAACTGTTTAAAACTTTGGGTTTTAAAACTTTGGGTTTCTTTCTGAAGAATAGGACCATGATTTTGTTCAAATATTTAAAATGATTGTCAACAGTTCCTCTTTTAGTGCTATAAACCTTCTTTGGCCTTGCACATAGTTGCATTCTCAGTAACTTATCTTGACTGAACTGAAGACAAAGTTTTTGTATTTTTAGTTGTTTCAGTTCATCTGAAGATGAAGCTCTTTATCCAGCTTGCTAAACTGGAAAATAATTCAAATGTCAAATATTAATGTTATAAGGAGTTCTGTGACCTTTTAAATTTCTCTGATGTACTTTGGAAATGGTTATTTCCAATATCTTACACTTGGCTGTGCCTGGGTTTATTCTTCGTTAAAAAATGAACTTCACACGCCTGAGAAATTTTTGAATGCTGGTGCTACCCAACATGTTTGGAACTTACACAATTATTGTCTTTAAAGCAGCATAGTCCTTAAAATCCATAAAGCCTGCAATAATAGTTCTAAGAAAATATGCAGCTACCAGACTAACACTGTTGTGAAGTAACAGCATAAATAGAATAAGACCAGTTAAGAACACTACTCCAAAGTGGGCTGTGCTTTCAGGAAATGAGGTATCATAAAAAAGATTCAAACAAATTTGGAAACAGTGCCTGAAGAAGTCCTATTAGTACTAATGTCATTAAAGTACAAAATATTTTCTAGATTTAATATTTTTTGTTGGTTTCTTTAATTTCCTACTTGCTTTCTCAATTCTTCAAGTAAATCCAGGGTTAAGTAGCAGCTTTATTTCAAGGCAAGAAACAGCTACATTTTCCCTAGTGTCACAAAAGCAGTAAAGCTGAGGATAATAGCTTCTGTTAGATTTCTTTATAGGAAATCTTAAATCACGAATCTCTTGGTTTTGCAAGATAAATATGTAAAATAAAAATTGAAAATAAAAATCTGTATGATTTTAAATAATTAAATATAAATTTATATTGTCCATAGAAATATCTAATGTTTCTATATTCCTAAGTCTTTATTTAAACTCAAACTTTTTCAGTAGGTAGTAAAGTGCTGTGTGTTGCTAAAAGGCATGCTATAAGTTTTGAACTCAAAATCTCAGTGAGATATATTATAAAATCTTGAGTCTGAGATTTTATAATAAATTATAGTAAAGTCTCTATCTAGTAGTATATTTAACTGCTAATATATCTATATCTGCTATTTTCCTCTTCTCCGAGTTGTGGTTACTTTTCAAATCAAAGTAGTTATAAGTCAATGAGACACAGAAAAATTTCCAATCTTATAAATTAGAATTCATTTTAAACATGCAGCTGCTTGTGCCATGCACATGGTTTTATTTGTAATCCATGTTGGATAGTTCTAGTGCTAGAATTAAGATTTTAGGTATTCGGATGCCCCATGGAGAAGACTGACTGTAATTTCCATAACCAACCAGTTACATTCTTAGTCTGGAAAATTTTAAATGTGAAATAAAGGAGAGAATACATTTTGAAACATAATACATCATTCTATAAGCTGTTGTTTGTTAGAGTAAGACTAACTACAATAATTTGATTCATTAAACTTTGTGATGACTTAACATTTCTTAAAGAAGCTAATCCCCAAAAATTAAAGTGTCACCCTCAGATATTGCCTCATGCTGTAAAAAATAATAAAACAATAAAATTATTTAAAAATCATGACATGAGGCCCAATGAAATGGTCTGGGCTTGAAGCAGGCATGCTACGTCCTCTGTCTCTCCTCATTTCTCTTTGTTATATAGTCTTGGAATTAGTTAGGTGGCTGCCAATAGTCCAAGGCTAAAAATAGTTTTCAGCAAGCCATTCAGGCAAAAGACTGGAAATGGAATATGTACAAAGAATGTGAGGGCAATGGATTTAGCAGGAGAATTGCTGAAGACATAATGTCTGAAATTTGAATGGCTGAATGTATGACATAAGCAATTTTCAAGTATGCTAATTTCAGTTCATTTTAATTTTGCCTGGACAGGGTATTCAACATATAAGCAATTAGTCCTCCAATATCCATCACAATCTAAAAATTAGATCTTGATCATTTTATCTTTTTGTGACATTTTCTCTTTTAAATAGATTTATTTTTAGCTGATTTGGACATTTGTTTTATTTCCTATTATTGACAATATTAATTTATTTAATGAAAGAAGCTTTTAAAAAATGACAAACCTTGTACTTGGTAAGTTTCATTTATTATTATTAGAAAGAAAAGCTAATTACAAATCATTTCAAAACTAATGATACTATTTAATTTTATTTTAGGTTAAGAAGATACTCTAAGTTTCCTTTTTTAAAGTTGATTTGTGGCAATTTTCTGATGTAAAACAAACATATGATATAGTCTGGGTTTTTTTTTTTTTTTTTTGAGACAGAGTCTCGCTCTGTCTCCCAGGCTGGAGTGCAGTGGCTGATCTCAGCTTACTGCAAGCTCCGCCTCCCGGGTTCACACCATTCTCCCGCCTCAGCCTCCCAAGTAGCTGGGACTACAGGTGCCCACTACCACGCCTAGCTAATTTTTTGTATTTTTAGTAGAGATGGGGTTTCACCATGGTCTCGATCTCCTGACCCCGTGGTCTGCCCACCTCGGCCTCCCAAAGTGCTGGGATTACAGGTGTGAGCCACCGCACCCGGCCGATATAGTTTATATACTATCCATAGATCAGATAAAAATATCATATGTTCATTAAAACTACAACATGAAAGCCCACATAGCTGCCATAGTTTGGTATACTGGATATAAAACTAATTTTCATTACAGGTTTGACCTTTCATCTGTTTTAAAAACTATATGCATTTTGAAGCCTTGAACAATAAAAAGGGGCAATTCTTTTTCACAAAAAGATAGTAAATTAGATGTTTAAAGAATAGAAATTTTAAGTCTGTATTAAAAACAAATCATTACAACCAAGATTAAAAATTGAAATCTAGTTAGTAAAGGTACACTTAACCAAATAGCTTTGGTGGTATTTTAAAATTCACTTCTAGTGAGATTTTTCAATCAGTCAATAGCTGACTTTACAAATGCATATAGTTTGTTCTATGTTGAAACCCTGGCCAATTAAGGCACCGGTGGTGAAGGCATGTTTTCTTTACACCACTAATGGCTGCCCCTCAAGAAACAAAAGAAGGATGCCTTGTTGGAGCACATCTTGGAAACATTTCATGGCTTCCCTTACCCATGTATACATATAAATGTTACGTTTCCTCAAAAGGATAGCAGGAAAGTACTATTTAGATAGCTATTTCTTGCTCTTGTCATACCCACCTATTTTAAGTGGTTTGTTCAGTGACTTCTATCTTGCATACACGTGTACAGAAAGCATAAGTGGATGAACAAACCAACTAATGGTGAAAATTGTGGGAAACCCAAGAGCACGTGTCCCATATAAAAAGCACATGTCCCAAATAAAAAGTTAGTCTTTTTTTCTTTTTCTTCTTCTTCTCCTCCCCTTCTACTTTTCTTCCTTCTTTCGTCTTCTCATAATCCAGCAGTTAATTCTTATGTGGCATCTCCAATTTGTAACTAATTTAATGAAGTGTATTATCAATGAAATATGTATAAACGTGGATATTACCAATAAGCCACCAGTCCAGTCTATCCTCATTTTACAAATAAGATAAAAGAGTTCTTATAAAACCAAGCACAAACATCTATGTGGTGAAAACAAAAGAATTTGGAATTCTCTATGTCCATACCATTGTTCAGTTTTCTAAATCTCTGCCTCTCTTCCAATAGTTTAGTTGCCCATGAAGTGAGTTGGTTGCATTTCTCATTAACCAAAAATAACTTAAAACTATTTGGTACATTATTTTATTTTTAGGATCAATCTGTGTATTTCAGGAGCTATATCTTCTTGGGAAAATAAAGTGGCAAACCCCATCTGTATAAAAAATAAAAATAAATTTAAAAATTAACCAGTCATGATGGCACATGCCTATAGTCCTAGCTACTTCGGAGGCTGAAGTGGGAGAATTGCTTGAGTCCAGGAGTTCGAGGGGGCAGTGAACTATGATCACACCATTGCATTCCAGTTTAGGCAACAGAGTGGGACCTTGTCTCTGAAATATTAATAATAATAATAATAATAATGATAAATCTCCTCACAACCCAGAAAACCTTTCCACAAAAGAAAACAGTTTTATTATTGAGTACACATTAAACCACAATGTGATGAGCATTACAGGTAATCTGCTGAGAGATTACCAAGTCAAAAAGAAATTTCACCTTTTTAAATAGACAAGCAGATACAACCCATTACACACATATTCTCAGGATAAACAATTAATAGTCCTCAAGTAAGAGGGCTTGATGTCACCATTTATCACATACAATTCACCTTAACATCACCTTATAATTGGGGTGATTTGACCACCTGTGTTAGCTAATTGGCTTTATCTAAAATAAAAATAAATATCTTTATGACAAGAGGTAGAGGTAGTACATTAGTCGGCGCAGGCTGCCATAACAAAATACCAAATGCTAGGTGCCTTAAACAACAGAAATTTATTTTTTCACAGTTCTGGAGGTGGGATGTCCAAGATCAAGGTGCTGACCTCTTTGGTTCCTGGTAAGAACCCTCTTTCTGGCTTGAAATATGAGGACTACCCAGAAGTCCTCAAGGGCAGAGAAAGAGCAAAAGAGAGATTTTGATCTTTCTTCCTCTTCTTCTAATACCATAATCTTATTGGATAGGGCTCCATGCTTATGACCTATTTAACCTTACTCATCTCCTAAAGACACTATTTCTAGATACAGTCCCATTAGCGTAATGAGCTACAACATATGAATTTAGGAAGATACAATTCAGTCCACATCAGGCTTTGCAACTCGGAATCCAGTATCAGCCAAAGTTAGCCTCCTACCCTTTCACAGATACACTTTCATAGAAAGTCCTATCTTCCTTGATGATTGCATTTCAAAGAGATGATTCCTAAGTCCTCAAAAAGACATTTCTGGGTTGCAAGCTTGGCAAAATGCTTATTTAGCTTTTAAAAAACATTTCTGTACATTTCAGGGAAACAGAAATGTTTAGGAACTCACAAGTTTTCTAAAGTAAATGCTTTAAGAAAAGTTTAGAGGAGGAGGGATCTCTTATTTTCAACAAGTCTTAGCAAGTCTCATTTTTTTATTTTTTAGATTGGATTTGCCCTTATACGCTGCATAGAATGAATGTTGAATTTAATTACTCTGATATCCATAGTGATTTAGCTCTTTAAAAATATTTACTTTTTCTGTTTTATAGTTTTTATAACTGAAAAAAATAATCTACTGCAAGGTAGATATATATTCTTATTTCCACATCAGAGCTAGAAAAACAAGTACTAAAAAATCCAATTTTTATGTAATTTACATACAGGACAGCCAACTGTACTTTTGAAATTATGTTCCCAATTTCAATATGGAGATATTTCTTCATTTTATAAGGTATTATCAAATTATTCTCAATCCCCAATCCTTGGCATACTCTAGCATTTTCCAGTGGCTGTCTTTCTTCTGAATTATTACTTGACTGAGTTGTCTAGAGTTATTTTTCTCCAATCTAGTATGTCAAACTTTTGATCCTTTTTGTTGTTAATATGTGTGTGGGTGTGTGTATATGTGTACATGTGTATATGTTTTAGTTTGTTGATCTCTTTTCATTTTAGGTTAGATATTGTAAGGGTGGAGTTTGGAAAATATAGTTTTCACTTTATTTCCGTATTCCAACTTTTGGTCTAACAATGTACATTTTCTTAGTTTTTTTTGGTGGATTATCTGCTGAATGGCTGCCAACAGTTCCATCTCTGTACACTCCTGCCACTTGTTCCCTAAAGAACTAGAGTCTATTTCCCTCCTTTAGAAACTGGTCTGGCTTGTTACGAAGTGATTCTGTGCCACTTCTGGGCCTAAGCATCAAGAAAGATCTTGGCTTCTCCTTTCCATACCCTAGAAAGCCAGCTGCCATGAAAAGTTGGATAGCCTGGCTGAAGAGATGCCCTGGGGGAAGAAACACTATGGAGAGAGAGAAGTCACATGAAGAGAAATGACACCCCATGTAACTGAGACCATGAGACTCCATGAAAGGAGAGAGATCCAGTCATCTTAGAAAACACGTAGCCATTGAGCCACCCAGGATGAGGTTCTCAAGGTGTGAGAGAGGCCATGTTAAATCCTTTAATTCCAGCTGAGCTGCCCTAGCCAGTACCCTGTGAAGCAGAGGAGCCATCCCCACTTAGCCCTGCCTGAATTCCTGGCCCACAGAATCATAAGTAAATTTGTTGTTTTTAACTGTTATATCTTAGGTAATTTATTATGCAGGAAGAAATCATTGAAACAGTAGGGCTCAAACAATATAAAATAGAGATAAGAGTTGGCAATTACCTAATGAATCGGGTTTGAATAACCTACCATGAGCAATTACATTTGTAAGTACTTATAGTTTCCTATTTATAAAATACTTTAATAAATATTTTATATGTGTTACTGCAGAGTTCTTTAGAAACCCAAATATGAGACAGTATTATTTTAGTACTACATAGATTAAAGGAATTCAGGCATAACAAGATAGAATTATTTGTGCAGAGCCACAAAGCTATTAGGTTATGGAGCAGTTCTACATGCTATAGAATCAAAAGCTTGTGAGCTCAAATACTGTGTTCTTTCAGACAAAATCTTTAGGTTTTAAAAAATCTTTCCAGACACTACATTACTTATATTATGTAACCATACTGGCTATAATTATCAAATATATTTATTCATTTATTCCACAAATATTTAAGACCTATTATGCACAAAACAGCATTAAAAGTGCTAGAATGAATAACAAGAGAACAAGTCCTTGCCTCAGGAAATTTTCATTTTAATAAGGGCAGACAGAAAACAAATACCCTATAATAAGCTAGGTAGAGTTAAGTGCTATGGTGCTAGATAAAGAAACATAATGAAGACAGGAGTATAGGGGAATATTGTTGGAAATGCTACTTTAAATAGGATGATCAGGGTGGAAGGCCTGTTTGTTATAGTTACACTTGAGAAAAGACAGAAAGAAATATGAGACAGATTTTTGTGAATATCTAGAGGTAGAATATTCAAACCAGAGGAAACAACAGGTAGAGGCCCTAACATAGAGGCATGCCTGGAGGACAAAAGGGAGGCCTAAATAGGTGGGGCAGAGTAAGTGATGGAGACATTAGGAGGTATGATGGGAAGAATTCTAAGATAGCTTTCATAGTCTCAGCCCCTGGTGTTACACCCAGTATGGTTCCTTCCCTTGAATATGGGTGGGATTTTTGCTTCTAACAAAAGAATAGAGCAAAGGTTATGGCATGGCATGACATTCCCTTGACTAGGTTACATTATGTAACAAAGATGCAAAGGTGATGGGATTTGCGCCCGTGATGAAATTCGATCAAACAAGACTTCCTCTTAGTAGAGTGGAGCACACTCTTTTAATATATAGGGAGTCAGACCTAGTCTTGACTAGGATCCTGAGGGACCTCAGAAACACCAAAGATTAATTAAAAATCCTACGTTTCCAGAATTTAAAATCTATTTTGGCAGTCAGAACAATAAAGAAAATAGGGAATGATTTAAGAAAAGTTAAAAATCCTTGTTTACTAGATAGCTCTTAGATTCTTTGTCAAGGAAAATAATCTTCTGAATTACAGAAGAAAATAATAGTGGACAGGAGAATAATTAAATCCAAGCTCTTTCATGAAACAAATGTGAGAAGAGGTCACTCCCCTGCTTGAAAAATGTCATGGTTTCATATTGCATTTAGAGTAAGATTCTCCCTGACCACCTTCTCCATCAAATGAGTTTCCTTTTATTTTTCCTTTTTCTCTATTGATAACATTTATCATTTTAAATCTTTTTATTGTGAGATAGTTGTAGATTCACATGTAGATGTAAGAAATAATACAGAGGTTTCATATACACTTGACCCAGTTTCTCCCAATGGTAGTGTCTCGCAATTGTGATATCTTCACATTAAGATACAGAACAGTCTTAACGCAAAATTCCCTGCTGCTTTCCTTTTGCAACTAAAACACCTCACTTCCTATTGCTAAGGCCTAGCTACAACAATTGTTTTTTGTATTCTATTATATTGTCATTTCAAGAATGATATGTAAATGGAAATTTACAGCATGTAAATTTTGAAACTGGCTTTTTTCACTTAAAATAATTTTCTTAAGATACATCCAGCCGGGCATGGTTGCTCATGCCTGTAGTCTCAGCACTTTGGGAAGCCGGGGCGGGTGGATCATGAGGTCAAGAGATCGAGACCATCTTGGCCAACATGGTGAAACACCATCTCTACTAAAAATACAAAAATTAGCTGGGCACAGTGGTGTGTGCCTGTAGTCCCAGCTACTCAGGAGGCTGAGGCAGGAGAATTGCTTGAACCCAGGAGGTGGAGGTTGCAGTAAGCCAAGATCATGCCACTGCACTCCAGCCTGGCCAGAGAGCAAGACTCCCTCTCAAAAAAAAAAAAAAAAAAAAAAAAAAGAAAGAAAGAAAGAAAAAAGATACATCCAAGTTTTTGAGTTTTTGCATGTATCAGTAATTCATCACTTTTTATTGCTGAGGAGGATGCCATGGTATGGATGTGCTACAGTTGACTTTACTTACCACCTCCTGAAGTTCATTTGGATTGTTTCATTTTTGGCCATTACCAATGAAATAGCTATTGACATTTGTGTAAGTTTTCCGTTGAACATGTTTCCATTTCTTTTGGATAGATGCCCAAACCTTTGCAGTTGCTGAGTTTATGGTAAGCACATGTTTAGTTTTAGAGAAACTGTCAAATTATTTTTCAGAGTGGCTATACTGTTTATATTCCCACCAGCAAGGTACAAGTGGATTCAATTTCTTTGCATCCTTGCCAAGATTTGGCATTAATATATTTTTAAATTGACTTGTCATTTAAAAATTACATATTTATTTGTTTACTCAAAGTTTTTTCATTTAGTGGATTTAATTTGAATTACAAATTTCCTTTGAACTTGATAAGAAATGTTTAAGGTGCAATGTCTTCAAAGACAAAATTAAATATAACATACTACTTCATTCTTAATGTTTTTTAAATACAAACTAAATTAGTAAGATTAAACTTTTCATGTTGAAATAATATTTTCATGGGTTAGTCATTGAATAATTGATAAATAAATGATCTTTTTCTGATATTCTTGGTATGGTTTTATGCTTAGTGATTGATGGTTTTTAGTAATATTTTGCAGCAAGAGGCCTTGGTCTCCTTTGCTGATTCTTGTTCATCTCTTTGTTCTCTAAATGAGAATACCCCCAGAGTTCAGTCTTTGGACATCTGTTCTACCTGCATTCACTCCCTAGATTATTGGCAAGTCCTAGTCCTTTAATTACTCTCATTCTGCTAATAAGTATTAAATGTATATTTCCAGCTGATGCTTCCCCTTATTCCAGTCTTATGAATCAACCGCCTGCTCAGCCCCTAGATTGGGATCTTTAGCGGGCTTTCACACTTAACATGTACGAAACCCAAACCCTGAATTTCCCTTAGTAATGTTCATTTTCCAGTTATTTCTGCAACAGCACTCTTTTTGTAAAGTTATTCAATGAAAAAATAAAACTTAGATTCAGCATCATTTCCTTTCTTTTGCTTTCACCTCACAAGCAATTAACAAAGAAATCCTGTAGACTCACCTTTCAAATAACTTTCAAAACCCAACCACTTTTCTCATTACTCTGCTGCCTTATTCAAGCCAGTACACTCTGATTAGTAAAATAGTTTCTTAAGTAGGCTGTCTGCTTCTACCTTTCTTCATATAACTGCCAGAGTGATCCTTTTGAAATGTAAGTTTGATTGTATCACCTCTCCACTGGAACCATGCACTGGTTTCCCACCACACTCACAGTAAAAGCTGAAGACCTTACTTTGACTTGTCTTCAGTAAGCTGGCTCCTACTCTCATCATACCATGTTACTACCTTGATCTACTTTCCTCCTGCATTTGTCTTCTATTGTTATGTAAC
Organism: Homo sapiens; assembly: GCF_000001405.40. Lineage (NCBI taxonomy): Eukaryota > Metazoa > Chordata > Mammalia > Primates > Hominidae > Homo > Homo sapiens. The sequence continues at coordinate 44,900,988 of NC_000005.10, read as the reverse complement.
AAATTACTACCAGCTTGGTAGCTTAAAACTATGCATGTTTATTATCTCACAGTTTTTGTGGGTCTGGACACAGCTTATCTTCTACTCTGGGCCACACAAGGCTGCAATCAAGGTGTCAGCCTGGCTACATTCTCATATGGAAGCTGGTCTGTGGAAAGATCTACTTCCAAGCACCCTTGAGTTAATGACAGAATTTGCTTCCTTATAGTGGTAAGAGTGAAGTCTCTGTTTCTTACAGGCTCTTGAATGGGAGCCACTTTCAGATCTAGGAAGCCATCTCCAGTTTCTTTCTATGCAGCTCTCTCACAAAATGATAACAAAGCTCATCTTCTATTTCTGCTGCTAGTTTTCATTCTCCTGGAATATCTTAATAATAATTCTATCACAGCTAGTTACAGAAAAGTTTCCAGAAGGCAGAAAAATTCCTCTTGTGAGTACAACCTCTGCCATTCATTTAAATATATATATCCTGAGGTCCCATTTTATCTTTTCTCTCTGAACTTTTGGCCTCTTAATACACTCATTTTGACACCTTTTACTTGGGTTCTTTCACTTCCATTATTGGTAAGTTAAAAAAATATTTTTTTCAAATTTATGAATCTTACATATCAGCTATAAAATAGGTTTATGGAAAATACTGAAATCAAAAAAAGAAATCATTATAATACTAGGTAATGTGTCCATTTAATTAAAAAAAAAAAGGAATACCAGAGAACAAGAGAGCAGTGAAGGAAATGTATCAACCAGAGCAGTTTTGACTTTACATCCAAAATAGCCTTGTTCATTCCAATTGAAGCCAAACTCAACAGTCAGTAGCAAATTTTGCAAACCTCAGCTCATTATGTATGTTGACCTTCCTGCAATATTCTTGCTGGTCTATGCTGCATTTCTATATTTAGAGTAATTTGTCTTCCTTCTGGTTATGTGTCTTCCTTCTTATCTTCCGTGCATGCATTTTTTATAATCTGAACACACAATAAAGTTCTCTCTACAGTTATGCCATTTTCTACTGCTACCATCCTTCTTTTCTTCCTCATTAATATAATTTGAGATTTACATTGTCAGAGTTATATCAATAGCAGTTTGCTACTTTTCTGAGCTTTCTTCTGAGTTTTTTATACCTGAAATTTTTGAAGTCTTCCTTCTTAAAATCTAGAGTAACCGTCCAATGAAAATCCTTCCCATTATGCTCCTAATTCTAAAATGAGATGGTCAATTTTTCCAAAGGCTACTGTCAATTGCACTTCATGAACCAAATTATCCTCATTGGTCCAAATTAGGTTGAAAATATTAGCTTCTGTAATCTCTTCCTTTACCCTTCAGGGTGCGAAAATGTCAGTAAGACCAGGTAAGAATGTGTCAGTTGTTCAGCTAATGTGCAATAGACTTTCAGAAGATGAGCAGATTGCTGAAGTTTCTGTGTCACTTCTGAATTTTCCATTATGACACTTTTGTGATTGTGTGACATGCACATCACCAACTGATTCCCTCTAACTGGACAGATAACCGTAAGGTTTTGCCACATCTGAATTACCTTTCCTATTCTTTCCCTTTATCTCATTTAATACACTCTCCAGCCTTCATCCATGTTAAGGTGCATAGATTTCTCTGCACAGTGTATAATTTCATGGTGTCAAGCAGTCTTTTAGCTTCACTTCTGATTCCCAAATTTGAAATTTTGGGGACTTAGTTAAATACCTATGACCTAAAATAGTACTAGTGTGTAGTAGGTGCTCATTAAATAGTTGTGAAAAGAATTTCACATTATGAGGATTTTTTTTTTTTTAGACGAAGTTTCACTCTGTCACCAGGCTGGAGTGCAGTGGTGCGATCCCAGCTCACTGCAACCTCTGCCTCCCGGGTTCAAGTGATTCTCTTGCCTCAGCCTCCTGAGTAGCTGATATTACAGGCACGCACTGCCATGCCCAGCTAATTTTTGTATTTTCAGTAGAGACGGGGTTTCACCATGTTGGTCAGGCTGGCCTCGAACTCCTGACCTCGTGATCTACCTGCTTCAGTCTCCCAAAGTGCTGGGATTACAGGCGTGAGCCACCACGCCCGGCCATTTTTTCTTTTTCTTTTTTTTAGTTAGGAAGTCTCTTGCATTTATTTGCAGCTTGTCACTGGCTTTTGTGTCATTAATCATCGTTGGTGCACTTCTCTAACCATCCTTGAAAATTGGATTCGGGGGGGAGATGGGATGACTGAAGACTGAAAGTCCTTGAAAAATATGTCTCAAATAATGAGCCTGAGGCTTTCATCTAGCCTCAAACTTATTATTTGAAGAAAGCTTTTGAAGTGTGGTTACAGCAGAAACAACGCTCTCAAAAGATGCACAGAAAGCAAAAATAGGTTATGGCAATGGTTTAAATATAGTATTGCAAGGATGAGAGTTTTTAACCTCTCTGTGTGTATAATGGAAGACAGGCAGGATGATAATACTGCCAGATTTATGAGAAGATTAGTGAAGTGGATTGGTGTAGAATAAAAAGACTAGGAACTCCTTTTTAAAAACCATATTGCATTTCAAGGATCAGAAAGATATCTCTAACCAAAATAATGAGATCTGCAGTTTAGAATACATAAAATTATTTCATTAGGTAAAGGGACAATAGTGGTTTCATTCACTCTAGAGAGAGAATTCAGATCCAGTTTGATGAATGTTATCATGAATGGATATCACAAAGATTCTCTGTAAGTGAGGATTTTAGGCTTTGGTTTTGCAGAAATTGAAATACATGTGCCAATGTGGCCCTCACAATACTCTGTGTTTGGGCCATGGATTTCAAAAACATAGATGATGTCTTCCTTGTTACAGAAAAAAAGAGAAAAAAAAGTGTACAAAACGAAAATCAATGAACAAAGACATTTATAATTAGAACTTCCCTGGGACTAATTTCTGTGTATTTCAATATAGGAAAAAGGAAGAAACTTGAATATAAGATGAAAATCTATTTCTCTCCAAAAATAATTCATAGTAGGTACTTTTCTTAAAACTAATTATTAGCTCTAATAAAATCTGTCATGATGTTTGTTCCTACATTGTCTCTATAATATCACCTGAGGGCTTCTATAAACACTTCATGTAAAAAATTTGTTCATAATTAAATGTCTAGAAAAAAATTACATTCATTGAGAACATGCTATATTTTCCCATGAACAGTGAAACGTATATAATCAGCATTTTTATTAGACCACTGCAAATCACAGTGCTAAATATATTATTCAAGCTTAGACATTTTCTGAATTTTGTGATCTATCTGCATTATTGACTTTCTATTCTAATTTATATTTTCACAGGCACCTGACTGTAATTTATTCTTTGTACATTTGGTTTCTGTAGAATATTCTGTGCTACCTCAAATTCTTCCTGAAATGAGACATGTTGAAAGAAAAGAGAGGAAGGGAAAAAAGGGAACAAAAGTGAAAGCATACACATTATACTAGCAAGCAGTGGATAATTTAAGACAATTTAGTTAATCAAATTGGTAGGCTTTATTGCTGTAAGATAAATAATATCACTATAATAAAACTAATATGAAAAAATTCAATTTCCATCTGTTTCCATCACTGTTTGTTCATCAAGATACTTGGGATCTAAAAATTATGTATACACAAAAAATAAAAAATAAACTACTAAATCAGTATTTATCCATATTGTAGTATATGCCAGAATTTTTTTTCTTTTTAAGGCTAAATAATATTTCATGGTATGTATATAACACATTTTACTTATCCATTTTGTATTAGTCTATTTTCATGTTGCTGATAAATACATACCCGGGACTGGGCAATTTACAAAAGAAAGAGAGGTTTAATGACTTACAGTTCCACGTGACTGGGGAGGCCTCACAATCATGGCAGAAAGCAAGGAGGAGTAAGTCACATCTTACATGGGTGGCAGCAGGCAAATAAAGAGAGTTTGTGCAGGGAAACTCCCCTTTATAAAACCATCAGATCTCATGAGATTTATTCACTATCACGAGAACAGCACAGGAAAGACTTGCCCCCATGATTCAGTTACCTCCCACCAGGTCTCACAACATGTGGGAATTCAAGATGAGATATGGGTGGGTACACAGCCAAACCATACAGGTTTACTTGTTTAGTTTAGCTATAATGAATATTTTATCCACATTTTAGCTATTGTGAATAATGCAGCTATGAACATGAATGTACAAATTTCTCATCAGGACTCTGTTTTTAATTCTCTTGAGAATATATCCAGAAATAATATTGATGAATTTTACAGCAATTCTATTTTTAATTCTTTTGAGGAGCTGCCATACTGTTTTCCACAATGTCTGTACTATTTTACACTTCCACCAATAGTACACAAGGTTCCCAATAAGGACATTAAGCTAAGTGAAATAAGCCACACAAAAGACAAATACTGTACAATTCCACTTATTTGAGGTACTTAGAGTAGTAAAAATCATAGAATCAGAAACTAGAATGGTGGTTGCCAGGGGATGGGGGAAGGGTAAATGGGGAGATATTGTTCACCAGAAAGTTTCAATTTCATGAGATAAAAAGGAATAGTGATGGAGATAGAGTGTAGTAATGGTTGCATAACATTATAAATGTATTTGATATCACTCTACTGTACACTTAAAAATGGTTAAGATGGTAAATTTTATGTGTATTTTACCAAAATAAATTGGGGGAAAAGGAAACTATGAGCATGTAAATTATTTGTACTTATATATATAAAATATTTTTTTTTAATAATCCAGCCCCCAAAAATTATAAGTGCAACAACATAAAAATAATATTCTAGAACTGGTAACTATAATTTCAACATTGAAGAGAAAATATATTGAAAGTCTACCATCTTTCTAGGTTTCTTTCCAATTCCTTTGTTTTGTAATTTAATAACTACTGCACTTATAATAGAAGCTTAAAAATTATATATCTCACCTAAAAAAGTTACTTCAGGAATTAACCCTGAGTTAATTGTATTCCAAGTCAACTCCAAAATGCTGGCTATCAGTCAAATTAAAGGTGTGGATTATGTAGGGCAGAGCAGCAGAAACCTGAATCTGGGTAGCCCCATCACCAGCTGACTAAAGTGCCCTGGGGTCCTGAATAAATTTGAAAGGCATTCTAGGCCATAACAACTATCATCCTGAGGCAAGTCCTGGTGAGACACTGTGCTCCACTGGGCTCAAAGACAGTGGATGTGAGGTGCACATGACCCAGGGAGAAACCACCCAGGGTGGCCAAGGAAGTGCTGTGTCACCTCTCCCCCAACTCCAGGCAGTGCCACTTGGTGAAAGACTCTTTCTGCTTGCAGAAAGGAGCAGGATGAGTAAAGAGAACTTTGTTTTACAATTTGAGTACCAGCTCAGTCACAGTAAAATAAAGCACCAAGAAAATGCCAAAAACCTCAATTCCAGGTCCTAGCTCCTGGATGGCATTCCTAGACTCGACCTGGACCAGAAAGGAACCTGTTGTGCTGAAGAGAAAGACAAAGTCCTGGCAAAATTCACCACCTGCTGACTAAAGAGCTGGTGGGCCTTGAATAAACATCACCAGTAGCCAGGCAGTAGTTGCCATGGGCCTTAGGTGAGACCTAGCACTGTGCTGGTTTCAGGTGTGACCCAGTGCATTGCCATCTGTGGTGGCCATGGGAGTGACTATATCACACCTCCCCAAACTCCAGGCAGACTGGAACAGAGAGGGAGACTCGGTCTGGGGGAAAGTGAGGAAAGAGAGCAAGAGACTGGTAATCCAGGGAGTTCTCCTGCATTTTACCCAAGCCTACCAAGACATGAGAAGTCTTCAAGAGTTGCACTGTTACTGCACTTGGGAACTCCCTAGTGCAGATATGGTTGCAGTGACCACACTCAATTCCCTTTGAATACTAGGAAAGCCTTCTCAAGAAGAATAAGAACAAACAACCCCAGACTGTGAAGAATAGACTAAATACCTAACTCTTCAATGCCTAGACATTGACAAATATCCACCAGCATCAGGACCAGTCCAGAAAATATGACCTCACCCAATGAAGTAAATAAGGCATCAGCAAACAATCTCAGAGTGATAGAGATATGTGACCTTTCTGACAGACAGTTCAAATAGCTGTTCTGAGAAAGCTCAATGAACTTTAAGAAAACACAGAGAAGGAATTCAGAACCATGTCAGAGAAATTTAACAAAGAGATCAAAATAATTTTGTTAAATCAAGCAGAAATTCTGAAGCTGAAATGTGTTGGGGGGAGTGGAGTTAAAGTGTAGAGTTTACATTAGTTTTCTCTTTGCTTATTTGTTGATTTGCTATTTTTCTTGTGTGTTTAACCAGAGTTTAGTTGTTATCAATTTAAAATAACTGGTTATAAATAATTTCAAGCCTTGTGGCAAATCAAAAAATCTATAACAGATACACAAAAAATAAAAAGCAAGAAATTAAACTACTAGATAAAATAACTTTTACATAAAAGAAGAAAGGAAGGAAGGAAGGGAAAAAGTACCACAAAACAACCAGAAAACAAATAGCAAAATGGCAGTAGCAAGTCCTTACCTACCAATAAAACCATTCAACGTAAAATAACTAAACTGTCCAATCAGAAGACACAGAGTAGCTAAATGGTTAAGAAAAATACAACCCAATAACATGTTGCCTACAAGAAACTCACTTCACCTGTAAAGAAACACACAGATGGAAAATAAAGAGTTGGAAAAAGATATTCCATACAAGTGGAAACCTAAAAAAGAGGAGAAGTAGCTGTACTTACAACAGATAAAATAGATTTAAAGACAAAAACTAAAAAAAGGAGACAAAGAATGTCATTACATAATGATAAAGTGGTTCATTCAGCAAGGGGACATAACAATTATAAATATGTATGAACCCTACACTGGAGTACTCTGATATATTAAGCAAATATATTAAAACTAAAGAGAGAGATAGACCCCAATACAATAATAGATGGAGACCACAAAATTCCACTTACAGCATTGGACAAATTGTCCAGAGAGAAAATCAACAAAGAAACATCAGACTTAATCTGTACTATAGACCTAACAGACATTAAGAGGACATTTCATCTAACAGCTGCAGAATACACATTCTTCTCATCAGCAAATGGAGCATTCTCCAGGACAGACTATATGTTAGGACATAAATTAAGTCTTAAAAGTATTTTTTAATTGAAGTTATACTAAGGATCTTTCATGACCGCAGCAAAAAAAAAAAAAAAAAAAAAAAAAAAAAAAAAAAAACTACAAATCAATTACAAGAGGAATTTTGCAAACTGTAAAAATACATGGAAATTAAACAATATGCTCCTGAATGACCAGTGGGTCAATGAAGAAAGTAAGAAGGAGATAAAAAATTTCATGAAACAAATAGAAATAGAAGTAGAATATACCAAAACTTATGGAATACAGCAAAAAGAGTACTAAGAGGAACGTTTATAACAATAAACACCTACATCAAAAAAATATAAACACTTCAAATACGAACTTAATGATGCATCTTAAAGAACTGGAAAAGCAAAGTCAAACCAAACTCAAAATACGTAGGAGAAAAGAAATGATAAAGATCAGAGCAGAAATAAACGAAATTGAAAAAAATACACAAGATCAACACAATGAAAAGTTGTTTTTTGGAAAGATAATCAACAAATCTTTAGCAGACAAAGAAAAAAAGAGAGAAGACCCAAATAAATAAAATCAGAGACAATAAAGGAGAAATTACAACTGATACCACAGAACTTCAAAAGATCATTAGAGACTAATATGAGCAAGTATATGGCAATAAATTTGAAAACCTAGCATAAATAAATAAATTTCTAGACACAGACAATCTACCAAAATTGAATGTGTGTTTTTTTGTTTTTTTTTTCTGAGATGAAGTTTCACCCTGTCGCCCAGGCTGGAGTGCGGTGGCTCCATCTCGGCTCACTGCAAGCTCCGCCTCCCAGGTTAACACCATTCTTCTGCCTCAGCCTCCCGAGTAGCTGGGACTACAGGCCCCCACCACCATGCCCAGCTAATTTTTTGTATTTTTAGTACAGACCAGGTTTCACCGTGTTACTCAGGATGGTCTCGATCTCCTGGCCTTGTGAGCCGCCCACCTTGGCCCCCCAAAGTGCTGGGATTACCTACATGAGCCACGGTGCCCAGCCCCAAATTGAATGTTTTTACCTGATAGTTTCGCTTTTGAATTTTAATAAGCATTTAAAGAACTAATTCCATGCCTACTCAAACTATCCCAAAAAATAGAGGAGGAGGGAACACTTCCAGACTCTGGTACTCTGATACCAAAACCAGACAAAGACACATCAAAAAAAGAAAACTATAGGCCAATATCCTTGATGAACACGAATGCAAAAATTCACAACAAAATACTAGCAAACCAAATTCCATGACACGTTAAAAAGATCCAAGTGGGATTCACCCCATGGAAGCAAGAATGGCTCAACATATGCAAATCAATCAATGTGACACGTCATATCAACAGAATGAAGGATAAAACCTATATGTTCATTTCAATCAATGCTGAGAAAGCATTTGATAGTATTCAATACACCCTCATGATAAAAACTCTAAAAAAAAAAACTGTGTATAGAGGGAATTTACTTCAACATGATAAAAGCCATATATGACAGACCCACAGCTAGTATCATACTGAAATGGGTAAAAGCCTTTCCTCTAAGATCTGGAACAAGACAAGAATCCCCACTTTCACCACTGTTATTCAACATAACACTGGATGTTCTAGCCAGTGTAATTAGATGGAGAGAAAAATTAAGGGCATCCAAATTGGAAAGGAAGAAACTGAATTATCTTTGTTTGCAGATGATGTGATCTTATTTGGAAAAGCCTAAAGATTCCACCAAAAACTATTAGAACTGATAAACAAATTCAGTGAAGTTGCAGGATACAAAATCAACACACAAAAATCCGTAGCATTTCTGCATGCTAACAACAAACAATCTGAAAAAGAAATGAAGTCATCTTATTTACAATAGCTACAAATAAAATAAAATACCTAGGAATAAACTTAACCAAAGAAGTGAAAGATTGCTATGATAAAAATTATAAAACACTGATTAAATAAATAAAGAGGATATTAAAAATGAAAAGATATTTCATGTTCATGTATTGGAAGAATTAATATTGTTAAAATGTCCATACCACCCAAAGCCATCTACAGATTTAGTGCAACTCACATTGAAATACCAATGACATTCTTCACAGAAATAGAAAAAAATAATTTTAAAATTTTTACGGAACAACAAAAAACCCAGAATAGCAAAAGCCATGCTGAGCAAAAAGAACAAAACTGTAGGAATCACATTGCTAGATTTTAAATTATACTACAGAGTTATAATAACCCAAACAACATGGCACTGGCATAAAAGCAGACATATAGACTGGTAGAAAAGAATAGAGAACCCATAAAGAAATCCACACACCTGCAGTGAACTCATTTTTTATAAAGATGCCAAGAACATACATTGCAGGGAAGGACAGTCTCCTCAATAAATGGTGCTGGAAAACCTGGATATCCACATGCAAAAGAATGAAACTAGGCTCCTCTCCCTCACTGTACACAAAAATCAAATAAAAATGGATTAAAGACTTAAATCTAATACCTCATACTGTGAAATGACTAAAAGCCAACATTGATGAAACTGGAGGACATTGGTTTGGGTAGAGATTTTTGTGGGTAATACCTCAAAAGCACAGGAAACCAAAGCAAAAATGGACAGATTAACTTTCACATCAAGTTAAAGAACCTCTGCACAGCAAATGAGACAATCAACAAAGTGAAGAGACAACCCACAGAATTGGAGAAATGATTTGCAAACTACCCATCTGACAAGGTATTAATAACCATAATATGTAAATTGCTCAAACAACTTGATGGGGAAAAATCAAATAATCCAATTTAACAATGGGCAAAAGATCTGCATAGACATTTCTTAAAAGTAGACATGCAAATTGCCAAAAGGTATATTAAAAATGCTCAAAGTGATTAATCATAAGATAAATGCTAATTAAAACTACCATGAGATATCATCTCACCCCAGCTAAAATGGCTTTCATTCAAAAGACAGGCAATAAAAAATGCTGGTGAGTATGTAGAGAAAGGGGAACCTTTGTACACTGTATTAGTCTGTTCTCATGCTGCTAATAAAGGCATACCTGAGACTGAGCAATTTATAAAGAAAAGAGGTTTAATCGACTCATATTTCCAACAGATCTCATGAGACTTACTCGCTATCAAGAGAACAGCACAGGAAAGACTGGACCCCATGATTCAATTGCCTCCCACCAGATCCCTCCCAGAATACGTGGGAATTATGGGAGCTACAAGTCAAGATGAGATTTGGGTGGGACACAGCCAACCCATATCATACACTGTTGGTGGAAATGTAAATTAGTACAACCACTGTGGAGAACTGTAAGACAGTTCCTCAAAACACTCCAGCAATCTCATTTCTAGGTATATACCTAAAAGAAAAGAAATCAGTTGCACTCCCATGTTTATTGCAGCACTATTCACTATAGCCAAGATTTGAAACAACCTAAGTGTCCATCAGTGAATGAATGGATATATATGTAGTATATATACACAGTGAAATATTATTCAGTCATAAAAACAGATGAGATGCTGTCATTTGCAGCAACATGGATGGGACTTGAGGACATTGTGTTAACTGAAATAAGCCAGGCACAGAAAGACAAATTTTGCATGTTTTCACTCATGTGTGGGAGCTAAACATTAAAATAATTGAACTCATTGAGATAGAGAGTAGAATGATGGTTACCAAAGATTGAGAAAAGTAGCAGGTCAGGAACTGGGCAGGGAGTGGAATTAGTTAATGGGCGCAAATACACAGACAGAATGAATAAGTTCTAGTATTTGATAGCATGACAGGATGATTACAGTGAATAATTATTATATATTTATAAATAACTTTAAGAGTAGAATTTGCGTGTTCCTAACACACAAAAAATGATAAATGCTTGAAGTGATGGATACCCTGAGTACCCTGATGTGATTATCACACTTTGTATGTCTGTATTAGAACATCACATGTACTCCATGAATATGTATATATACCTATTATATACTCCTAATAATTAAAAATTTAAGAAAATTTAAAATAAAATGGAAGGTCTGTGGAAAAAGAGTAGGCATAAATCCAAACACATGCCCTCAAATAAATCAATGAATATAAAGTAGAAAAATGTACACAATAATGGACATGAACTGATTAATTTAAAAATGCCTGTAAAGAGCTGCTGCCAAGATGTTTAATGGTGTTACTCAGAATATCTAATGGTATCACTCAAGGCAGAAGTTGTTTTCAAGATAATATTCTGGGAAGACTTCTTCACCATAGGTATAACCCTTCCTAGTAGTTGGCACAACTAAGCAACTGAACAAAGCTCCTGTCTTAACCACTATAATCAACCACCTCTAATGTAGTACATACAGCACGTGAAACTATCCTGAGTCTTTTTAGTAAAGCCATTCATTCATTCACTCATCATCCATCCATCCATTTATTCATGTAGTAAGTATATCTCTAATATATACCAGGCATTGTACTAGGATTTGAGGGTAGAGCTATAGGCAGGACAGCCAGGATATTCTTTAAATGTTTTCAGAGTCCATTAGATAGTCTACATAGTTTGTCAACTAGTAATATGCATATATTAAAATGGATAACTTTATTATTTCACATAACAATAGTAAAATAGTAAAATAAAAATAGTATTATAAAAATAGTATTATTTTTAGGTTCAACTATTTAGGAAATTTATCCAACACTTTACAAAATTCATGTAAAGGATCACCTCCACTTACTATACATAGGTACCTAAGATGAGTATGTCCTGCATGACTATCACAGTCAAAAATGGAGGCCACTGAGAAGTGAGTAACAGACTTTTTACACCTAGAAAATAAGCCAGGCCCAGTGGTTCAAGCCTGGAATCTCAGCACTTTGGGAGCTGAAGTGGGCATATCACTTGAGACCAGGAGTTTAAGACCAGCCTGGCCAACATGGCAAAAGCTTTTCTCTACAAAAAATACAAAATTTAGCCGGGTAGGTGGCGCACACCTATAGTCCCAGCTACTCAGGAGGCTGAGACAGGAAAATCACTTGAGCCTGGGAGGTGAGCTGAAATTGTGCTGTTGCACTCCAGCCTGGGCTATGGGAGTGTAACCTTGTCTCAAAACAAAAAAAGGAAAGGGAAGGGAAGGGAAGGGAAGGGGAGGGGAGGGGAGGGGAGGGGAGGGGAAGGGGAAGGGGAAGGGGAAGGGGAAGGGGAAGGGGAGAAAATAATAAAACTAATCAGCCCATTGGGAATGTTCTGTGGGAAAAAAGCAATTAATTCATTTTTTTCTATAAGATAAATTACTAATTATTTTAAAACTTGAATCCCCAGGATTCAACGTTTAATGAGTCTTCATGTGTTATAAAATATATAAATTTATTAAAAGTTATTCTAAATGATGACATTTCTTATTTCAAAACATTACACTTTCTTCCACTGTTAAGTACAGAAGTAAAAGATTACATATAATTTGTAACTTTTCAAGACATAGTATTAAAAAATTAGAGCCAGTTACATTTATGTCAGAATTTTAAAGTATGTATAACTCTCTTCAAATATTTTTAAATACAGGAATAAAAATACAATTGAACTTTATTTAAAAATTGAACTTTTATCATTTACATTTTTATAACCTGTATAAAACATTAAAATATTGATTCATTGCTTTCTATGGGAATCATGCATAGAATTTAATACTTTTTCTACCACATTTTGACCTGATTGATAACAAATAAAAAGAGATGCTTAAATGGAGATGATTGAAACCTGGCTGAGTTATACTGTAACACTTTATTTAAAAGGTAGAGGCTTAAAGTCAAACTTTTCTTGCCCTGTTATCTCTCTCTCAGCCCTTTGTTTTCCTTGATAGTGTATTTTCAGTTCTTGAATATTCATAATTTATTAAACTATGGAAAGGGTCATATATACTAATAACTTGCCTTCCATTTTGACTCATCACATCTGCTGAGCCTCCTTTGGCATTGAACTATAGTTGCCTACATCTTACATGGTGTGAAGAATTTACGTGTATTTTACATTCTTATCTATTCATGCTGAGTCACTAGAGGTTAGCAATGTACCTAAGCATAATTCTCCAAAACTCAAATCTTCAGATAAGAATTTTGTTTTTTAAATCCCTACACCATATGTAATATTATTTAGTGATTTTACTAGTTTTTAATTTAAATACCTGTACTTCTTTTTTGTTGTTGTTGTTGTTTTTTTGTGATGGAGTCTCACTGTCCCCCAGGCTGGAGTGCAGTGGTGCAGTCTCTGCTCACTGCAACATTTGCCTCCTGGGTTCAAGCAATTCTCTGCCTCAGCCTCCCAAGCAGCTGGTATTACAGGTGCCTGCCACCACACCTGGCTAATTTTTGTATTTTTAGTAGAGAAGGAGTTTCACCATCTTAGCCAGGCTGGTCTTGAACTCCTGGCCTAGTGATCCACCTGCTTCAGCATCCCAAAGTGCTGAGATTACAGGCATGAGCCACCACACCCGGCCTAAATACATGTATTTCTAAGGAACTTAATATCAATCTGAAAATAGCTATACAAAAGCATATAGAAAGCATTTTAAATGTGATCTTCATGCCTTTGCCAAAGACTGACCCTGAGGTCCATCCTTTGTTGAAAACAAGTTACTAAGTTTTAGAGAACTTTAAGTAAAAAATACAGTAACACTTTTGTGAGGCTTTGTATTTGGCCTAAATAAAAGGACGAAAGGAATTGTTTCTTTGCGTTATTTGACATTATTTAGTGTTGTGTGTGCATATTTATATATGTGTACCACCTAAAATTACCCTTTAAATCACTGATATCTGTCCCACACTTTTGGAAATGTTCTATCTAAGCATATTCTTAGCGCCAAGACAGCAGAAAAATCTCTAGAAAGTTTATCGAAGGCTAACAGACAGGTATTTTATATAACAAGGTGCCAATTAACAACAAACTAAAATAATAATAAATAAAGGCAAGAAAATAAAACCATCATGTAAGATCGCTGTAATAAAAATATTTTTGGCTGGGGGACAAAGACGATGTTTTCAGACTTGCTCTCTCCATCAACTGCTAATACCCTTGCTATGTGTCATGAAACACAGGGTTGTTTTATTGTTAGAATCAGGACCAGTACCCTGCCCTTCAAGACCCTGAGAGTTAGTGCCTCTTTAGCTTTTACACCCTAGGGACCTTTCATGCTTCACTTTAGTTCTGGCCTTGCTTAATTAATACCCATTAGCTCATGATAACTGAAGATTCTAGCTTAAAAAATATTTCACTGTCTTTCCTATTCGTTGATGAAGCTTCTTGGATGTGAAACATGGCAAGGCTAACAATACTGACTTCAGGTAATTGTTTTCAGTGGAAATGACTTAATGCATATAAGCTCTACATCCCTAGACAAATGTTAGGTATTATAATTTCATACCTATATAATTTTATAATTTTTACCCAAATTAATATCCTCAAACTTTGATTGAGGTCTTTCCATAGGAGTAACTAGAGAGCCAAAGATGACTACAACTCAGTCATTGCCCTTGGGAGCTTTATTTAGTTATTATAATAGAGTTCCCCTCACCCTACCACCTGACAATGGTAATACAAATTTATACTGACTGATCTCCATTCTCTTGCTTCATTTTGTGCTGTCATTTGTTAGGTGGATGAATATAATTAGAATTGCAGTCTATGATCAGTAAAGAAAGCAAAAGTTATAGTACCTCTTAAACCAGAGAGATCTGACTATAGCAGGATTCACACCCAAGTGCTTACAGAAGCAGTAAGTATTGAAATATTGTGATGATAATTTTTTTTAACCAGTGGACATGGTGAGGTTTCTGATGAGTCATCAACTGAAACCAAAAGGATTCTGCTCTCCTAGACTTTCTGTTGTTAAAAAGTCACGACTACTTAGTGAAAACCACATCCACAAAGATTGGCTTATATAAATGAAAAAACTATTGTATTCTGAAATGTTAAATCATTAGTATTTTATAACATTAATTTGATTTACTATAAACAGTACTTTTTCCTGAAGGGGTCAAATTGCCTAGAAGCAGTCATTAAGACTCTGATAAGTATAAAATCACTAAAAACTTTTAATCATCTACATAGCGATTTGTTGTAAATTTTTTACGTATTTTTCAATATTAAATTTAAAAATCTGTACTATTATCAACAAATTTGGATGACTAATGATTGAATGTAATAATAATATGCACTATAATGTATTCTGATCATGTTCTGCAAGATCTTGCTTTAAATATGTTTTGCTTCAAACAAACAAAAGGAGAATTTGAGATTCTCATCTAGTTTCCTGGCTTTAACATCAAGAAGTAACTCTAAGGCCTACATAATTCAAAATAACAGGTTATGGCAAGAAAAATTGTCATTATTATTGCCAGCTGGTGATTTTTCAGTAGTCCTTTTGACCTTCCCATTTCCAGTGAAATTTCTATGGAATGAGAAGCAGTTCTGTGTATTAGGCCGGCAAACATCATACTAGGTACTGGATATATAATTAATATATCCAGGAAACTCTTTTATATGTGGATCCTCTTCCACTCCAAGTTTCCCTGATCTATTGATGTTAAAGTCCCACAAACGCAAATTGCTGTTGAGCAGCTCTTCTCAATTTTTCCTAATTGCCCTATAAGGAGGCATTTTAGACATTTTAAAAATTGCTTTATCTATAAATTTTAATACCACAGGTATATTATCAGTCAATGTACCGTGTGTATTTCTGTGCATTATACATTAAAATAGTAAGTTTTTTTCACCTTCCAAAAACAAATTTGTTATTCCCTTGGGAGCAATATAACCCTCATAGTGAATGCATGCCAAAAAGTGACAAATAGCACATTCTCTGGCATTTAGTTATTCAATAAATGTTTGACGTCAAATATGTTTAGAATACAGTTTCTTAATACTGAGTCTACAGAAACCTCATAGAATTCTAGATGGGCCCACAAGAGTTCTGTGGAAAAATACAATTCATCAGAATTTTTCTAAGAAGGTCCACAGCTTTCACTATATTCTCAAATTGCTCCTTAAGAAAGAAATTAAGCAGTACTGGCTTTAGACCTATCCGAAAAGGGACATTTGTATGCTAGATATAATTTTGATTAATAATTGTTTATTTTCTACAAAACTAGAGATATTTTAAAGTCATCAATTGAATTAATGCATTCTGTATAATTTCCAATTTTGTTGAAATGACCAAATTTAATTTAAATCACCAAACTTTAGCTGAGTATTGATTTTGTGCAAATGGCTACAATGTGTGCAAAGAAAGTAGAATACTATAGGAGTTTGCTTAGAGCAAGAGCTTTTGTCAATGGTTTGCACTGCTGTCCAAAGTTCTAGCCTCATAGTTGCTAGTAGGATTACTAGTGATCTATAAATTTATACTGGTTGTATGTGCAAAACTGAGAGGTGACAACGTGCTAGCAGCCATCAGCTCGCTCTCGGCGCCTCCTCGGCCTCAGTGTCCACCCTGGCCATGCTCGAGGAGCCCTTCAGCCCACCACTGCGCTGTGGGGGACCCTCTCTGGGCTGGCGGAGGCCAGAGCTGGCTCCCTCTGAGCTCCCTCTGCTTGCGGGGGAGGTGTGGAGGGTAAGGCAGGGGCAGGAACCGCGGCTGTGCGTGGCGCTCCTGGGCCAGCACGAGTTCCGGGTGGGTGTGGGCTCCGTGGGCCCCGCACTCCGAGCGGCCAGCCGGGGCCTCCACCCCGGGCAGGCAGGGGCTTAGCACCTGCGCCAGCAGCTGCAGAGGGTGCGCAGGGTCCGCGGGCCACGCTGGAATTCTCTCTGGGCCTCAGCCGCCTCCCCATGGGGCAGGGCTCGGGACCTGCAGCCCGCCATGCCCGAACCCGCCCCCCCCACCCCCAGTGGGCTCCGCGCAGCCCTAGCCTCCCCAAGGAGCGCCACCCCTTGCTCCGCGGTGCTCAGTCCCATCGACTGCCCAAGGGCTGAGGAGTGCCAGCGCACTGGCGCTGGCACAAGACTGACGGGCCTCCCGGGTCCGTGGCGTTATCCATTAGGGGAAGCCAGCTGGGCTCCTGAGTGGGGTAGGGACTTGGAGAACTTTTATGTCTAGCTGGAGGATTGTTGTATATGCACCAGTCAGCACTCTGTGTCTAGCTCAGGGTTTGTGGATGCACCAATCAGCACTCTGTATCTAGCTAATCTGGTGGGGACTTGGAGAACTTTTATATCTAGCTAGAGGATTGTAAGTGCACCAATCAGCACTCTGTATCTAGCTCAGGGATTGTAAACGCACCAATCAGCACTCTGTCAAAACAGACCAATCAGCTCTCTGTAAAATGGACCAATCAGCAGGATGTGGGTGGGACCAGATAAGGGAATAAAAGCAGGCTGCCCAAGTGAGCAGCAGCAACCTGCTTGGGTAGCTGGGAGGCTTTGTTCTTTTGCTCTTTGCAGGAAATCTTGCTGCTGCTCACTGGGTCTGCGAGGGCCTTAAAGGGCTGTAACACTCACTGGGAAGGTCTGCAGCATTACTGCTGGAGCCAGCAAGACCACAAACCCACTGGAAGGAATGAACTCCTGACATGCCGCCTTTAAGAGCTGTTAACACTCACCGAGAAGGTCTGTAGCTTCACTCCTGATGTCAGCGAGACCACGAACCCACCAGAAGGAAGAAACTCTGGACACATCTGAACAAGTTAAGGAACAAACTCCGGACACACCATCTTTAAGAACTGTAACACTCACCGCGAGGGTCTGCGGCTTCGTTCTTGAAGTCAGCAAAACCAAGAACCCACCAATTCCGGACACAAAACTTTGGATCATGTCTGTGAATTTACATAGGCCTTTGAGATCTCTAAGTGGGATAGGTAGTAAGAAAGTCATATGACTCTGAAGTATCTTAGAAAGGTTGAAAGATTTAGGAATTTAGTATACAAGTTATAGGTTAAAGTTGAACAAGGGTGGAGATTAATTTGTTAGTGTGTATTTGCAAGGCAAATTTTTTATGAGATTCTCCTAACCTTCAAGACCTCTGAGGCTCAAAATGCTTAACATAGAAAGTTCAAGAGAATAAGATATTATAATAAATAATACTTTCAATTTAGATATATGAAAATGATGGAGTATTATGTAGCAATGAAAATGATCTGCAACTATAGACAACATAAATGGACCTTGGAAACAGTATTTACCAAACAAAACACCAGACACAGTATTCATGCTTTATAATTCCACTTACATAAATTCAAAAATAGGTATAAACTAATCTCTGGTGATAGAAATCAGGATAGTAGTTGTACTTGCTGGGGGCTGAGACTGAAGGGGACATGAGAAAAATTCCTGGGTTTTTGAAAATGGTCTATTTTTCTAGGCAATTTTTGCACTAGTATGAACACTTAGTGAAAATTCATCCAGCCTTACACTTACAAAGTATGTCCTTCATGTGTATATTATACTTCAAAAAATTTAAGAAAAAGAAAAGTATTTAGGCAGCTGAAGTTTCCAGATGTAGATACTATACAGTAAATTGGGGCTTTTCATATTATGTTATTTAAACGAAATAATTATTTTATATAATATAGATCTATGAGACATATATGCTCTATGTTGAAGGTACTGTGAGAGAGATACCAATTAGCACAAAAAACAAAAACAGAACAAAAAACAGAAATTCAAGTTTATTGGTATCTTCCTTAGGTACAAGAGATCTCAATGAACTGAGGAGTCATTATTCCTCAGTTATAAAATTTACCTCAGAATTCTCTGCTTAAACTATCTAGCAAGCCCTGGAATGACGTAGCAAAGCATACTAAGGTGGTAAAGAGCTTAGGCTCTGGACTAGACTTTGGTTGTGGCTTAATATCTCTTTCATTTCGTTTATTTGTAAAATGAGACAATATTAGCACTTATTTAACATGATTACCATGAATATCAATTCACGTAATGTATATACAGTATATAATCCAGTACCTGGAACATTCTAGAAACCTGGAAGAAGTCATTATGAGCTGTGTTGATATAGGTTATATTAAATTGATTTGAGTTCAAAACACTTTTTGCTCTTATTCCTCCTCAATTCTACATTCAAAGTGCCTATATTTACCTAATTTTGCCCTCATGGTATACCACATTTTAATTATGTTTTGTCCCCAACTCTTATTTAACTCTAAAAATGGGCTGCTTCCTGCTATTCCATGGAACTCCAGGCAAAGCTATCTATTGACTTTCTAGTGTCTCCTGGGTATCGCTTTAGTACTGTTACACCAGAGACATAGCTATCTCAGTAAATGGGCTCAACTCTCACGTGTGTTTTTCCAATAGTCATGCTTACCTAAGTGGTTACATGATTATCTTAACCACCTCAATTCTCTCTCTTCCTTCCCCCCTTGATACCTTCATCCTAGCTCGTGATTTGTTTCTTTTTCACTACGTTGCTTTTCTTTGCCAAAGTGTCCATTGAGAGTTTCCAGGTTAATGAGTGGTGAGCTGGTAAACGTTTAACAACTGGCTCTCCAGAGAGGGAAATGCCAGGATTTGTAGCATTTGCTTATTTTTGCAGTGTAAATACTCCCACCATGTCTTGTTTGAAGCTACCAACATGGCGTCACTGAGCACAGAGCTGGGAGAAGATGCACACAATTTGCCCTGAGGGCTGGTACAAGCACAATATAAAATGCAAAACTCATTTAGATCAGTCATCTATTTCCTCCTCCTCCTTCCGCCCTCTTCCTCCCACCTCACTCAATAGTTGGGTATTCTACTCTTAGAAGATCACCTTGAATTTGCTCAGATTATGTTAACACCTTTTCCCACACTGTAAAGAAGCTGTAAATGCCCACCGTTCGGCAAAGTACTTTTGTTAGCTCCTCAACACCCAGCTCTATACTTACAAGTTCTTATAAAAGATCGGTAAATTCACCAACAATTTAAAAGTTTTAGTATAAAACGAGCCCTCAGTAGAGATTAATGAAATAAATGGAAGAATGTAATCTAACCTTTAAAAAAAAGTTACATCTCTGACAACATATGGTTGGCAAAGTTGCCTCTGGCAATTTGACTGTTTCCACAGAGACAAATGGAAGAGGTTTGTTAGGAAAACTCTAGAGAACAAAGTTTCCTCCTTTTCCCCCCACTAGGACACAGGGCATTGTCAGAAAAGTCTCAAATATTTCTCTAATGTAAAAAACATTTCTTCTGTTGTTTGATATTTGAAGAGTTATTTTTGGAGTGAGACAAATTCCCTTTGTGAATTAGATATCAAAAAGTTAAAATCTAAATGAAATTTCTTTGCAGTTCTAACTGAATGACAGATTTATCTTAGCCACTATGGGAAAGGCAAATCTGTCTTTGCGTGTCTTCATTTTCTCTAATCTTCACAAGTACCAGCCTATAGTCTTTAGATCTGTTGCCAGTGTAACAGATTAGTCAGGACACTTCTATTTTTAAAAGAAGGTCCCACACCAGCCCACATTCACGAAGGTTGGGCCTCTTTGACATCATTTTCTGTAGGAATAAAACTACAGCTATTCTGAGTGGTGCTCCAAAGCATACCAGTTAGCCTGTCAGTATAGTGTATGTCATACACCATTTGAAAGCTTTTCTAATTTTAAAGTGGCTTTAAAACTTTTTTAAAAAAATGTCCTGCTTAGCTATTAAATGAAGTAATAGAATGGAGACTGGTCAGTGTATACTTATTACCACTGCTAAGGGAAAAAATATTCTCTTATTATAAATACATGCCAAGTCCCAAGGGCAGTGATTTAGCTGCAGTCATCTTTAGCTCTGTAATTACTTCTAGAGAAGGACATCAATTGAGGTTTGAGGAAGTTAAGTGGGTGAAAAATAATAATATCTGGGGATGCAGAGTTCACATGCATTAAGTCATTTTCTACTGAAAGCAATTACCTGAGGTCAGTATTGTTAGTCTCACCATTTTTTATATCCTAGAAGCTTCATCAATGGATATGAAAGACAGTGAAATATTTTTTAACCTAGGATCTCTATTTGTCATTAGCTAATGAGTATTAATTAAACAAGGCCAAAAACTAGGGTGAAGCAAGAAAGGTGCCCACAGTGTAAAAGTTAAAAAGGCACTTTACTCTGAGGGTGTAGTAGGGCAGATCCCTGGTCCTGGCCTTATAATTTTGACACATTAGGAAGATAATTTAAATAATATTGGCTATTTCCAACATCTATCAGTGCAGGCTATAGCCACATGTAAACTGTTCCTCAAATATTGCTATGAGCCCCAGGATATGTGTTATAAGTAGTTAGGAATAAACTCACTGGTTCAGGGACAGTATGGAAAATCCCTATGCTTTGCTTTTAAGTGGGGAAGAAGGTTTTCCCTCTTTCATTAACTGAGATTACAAGCATTATTGCTTGTGTTTCAAGTCTTATTGAGGTTTTAATGAAACCACGTTCATAGTTGTCCTTCACAGTTCTCCGGATATCCTCTGACCTTGGACATGAGTTCGATGCAGTCAGGACAGGAAACAAATACCAGTAGCAGATCCTGTGTTTATTAGGGTGATCCACCTTCTGATAATCCAGAAACAGCTTTCTTGTGGAATCCTAATTAGGAAAAAGGAGTCGGGCTGGTGGGACTGAGGGAAAGCAAAAAGAGAAAAAAGAACTATGTGTGCCTTTCTCATGATCTAGAAACACATACCCCTCCTGCACAAATAAATCACAGTCTTCCTGTGCCCAGCTATCACCAGAATCTGGGATGATGCAAAAAATGAAAGTTAGCTCACTGCAATCTTGGCATTATCAGTACTGCACAAAGCCCTCTTCAGCACACAGCACAAGCACTGTCCTATAAAATCCCAGCAAGCCTTTGTTTCCTTACAGTCAGCTCCTTTTTGCTGGCCTACCCATTGCTTCCTTGAAACATAATTTCATACCTAATCTAATAAACTTTTCTTCACCTACAACTGTCAGTAAATTCTTCTTTTCCCCACACCACCAGCCCCAGATAGTAGCCCCTTACCAGTGATATTTCTTAGTTATCTTTATTCTGGCAACCTCTTTCATGGAAAATTCTTTCTCTCTCCTTTATCTATCCATACATCCATACCTCCTCCCATTAACCGATTGAGTCAACAAACATCTATTGAGAAACTAGTCGGCGATGAAGATTCAGTGTTGGACAAGGACTTTACAGCCTACTTGGGATGTCAACAGGCTTCCACATTCCATTCCACTAATTGTCCAGACTGGTCTGAAACTTTGTATTCAGGTTGAGATCCCTACTTTAGTTACACAAAAGTTAAAAAAAATGGTTATTTAAAAAAATAATGATGATAGAAGTCCTTGCAAGCTTGGATTTTGTAGGATTATTTCTCTTAGTGCTATCTAATGAAATATGTTACCTTTATTATCTTTATTTCAAAGATTTCCAGTCAGTTGAAGATTGGGGAATAAGTTGACAAAAATTACTCCTTTAGGGTAATAAACTGTATGAAAAAATATTAATTTGGCAAATAATATATTTAGTTGATTAATTATGCTCTAGGTAAAAATGCTGCACAACCAGATATTTTCTTTCTTAGAATATATCTGGATAAATGTTTCAAAACAGACAAAACGAAGCAATTAAGCTCTAAAAAATGAAAAAGAAAAAGAGTGATATTTGTGGTGATCCTGAGGAAAAGTGAAATGATTGGGTTACGCTGACTCTTAGAAACAAACAAAAAATAATAATCAAAATAAAATCTATTAAAATTTAAGTAGTAAGTGGAACTAACATTTTCCGTTCTTTAATGTACCAAATACTCTAAAGACTACTGTACTTGAAATTAAATATAGTTCTCTAAGACTTAATTTTTGCTTCTTGAAATTGGTTCTAAATATTCATCTACCTGATGCTACTTGCAGGAATGTGAAACCCATAGGAAAAAAAGAAACTTCCCAAAAGCATCCCATTTTTTAAAATTATAAACAGATGAGGATTTTTTCCCCCTTACTTAATAGGCAAAGTTTATATGATTTAAACTTTCAATTTAAAAAATCTAATTTTGATCTTGTTTCTGAAAAAGAAGTATCCCTTTTGGTCAAGACTACATATCCCTCTCCATAAAATTATAATCTCTGTTTTCTCTGAAATGTGCTCTGTTATTTGCCTTTCATGCTTGCATCTTCAAACTTCTACTTTATTAGTTATTCACACATAATGGTATAATTTTTTCAGGCCATTAATTCAAAAGTTAAATATACACAATTTTTACAAGTTCTTAATTTTCATTTCAAGTACACTTTCTTTGTACCCAGAAAACTTGAGGGGGTCATCTGGTCACTGCCTGATAGCTTCTGCCTACTTGGTCATAATTCATAATTGAAACATAGAGTTCTTTCTGGTCCTAAGCCATGATTAATCTCTAAATTTGATCTACATAACTGTCCCCAGAGGTAGCCTCTTTTCATAACTTCTAGATTTCAGTGCCCAACAGTTCTCTCTTGCTGTCTTGCTCGTTCTGTCTTCATTTCCACAGCTGTCCTGGGAAACATGAGGAAATTTTTCAGTTCTTCCATACAACTCTGAAGGCCCAGGAAACCCAGTAGGTATGCCAAACCCACTTCTGTCTTGGACATTTGCATCAACCATCCGTCTTCTAGTGTCTAGTCCTCAAAGGCCTGGGGTACTCTCAGGGCTACAGACAGGAAACAGAACACAAATTCCATTGACCCCAAGATCACAAAATTATCAGAAGCATTCTACTGTCTGCCTTGTGTCCTCTCCTCAATGTGGGACTTAGCCAGCCTTTTCTCAGACACCCTTGTCCTTTCACTCTCTTCTCTGACTCAGATCACTTTCAGGGAGAAGAGGTCAAATGAAATTTTCACACCTGAAACCTCCATTTGGAGCTTTGGAACTTAAAAACTAAGAATGATAGATATTTATTTTTTGATCCTTACTCCCTTGAGGCAATGCATCTTTAAGGCCAAATGTCTGAATGAGATATGACCTGTAGGCAAAATAGGAATTATAAGCATAATGGCTGAGCGCGATGACTCACGCCTGTAATCCCAGCACTTTGAGAGGCCAAGGCGGGCAGATCACCTGAGGTCGGGAGTTGGAGAGCAGCCTGATCAACATGGAGAAACCCTGTCTCTACTAAAAATACAAAATTAGCCAGGCATGGTGGCGCATGCCTGTAATCCCAGCTACTCAGGAGGCTGAGGCAGGAGAATCGCTTGAATCCAGGAGGTGGCGGTTGCAGTGAGCTAAGATCGTGCCATTGCACTCCAGCCCGGGCAACAAGAGGGAAACTCTGTCTCAAAAAACAAACAAAAAAAAAAGAATTATGAGCATAACATATCAGTAAATAAAAATATTTTAATCCTGGCACACAATCTCTACATTCTTTCCCTCTCTGAAATTGACTTCATTAATGTTTCTCCACAGCTACTTCAATGTTTTGCAACCACCACTGCTTAATTAGCTGTAAACGTATTCTTCATCTTCAAACCTCTCAAATTGTGAAGATTGGATAAGAAAAATGATTAAATGAGAGGATTAGCTTCTGCTAAACCTCAAATAACACTAACTTTAAAAATTAGTAAGATCGTTTATTCCTTTCTCATGCCAAAGAAAAAAAATCCAGATGTAGCCAGTTTAGGGGTGGAATAGCGGCTTTGTCAGGATCAGGGACCCAGACTCCTTCAAGCTTCTCCAGTTGCTTCGATTATCTCAGGCCTGGAGGCCACTGTTCCAGGGCCAACTAGAAACAGGAAGAAGGAGAGAAAAGGAGAACAAGACATCTGCATTCATTATTTCTTATTGGAAGGAACTTAGTCACCTAGTCACACGAAACTTCCAGCCATGATCTTTTTGTCTCAAATTTCACAGGCATGAATCAGAAACCAATTCACAATGCCCCACGACTACAAGAAACATATATCAAGCTCTGCAAGCAGCCCTCATGAAACTTTCTCCCTAGATTTGAGAAAGAAGGGTCAATCATCCCCCCTCCCTTTCTCTGGGATGGAAGACAGGATTAAGAACACAGATTTTCCAAACCAGTCCTCTTCACCAAATCCTGTTGAATCACCAGCCACCTGACCGTTTTAGATCCTTGATGTAGATGATTCATCTAGCAGGTTCACAAACACCTTCTTTGAAATTTCAGCTTGTTGATCTGACTCATAGCACACTGTAATTCAGAGTTCAGTCAAAGCTTTCATTTTCACATCCTGTTATACTACTATAAAAGGAAAACTCTTGATTTTTGTATGCAGCCATCTTAGTAAGTTTTCTTTTTACTTTAAATAGGTTTTCAGTTGAATTTTCTGATTTTCTTCGGTATTCAATTATATCTGAAAACAAAACTTTTTCTTTACTATGTTTATCCCAAACAGTGTCTTATTCTATTATCTAGAACCACCAAAACAATATTAAATAAAACAGTGATCATTAGAACCTTTACTTTCTTAATTTTAATGGGAATGCTTTAATATTTTTTCCTCTTTTCTTGAAAGGAATAATGTTTTTGATATTCTCTTCTTCATCCCTCTATTTCAATTACCTCCTTAGAATCAGGAATAAGCTCTCATATCAGGGCTTTTGCCAGTATCTTTAATTATTATACAGTATTTTAACTTATGTAAGATGCATAGGCAGATTTTTCTAAAATATATGTAGGTCTCTCAAGAAAAGTATTTTTTAAATTCTTCCCACATTATACATAAAAATCAAGTTTATTCATTTTAACTGCTGGATAGCATTCTATCATATAGCACTTAGGTTGTTTCCAATTTTTGCTACTAAAAGCAATGCTTCCGTGGGAATCTTTGGACATATCCTCTTGTACAGACGTGCAGTGATTTTTCTAAGTGGTATATCTAGAAGCAGAATTATTAGGAAATACTTCTTGTGCACTTTCAAATGAATGTTCCTAGACTGTTCTTAAAAATGTGCTTACCAATTGATATTACCAACAACCACTCACTTTTAGTCCTCTTCCTTTTCACCATCTTCCTATAATATTCTTTTTTTTTAATTGTACTTTAAGCTTTGTGGTACATGTGCACATCTTCCTATAATATTCTTGTCTGCTACTCTGTTTCCAAAAGAGATGGGTTAACACACTCAACTATCATTATAAGTTTTTTAGTTTCTTCTTAGTGTTATGCCTACTTCACTTCATATATTGATCATTTTGGTTGCCATACAAGTTCACAGCTATTATATCATCTGGGGAAATACATTATTTTTAGCTTACTTAATGTCTTCATTTATAATATTCTTTTGTCTGAATTCTATATATTTCTGATAAAAGTATTATTTGCTTTTTTTGATTAGTATGTAAGTTATCATTCCTTAATTTTCCCCTTCTCTTTGTAAGGCATTATCATTTGCAAACAACACATAGCTATTTATTTTATTTTAAATCAAATCTGAAGTCTCTTTCTCTTAAGATTATTTATTATATTTATTTGATTACTAACATTTGGATATATGTCGACATCTTATTCTAGGTTTTAAAAATTTTACTATGCTTTTCTTAATATCCTATTTTTTTTTCTTTTGTTGCTTTCTGTTGTCTTAGTAGAAATGTTCACCCTGGTTTGGAAATTAAACAGTCTGTTTCTCTTGTTTTAGTGTTTTATTTTCTTTAAATTTTTAACCTACATTATTTCTAACTAAAAAATTCTAAGGTTAATTAATATCACTATCTTCCCCCAAAAGATTTGAGAATATGTAATAAATTACATTTCCTTCAGATCCACCCCTTTAGTTACTGTAATTATTATTCAGTGTTTAAGTTCCACTTTGTTTTTAAACACTCCAAAAGTAGTTATAAGTATTCTTAGTAATTTCAGTATTTAGAAGTTTGATCAACTGCTTTGCTCACCATTTCTTGTTTTCCATACTTTCCTTGTCAGCTTTCTTCTTGCTAAAGTACATCTTTTAGTAAGTCTTTCAATAAGAGTCTATGGCCAACGATTTATTTTTTTCATATTTATGAATATCTATGTCTCTAACTCATATTTTCAAATAATAGTTTAGCTAGGTTATATCATTGTATTCCCCAGAATTTGAAAATATCATCTTATTCTCTTTATGCGTCTATTGTTTCTAATGAGAAATCTGATATCGATTCAATTGGTCTCTTTGAAAATAATTTGTCATTTCTCTCCATTGTCTTCACATCTTTGTAAATCTTTGATATCTTATAGTTTCAGAACACTGTATCTAGTTAAAGATTTATTTTGTCTTTCTAGGGACTTGATATTTTTTTCTTGCTATCTGAGAATTTATGTTTCTCTTTAAATCTGAATCATTTTTCATTAATATTTATTAAAATAGTGTCTCTTCTCAACTGTCTTCTGCCTGAACTTCAGTTTGATGAGATGGGAAATATAATAGCATTCTTTTCTTTTCGGTGTATTTTGTCAAATATATCTTGTAGTTTATTAGTGTTTTCTTTAGCTGTGTATTGTTTAACTTGTGTGTGTAGGTATACAGGATTTTTAGAATTTTTGTCTTTTTTTGTGCACTTCTCTTTTCAGAGGATTCAGAGATTGCAGGCATGAGGTTGACAACAATCTACGTTCACTGACATTAAGACGCTACCATTTCTTAAGAATAAATGCTTCACATATACATCTGGGTTGGAACAGTTTATCTACAACTCACTTTTTCAACAGTTTCTTTGACATTTTTGTCCTTGGTAGTTGTTTATTTTTTTAAGATTCTTATATTTAACCCAACTTTTTAATGAACTTTGTGGGTAGAGCAATGGGGGCATATATTAAAATCTTTGTTCACTAATTTAACAAAATTTTCCCCACGTAGATTTTAATGTATATTTTTCTTATTCTATCAGTCATCTATACTTTCTTATCAGGTCAACTGTTATCAATATATACAGCTACATGGATGCTAACCTGGGTACATTTTACAGTCTTGGAACCATTTTTCTCTAGGACAACACAAAGTAAATCAAACTTTATTTCCTGAGCTTTAAAAGTAAAGTAACTAGAACAGTACATAATTCTATGAGGGTAGTGTCCATTGATAATTAAAACTTTAAGAAGAGTACAACTACATTGTCATTTCTTTCTACTCAATGATTTTTTGAGCTGTGTCTCTTACCATATAAAATTGATATTCATTTTTTGGAAGTCTTCATTTTGTTACAGCCACCAATTTGATGGACTAAGAAACAATATTAGTATAGACCAAGATCAGACAGATTGTTTCATTAAATAAACTATGAGAATTACTTACTCATTCAATTAAAACATCACTGGAATCCTAAATTCATGAAATATGTCCATTTACCTAGTACAGTTTAAGAATTAACTATAGTCACAAATGGAAAACCTTGAAGTTATTTTAAGAAACAATTCTAAACATTTCTATTTAAATAATGTTCAGCACCATGAGTACATCTGTCAATTACTTGTTAACTGACTGAAATGGGACTACAAAACTATGCCATCTGTCACCAACCCTCATTCCAAATATCAATCGATCCCTTAGTGTTAAATGCAAATTGACCTGTTCATTCAACTAGTAAATTTCATGTGTTTGATTTAATTATACCACTTTGCCATTCTTTTATACTCAAACATCTGGATTTATTTTTGCCATGGCAGTCACTTTGTCAATAAACATCAAGATGTATATCACTCAATTACTGTCTTCTTTTTCACTCTGAATATATCTTCAAAATACATCCATTTTCACCTTAGAATTTTAGCTGTATTACATAATAGAAAGTGTAACTCTTCCTTACCTATAATTTTTAACTTAGATTAATAAAAACATTTTAAAATACTGATCTTATACTAATATATTTGAAAGTCTATTAGGAATAAAACAAAACATGAAAAATCTTCAACGTTATTTTGATAAAAACTCTGTAAACAAAACAATTTTGTATTCATTTAAAGGCTGAAGTAAACAAAGGGATATTCAAAGCTCAATATGTGGAGATGTTTATATTCTTTCACTAACATATGGGATTCCATACAAATTATTCTCATTAAAGCTAATGATAATCTGAGCTCTAACCTCCCTAGGGTCTCAGCTGGAAATTAGAGGCTGGCATTTTAGATTTCTAAAGATAAAGACAACCATGCTACAGAATAATTCAGATGTTAGCCATGACTGATAATACATAGTTTACTTAAAAAGTTTTAGTATTCTATGTAACACCCAAGTTAATTATCGTTCACTATTAGCATTACAAGACTACTGTAGCAAAAGTTAAGCACCTCCTTGTAGTGAACACTGTAGTGCCCTGCTCAGATTCCCTCCTCAGGAGTTAAGGACTTTTTTTTCCATTGTTGGGAGTGTTGACAGCTCTCAGATTAGTTTATCTTGAGAAACTGGCCTCAGCCAGAGAGCAGAGTGGCTCAAAGTTACTCTGTCTGGTCCCCACCAAGCGTGGCTTGCATCAAATGACTGGTAGATATAGGAGTGTAAAAGCCTGGCCCCTTACCTCAAGACATAAAAACTCTGAAGGGCCATCCCAGAAGGAAAACTTCTTGTAGGATTGTCTGAGACCACTACTGCAACTGCATCATAGCTCAGCTTCTCCTGCTCAACATTGCCTCGATCACTTTTCCTAGGTGTTCCCAAGAGCCATTCCCAACAAACCTACATGAAAATCTCAGAGTCTCCGGATCTTTTCCTTGGGAACTTGTCCCGTGGAATTAGTTTTCATTGACTTATGCGATGTTTTAGTAAAACAATGTAACATCTTATGTTCTACATGAAAAAACAAAACAAAAAACAAAAACCCACTTCCCAGTCAAGAAGTAGCTACAAGGAAAGAATTGAATGACCTAGGTACTATAACCTGGTAAGCTGTGGACATTTGGAAACACACTTTTAGTTATCTGTGCAAATCTGTTTTTACTCTTCTGTCTTAGAAGCATTCAAAGAAACTTGTTTTCTTGGGAAGGGGCAGAATGTCTACTAAAGGAATGTAGCTATGCCTCACATGAACTGAAAATTTCATGGTGCATCTGTAGTAGCATTTAATTGGCTATAGTATATGCATTTCCCCTGAATAAAGGTGATGATTTGTTTGAGAAATACTTCACCTTCAAAAAATAAAAAAGGAGGAAAGAAATATCATATTTAATATATTAATCAGCACATTTAGGATAGGATAACCTTAACTTAGCTATGCACAAATGCACAAATACACAAGAACTTGGGTTCTGGGAGTAAAGCAGTGCAAAGATAAAGAGAATAATATTGAGGTCCATTCCTTGGCAATGTGGTCTCCACTAGGGCTACTGAAATGACAGATCATTTTTGTAAATGCTGAAATGGCAAAAAAAAAAAAAAAAAAGAAAAGAAAAAAGAAAAATAGCAGACCTTTTAGAAATTCCATATAAAGAATCTTGGATTCTGGGATACTTCTGCACCTGTCTCCTGCACCATTGGAAATCTCTAAGGAAGGAGCTCATGTATACCACCTAATCATCATTTTAGTTATAGATTATGTAACTACAATTTGTTATATAAAGGGGGTCTGTCAAGCTCAATATAAGCATATTTACAGATGTTTCACTGATTTTAGACATTGGGAAAGCAAAAGCTCCCCATTAAGGAATTGTAATGCTGATTTATCAGTTTCAGATATCCAAAATTTGTTCACTCTAAAAAACAAACTAACAAAAAATCATTGCATTTTTGCTGTTTTAAGCAGTACAGAATAAACTCTTGAGCCATTACAAACTGTGATTAATAACAAACAGCTGGGTATTATATAACTCTATGTAGGGACCAGAAGACAATATCTCTAAAAGCCCAATGTGTTTTGAATTATGCTTAATTTTTGGGAGCGTACCAATGAAAACAAATATAATCTATTTAATTAAATATCCTACAGCTGACGTTTGGCTTTCCATCTTTCTTAGTTGTGAAGAGAAAACAGCTTTATGAAGTGTTTGCATGTGAATTCATTCTATAAATAGGAGCAGTTACATTTTATTTATGACAGATCTGTTCCATATATGTAATACTATATTAAACCTTGGATCTACCAAAATTATAGTGATATAAAGATTTATAATTTATACTAGTCACTGGCTTTCTTATTAGAAGTTCTCAAATTAGAAGGAATGATCAGAGGCTTATTCTTTAGTCAACAGATGACTAAATTAATGTTAGCCAAACTAACATCCAGGCAAGATATTATGATTGGAGACATATGAATCTATCCCTGTTACTAAAAAAGCAACATAAAACACAGACCACTGAAAAAAATAAAGTATTAACTTCAAACTTTATAACTGTACAAAATTCAGTTAGTAAAAATGACAGCAAATATTTTCTTATATTTATCTGATCATATAGTCTTACTTACAGCCCTGATTTTTGGACATCATGTTTTCTTTTGGGGCATTTTCTTTGAAAGATACCATGATTTTCAAATAATTTATTCAAGAGAAATATTTTTGCAGTGCCCCAATATGTTCCTAGCATTACATTGTCATAGGAGATGCTAAGAGGGCTAAGACAAAATTTTTGCTCTCAAGAAGCTTCCGGTCAGGAGCAGGAAACATAGGTGAAGAAATAATGGCAATAAAACATAGATAAGTATCATAAAAAGGGCAGAAATTGCTGTAATATCACAGACAAGTGGGAAATTAACTCTGCCAAAGCGAGGGAAGGTGTGGGTAAGGCTAAGACACATAAAAGGGAGGATAAGTAAGATTTTTTCCAGGCAGTCAAGATGTGGAAAGATTCCAGATAAAGGAGTACAGGGGGCTAAGTCGTAGAGCCATGATGTGTATGGCAAGTTTCAGAATGAACCAGCGTGAAGCTGGTAAGGGAGACTGAAGCCAGTATTGATGTACAACAGTATCTGTGCTCCTATATTAAACGGCATTTTTCAATTTTTCATGGTCTCCATATTAATAATAGCATTTCAAAAAATGAATTAGTAAAGACAATTCCAAATCAACCTGGTCACTAAATTACAAAAAAAAATTGTCAATCAACTTCATAACTGTTTGATTTCAGCATCTCATTAAGATGCAGTGGGTCACAGAATTCCACCGCCCTGAGAATTAGGAGACCTGTGTCTCTCCCATAGACTAGATAAACCGTGTAACTATACTGAATGTCAGCTTTTTATGCATCAGTAAAATGATGGCATGGAGTTGAATTTTTTTGCCTCAAGGTTTCTTGCAGTTCTGAATCAGTCAGTCTGTTTCCTGTTGAACTGAGTTTCAACCCTAAAAGAAAATCCATTACAAGGAAATTGTTTTTCTAAAAAGGAGAAAGGCAAGTTAAGTGAAAATACAACAGGCAAGGACTCAGAGGTCAAATGGAGAGCACGCTGAATATGAGGTAGAAATGTCAAACTCCTTAAAAGCGAACAATTTCTATAAAATGGCAAATTCTGCTTTTTTTCACAAGCTACTTGTAAAAAGTTCTTTGAAGTTAATTTGAAGTGTATTTGCAAATTTCCCTTTTATCTAGGTCCATCCATTTATCCACCCATCTATCTATCATCTGTGGCCTCTAAACTCTCTGGGGGTATTTTGATAAGCAAGATTGTTAAATGTTAAAAAAAAAAAAAAAAGCAACATGATAACAGAAAGCAACATGATAAGAGAAAAGTCACTGGCTTTGAAATCAGATGCACCTGCCTATCTATCCTAGCTCCATGACTTATCAGTTGTGTAATCTGGGGTAAGCTCTATATCCTCTTTATTTTTTTTTTTTTATTATTTTTTTTTTTTGAGACGGAGTCTCGCTCTGTTGCCCAGGCCGGACTGCGGACTGCAGTGGCGCAATCTCGGCTCACTGCAAGCTCCGCTTCCCGGGTTCACGCCATTCTCCTGCCTCAGCCTCCCCAGTAGCTGGGACTACAGGCGCCCGCCACCGCGCCCGGCTAATTTTTTGTATTTTTAGTAGAGACGGGGTTTCACCTTGTTAGCCAGGATGGTCTCGGTCTCCTGACGTCATGATCCACCTGCCTCGGCCTCCCAAAGTGCTGGGATTACAGGCGTGAGCCACCGCGCCCGGCCTCTATATCCTCTTTCTAAGCCTCAGTTCCTCAATATGCAACAGTGGGATAGAAGTGTTTAAATCATATCCTAAGTTAAATAACTCAGAAATAAAAAAACACAAAACAAAACAAAATGCTTAAACCACCTCATGGAGTTGCAGGGAGGAATACAGGGGACAGTCTATATGATCCACTAGCATATGCCTCGCAGAATGGGTGGGCACTCAATAAATACTAATTGTTTTGTGATTCATAATGATGTCTGCATACGTGCCTTCTATGGTGCCTTATCAGTCTCTTGCCCAAATTGTGGGTAACTCTCTTCTTCAGATGAGGCCTGATTTGGGGGTCTGTAAAAATAACTTTAAAAGTTGAAATTTCAAAAAAAAAAGTTGAAATTTAAAAGTATTGAAAAGTTTAGAGATAAACTAAAAAGGTCTTTTTACTGCCTTCCCCATTTTTACTCAAAAATAAATAAATAAAATAAAATCATAGAACATACAGGTATTTATACTTACATTGATTTTAATTCCTTGCTTGTGAGACATATGTATATTGATCTGGATATTCCTCCATCATTTCTAGATGCAAACATGATTTTTCTCACATTTGGGTGGTTGTTCCAAAGAAGGAATATATTTCACCATGACTTTAATTTTTTAAGATTATTATGGTTACATAATAGTACATGTTTATGGACTACATGTGTTATTTTGACACAAGCATATGATTGCTAAGGATCAAATCAGGGTAATTGGGATACATATCACCCTATTACTTCTTTGTGGTAAGAATATTCCAATTCCACTCTTTTAGTTATTTTGAAATATCCAATAAATTGTTAAGTCTAGTTGCCCTATTGTGCTACTGAACACTAGATTTTATTTCTTCTCTCTAACTCTATTTTTGTACCCACTAACCATCCCCTCTTTATTGCTGCCTTCCCACTATCCTTTCTGGCCTCTGGTAACCATCATTCTACTCTCTATCACCATGAATCCAATTTGTATTTTTTTTAGCTTCCACATAGGAGACAAAACATGCAAATGTTTATCTCTCAGTGCTTGGCTTATTTCACTTAACATAATTTTTCTCAATTTGGGTATTCCATCAATGTATTTGAAAAAAAAAAGTAAATAATAAGGAGCTTCAAGCTAATAAGCCCTAGCATGGGGCCATAAAAATCATAAACACTGACAGAAATTATTATTATACTGATATGTTTACTACCATATTGATATTTCACAAATATACCTTCTGTAGAGTATTTAATTCATGAGCAATCAATAATGATTTGGAAGAGATTACTCTTCTAGTTTCATATGTGGAAATGATTTAATCAACTCAATTATCCAAAAGATTATCTGAATCATGTATGTGTAATCTTAAAAGGTGACAATCCAAAACCACTTATATTTTTCATGAAAAATGGTTTCAGACATTTTTGAGAAATCAATACGTTCAAGGCATCATGCGGGGATCACAAAAGTATAAGACCTGGTCACTAACTTAAGAGCTTGTTATCCAGTAGGACAAATAAAATTTTACTGAAGAGCAGTACAAGACAGCACAGTAAAAATACAGAGCACATGAGTGGACTTGGTAATCAATGCTATGGGAGAGCAGAGGAAGGAGGGATCTTGTCAGGCTCTATGATCAAAACAGTCTTCACGAATATAATAGGGCTTGAACAAAGTTCAAAATGAATGGTAGGATTTTGACAGATGGTGAGGAGGGAAAGAGGTAAGCAATATAGGTGAACAGGACCATAGAAATTATTTCATAACCTGTGTGGAAATCTGTAAATTATCAAAGAGATTTACATCTATCTCCAAGGCAGCCTTGGAGTTCTCAATACAGAAACTTGTCAAATAGAACTTGGGACATTGCCAAGAATTTGTGAGAACTCAAACATGGTGATAAACAGTTTACACATTTTATACCTAGGAATAATCAGACAAAATATAATTTTCTATCATGCACTGAAATATCTTATCTGGATATTTATACACTGGTTTAGAAAAAAATGTTTTTCTGGTTATGAAAAAGGAGCAGAAACTTGGCATCATCTAAGGGACATGTACAATATTTGCTAAGATTTTTCTGCATATTCTGCATATGCTTAAAATCAAATGAACATGTTGTTCTGAAACATTTTTATCTTTTCTCCTTTCTCCCCCAATTTTTCCTAACTACCACTATTTGCAGGTATGCAATGCAGTAACATTAGAGAATGTTCAGAGGAATGTGGTTTCTTCCAATTGACCTAAAATAAGTTTTCTTTACAAATAAATATGCACTTCAAAGAAACTTGCTTAAAGTCTTCTCTTAAATAACAATCTCTTTCATTTTAACTTTATGTCAAGTTGACATCAAAAGCATAAGATTACTGAATTGTTTTTTCTGTTTGGAGTAACTCAGCTAACAGTCACTAATATAGTTCATTTCAAAGACTCATGAGACAAATGAAAGAGATCTATTTAGGCTACCTTTCTCCTCCAAGGGTAATTTGAGGGAATCTTGCCCATGGATAATGGGCAGTGTCTACATAAGACAATGTCCCTCTAACTTGAGGGCAGGAAAGTGAGTGTGCCCATGCCGAAATAATCCATCGGTAACCTGCTGTTTTAATTACTGGGAACTGCAGTACAAGTGGTACAAATAACATAATGTTATAGGTAAGAGTAGGAAAATTATCTTAGCTGACCTTGGTATAATTTCTGTCTTTTAAAATAAATGAAGTATACTTATTTTCACAGATGGTACTAACTCAATAGCTTTTTTTTTCTGAGCAATAAACAATAGTAAACAATGAGTAGTAAACAATGTCATAATAAGAAAGCTTAAAAACAGGTTATTTAACAGACAAGTTATCTATAATACAGATATTTTTATTTCCTCTGCTCATTATATTTTCTTTAAGGTGTCTGTGTTCACTCAATTTTACTTTATCTTACAAAAAGATCCCTGTACATATGTATTTATAAACTTTTTTAGTCACTGCACACTTATCTTTCTATCTCAATTTTTTTATGTATGTTGTAAAGGTTTAATGTGTAACATATCTTGTTACATCATTGTCCAAAAAGAGCAACTGAGAAACAGTAATGTGGCATAGACCAATAAAATTGTACTAAGTAGCATAACATACAATCAAGGGTTGGCAAACTTTGTCTGGACAAAGCCAAAGGATAAATATTTTAGACTTTGTGGACCATACAGTCTCTATCCCCAGAAGGAGGGACAGAATGAAAAAAGTTCATGAGAAAGAAAAAATATGAGCTAGATAATTAAAAAATAACAATTTTGAAATTCTTTTTCAGCTCATTGCATAAATTTACTTTCTAAATTTTGTTTGGATCCTGATAAGAGAACTACTATTTATTTTCATAGGATTAATGGTTAAAATAACAAATAAGAATTACGGGCCAGGCACAGTGGCTCACGCCTATAATCCCAGCACTTTGGGAGGCTGAGATGGGTGGATCACAAGGTCAGGAGTTTGAGACCAGCCTGGCCAAGATGGTGAAACCCTGTCTCTACTAAAAATACAAAAATTAGCCAGGCGCAGTGGCAGGCACCTGTAATCCCAGCTACTCGGGAGGCTGAGGCAGGAGAATCGCTTGAACCCGGGAGGCGGAGGTTGCAGTGAGCAGAGATCACGCCACTGCACTCCAGCCTGGGAAACAGAGCAAGACTCCATCTCAAAAAGAAAAGAAAAGAAAAGAAGAGAAAACAGAAGAAAAGAAAAGAAAAGAAAAAAGAAAAGAAAAGAAAAGAAAAGAAAAGAATTACGATATACTGACTCTATATTTCAACATTAGCCCTTTCCTCTCTCTTAATATAAAACAGCCAAGGATGTACTTCCTGAACTCATTTTACACAGAGCAAGCAAAGCAGCTTGTGTTAGAGGTCTAGGAGGCACATTTATCCATCCACTTCCCAGCATTTTCTAGTATTCTCTCCCCTCCGTGGAACATTCCCCTGCCCAACTGCATGAATGCCTTGTGTCTCTCTCAGCATCTCATTCTTAGGTCAGTTCTTTGGTGAAATCTTCTGATTCTCCCTAAGTTAGGGACTCACTCACTGGGTTCCCACAGCCCATATGATTGCCATTTTCCTAATGTGGTATTTATAAAGTTGAATTGCAATTTTTTGTCTTTTTTCTTGCAGTAAACTGAATTTTGTCAGGTGTGATTGCAATTTTTATGTATTCCATCACTTGGTAAAATAGCAGACACATAGTAGGCCCTCCATAAGTATTGAATTAAGTAAGTAACATAAAAATACAAAATACTAATGAAATAAGATTGTTACTACTCAAATTATTATGCATATTATTATAGGTTCTAGTATCAGTTCATCTAAAGTCCTTTTATTGTTTTTTTAAGTCCAAACGGGAAACTGTTCATCCAAGTTGATAGAAAATCTTTGGCTGTCTTTGCTTCATCATAGTTTAGGATAAGTCAAAGGAATTAGCCCACATTGTCTCCTAAGCTTTAAATTTAACAGCAAAATTAGGATATTTCATACATACACACAATATGTTTATAATCTACATACAGAGTATATTCATTAAATTTATGTAAATGATAGTGGATTTCCACTTCTATGTAATATTTATGTTTTTTAAATCATTATAATTAGCATCAGAAGCTTCCCAATATAAACTAAAATAATTAGGTAATAAATTAAAATAAAATGTAAAATGATACATTGTAACTGTTCTGCATTTTGAAGGTTGGTTCTGCATTGTTTTGGGGTTTTTGTTTGTTTTCATTGCCTGAAATCTATCTAGCAGAAATGTTTAGTATTAAGACTATAGAACATTCATACTAAAGTTACTTAAGCTCTTAAGCAAATTACTTGCTAAGAATCTCTGTCAGCTTAGCTAGAGATTTTTTCCTCCTCATCTGGCAGAGATGCAGCTATTATAGGTCTTTTGAAGACCTCTGGTGGTAAAAAGCAAGCATTGTTCACCTCATGCTTCACAATTTATGAATTCACATTTTTCTTGCACATTTTATTCTTACCTTTAATTTCCGTTTTGCATAGAAACAGTTGACAAACCAATAAAGCTTCCCAAGATATGTACTTTTGTTCTAATAATTACTTGAGTCTTAACCTTTTCGACTATTAACTGACCAACAACAAAAACAGCATTATCAACACCCAAGCAATTAGGCATAATAATGATACTCTACCAATTGAGACTTCTTCAAAATTTGAAGATCTGGCATATAAAAAAGCAAATTTACTCTATATTGTTTCTGAGTGTAGAAGTTTTACCAGAAAAAGAGACAGTTTTCTATTTCAACATAAAAGTGCTCTCTGACAAATATGGAAAGGAATATTCACAAGATTGAACTTTTAAGCTCCGGCTGAATAACCATTTATCAAGCAAGCTCTAAAAGGGATCTTTACAATTGACAAAGTAACCTCTGCCGATCTTCCTACTTCAAGATGTGAGAATTTTTTCATCTATAATTTATCCTACCATTGCAAACAAATGTACAGTAATAGCTTTCCATTTACATGAGCCTTAGTTTGTTTTACATGTACACTTAGGCAAGTTCCCTTCTCTTTCCGGGACTAAATTGTCTCCTATGCAAAAATGAAGGGGTGGTCATTGACTGAAATTCTGAGCATTAGAAACTGGGTACAATGCAATATTCATTGGACTTGAAGTAGGCTTTGGTTTTGAGTTCCAACTCTGGCACAATTTGTGTGATACATAGGGAAAGTTACTTAACTTCCCTGAGGTTCAAATAAATTGTCTACAAAATGGGAGACATTTCCTAGCCCAAATACTTGTTTAGTGTTTCCGTTCCTTCTACAACAACAACTGCAAATATAGGAAATGCTCTAAATACTTGTCATAAAATTATTTTTAGTTTATCACTGAAGTCAATTTTCCTGTAATTTTTATCCATTAGCATGAGTAACACTTAGAAGACAAGCGTCTTCTTTTCTTTTGACATCTCTTCCAATGCTTAAAGAATGGCTTATCCTTTTCCTAGTTAGCTAAACTTTCTTCAACTCTATTCATGTGACATAGTTTCACGTTTTCTTACTTTTTTCATTTTCTGTCCTCCTGTAGGGCTGGTACAGATTTAAAATAAAGCATACAGCAAGATGGAAGCTTATTAGAGTTAGTAAGGTAGGCGGTGAGCTTTCCTCTCTAATAACCTTAACACTTTATCCACCCTAAATGGCCCAGCCAAATTGAGAAGATAAAAATATACGAATACATAACCTTTTAAAATTCACTCCAGCCTCACAATACAATTGCACAAATCTTCCATGTAAAGGCCCCACTACTACAATCTGAATTAAGAGAAACAACTTAGGTCATAATGAAAAATGAGTGTGCCAGTTCACCTCAAACATTCTCAGTGGCCTGGAAAACTTCTTGTAAAATTCTTTTTATAGAAAACTAAATTTTCCAAGGTTTTACTTATTTAGAAGTTTCTGGTAAATGAAATTAAAAGGTGATATTCTTATCACTCTTCATAGAAAGTATATCCCTGTATGTACAATATTTTACTATAAATATCTATGTTTAGTTAGGATTTTTTAATTTCACTATTATTTATACATAAATTCTCTCCATCAAACTGAAAATTAGATGTTAACTTCACAATTCTAATTTTATGATACAGACATCATTAATAAATAGGCAATTACAAAACACAGACTAAAACTAGACTACAAGACAAGATCTTAGAGATTATAGTCAAGAAGGAGCCATAGTTATTTGAATGGAATAGTTAGACCATCTGGGCAAGATTCACTATCTATATGACTATTTCTTGGAAATAGTCATTTGGTGCCATATTAAAAAAGCATGTTATATTAATGTCTTCCCCAAAAATCTAATAAAAAATCAATTAATATAAATATTGAAAACCTTCATTCTGGGGTTAAAAACCAGATAGTTGATATGTTAGGGACTGTGTCTTGAGCCCTCACTACAAGAAAGACAACAGATAGGGAGTAGACTTTCAATTGAAAACTTAGTTTGGGAAAAGTGAACTTCTTGTGTTTCAGTTGCCTCATTTGTAAAACTGGGCGATAAACATACTTGCCTTGCAGAATTCCTGTGAAGATTAAAAGACAACATATACAAGAATCTCATAACTTAGTAAATATTAGCCTTCACCCCTTCTACCACTTTCCCCAACTAGAAAGCACCCCATGGAATTCTTTACCTCTAGGTTGATTCAAATTTTGGAACAGTAACCACCAGTTCAGTTTGGCTTTCTCAGCCCTGGGGGAAAACACCTCTGCTCCTTCTAGCTTCCTGGGTAAGTTGGTTTAGGGGTGCTATGCCTCAGAGCTTTTTGGTTTCTTCTTTACCGGATAGCTCTGGACTATGGTTATTGCCCTGGAGGGCTGAGCATCCAAGAGATATTTCTTTGTGTTGCAAGCCTCCGCCTTCTGGTTTATCAGCTGTTCCCACTTTAAGGCTGCATGTCTAGACTTGGCCTTGCAGCTCCCAGGCCCCAGGGGCTACTCCTCTGAAAGCCAGGAGGAAGCCTCTTGGTACCCTTGGTACAGTTTTCAGCTGAGCTTCGCTGCCCTAATCCATGCCAGCTATGACTTGCTTACAGCTTCAGGAGCAGTGTTTCCCAAACTCTACTGATTATTAGAATATCTGAAGATCTAATTAAAAGTGTAGATTCCCAAGACCCTTTCCTGCATGTTTTCCAATAGTAATCAGGGGTAAATCTTAGCGATCTAATCTGATTAGCAATGATCCTCAGTGATTCCTATGTTTACTAAGTTTGCGAATCATCACTCTAGAGAAATATTTTTCAAAATATTTCTGTTAAATAACCTATCAGCTTAGGAACTTGCTACACATTCAGGTGCCTAGACTCATCCCATGAAATATTCTGAGCTTCATAACTAGGGGTTATGCCAGTCTTGCTAAGTTGATATTCTCAGTGCCTGAAAGAGTGCTTTTCACAGGAGTGGAAGAATAGACAAAAGTCTATTCTAACACTCAAGGCCAGAGATAACAGTAGCTGGTAGTAAAAATGTAAGACAGAGTAGAAATAGTAAGAAGTGAAAAGGTTTTGCTATACTTTATAAATATATAAATAAAATATTTGATTTTGGTTTAAATATTTAAATATGTTTGTTTCCTTCCATCACATTAACATCATTGGTAGATGCCCTCTTCCTTTCATTGTCCCAATTATGGAAGATATTTTACAAGTAAAATTTCATTTTACTATTCATTTTTCAGAATAAAGTTATACTCAGAATCATAAATAACATAAAAAGCTGAAAGCAGAAAGAATATGTCACCACAATTGGGTAATAGTTACAAGAACCAGCTGCTATAAACAAATCACCACATATTATAAGTATAAAGACTTAAGTAAATCTCATTAAAAGTAGTCTATAAATGATAAATCTTAGAATAGTACATGGTCCAGTTTCATAGAGGAGAAATAAATGTTTTTAATGAGCAAAAATATGTAGAAGTAGGCAGATTTTTAAAGTAGAATAAATAGCATCATTTAAAAATTACTATCATTTACTTACACTCAAAATTAGCATTTTATTACACAATTAGAGATTCTCTTTTCTAGTAAGTAAATAAAATGATTCAGGAATGAATATAGATATTTTGTTATGGTGACATAGAGCACAATGTTAAACAAATTTATTATTTTAAAATGTAAATGTCTTGATAAAAATGTTTATGTTAAGCTGTTTTACCAAAAAAAAAAAAAGACTGACAAAACTGTACATTTATAAAGACAAATACAACTATTAGAGCCAAATCCTTTTGATGGCTTCAGCTTTCAGCTTCATAGTTTGGCTTACTATGTCTAATAAAAATGAATTAGTTATTGTGTGATGGGTGCTAAACACTGTGAAAAAAAAAAACTATAGGTTTAAATTGATTAGGCTGAGGGTTGGAAATACATATACCTCATCCACTAAGCCTACAATTGGGAGATTCTGCAGTGGAATGCCATCATTATCACCACCATTACCTTCATTAGTACCCTCTAGTCCAAAGAACCAGGTTATCCATAGGCATACCTGTTTTGGAATGAAGTTATTACACTTTTCTCATTTACTCAAAATTAAGTCTCTATTAAAATAGCTAAACATGAATATTCCCAATATTCAAATAGAATTAGCATAAACATTATGTGACTTGAGAAGACATGATGGAAAGCAAGATTTTTTTAATGTAAAGTTTTAAGGCTGGGCACAGTGGCTCACACCTGTAATCTGAACACTTTGGGAGGCTGAGGCAGGAGGATCACCGGAGAACAGGAGTTCAAGACTAGCCTGACCAACATAGAGAAACCCCATCTCCACTAAAAATACAAAATTAGCCGGGCGTGGTGGCACATGTCTGTAATCTCGGCTACTCAGGAGGCTAAGGCAGGAGAATCACTTGAACCTGAGAGGCGGAGGTTGCAGTGAGCCAAGATTGCGCCATTGCACTCTAGCCTGGGCAACAAAGAGCGAAACTCCGTCTCAAAAAAAAAAAAGTTTTAAATACAAAAAGGAACACTTTTAATTAATCGAGAAAACCACTTTAATAGAACATACTACGTTTCAAGGATCACACAAAGTTGGCAAAACGGCTCTTATCCTAATTTTCAAATGAGACAGTGGAAGTTCAGAGAAGTTAGGTGTCTAGCCAGTGATGAAATTGTTAGTGAGGGGAAGGGATAGAATTTGCACCCAGATGTTCTGGCTGCAAAACTATAAGATTATATTTCAGGGGAAAATTCATAGTACGCTACTACAGACATGTTGAAAAGAAAACGTATAGATTCACAATCCAATTATTACATAGTCTGTGTATATCTTGTTATATGTATTAATTTTTTTCTTTTTCTTTTTTCTTTCTTTTTTTTATATACTTTAAGTTTTAGGGTGCATGTGCACAACATGCAGGTTTGTTACATATGTATACACATGCAATGTTGGTGTGCTGCACCCATCAACTCATCATTTAACATTAGGTATATGCCCTAATGCTATCCCTCCCCCCTTCCCCCACTCTACGACAGGACCCGGTGTGTGATGTTCCCCTTCCTGTGTCCGTGTGTTCTCATTGTTCAGTTCCCACCTATGAGTGAGAACATGCAGTGTTTGGTTTTTTGTCCTTGCGATAGTTTGCTGAGAATGATGGTTTCCAGCTTCATCCATGTCCCTACAAAGGACAGGAACTCATCATTTTTTATGGCTGCATAGTATTCCATGGTATATATGTGCCACATTTTCTTAATCCAGTCTATCATTGTTGGACATTTGGCTTGGTTCCAAGTCTTTGCTATCGTGAATAGTGCCACTATAAACATATGTGTGCATGTGTCTTTATAGCAGCATGATTTATAATCCTTTGGGTATGTACCCAGTAATGGGATGGCTGGGTCAAATGGTATTTCTAGTTCAAGATCCCTGAGGAATCGCCACACTGACTTCCACAATGGTTGAACTAGTTTACAGTCCCACCAACAATGTAAAAGTGTTCCTATTTCTCCACATCCTCTCCAGCACCTGTTGTTTCCTGACTTTTTAATGATCGCCATTCTAACTGGTGTGAGATGGTATCTCATTGTGGTTTTGATTTGCATTTCTCTGATGGCCAGTGATAAGGAGCATTTTTTCATGTGTCTTTTGTCTGCATAAATGTCTTCTTTTGCGAAGTGTCTGTTCATATCCTTCACCCGCTTTTTGATGGGGTTGTTTGTTTTTTTCTTGTAAATCTGTTTGAGTTCATTGTAGATTCTGGATATTAGCCCTTTGTCAGATGAGTAGGCGATATCACCACCGATCCCACAGAAATAGGAACTATATGTATTAATTCAGTGAGCTTCAGGGCTTCTAATAGCCTCACAAAAGGTTAAATACCTGCAGACTCTTTTTTTATCTTTTCAGTATTTAGTTTCATACCATGAACTAGAGCTACCCAAGAGAACTGTCTATGAAGATAAAAGTGTTATATATCTGCATTATTCTGAATGGTAGCTAACAACCCTAACTGGCTATTGAGAACTTAAATGTGACTAATAAGACTAAGAACCTAAATTTTCAATATTATTTAATTTTGAATAATTTTAATTTAAATTGCCACATGTGTCTAATGGATTGCATATTGGACAGTGCTGCTGTAGACAATATCGCATTATATACCTCTGTGTTTTGAGATCTGTTTCTTCTAACTCACAGTAAATGGAAAATGCAAGTGTAAAAAAATGAAAAAATAAATAACTGAGAAATAGAATAAGATGATCATCTCTAGCACAGTAACACAGCAGAACTATAGACGTAGGCCAGCCAAGCTTGGTTTCTACAAAGTTGGCTGGGAATTCCCAACTCAAAGAATAAAAGAAACTATCCATGGAGAAGTGATCCATGCCAGGTTGGTCAATAAGACAAATCTCATCATACTCAAGGCTTGGGCAGGTCTCCCAATCTGTGTCCAAACTCTGCCTGCGGTTAAGGCTTCTAGTGAACAAGAGAAGCAGAAGCAA
This sequence comes from Homo sapiens, assembly GCF_000001405.40. Classification (NCBI taxonomy): domain Eukaryota; kingdom Metazoa; phylum Chordata; class Mammalia; order Primates; family Hominidae; genus Homo; species Homo sapiens. Next base: position 44,856,414 of record NC_000005.10, on the reverse strand, counting down.
GAAGACATAGTCTACAGGCCAAGGTGTGGGCCATATTATAAACTAGCTTAGTGACTAGATTCTCTATGTCATCAGTATCTCTGAGGCACCAGAGTCCAGAGTTAAAAATAAGACTTAGCTATCATTTGGAAGTTCTGAAGTGTTTGGCTGGAGGCAACTTTAAAACTACCAATGAAAAGTGGGTAAAGGCATGTGAGATAAAAATAAAATCTCCCATTTAATACAAGCTATAAATAATAAATAGGCAAGAATCGCTTGGACACGGGAGGCGGAGGTTGCAGTGAGCCGAGATCGTGCCACTGCACTCCAGCCTGGCAACAGAGTGAGACTCCGTCTTAAAATAAATAAATAAATAAATAAATAAATGGGCAGATAGCCAACAACATTGAAAAAACAGCTGGGCTAGTCATGGTGGCTCATGCCTGCAATCCTAACACTCTGGGAGGCTGAGGCAGGAGGATCATTTGAGGCCAAGAGTTCAAGACCAGCCTGGGCAACAAGTAAGACCCCCATTGCCACAAAGTTAAAAAACTAGATAGAGGTGGTAGCGTCTCCCATTGTCTCAGCTGCTGAAGAGGCTGTGATGGGAGTATCACTTGAACCCAGCAGTTCAGTGCTGTAGTGAGCTATGACTGTGCCACTGTGCTCCAGTTGGGCAACAGAGTGCAATCCTCCCTGTAAAAATAAATAAATAAATAAAAAGCTGACTAATTTATCTCAAATAAGATAAAAATATGCAACGTGAAAACATTTTTATTTTTAAAATAAGTATGTTTAACATTCTTACAGAGCAAAATTGAAAGAAAGCATTCATTAAAACAGAACAATAAATTATAAAATCAACTTTAAGTAATGATTCAAGAATGGATAAATTTAAAGAACAAACTGGAAATCCTAAGAAATGATAAAATTAATTCACTGAAATTGAGAACATAAGTATGAGACAAACTCCAATCTGAAGTATTGTGAAGAAAAAATTAGTAAACTCAAAGATGATATAGAAAAAAATCATCTAGAATATAGGCCAAAAAGATAAAATAGAAATCTTAAAAAACAAGTCAAAAACAATACCTTGAGAAGTTCTAGCATACGTCTAACAGTAATCCTTGGAAAGAAAGAATAAAGTAAAAACATAAAACAAAATGACATACATAATAAAAAGATAAACCAGTAAACACAATAAGCAAACACAATCTAGCTAGATGCTGGCTCCAAAAAACACACCCTAAAAATGACATGGGAAATTTAACATGAAGAGATTGACAAAGATTCTCCAGGACTACAATAACTAGTAACCAATAATAATGAATAATAAAAATTGAATTATAAGCAAATTTGTTAATAAGGAGGACATCATATAATGAAAATAAAAGAACACTAAGAAAATAAAATAATCATTTACATGTAAACACATGAAAGAATTGACTCAAAATACATAAAGTAACAATTATGGAATTACAAGAAATTGATAGAACTTACAATTATAATTGGAAGTATAATTATATTTTTTATAAATGGACAGATTAGGAAGTCAAAACATTACTAATGACAATATTTAAAGAACACAATTAACAAACTCAATTATGTAGACATGTAATTGAAAATTCTACACCCCATAGATAATTGTTTCAACCTGCATGAAACATTTTCAGTATATAGCTACACTATCAAAAGATGCCCTAAGTTATAAATTATCAAAGGAAAGACCCTGGCTTGATCTTTTCTTTATTCAACCCAAACATAAAACAAAAACTGTACAGATATGTAATGCTGCTCTTTTTGATGACGACTGATAATTTTTATTTTCCTCCATTAAAAAATACTGACTTTTGAACACTGAGAGGAATCTACTTCTGTTTTGAAGATAGGGATGAGGAGAATATCCTGCAGGAAGAAAATTCTCATAACAGACTAAGCACTATTATGATAAAATCCTTAGTCTGAAATATCAGTAACATTCTATTCTAATTCCTATTCTAAGAAATGAAGGGCGTATGTCAATTATGATGGTAAGAAACATCCAGCTCTTTCTAGCCCTCCACATCCTAACGCCAATTCTCCCAAGAACGTTTAGATTCCTCACTATAGTCAGTATATGATTGAGTAAAATAAAGTGTGTTATCAAAATAACCAAGATTCTTCAAGATCATCTAAATGATAAAATAAATTCACTACCAATACCTATCTTCTTTAGGCAATGGCTCATTTTGATGAAGGGTACAATACTCTTGATATTGATGCGTTGGTACTTGATTGATTTCTTTTCAAAAAGACAACAACTTGTCTTGGGATGTAACTATCTATAATTACACATTAGAATAGTACTAAAGTAAATGCTCAGTGCATCATTCAAGTAGCATACCTTTCACAGCTCATTCTTGGATAACCAAAAGATGCATAACTAGATGTAGTCTAATCACTCTCTGATATTTAACTTATTTTCACTTGCAAATATAATCACATTTTGAAATTAACTGACGATACAAAAGAATCTATCTGAAGCTTGCTACCTGCTTATTTTTTTTTCTTATTACTTTGGTACAGAGGAACACAAATACATCCTGAGTTAACTGTGACTTGTTTATTACATTTACACAAAAATATTTTACCAAGTCAGTGTGCACACATTCATTTCTGATTAGATTTTCATTTTAATTATATTGAGATCCCAAGCAATGATAGTATAGTTAATTAGACATAAATAATGACATATTTCTGTCATCAAAATCTTCTGAAAACTCTAAATAGGTAATAAAACATTATGCAATTATGGTGTAATCAGCACAAAAGTACTGGGAAATAAATACATCCATAAGTGCATTTTCATCTAAACTTGTGATTGCTTTGCTCCTCACTCTCTTTCTCTGTATGCAGGCGCCTTAAGGCTGAACGTCAGTCCTTGTGATTTTTACTCTATTAATACCTGTTCTTAAATTCCTTTTCTCTGTGCCTTGCTAACTTGTCAAAAACTATGGCCCATCATTTAGTGAAATCTTTAGATGGTATCAAGTATTCAGTGACTTTTGGTTGAATCACCTGCTGCATTTACAAAACAGGCTGATCCTCCTCAACAACCTGCAATGCCCATCCCTCTTCTTTTTGGCTACTGCTCAAATCAGTCTTGGATCTCTCACCTATCATAGTAGTTCTATCCACTGGCCAGGTCTAGCAATTCTAATACTACCAGAGACCCAGTGCTGACAGAAGTCTTTTGCCCAGTAGGACATGCCTTAGATGTTGATATGGTTTGGCTGTGTCCCCACCCAAATCTCATCTTAAATTGTAGTTCCCATAATCCCCACATGTCATGGGAGGGGCCCAGTGGGAGACAATGGAATCATTTGGGCAGTTTCCCAATAGTGTTCTTGATGTAGCGAATAAGTTTCAGGAGATCTGATGGTTTTATAAATGGGAGTTTCCCTGCACAAGCTCTCTTTCCTGCCACCATGTAAGATGTGACTTTTCTCCTCATTCACCTTCCACCATGACTGTGAGACCTCTCCAGCTATGTGAAATTGTGAGTCAATTAAACCTCTTTCCTTTATAAATTACCCAGTCTCAAGTATGTCTTTATTAGCAGCATGAGAATGGACTAATATAGATGTATTCAATTTCCATTGTCAAGAAAAATGGTACAGGAGGAAGTTTTGAGGGGTTTTTTTTTTTTTTGCCTTTTAAGAACTGGGTTTTATTTTTAAGAAACTCTCATTGGAGTCTCTCAAAGAAAGTCATGTTCAATAAAGGAAGAAGATAAGGAAAATGAGGCATAGAAGGTGAAAGAAGAGAAGAAGCTGGCAGAAGAAGAGAAGGAACAAGAGAAAGAGAAATTAAAAGGAAGAGCTACAGTAAAGGCTGTTTGTCATAGACATAAAACAATAGAGATAATATTTTCCCTGAAAAAAATGTTGGAAGTCAGCTCAGAATTGAAACTTCCTTTGCACATATTTAGTGAATGATCCCGCTCTCCTTGAGGAGGTAAGCTGGAAATTAGATATCATAATCTTCCCCTCTCAGTTCAAGGAGCTTACATTGTTTACACGTGATTTATTGATGAAAGGATCAATAACCCTTTCTCTGTTTCCAGCTGTTATTTCAACAGATAACAGTGTAACCTCTCTTGGATTCAGCACCCCAGACACATAAGAAAATGCACAGTCTACTGTCCATCCCCACTGCATCCCAGTCTGATCATAGACATTACAGAGTCTATGAGGTACAGAAATTGGTTCCGACTATTATTTTTGGCTGGGATTTGTTTAATACCCAACATGACAATATTCAACCTCAAGCATTTAGATAAAATATAATCATATATAATTCAAATTAGGACATCTACTAGGTACATATAATTTTTGCCATTCAGTTAAGGTTATATTGCTTTATACATAATTTTCAAGACACTGATTTTGAGATTGGTTATTGATATACCAACCTTTACAGTAATAATTCAATTATATCGAATATTATCTTTCAATAAGAATAAGCAATTTCCATTATCATCACCTGATAACTCCACTTGACTTTAATTGAGAAAAATCTCATTTTAAAATTTATTGATAGCTCTATCTTCCCAAGGACTTGAACTCTCATGAATAACATATAGAGTCACAGAGAAATGCAACAAGTCAATGACAGAATAGCAAAGCTGTATAAAAAATAATATAATATTACAGGTCCTTTCATTGTCCAGCATAGAGGAAAGATTAAATGAATTGTGGGACATCAACCCAATGAAATATTTTGCAGATATTTAAAATGATATATGTGAGAAATGTATAACAATATGGGGAAAATATGGTGTGTGCTGGGAAGAAAAGCAGAGTTTCATATTGCTTACACCCAACTCTAAAAGTCTTTAAAGGTAGACTTAGATAATATGTTAGAAGAACATGTACTGAAGATTAAATGCTTCTGACTTTGAATAGTAAAATTGACAGTACTTTTTTCTCTTAATTCTTCTTTTTATATTTTCCAAATTTTCTATAACAAAACATGAATGTTTTAAAAATGAGAAACTGTATAACTTTCTTCCTTTTTTTAATTCAGATCTCCACAGGATGGCATTTTCTGATCTGGGAAGATCTGGGAAGTAACTTCACAAAGTGAAGCTGCAGATTCAAAAACCAAATATTCGAATATTTTAAATTACCTATGATTTTGGATATTTTTGTTGATAGAGTAAATAATCCAAAGCTGACATATATTTAAAAAAAAGAGGTCAAGTATGGAAATCTTGTCTTTTTTTCTTGAAATCCAGCATGGAGTGGCCAGTAGATAGCATGAAAAGTGTTACTTTGAAATTTTTTTTCTAAATGCCAAACTACCAAATAACAAAAAGCCATTTCTAATATTGCTACATGAGAATTTGGTCAACTTAGCTAAGCAAGGACTAAATGAGTATTGAGTTATATGTTTAATGAATTCACATAGGAAATAAATTATTCATAGAACTGTGATTTAGCTGAATTTGTTAAATATCACTTTTATATTTAAAAATTATCATTACACAATTATTTTTAAGTGTATTATTCTTTTAATAATCACTGAGAAACTGCTCTTTCAAATTTGTTTTAGGGGCCTTTTTTTTCTGTAAAACTTGTGGCACCTAGTATCATGTGAGTTCTTAATGTAACCATGTGAGAAATAATGCAATATTATTAGCTATAATTTTTAATTTTCTGAGCCATTTCCAGATACTCATGACCATATCTTGCAGTTTTAAAAAAACAATAGTAATAATAAAAGGACTGGCAAATTATATTTTAGTTCTTAATAGAATACAAAGATTTTCTGGGATAACAAAAATTAGAGTGACTTTTCCAAATAGTTGAAACAGTTGAAGGCCTATTCTGAAGTACTAGACTAATTAAATACAAATTGTTGTTATTTCATACGACAAAACTAGAGTAGCACTTTCAAAAGAAAACAAATTTCCCATGAACTAAATGTGGTGACAACTTGGCCCATTTCTGTGATAGAGATTGCCAAAAGGGGAGAAAATATATATCTCATTCTTATTCAAGGACCTAACACTCATATTAATTTATACATATATTCATTTGTTTTTTTAGTGACAGATCTAAGATCAAGAGTATGCTATAAAATACATACTGCATGGCCTAGAACAATTCATCTTTTTTATATCCTATATAAAAATGGAAAGCTAAATATTATTAATCATAACCTTGTTTGGAGAGACAACTAACTAGTACGTAATTTAATTGCTTATAACAGCCTAAAATCGCATTTTTCAGTCAAAGTTTCAGTTCCCCTCCTCCATATCCTAGATTTTCTGAAGTCTCAGAAATACATAAGATACCTGATTCAGAAATCACAGGTGCTCTTGAAAAGAAAAATACACTGTAAAGTAAGAAAGGAGAAAAGGACACAAAGAAAGTAGGAGAGAAAACTAGCTAGCTAGATAGATCTAAACTACATGAAAACCATGTATAGAAAAATTAAAGACTGCAAGGAAATAGTAAAATCATCCCTGAAAATCTTTTAGCAATATATGGGATCAGAGCAATCAATTAAATTCTATATGGTGCTTTCCTTGATGTTTAAGAACTTCATAATCAAAAAATCTTTACTTTGGACATAAACAATCATCCTTCCTTTTGGGTGTAAAAATCAAAGGAGAGTGAGGTTTAGGACTTTTTTTTTTTTTGAGATGGAGTCTCACTCTGTCACTCAGGCTGGAGTGCAGTGGCACCATCTTGGCTCTCTGCAATTGTTCAAGTGATCCTCCTGCCTCAGCCTCCTGAGCAGCTGGGATTACAGGTGCCCGCCACCACACCTGGCTAACTTTTGTATTTTTAGTAGAGATGGGGTTTCACCATTTTGGTCAGGCTGGTGTCGAACTCCTGACCTCAAGTGATCCGCCCACTTTGGCCTCCCAGAGTGCTGGAAGTACAGGCATGAGCCACCGCGCCTGGCAGAGGTTTTGGACTTCCAACTGCTCCAGAAGTTGTTCTACTACACACATACTCATTTTCCAGTGACTTGTCTCTTTCTCCCAGAGAAAAACACAAAAAATAAAATCAGTTAATTGAAATACCTTTTTATCAAACTTATGTGATAACATATATGGAGCTAGACCTAAATATATTAGGTATATATTGACATATATTAGATAGTCCAAAATGTTAATTTTGTGTTCATTAGGACAACTTGGCTTTCTTTAGAATGGGAAATTAGGATATTAGACAATAAAAAGTTTGAAAGTAATTATGCAACAATAAATCCACTGTCATGATTTGGTTATGGGCTCAAATTTAGTTTCTCAAGCCAAAGATTGTACCATATTTTCCTAGGGGTTTGTGAATTCTCTGAGAATTTTTTAAATTTTACTATTTACTGTACAGGTAAGACTTAAACCAATTTTAACAGGCTTAAAGGCAAAACTACTCTTTTTCAGTGATAATTAGCATGTTGAAGACATTTTAAAAGTATGTCTTTAGTTTCTTTTTTAGCATTATAAATTTAATTTAAAATAGCTTATGTATTACAACATTTTATAAATATCAAATTAGATAATATATTGAGTGGTGGCAGAGTAAATGAAGTTAGGATGGTAATATAAAAAACAAACACTGCTCTTTTAGGAAGTCAGGATAGCAAGACATTGCAGTAACAAAGTAACTTATGTGCATAAAGCCCAAAGCCTATTGTACAATTCACTTTAAAAAGACTTCGGTACTAATAGGCTCTAAGAATTAGTAAAAAACAAAAAATACAGCTAGAATGTGTCCTTTACCTCCATGATGAAATGCCATAAAGATTGGAATTCACCATGAAAGGAGAGATTTTCTGGGATTTCCATTGTCTTTTCTTAAGAGGTAAGTATATTAATGCTGTTTCTTGAAATTCTCTAACTAAGCCTATCGTTATTTTAAGTGTTTAGGTTCTTAAATCAATGTTTCTCAAACTGATGAACCTTAGAATTTTCAGGGATTAATTACAGAATTTCTAAATATTTACATAAGGCTTGTGGGTCCCCAAGTTTTCAGATTATGAAAATAATTCAAGGAATTAAATACCTAACTTCCCCAATCCTTCCCCTAGACAGTTTGTGATCTCAAGAGAAACTATAGAATGTAAAACATAAGTCTTACCATAGGTAACTTTTATCACCAGGCAAATTTGCAGAATACTGCATTAAAGAAAATAGGTTCATAAGTCTAAAGCTCAGAGGAGTTGAAGTTCTTCCCACAGGTTAGAGGCAAGAATAATAGATTTGTTTGGCTCCATTTCACTACGTCAAATAGAACCTCATTCTCACTCACCTTCAAACTTGTCTAACCAAATTCGGTTAAGTATACTATGCAGCATGGTACTGATTATTTTCATTATGGAAATGGATGTATTTGTCTATGCAACAACAGTTTGCAATTTTGTCTTCATCATAGTGACTTGCTTATCCCAATGGAATGGCCCTGCCTCTGCCTATAAGAAGGAGTTCAAGATGCCGCTAATAAACGGAAATATTTAAATTTTGGAACACTTTTGTAAGTTTATGCAGACAATAGAGAGCATATTTAAACTTGGTACTGCTTTAAAAAAAATCAGGACATTTTTGATCTAATGTGAAATCAGGCCCTTTAGCATGAATCAAAACAAAGGAAGAATATGTTTTTTCCCTGATGCTAATTCACACTGAAATCATGCTTCTGAGTCTCCACTTAAGGCTTTTAAAAGACTTGGAGAAATAAATCGTTAGATGGATCCACTTTAACTATCACACAGAATTGCTGACATCTTCATTTTTGGCCTTGCAGGTTCCCAATCAACTGTCCAAAAGACAATGGAGCTCACTAATCCCCAGTGGCTACTTTTAAACAGAAAGCAGATTGCAGTATCCCATGGAAATGTAAAGGCAATAGCTTGAAATGACCAGCAAGAACCTCTCCTTGTGTCTGTTAGCTCAAATATCCTCAACCCACTGACCGGTACCTGTCAGTGGCCTGTTAGGAACTGAGCCACACAGCAGGAGGTAAAGATTTCCTGTCAGATCAGATGAGGCATTAGATTGACATAGAAGCACAAACCCTATTGTGAACTGCTCATGAGAGGAATCTAGGTTTCTCCTTATGAGAATCTATCTAATTAATACCTGATGATCTGGGGTGGAACATTTACACCTCAAAACCAAACCCCGGAAACCCGTCCGTGGAAAAACTGTCTTCCATGAAACTGGTCCCTGGAGCCAACAAGGTTGAGGACTGCTATGTTAGCTGACCAAGTCAAAAAATGAAGAAGCTCCCCACCTGGTTATTTATATTCATTCAGCCAGGAAGGGAATGAAGGTGTATTGAATGCCTCTGACATCTAGCTTGTTCCCATCTGGGCAATCTGACCTTGCTGCAACCTCCCTTCTAGCCCACCATGCTCCAGATACACTGTCTCCTTTTTGTTTTTCAAGACTGAATCCTTCCCACCCTTAAGAGTCCAACCCCAATGTTTTGTCAAAAGAGGATCCTTCTCTGATAAAACTATGTAAAATAGCCACTTCTGTTTACTTTCTGTCATATCACATGATCTTTTCACAAAACAGGGGCTTCATCTGTGTTATTTACATCTGATACCCCGTATAGGTCATGGTTCCTGGATCACAGAAGGTGTTCAATAGAAAGAGAATGAATGAATAAGAGAATGAATTAGTAAGTCTTCCTCTTATCCTGTATTCATCTAGAAATTAGAGATACAAAGTTGAATCAAATGTGGTAAACTCAAGGAACTTACTGAATCAGAGGAATGTTAGCTAAATTTAGAATCCAAGGTTTGTGTGTTAGAAAGACCACTGTGGATGAGTAGAGTATGAAAATAAATTGGAAAAGAGCTGCGCTGTAAGGAAATGAATATTTTGGAGGTTATGGCAGTAAAGTAAGCAAAATTCTACAAGGTTCTGTTGTACGTTTATGATATAGGGAAAGAAAAAGATCGCAAAGATGTTAAGGAGGGTGAATTAATTGGCTGTAAGAGACAAGGAAGATGGAGCTATGCTTTCAGATTAATTTTAGGTACTACATAAATAAAGGTGACATTCGCTGAGATAAGGATATAGCAAAAGAGCCATGTTATTGTGAAAACAAAAGGAGAGGGGAGATATTGTATGTGTGTAATATATAAAATTCTAACATGTTGAGTTTGAGCTGTCTGATGGAAGTTAAGATATTAAGGGACATTTGGATATTAATACATGTATCTGAGTATTCAGGACAGAGATATGGTTGGCAATTTGAATTGGGCACCTTTGGTTCATACAGAGATAGCACTAGAAATCATAGGAAGAAAGGAAACAAACCAAAGATCATCAAGCGTGAAAAGACATGAAGGACAAGAACTACATCTGAAGATGTACGATCAAATTGATGTTCACAGAAACATGTGCAGCCACATGTGTGAGGGGGTGGCTGGCTTAGCAATCATGAAAGGAAGAAAAATTTCCACTGCACCTGGTTAAAGCAGTTGCCCATAACAGCATAATTATAAAGTAAACAGTCCCCTTGGGAAAGCCATGTGCAGAATGGAAGAGTTGGAATATAGCCATAAACTACTATCTTCTGAGAATCCCGTGTGTGTGTGTGTGCACGCATATGTGTGTGTAAAATAGCCTTTAGTAATAGTTACCCCTTAAGGAAACGTACAAAACTGACATTTACCAAAAATGTAAAATTCCTTTCTAGGAAAAGTAAGCATTGTCAATATAATTTGGTGGGCTAGAAAAATGGAAAATAAGACAATATGAGTTTTAATTAAGTCTGCTAGTGTGTATCTGACCCTCCTCTTCCCAAAGGAATTTTCTTATTCTTTTTTTTTTTTTTTTGAGACGGAGTCTCACTTTGTTGCCCAGGCTGGAGTGCAGTGGTGTGATCTCGGTTCACTGAAACCTCTACTTCCCAGGTTCAAGCAATTCTGCCTCACGCTCCCGAGTAGCTAGGATTACAGGCATGTGCCACCACGTCCAGCTAATTTTTGTGTTTTTAGTACAGATGTGGTTTCACCATTTTGGCCAGGCTGGTCTCGAACCCCTGACCCCAAGTGATCCGCCCACCTCAGCCTCCCAAAGTGCTGGGATTACAGGCATGAGCCACTGCGCCTGGCTGGAGTTTTCTTATTCTATAACTACATGCATTGAGCTATGAAAGTTATAAGGGTAAATAAAGATGTTCACCTAGTGTTTTGAAATTGAAAAGCCTTGTGATAAAAAACATGATTTTTAATATTGAGTTAAAGCTTTTATTTCACCCCCACCACCCTACTCTATTCCAAATTGCCACACAAGAGATATGAATATTTATAATGATGGTTTGAAATGAAATGTGAAATTATTTCTTAAATGAGGAATTGCAAATTAGAGCAAAAAATAAATGTGGCTTACCATTGCCTTCTCATTTTAAGACCAGGAAAAATTGCTCTGACTGTACTTGTTATTGTAGTTCTTGTCAAGATTTGATTTTCATCTTTTGTTTGCTCTTTTGTTTTCCTCTTTCTTATTTAAGTGAATCAGAATATTTTGAGAATGAATCAAACTGAGTCACATCAATTAGATTTGATATCTGGCATTCTAGATATTTGCAGAATATTACCTGCAAATATTCATACCCAACTACACTGCTACACTGACAGCGTTTAGACAATCTTCTTGGACTAAAAAATATTTCTGAATAACAATTCAATAGAGCATATACTTGAGAAAATATAGTTTTTTGTTTGTTTTTCTGTTTGTTTGTTTGTTTGTTTGAGACAGGGTCTTGCTCTGTCGTTCAGCCTGGAGTACAGTGGCACGATCTCGGCTCACTGCAACCCCTACCTCCTGAGTTCAAGTGATTCTCCTACCTCTGCCTCCTGAGTAGCTGGAGTTACAGGTGTGCATCACCATGCCCGGCTAATTTTTGCATTTTTTAGTAGAGACAGCGTTTTGCCATGTTGGCCAGGCTGGTCTCAAACTCCTGACCTCAGATGATCTGCCCACCTCCGCCTCCCAAAGTGCTGGGATTGCAGGCGTGAGCCACCTCGCCTGGCCAAGAAAATATAGTTTTATGAAAGCAAACCCTTATCTTTAAAATGTCTTAAAACACATGCATTAGTTAGTCCTCCTTGAAGTATCTGCATTAATGTCTCATTTAAACAAGTTTGTTGTTACCTAATTTCCATGATGGAGTTTCTAAGTTTTTATTTTAGTACTGTTATTAATACATTAATACATCAGGCAAGCCAGATGCTAATATTTTTCTCCATAATAGCATTTCAGATTTTCAAAGATACAGGCAGTACTTTGCTCTATGTTCATTGCTTCAGCTTTTCAAATAATGTTTTATTGTTTCATCTTTCCAGAAAGCTGAATACACACACACACACAAACACATGCACACACACATTTTCACAAGTTAGATAGATGAATGATTCTAGGTCTAAGTGATTATCCCTCCATTTCCTCATTATTTTCTTGATTAAACTATAAATCCCTCTGCTTTTTCTACCCGAATTAGAAAGCTTAGAGGTTTCTAGGCTTGAATTTAGTTTATTAATTTGTTTTTAATCATTAGTACCACTGAACATAAATACCTTTCAGAAGCTTAGTCTTTCTAGTTTAGAAAAATTGGGTGACTACTTAATCTTCCATTACTGTTAAGCTGGGCTTATCTCTGGCATAAGTAAAGCACTTGTTTTTAAAAGAATAATAAATGTATACTGAAGAAAAATTGGAAGCAACCTTCCAATTTAGAAATGGGCCACTTGTCCTGTAAATTATCTTACATATACCCAGTGGAATACTTTGTTGCCATGACGATAACGATGTCTATAATGACTTATAAATACTGAAACAGATTTTGAGTGAAAGGAAGCAAATTAAAAGCAGTATGTAAGGATACGATGTAAGAGAGAGAGAGAGAGAGAATGAGAAGAAAACTTTCCAACTATTGGGTAGTTAGCTTTGAGGAGTGGTATTAGGAGTAATTTTTGCTATGCTTTTAACTGTTAAAAGTATGTATTATTTTAACAAAAACAACAAAACTATTGATGAAAAATGAGAATAACTGAAAAGTCAAGAAAATATGCATGGAACAGGTATACCTAGTATATACTCATGCAAATATAGGGTAAACAGAAATAAGAAATTTGAAAAATTCAGCAATCTTGCCAGTACAGCTCACTTTCCACAGTATCTTTCTTTAATAACTTGTTTTGTTTTAAATTGTCTCTAATGCACTTCAGCCAACTTTTTAATATTTATTGATAGTTCCCCATTTTTACATCATTATATGATTCCTATATTATATTATTAATATATTAATATTATAATGTATTAATTTATAATATGCTATTAATATAATATATAACATAAAATAACTATTAAATATTATTTATATTTATATGCCTTATTCTGAGACTGCATAAATTCTGCATCTTGTTTTATTTCTTCAGTCTGTCTTACACACGTGTATCTGTTTAGGTCGAAAACAAACAGGTAAAAGATGAACACAGGTCAGAGAATAAAACAGAGGCACCAAGCAGGTGGTTTTACTTTATGTAGAATCATTACCTTTGGTGACATTTTATTTCAGTGAGTATAGTTTAATACAGACTTTTGGATTTCCATACAACTTAATTTTCCATTTTCTCCCTTCATCCTTCCATCTCTCCTGTTTAAACAAGTAACCAAGTCAGTTAATGAACAGCTAGCCCTGTACTAGATGGCATGATTATAACAATGAACTGGAGCATGTGTCTGCCCATATATGGCTTAGTTCTATGCATCACATAGCTTCAGCTTGATTTCCATGTAACTTCATTCTTCTGTGTTAGATGCTTTACTAATCCAGGATCCACTGTTACACTGACTACCTGCTTCACCCACCCCTAAAAGCAGACAAAACCAACAAATCTAAAGGCCTTTTTAAGCTCTAAAACTACTTCTGCTTAGCATTTAGCACTTCTCCAACATTTGAATTTTTCTTAACGGTTCTCCATATAGGAAAAATGTCTTTTGAGGAAGTAGCAATTTGAGCTGGGACCTGAATGCAAAAAGTAGATGGATTCATTTCCAGCTGAGAAAAGAACATAAGGAAAGGCATGAAGTCTTACCTGGCACAGCAGAGAATTTTGTGGATAATTTTTAAACATTGTCAATATCTGGGTCCCCAAAGGGAAAGGATACAATAAAGATATTAAAAATAGAATGGGAATGTGGATTTTAACAGGATTTGTGACAATCATAGCTAACAATGGCTTCCTTGAAAAAATTGAGTAATACTGCAGTTTACTTAATAATACATTACCTCATTTAATCCACATAGATGCAATGAAGTGTGTGCTATAATTAGCACAATTTTATAGTGAAGGAAACTAATATTTAGAGAGTTGGAAATTTGAATACTGATCTTTCTTCCTCCAGAGCACTAGCTTTTACATTAAATTGCTTGGACAAGCCATGACACCATCTGGCATCCTGGGAATCCAAGTCCTATTTCTCACATTGCTTCCACAAGAAAATAGGTTATAACTTCCAAAAAATTAACTTTCAAATAAACTTCTAAAACACAACCTATTTAAAACTAGATGGAATTGCCTATGCAGTTTAAAATGCCCTCTCTCCTCATACAAGATGATGTTTTCTATAGAAATTGCAAAATGCTCAGATATGTGAAGTCTTGAGAGAAAATATGTATCCTTGTATAACATATTTCCTAGTTCAAACTTGTTTAAACAATGTAATTGAGCATCGTTACTTTTTTTAAAAATTACATTAAATTTTATCCAGAAAATTCATACTTCAACAAATATCTTAAGGCAACAATGTCTACAAAATAAAGTATCCAAATAGAGGACATTAAAAGACAGTTACACTGTATGAACTTATCATTCACACTTACCTTTTATACTCATGTTTGGATTCTAAACTGCTTATAACCTTTTACTTTCAAAGCCTTTGCCACGGAAGCCTTTTTTAAAAACCTTATTTTTTCATTTGATGGTGTATAAATTAGTCTTTCCCATCTAAAAACCGCACATACACATACACTTACACACACACACACACACACTTTCTCTCTCTCACACACACACACACATCTACAGTGTTTCTGTTAAGTAGCCAGAATTTATACATTCAATAAATATTTTTTGAGATCCTCCTAGGTGTTAATAGCGTTAGACTAGCAGCTAAATATTATGTTAACAGCTGGGATTCGGTGCTAGGTGCAGGATGCAGGATTTATATAATCCATATGACTTTCAGTAGAATAAAATATTCTCTTTAAATTACAGTAGTCCTCTGAATGAGACAGTTGTGTCCTCAGACATAACTCTTTACTTTGACACAGACACATTACTTAAACTGTGATAGATTTTATATTTCTTCGATTTTCCCGTGGCTGTTTTACAGTTTTTTATTTAAATAAACAAGGAAAAACAGACTGTTGGGAAACATGAAATTACAAATATTGAACACCAACTACTTCAAAAAATATTATTGCCAGGGATACTGTCAAAAGGATTAGTCAAGCATAAACCTACAGCCTTTAAAGGGAAAAATACAGAAACTCAATATTGTCCCTTAAATTATCGGTATAACATTTTGTTTTTAATAATCTACCATTTGTACAAAAGCTTTAGTAACATTTTAATTGCAGCTGTTTTTATGGTTGCTATTTCTCCAGCATGGTAAATAAGTTGTATATTATGAGAACTGTGTATATTAGTAAAATCCAAGGGATTTCATATTTCTTTCTTTCAAAACATTCATAATTTTGTGAAATGTTCCACCAGAACAATGTTTCTTGTTGCAGCAATGAAGGAAAAAGGGTAACCATTTACTTCTAGGACATTCCCAGTTATATTTATTGACAACTGATAGAGCTTTTGATATTGATAACTTAAATGTAAACATAATTCCATATTAAATTTGGAGGTATTTTAATGAATTTTGTATTTGTCCATTTTCACACTGCTATAAAGAGCTACTTGAGACTGGGTAATTTATAAAGAAAAAAGGCTGGGGAGGCCTCAGGAAACTTACAATCATGGTGGAAGGTAAAAGGCAAGCAAGTACCTTCTTTACAAGGCAGCAGAAGAGGTGGTGGTGGTGGTGGGGATCTGCCAAACACTTTTAAACCATCAGATCTTGAGAACTCACTCATTATCATGAGAACAGCATAGGGGAAACCGCCCCTATGATCTAATCACCACCCACCAGGACCTTCCCTCAACACATGAGGATTACAATTAGAGATGACATTTAGGTGGGGACACAGAGCCAAACCATATCATTTCCATCTCTGGTTCCTCCCAAATCTCATGTCTTTCTCACATTTCAGAATACAATCATGCTTTCCAACAGTCCCCCAAAGTCTAAACTCATTCCAGCGTTAACCCAAAAGTATAAGTCCAAAGTCTCGCCTGAGACAAGGCAAGTCCCTTTCCACCTATGAGCACATAAAATCAAAAGCAAGTAAGTTACTTCCAAGATACAATAAAAGTACAAGAATTAGGTAAGTTCTCCCATTACAAATGGGAGAAATAGACCAATAAAAGGGGCCATAGGCCCCATGCAAGTCCAAAACCCAGTGGGGCAGTCATTAAATATTAAAGCTCTGAAATGATCTCCCTTGACTCCATGTCTCACATCCAAGGCATGATGATACAAGGAAAGGGTGGTCTTTCAAGGAGTTGGGCAGCTCCACTCCTGTGGCCCTGCAGGGTGCAGCCCCTGCAGCTGCTTTCATGGGCTGGCCTTGAGTGCCTGCATTTCCAGGTGCACAATGCAAGCTGTCAGTGGATCTGCATTTCAAGGGTCTGGAGGACAGTGGTCCTCTTTTCACAGCTCCACTAGGTAGTGCCCCAGTGGGGACTCTGTGTGGGGACTCCAACCCCACATTTCCCCTATGCCTTGCCATAGTAGAGGTTCTCCATGTAGGCTCCTCCCATGCAGCAGACTTCTGCCTGGACATCCAGGTGTTTCCATACATCCTCTGAAATTGAGGCAGAGGTTCCCAAAGCTCAACTCTTGTCTTCTGCACACCCACAGGCACAACACCATATGAAAGCCACCAAGGCTTGGGGCTTGCACCCTCTGAAGCAACAGCCCAAGCTATACCTTGGCCCCTTTTAGTCATGGCCAAGAGGTGGAGTGGCTGGGGTACAGGGCACAATGTCCCGAAGCTGCAAAGAGCAGCAGGGCCCTGGGCCTGTCCCTGGCCCAGGAAACCATTTTTCCCTCCTAGACCCCCAAGCCTGTTATGAGAGGGGCTATCTGAAGGTCTCTGAAATGTCCTGGAGACATATTCCCCATTGTCTTGGTGGTTTCCATTCAGCTCCTCATTACTTATGCAAATTTCTGCAGCCAGATTGAATTTCTCCCCAGAAAATGGGTTTTTATGTTATACCACATGGTCTGCTGCAAATTTTCCAAACTTTTATGCTCCACTTCCCTTCTAGATATAAGTTCCAATTTCAGATCATCTTTGTAAATGCATGTGACCATATGCTTTTAGAAACAACCAGGTCACACCTTGAATGCAATGCTTAGAAATTTCTTCTGCCAGATACCCTAAATCATCTCTCTCATGTTCAAAGTTCCACAGATCTCTAGAGCAGGGGCAAAATGCTGCCAGTCTCTTTGCTAAAGTATATCAAGAGTGACATTCGCTCCAGTTCCCAGTAAGTTCCTCATCTCCATCTGAGACCACCTCAGTCTAGACTTTATTGTTCATATCACTATCAGCATTTTGGTCAAAACCATTCAACAAGTCTCTAGGAAGTTCCAAACTTTCCCACATTTTTCTGTCTTCTTCTGAGTCCTTCAAACTGTTCCAATCTCTACCCGTTACCCAGTTCTAAAGTCACTTCTACATTTTCAGATATTTTCTTAGCAGTGCCCCAAACTCCCAGCATAAATTTTCTGTACTAGTCCATTTTCACACTGCTATAAAGATCTACTTGAGACTAGGAAATTTATAAAGGAAAGAGGTTTAACTGACTCACAGTTCCACATGGCTGGGGAGACCTCTGGAAACTCACAGTCATGGCAGAACGCAAAGGGGAAGCAAGCACCTTCTTCACAAGGTGGCAAAAGGGAGAGGGGGTATTGCCAAACATGTTTAAACCATCAGCTGTCATGAGAACTCACTCACTATTACAAGAACAGCATGGGGGAAATCACCCCCATGATCAAATCACCTCCCACCAGGTCCCTCCCTTGACACATGGGGATTACAATTTAAGGTGAGATTTGGGTGGGGATGCAGAGCCAAACCATATCAAATTTTAACATTAATGTGAGATATTTGCATTGATGATTTATTGCTGAAGGACTTCACTCAAGTAACTCGAAGGATCTAAGTGTTTTCTACATCTGAAAATCATGTTATAAAACACTGTTATAAAACACAGCAGAGCTGAGCTTGCTGCTTACAAAGAGAAAGTAGAACAAGTCACAGATATCCAAACTGAGAAGCACTATGGTATTAAGAATTAAGAAACTAAAATGAGACAACATAGGATCAAATATTGTCATTAACATTAATTAGCTCTGTGACCATGAACCCTATCCAAAATAAGCGGGTCAAGATAAAAAGAGATAATTTAGGTAAGGCACTTAGGCCAGTGCCTGGTAAAGATAAGGATCCAATATGAACAACCTACCACAAAATACGCTGACATTGCTGTCAACATGGTACGCACTTTTAGTGGATCATCTCACTTGATTTTCAAAATTACACCAAAAAGTAGGTTCTATTATTACCCCCATCTTATATGAAGACTTTATTGTGCTGAAGAAAAAAAAAAGGAAGAAAAAGGAAAGATTAATCTTCTTAAAATGAAAAGATGATAACATAGAGCACTTGTTTCAGCCTGTGGTTAACAATTGTGGATGTTATAAAAATACATGACTAATTAGCTTAATATTTGTAGGCAACTATATTTAATTTCAAATATTTCTCAACTATTCAGTGCCTAATTATGAAGTCTTTTATTATCTGGGAGTTTGTTTGCTACTTCTCCTCTCTGTCCATTTCATGGCATATACAGTTGCTGCCAGGATAATAAAGCTAAGTCAGACTTCAGATCAGTAGCACATATTTCATGGGTACCTCTTACACACATGGCACTATGAATGTCCCTGTTTGTGGGGAAAGGGGAATTGAACCAAGAAATACTATTGTAAAGAATATGGGGGTGATTTAACCTCCAGAGCCTAGTGAGGGAAATTGAACAAAGATATATACCCTGTCATTATGCATAATCAAGATAGATTTTTTAAAACAATAAACTGTTATTAAGCTTCAAAGTAGAAGAAAAGTTCCATTTAAATAACCATTCAGAGATTAAATACATTTGTTTTATTGACATTTCCTTGGGCATTTTTCTTCCCTAGCCTCTTGTGGCTTCCTTAAAATTTGTCTGCATCTTTTGCTTCACAAAATTGCTCCTCAGGCAAATTTCTTGTGCTATGTCTCCAAAGACAAATGGAGGTGAAGAGTATGTTTCCTAGTAAAATAATAATTTTCCCAGCATTTTTAGGTAGTCTTTCCACACTGGCTGTGTTAAACATTATAGGCTGCTTTGTCTCCTACATGCATTTGACTGATGTATCAATACAGATTTGGAAAAAATTAACGTATTTGCCTACTGTGCACAGCATTCTTTCACTGTTCTGATGGACCACATTTTGTCAAAATATACATTTATAATTTTTAATCAAAATATATTTAGGATTTATTGTAACGTTTTAGAAAAAATGATGGGCTCAGAACTGGAAACATTTGGGTTTGTGTCCCTTTTGGGTTTGGGTTCCCCTTATTATGTAGCCTCAAGCAAATTATTTAATCCCTCTTAAATTCGGGTTTCCTTTTCTTTAAAGTTGTGGCAATTATCCTTGCCATAATTATTCTATTTTATATCTGGAAAGGCCAGAAATAATATATGTGAATTAGCAAAAAAAACTACGGTGTTATGATATCTGTCCCAGTGTAGTTTATCTCTAAAAATATGTCTTTTCAAGTAATCGAGTGAAATATGCAGTGAAATAAATATGAGCTGATGGTTCTGCTAATGGTGGAAGTCTCTGCTATTGGAACATTTATTCCCACGAAGTGCTTAGTCAATGACTATGGCAACCAAGGGAGAAGTCTCCACTAGGATAAGCACCATCATGCTCTTACTTTATGTATCCCTTTTTCTCGATTAATAATTGGGCCATGATCTTGAAGCCATCCTTGGTTACGTGCATGTAAAAAAGTGTGCAAAGGCACAAGACATGCACTGGTCCAGTGGATCCACTGTTTGTTTCAACAGTATTTGCATGCCACAGACTCTGGGGACTCTGACCCTTCATCTCTAACCACGCTCCAATCTCCTCTCCAGTAGCAACCTCCAGGACCATCTTCTCATCTAAGGCCTAGCTTCCAGGATCAGTTAATGCCTTTTACTTTGTGTTGCTGTTGTATTCATGGGGTTATGGGGTGTGTGTGTATGTGTATCAGTTCCTTGTTACCAACCAACCATGAGCACCACAAGCAACACATTACTCTGACTCAGAGTGTAGGTCACTACTGTTAACCACCAGGTCCCCAGCATCGCGGGTTTCTTACACCTTTCTCTGGACTTCTATTTCCACTGGAAAGATGTCACCCTGGAGGGTGTGGGCCACTTTTGGATGACCACTTGGCTAACCTCCTCCACAAGCAGGCTGGGTGAATACCTCTTTGAAAGACTCATTCTCCAGCACAAGGAGCCTCTGGACCCCATGGGTCATTTCATCCTGGATCCCTTTCCCAAGCAGTGTGCAAAATGGAAACAATGAATAATAAAATTATTTTTGCATTAAAAAAATAAAGAAACTTGTGGCAGTGATTCCTTTAGTCATTCATTCATTCATCTGTCTCCAGAGGAAAGAAAATTTTATTTAAACTTCAAGAATAGTGGGAGGCTTCCCATTATTAGCTTGATTGAACTCTTCATTGCTTTCAGAATAAACTTCAAATTCCTTGTGGTGGCCTGCAGAAAATTCACCACTTTCCCAAAATATATTTCCTATCTTTATCCCCCATTACATCTTTTCCTAAGTTTTGTCCCCACAATATAAAATTACTGGATTTTCTGCAAACACAATATGTTTCAATCATCTCTCTCAATATGTTGTGCTATTCAACTAACCAGGGATGTCCTTCATTCCTTTCTCCATCCACTGGCACCCTACTCTATGTCTAAGACATAGGTCAGATGCTTTCTTCATGGGAAACCCTCCCCCACACTTCCCACCTTTCCCTACTCCTCCAGATTGACCCTGAAGAGGGTCAATGGCTGTTTATCAAACACTTCGTGGAAGAGATTTGACTAGAAAATTGCAAAAGTCCTTTGGATAGACTTAATAAAACGTTTCCGTGTTTAGGAGAGGAACAAATTATCAGCACAAGACTCTCATACTGACCCAAATGCACAGTACAACTCGATTCCAGCCTATCTTGAATTTGGTATATTTTCCAAAGATGGAAACCTCTTTAGTCAAGGACTAAAGGTTTTCATTTCAGAATTTCCCAAGACAAATTGTTCTAACAAGTTTTATCTAGAATTCTCTTTTTTTGTTATTGTCCCATTCCTTTTTAGCAGCAAAATGTGTTTTTCATAAGCATATTTAGGTCTAGAGAGCTTAACAGTTTGTTTGTTTGTTTTTTTTGAAACGGAGTTTTGCTCTGTTGCCCAGGCTGGAGTGCAGTGTCACAATCTCGGCTCACTGCAACCTCTGCCTCCTGGGTTCAAGCGATTCTCCTGCCTCAGCCTCCTGAGTAGCTGCGATTACAGGCGTGCACCACCACACTGGCTAATTTTTGTATTTTTAGTAGAGACAGGGTTTCGCCATGTTGGCCAGGCTGGTCTCGAACTCCTGACCTCAGGTGATCCTCCCGCCTCAGCCTTCAAAAGTTCTGGGATTACAGGCATGAGCCACCACACCCAGTTGAGAGCTTAATAATTATGGTTCCTGTTTACTTTGTGTCAATTGGAAAGTGTTATATTTACTCATTGAATCCCAGTTTTGGAAAGAAGATATGATGGGCTGCCATAATTTCTCAGTAGGATTGGGAAAAATAACAATGCATAAATATTCACATTTTCCTTCACTTCCCTATCCTTGCTTGGCTCTGAGCAATTCATTGCATTGGTCATTTTACTAGTCAGGATTTTGATATAAGTAGGTATGAAGTGGCAGAGCCAACAAAACCCCCACAAAACTATATTACTTATATGAAGACCGGCAAATTCTATGCTTGGGGGGAAAAAGACTTGGAAAAAAATGAGGAAAAGGAGAAATAGAAAAGACTAAGAGTGGTCTGAATTTTCATAGAAAGTTTTGCAGAGGGAGAGACAATGAATGAGAAAGGGGGAGGGGGCAAATTAACCAATAACTAGGTGCGAGATCCCAGGCAGGGGCCCTTACTGTGATGATTGACTATGGGAGGTGGGTGTGCACAGCAGATTTTTAGGATATTTTGCAGTGCATCATGCACTAATCACTGTTGGCATTTTTGAAGAAAATACAGAAAAATAAGTTGATTTTCACTTTTGGATTGAGTTCCTCCTGCATGCCACACCCTCTGGGACAACATCCTGTTGAGATGGGCCAGGTAATAGTTTAGCTTTGTTCAGGCTACCTACTATAATACTATAATATCTATTATTGTATTGTCTCCTCACTGGCCTTTCTTCCTAGGCTACAATCACTGTGTCGATAGGGATTCTGTCTTATTCATTTTACTAACCCCAACATCCAGAGCAATATCTGACAAGTACTAAATGTTCAATAAACACTCACTGAATGAATGAAGAGGATTCTAGAAGTCTTATATCAATTGCAGTCACAATCATGTGGAGGGAAAAAAAGAAGTCCTTAAGATAGAAAATTTTTTCAGAGTTTGGGATCAGTTATATAACAATTTTTTTTTTTCCAAAGGTAAGAACAGACACCGCCTACATTTTCCTCTAGCAGTCATTTTTCTTTTTGCATGGGCAAATTACACATCAGAACACCCACACACAGTGCCTTGCAAAAGAGAACAAATATGATATACAAAGCATTCTGCTGATTGTAGGGGGAAAAGACACATAATAGACAGTAAAGATAATAAATGTGTTGATATCTACAATTTCCTGCAACTATGTGATAATCTGCTACAATTCCAAACTGCATTTTCCCCCAGAAGATGAATATATTTAAATCAGACAAAATTACATTTTAAAATTATTCTTATTGATTATGAGTGAAGCCAGTAGGAGATTCAATATATTTGTAACTCGAAAGTTTGAATTATTGCATGGTAAAGTATATTTTAATTGTGTCTGGAGTTCTAATTGAGGGGATATATTAATTCATTAGTCAGATATTTATTGAGCACTACTATGTAACAAGCATTTTATAAATGTGCTACCAATTGAACAAAGAACAAACACAATGCATACTCTCAGGGAACCTAGGAACAAAGAAGTACAATACAGTGAGTATATGATGGGATAAACAGGAGGAGAGTCTCAATTTATGTGGAAGAGCCTTGATCACAGATCAAGGAAAACTGAAGCTATGCTTGAACCAATTTTCTATGCAGGTAAACAAACAAACAAACATAAAAGGAAAGAAGCTAAAAGCTAATTTGGTGCATTTAGTGAAAGTCAACTCCATCACGATTGCTAAATCATAGGAGGTAAAGAATGACAAGACTTTAGGCTAGAAAGAAAACAAGAAGTCTTGCATGGCTTGGTTAGAAGCATGGATTTCATTCAGGGGGAAAAGGTTTGTATGCCACAAGGATCTTTCTGATTGCATTGTGAAGGCTGACTAGAGGGTAATGAGACTGTGAGTAAGGAACCTTAGAAGACCCTTGGAATTGTCCAGGGGAGCCATGATGGGGATCTGAAATAAGTTAAATATTGATAAGGGAAGAAATGAATGGGGAGTTGGAAACATCTTTGGGAATCTGCAAGACTTGGTGACTGACTGAGTATGGGAAGGGAAGAATGAAAGTAAAAAATGACTCCCAGGTGTCTAGATTGAAAGACTATGCAAGTAGTAGTGCCAACCCTTGGTTTGGGAATATTGAAAAGGACAAAAAGCTGATGAATGCAGTTTGGGGCATGTTGATTATGAGCATATTTGGGATGTTCAGGTAGAGATGTCTGGAGATATGAATTTGCCTCTCAGGAGCAAATTCTGGCTGAAGAGAGAGGCTGAAATATTGTTCAGGTACACATGTCCATTGAAGCCTTGTAATAACATGCAAAATGTTTGGAATATCTTAGCAAAGCTAGTACCCCTATCTGTCTGTAATGTAAATCTAGATTTTAACATATGAGGGTTTGTTAAAAGCAATGGTTCGTAAAACATTTTTCCTCTTCTAAAACATCTCAGAAATGTGACATACTCCTACCAGGTATCAAAAGCTTAGAACAGCAGGATTTTCAATCTTGCAGAGAAGCTCAGAGATGGCGCAGTTTCAAAACTTTGGAGGCTACGGTTTGAAACGAATCCTCAGCTAACTCTGACTTCTCTATCCACAGATTACCAATGATTAAAAGGAAAGCATATCCCCAGTGAACATGACTACTTAAATATTTTAGCAACAGAAAATTCCATGATCCCATGCTGATGTGTTGTTTTATATATTTTTGTTCAAATTCAAGAAACTGAGAAATTATGAATTTTATAACTTCAAATATTAATAAAATAAGCTATTTTCATAAACATTGCTCATTTACATTTCAGGAAAAGTTAGCACATGTGGAGAGGTCTATGGCATAGATCACAGAAAATGTAATTCCTAATCAGACTGTAGTACTTTTTGACAACAAAAGCTTTGTAATTTACTAAAAGCATTTTAAGATTATTATTTCTAAGACTAAAAGGATTTTGTGGCTTTTTATCTATTTCTACAAATTTTCATTCCAGATACACACATATATACCTAGTTTATAATAATTATTTTCTTGAGTTTTTACAATCTAATTCACATTTTATATCAACAGTTAAAAGTATCAGTTTCAGTTCCCTGACTATAATTTGTTTTAAATTACTTTCCTGGATGGATGATTATTTTTATGTTTGTGTAACTGAGACTCATTTATGCTTACTTTATGTGTTACAGCAAAAGCAGCAACACTGTATTTTATGTTTAAATTTTAATTGTATTTGCCTCATATACATGAAAAGAATAATAGAGCTCAGAAATAAACCTGGAGTGAGGTAAGATTCTCAAAATCCACAGGCATCTAAAAATATTTGACTCCTTTATGTTTTTTATTATTAGGAAAAAGTAAACTTGAATATAAAGAATATGAAAACCATCCTCTGAAAAACCATTATGTCTTGGATGTTTCCAAACACCCCATCACCTTCATCAAATTTAGTCTTTGTGGATTTAATTTAAAACTAAAAATAGCTTTATATCTTCTCTTATCACTACTCTTTTCCGCCCCAACTTCCCTTCTCTTCTCCTACTGCCAAGCATGAAGACATTGGTATACATATAAGCAAAAATAGTACTCCTAGAAGACCATATTATATAACAAGACTTACATTAAGGAAGGAGATTCCTTAAAATTGTACTAAAAGTAGTGTTTACACCTGAAAAATTTTTTCATACATTGATAATTGAGTAGTTTGACATTGAATATTTTAGTAGATTGATGTGATGACAAGCAAGTAAGCTTGCAGGAAGCCCCTAATTTTTGCTGCTCTCTTTTAGGTGGTAATGGAAAGCCTGTAATGAGCCTGAGGTGAGGGTCCTTATTGTCCCTGCTAATGTAATGGTATCAATGTTTCAGGAGGGCTTCCTGAAACAAGAGCCAGAACCTCAGATAAATCTCTAGAGCAACACTTGGATTGCCAGCAGCAGCCGCGGTTTAGTTAGAGCTAAGTTCCTTTCACAGGCAGTGATTTTCACAGACAGTGCCTTTCTGATTTTGGTGACTTTCAACCCACGTAGCTTATGTTGGTTTAAACATGCATCCAAAATTCTCTGATATTCCTGCCATCAAGAAGTGGGGTCTATACCCCTTCTCTTGGATCTTGGTGGGCTTGTAATTGCTTTGACGAATTGATTACAATAGAGATGCTACGAAACTTCTGAGGCTAAGTCAGAAAAGGCCTTGCAACCCCCATTAGATCTTTTTACGCATTGGCTTTTGGAGTCTTAAGCCACCATGTAAAAAGTCCAACTACCCTAATACCACCATCCTATAAGAAAGCCCAGGCCATATGGAGAGGACACATGTATGTTCTCTGGTCAACTAGCCCTAGCTGAGATTCCAGCCAAGAGCCAGTATCAATAGGAGACCTGTGAATGAAGATGGCTCCAGATGATCCCAGCCCCTAGGTATGGAGTCACTCCCAGCATTTGAGTTTTACCAGTTGAGACCCCAGACATTATGGAACAGAAACAAACTATTCCTTCAAGAGGCCTTTGTATCCTCCAAATCATATCATTCAAGCTATGTCACTCTTCCACTGTATAGGTTCAATACTGATCCCAATTACCCACTAAAGCCAGTTCCTGCTTAAATGTTTTGTTACTTTCCCCCATGTCCAATATCTCTCCATTGCAGACATCTTACCATTATAAATTGTGAAACATTAATACTGAAGACTTGTAGATACTATATTTAATAAGCATTAATTAATAACTCACTCTGTATCTCTGGATTATTTACTATTAAAATCAATTTTTTCAGATGCAGAAATAACATATTGTAAATAACTGATATAGGTGGAATTATCAAAATAGCAAGAATCTATTTCCCAATACCCAGATTTGTACTCTATCCCCTAGGAATGCTTAGTGATTATATAGGACAGAGAGGATGGGTACAATAAATGACCTCCATTCCTTGTCACTTGTTTTAATGCTTCCATGTTCAGTGCTTTTTTCCAGAGGAAATAATTCCCTTACTAAAAATATAACCACTTCTCCACAAAATTTATGTGGTTCTACAAAATATCTGACAGCACTAAAAATGTTCCATTTTGCTAGTCACAAATAGATTTATCTAGGTTGTCAGGAAGAGATAAGATGATCTGGATTGTAATAAACTAATTTGAACACTTCCTTTTTTCCTAACTATAGTTAGAAAGAAACAATACTGTCTATCAATCTTTTAATCCAAAAGATCAGGTAGTTAATACAGACAACAGGAGAACTTTTAGATAACTTATTTTTGGGTGTAATAGCAACATACTTGTACTACTACTTTGAGCCTGGCTTGGTACACAGAAGTAGGTCAACACATAATAAATTTTATATTGCAAAAATTCCTGAAAGCTAATTTCCACTTGAATCTCAAGCTTGATACTAACTGGAAAATTCCCATATGGAAGTAAATGATATCATCTCAGAGTTACTTTGGGCATGCTAATATTAACACCACTTCTAAATGCCTTTTGCTATAGATAGACCTCGTAGAATATAAAATAAAAGGGAATCTGTAAAGAACAGCTCACAAAATTATCTACCTTATGCAAGTCATGAGCTATACATGAAGGACTCATTTGCAGCAATGTAGGAAGAACAACACTGGACAGGACTCAGAACACTTGGATTCTAGACTGAGCTCTACCACTTATGTATGTGCAACTTGGAGAAAGTCACTTAACCCTTCTTGCTCCTATTATCAATAAAACTAGAAAATTGTATTAGATCATCAATCATCTGGGACTGTGGAATCTCCAGAAAGCTGGTATATTTAGGTCAATTTCATATTCCTAGGATTGTTCCATGTTTATGCTACCCAGAAACTTGCCCTGCCTGCCTTTGCTTTTCATACACACACACAGCTTCTGCCATATATCACATGCCATTTATTTTTATTTGTACAAATTTACATTAATTTTACTACATACATATATATTTTAAGCGTTCATAACAAACTTAGAAAATAGCGGATGAAATCCAGTACACCAATCATCTAGTCTTAGCAAATACTATTATTTTACCATAATTATTCCAGATCCTTCTTTAAAAAAAAAATGTTACTAACATAACTAAAGTAACCAAACATAACCACCAAACCACTGTCTCACCCCAATGCTATCCACTTCCTGCCTTATTATACTAACAATATCCTGAAGCGTATAGAACTTTTAGTTAATATTTTTATATTTTACCACACATGTCTATGCCATTACCAATATAGATAATGTTCTTTGGAGTTTTTAACTTACATAAGTGAGAGGATACTGACCATGTTCTTCAACAGCTTGCTTTTATCTCCCAACTCTGTTTTCAAGATTCATTCGTTAGTATATTTATAAATTTCACTTATTTATGCAGCATTTTATATGAACATATTACAATTTATCTATTCCTTCATTGACAGAC
Organism: Homo sapiens; assembly: GCF_000001405.40. Lineage (NCBI taxonomy): Eukaryota > Metazoa > Chordata > Mammalia > Primates > Hominidae > Homo > Homo sapiens. Next base: position 44,828,053 of record NC_000005.10, on the reverse strand, counting down.
ATTTAGAGGATTTCCAGTTTGCCCCTATTCTAAACAGTGCTCAGGCAATGACCTCTTACATACCTTCTTGTGAACCACAGTAAGAATATAATTAGGGTATTGACCTAGAAGTGCGGTTGCTGTGTCACAGGGCATGTTCATCTTCAGTTGCACCAGATACTACAAAGCAGCAATCCAAAGCGGTTGCACCAATTTAAATGCCTGCCTGCAGGGTACAAGAGCTCCCATTTCCCCACATCCTGGATGATACATGTTATTTAGACATTCTAATTTCTTTTCCAATCCAGTAAGAACGACATGGCAACTCATTATATTCATTTGCATCCACTCTATTGCTATTGAGATTAAGGGCTTTTACTGTTTTTCTTATATTTCTTGGCCACATGGCTTCATTTTCTGTGAATTGCCTTTCTTATGGTCCTTTCATGGTTAAAACAGCCCTTTAGAAGACTCGGATTTTAAGGTTGGATTAGGGCTTGGGATTTGAGAGTTTTACACCATGGCCATGCCTCGTTTCCCTAAGTTATCATTAAAATGCTCAGCCTCCACAGCCCATATCCATGCATATCACCCAGGTTGTCCCAGAACATTCAGAACTTACTGCTCTTGCTTTGAATGTCCTGGTAGGTTCCCACTTAGGGGTACCTCCTCCCTTTCTTTGTCCCTCTCTTCCTTTCTTCGAGCTTAGTCACACTTCCAACTTCCACATAAACAATTTGAAACTGTATGCCAATCTCCCCACTCTCCAAAAGAAAAAAAAAAAAAAAACAAACCTTCATAACCAACCTAAAATCCCTGGCAATCTATTGAATTACAAATGAATTTTCATACAATTATCCATTTCATATGGTTATTCATTATCGCAACAGATATATTCACACACAAATAGCAAATTCACAAAGAATACCTAAAAAGGAAAAGAATAAACAGCATGATTTCCTCAAGTAACTTATAAATCACTAGAAATATTCATCTTATTTTTTACTTTATCGAATACTGCCTCATTCTGTTGGTTATATTGAAGTACGTATCAAGAACATATTTAAGTATTGTATGAAATTTGACAGATACTATTAATACAAAGGACCTTCCATTTGGGAAGCAAGAAATCAAACAAGGAGAGTGACACTTCCTTTGGAGAGTTGTTTTGAAAATTAAATGACATTACTGCATACGATTAAGTACTTTTGGCATGTAGTAGGTACCCAGCAAATGTTAGCGTCCCTGCTCTTTTTCACAAGGTAGAGGAAGTAATTAGGTGAACAGCTACACAAAGGCCTAATTCTAATCAGTAAAAAGGAAATGACTGGGGCAGTAAAACTGACAAATCTCTTGGTAAAAAGATAACCACAGAATCTTAAAGTTGATGTTGGCCAAATCGGGAAAAGTTAGGCATTATGTTTTTGACTTTGGGAAGCAAATTTCCAAAATGTCAGAGAAAAATATAGGTGTCAAACCTCCAATAGGAAAAGAAAAAACAAAAAACACAAAAAAAAAACCCTCAAGAACAGAAGACCCTAAAATATGTACTTATGTACTTTGACCTGATAAAAAGAAATGGAGAAGATTCCTAAATACTTAGGGTATTCAATTAGGATAAAAGGAAATCAAATTGTCCCTGTTTGCAGATGACATGATTGTATATCTAGAAAACCCCATTGTCTCAGCCCAAAATCTCCTTCAGCAACTTTAGCAAAGTCTCAGGATACAAAATCAATGCACAAAAATCACAAGCATTCTTATACACCAATAACACAAACTGAGAGCCAAATCATGAGTGAACTCCCATTCACAATTGCTTCAAAGAGAATAAAATACCTAGGATTCCAACTTACAAGGGACGTGAAGGGCCTCTTCAAGGAGAACTACAAACCACTGCTCAACGAAATAAAAGAGTATACAAACAAATGGAAGAACATTCCATGCTCATGGGTAGGAAGAATCAATATCATGAAAATGGCCATACTGCCCAAGGTAATTTATAGATTCAATGCCATCCCCATCAAGCTACCAATGACTTTCTTCACAGAACTGGAAAAAACTACTTTAAAGTTCATATGGAACCAAAAAAGAGCCCGCATTGCCAAGTCAATCCTAAGCCAAAAGAACAAAGCTGGAGGCATCACGCTACCTGACTTCAAACTGTATTACAAGGCTAAAGTAACCAAAACAGCATGGTACTGGTACCAAAACAGAGATATAGATCAATGGAACAGAACAGAGCCCTCAGAAATAAAGCCACATATCTACAACTATCTGATCTTTGACAAACCTGACAAAAACAAGAAATGGAAAAACGATTCCCTATTTAATAAATGGTACAGGGAAAACTGGCTAGCCATATGTAGAAAGCTGAAACTGGATCCCTTCTTTACACCTTATACAAAAATCAATTCAAGATGGATTAAAGACTTAAATGTTAGACCTAAAACCATAAAAACCTAGGCAATACCATTCAGGACATAGGCATGGGCAAGGACTTCATGTCTAAAACACCAAAAGCAATGGCAACAAAAGCCAAAATTGACAAATGGGATCTAATTAAACTAAAGAGCCTCTGCGCAGCAAAAGAAACTACTATCAGAGTGAACAGGCAACCTACAGAATGAGAGAAAATTTTTGCCATCTACTCATCTGACAAAGGGCTAATATCCAGAATCTACAATGAACTCAAACAAATTTACAAAAAAAAAAACAAACAACCCCATCAAAAAGTGGGCAAAGGATATGAACAGACACTTCTCAAAAGAAGACATTTATGCAGCCAAATGACACATGAAAAAATGCTCATCATCACTGGCCATCAGAGAAATGCAAATCAAAACCAGAATGAGATACCATCTCACACCAGTTAGAATGGTGATCAGTAAAAAATCAGGGAACAACAGGTGCTGGAGAGGATGTGGAGAAATAGGAACAGTTTTACACTGTTGGTGGGACTGTAAACTAGTTCAACCATTGTAGGAGTTAGTGTGGCAATTCCTCAGGGATCTTGAACTAGAAATACCATTTGACCTAGCCATCCCATTACTGGGTATATACCCAAAGGATTATAAATCATGCTGCTATAAAGACACATGCACACATATGTTTGTAGCGGCACTATTCACAATAGCAAAGACTTGGAACCAACCCAAATGTCCAACAATGATAGACTGGATTAAGAAAATGTGGCACATATACACCATGGAATACTATGCAGCCATAAAAAATGATGAGTTCTTGTCCTTTGTAGGGACATGGATGAAGCTGGAAACCATCATTCTCAGCAAACTATCGCAAGGACAAAAAACCAAACACCGCATGTTCTCACTCATAGGTGGGAATTGAACAATGAGAACACATGGACACAGGAAGGGGAACATCACACACTGGTCCTGTTGTGGGGTGGGGGAAGGGGGAAGGGATAGCATTAGGACATATACCTAATGTTAAATGACAAGTTGATGGGTGTAGCACACCAACATGGCACATGTATACATATGTAACTAACCTGCACGTTGCGCACATGTACCCTAAAACTTAATTAAAAAACAACAACAAAAAAAGAGGTATAGCTAAGATGAAGGAGAAGCTACCAGAAAACAGATTTCAACTCACAGTAAGCATTGTCTAATAATCAGTATAGTTCAAACCGGAAAAGTAGCAGCTTTGGGAGGTAATAAATCTTTATCTTTCAAGCACAGAGGGAACTGAATATTTGGTGCAAGTGTTTGAGAGGACATTTGAGCATTGAATCATTCGTTCCACTTGATAATGAAATTTCCTTTTATTCTAAAAGTATATGAGTCTAGCCTCAGGGGATATTGTTATGGTGGAAAACAGTATGAAAGAAAAATATCGCAACTGAGGAAATTCAGCGAAAGGGCACGCTAACCTCTCTTAATTCTCTAGCTCTTTAAGAATATTATTATTTTGTCATTTGGAAACAGGAGTTTTAAAAAAGAAAGCTAAAAAATTAGTGTTAATGGCAAATTACATCTGCAGTGAGAAGCTTAGAAGGAATGATTCATCATGTTAGGAGGGATTTAGAATATCTTCTTATCCAATCCACTCAATATATTCGATGAAGAAACTAAACTCAATAAAAATTTATTGGTCCTAAGTCACTTAGCTAATGACTAAAGCATGACTTCAATCTAGACTTTCAGATTCAACTGTCAAACTGACTTTAAACTTGTTTATATTTTCAGGTAACATGAGAATTAGACTGATAGAACTCTTCTAGAATTGTTCTTTCAAATGGCATTTAAAACTCTAGGTTGAAACAAAGTATACTTTACCAGAGGATAATTATATAGATATTTTTTCCTTCTTTTAAGGCTTTCCAAATACACAGATCCTTTATTTATCTGATTATGAATCACACCCAGGTGGTAAGATATGGAAATCTTGCAAATATATTGGAAGTCAGGATTTAATCATCTGTGTACTTGTGAACTATTCCAACATGAAATATATTTACACCCACATTAGCTAATCTTATATAATTATCATGCTTGGGTTTTTTTAATAATAGAAAAAAGTTGTGATTCCTTTTCTCCCTGTAATGAGTGTGAACTGATGAAAATTTCATGTTTATGTATTTGTTAGTGTTTAATTTTACAATAATTTTATATTCAATTATCTACAAAATACCCCCAAAGACTACTTATGGAATACTGAAATGTATAATGAGGAAAAGTGATTATGAAATACAAATGTAAAAACCTTTATCTATAGTATGACCTGAAAAACAAAATATCAACAAAAATCTATAGATAAAAGATATACCAAAACGTTAACAGCGTGAGATTATCTTCCCTACTGTTTTTCAGATTTTTTGTAATGATCATGTATTTTATAGCAATAACAAAAATCTTATATTTTAAAAATGAAAATGAAACTAAAAACAAAATTATATGAAAATCTAGTTTTCAGAATAATCCATTCTCTACCTGAAATGGATAAAATTCATTAGAACATAAGATAATATTTGATATATACAAATAAATTCATAAATGTTACTGGATACTTCTGCAAAGCATTGTAAATAAATAGGCAAATGTCCCCTTAAGTAGTCAGTGATAAGTAACTCAACGTTCTCATTGAGTTCCAAATGAATAGGAATGCTGAATGTTGGCTGCTTTCATGTTAATGTAATACCTGGCATTAAGAAATTTACTCACCATATGCTTTTCTTTTCCTTCCCAGCTTCCTGTGCATCTATTTGAATCACAAAGAAAGTTTCTGGACTTTATTCAGCATGAATCCAGCTGGAAACTAATACTCAACTGATATGAACATTAAATTTACAATGGTTTATTTAAAAGGAGAAATATAATGACTTAGTTTATAGAGGACTTTATCAAGTTATAAGTAGCTTGGTTTTTCAAATTGCTGCTTTTGTCCAATTTTGCCAGTTGAAACTGGACTTTCAGATATAGCAATGGTTTTTTTCTAAAGAAATCCTGTCAACATTAAAGAGGTTTTCTCCATTGTAACTAAACTGAACAAAGACAGAAAGCTTATGGGACAAACTAAAACTGGCTCTCGACCCGCAGTTGTGTCATGTTGTTTTTTGGACATTTAAAAAACGTATTTATTGAAATATATGCTTGTTCCAACCACCCAAAACCACAACTGCAGTAAGGCCCAAAACCAGACAGAATAGCAGGAGAGTTCCCACAAGGGACTGCCCCAAACCAACCTAAGATGCGACCAGTTGGGATTTCAAAGAAGGAAGTGGTAAGTCCAAAGCCTTTATTAGTACTGTATACATTGTGTGCTGCATTAGTCCTCATGATTGACAGGGAGAAAAGAGACGTTCTAACCTAGATATGGGGAATCGGATATGGAGTTTATATGGGGGCTTAAGGAATTGGGTTCAGGGTTGGGGCTAGTATTTACATGTTTAGCAACACGTTTGATGTTTTGGTGTTTCAGCCAGTCTAAACAAGTTTATCCGTGCCTGGGAACATTCAAGGGCCTGGCTTGGGTTCAAGTCTGCGGAAAACATGGCCCCAACATAGAGCAGTCAAAGCACTCTGTTTCTGAGTCAGGAAAAAGAAAGCAGAGGGAACAACACTAATTTGAAGTATATTTACAAATGTTACCCTCCCATGAGACAACGCAATTTAAAAATAAACACTTATTTCTCAAAGAAAACTTTACAGTGCTCAGAAATATACCAGCACCTTGAAAATCCTGTGCAAAATATAAAAACAAGATAAATATTATGTGCAATAGTAATTAATAGACATGCATTTCCACTGGTTATCCACTGACATATTACCAATCAGCATTGAAAATATCTGCTGAGCAGCAAATTGCACAAAGATCAGTAAAACCAGTACAGATTGGGTACCCACTGGTGTCCTGAATAAGTATGAAGAGGATTCCTAAATATCTAGTTTAATAATCCATTCTTCCCTAATACTGTCCTTATTTCTAAGCTCCTACATTCAATTAAAATATATCCTTAATACTTTTCTCCACACTACTTCCATTGTTTCCCAGCATGGGTATATTTCAATTCCCCCTTACTGGTGATGGCAGAGTAATAGAGTCAAAGTTTACAAAGACATTAATTCTAAATATTTTTTTCTCATTTTCAGTTTGGTTATTTCTCTCTTCAGTTGTCTTGTTAGCAGACTCACTCTATGGGCTCTATAGGTTCCCTCTGGCAAGCTGCCAGGTTGTAAGCTGTCCTAAAGGAGAGGTCCATGGGACAAGGAACTGAAGAATGCTTTCATCCAACAGCCAGGAAGCTACTGAGGTCCTCAGTCCAAGAACCTGCTAGCAACTACATAAATCTGAAGCAGATCCTTCCCCAGCTCAGCCTCCAGAGGAGACCCTACCCCGACCAATGCTTTGATTGCAGCCTAAAGCAGAGAACCCACTTAGGCCATGCTTGGATTCCTGACCAACAAAAACTGAGATAATAAACGTATGTTAAGTCAAGTTTGAGCAGTATGTTACACAGCAATAGATAACTAACACATTTGGAGTTCTTAATTTTCACTGTTTGGTTTTTCAAGTTTTCAAATTTATATTTGGCTTTTTTTTTTTTTTAACAAATCTGCAGTGACTTTTTTATAGTTTCCAATTCTATATGGAAATTTTCCATCTTTTATCTCCTTGAATACAGTAAACATACTTAAAGTCTACCTCACAATGCAATTATTTGGTGCCCCTTTGGGTCTACTGTTTCTGCCAGTTTTCATTCCGCCTTTCTCCTCCTGTATCCAGGGTATGTGGAGATACTGTATTTGAAAAAGTACCCAAATAATTTGAGGCCTAGGAAAATATTCTTCCTCCAGGTTTCTATCTTTCAGGTTCCTAGGGGCATTAGAAACCTAAGGTCACCTTAGTCCACTTCCAAAATCTCACAATTTACTAATCCACCTTGATGATTTAATGCTAAACTACACTCTATGTGAATGGTCTACTTCTGTTTCACCATTATCCCTAGGATGCTGTCCTTCAGGATCTCTAACCAAAGAATTCTACCAGAGTCACAACCTTGGAGGTCGTATACTTTTAACGTTCGTCCTTCTAGTCTCCCAAAGTACACTACTCATGTTTTCAGCCTCTTCTTGGCTAACAAATCCCCCCTCCAGAGCAAAAGCAGACTGAATAGCAAGTTCAACTTTTGAGATTTCCATTTTATTTAATATATCAGCCTGGCAATTAATCATCACCTTTCCAACACATTCAAGCAGATGTTTGTTGTTATATGTAGCCAGGTGTTAGACCAGGAAGATTGGACCAAATAATCTAGCATAAAGTAGAAGTTGAAAGCAGAAGTTCAAGGGTTTTTGTTGTTGTTGTTTTTTGGTAAGTCACCTCACAGCTTATTAGCCAGCCTGTGTTTGAACCACCATTTGGGTACCTTCTCTGTTTTAATAAGGCCTCATCCCTGCACCAGCATCCTAACCATTTTTCTCAAATGGAGAGACGGGTGCTATAAACAACCCAATTTAGGCTAGAAAGGGAAACTAAATATTTTGTGTAACATCCAAATACTCTCTGGTTGCCAATTTTGGTTCTAAAGAAATGGACAAAATTTCTCCCAACCTCAGGCCTGGCACAGTGGCTCACACCTATAATCCCAGAGCTTTGGGAGGCCAGGTAGGCAGCTCACTTGAGGTCAGGAGTTCAAGACCAGCCTGGCCAACATGGTGAAAACTCATTTACTAAAAATACAAAAATCAGCTGGACATGGTGGCTCCCAGCTACTCGGGAGGCTGAGGCAGGAGAACTGCTTGAATCCAAGAGGTGGAGGCTGCAGTGAGCCAAGATCCACAGTACTTGAGCCTAGGCAACAGAGCCAGACTCAGTCCTTTAAAGAAAAAAAAAAATTCTCCCAACTTCATAAGTAAACTGCCTAAACAAATCAGGATTCATTTTACCATTCATTTAGCAGAAGAGGAAGGTAACAGAAGTTCATATATTTCGCCAGATAACTTTATCACCCTCCAACCCAGACTAGAGGTTTTGATTTAATTATCTCAAATGAACTTTAATTATTTTGAACTTATGATTACCATAATACCTCTTGTTAGAAAAGTGAGATTTCTAAAACCTAGTAAGTAATCGTAAAGGTATAATTTTGCCACCAGTAATGCAAGTTCTTAACAGCTGTCTTGGCCTCAGGGGTCATAAACTAATGGCCTCAGTAATAAAATATTTAATAGAAATTAATGAGATAGGCCCAATGATGTGGGCCAAGTAAAGAGAGGAGAAATAAGAATTGGTGGGAACTGTGGCAAATCGGAGAGAGTATGCACATCTAAAGGGACTCAGAGCAGGTTAATTCCAGCCCCTGTATATTGTTAACATGCAAGAACATAAACCTGTAGTTGCCAGATCTTCCAGTTTTTCAAGAGAATCTGGAATAATGACTGTTCTATGACCCTCTTCTTAAATATTGGCAATTAATTAAAAACAAACAAAAGACATTGCATAGGGTAACAATGAATGGCATAAACAAAGTTCAATTATCTCTGATGCTCCTTTCAGCTTTAAATCCTGCTCACCTTCTTTATTAGTACTATTAATAATAACTGAAAGAAAACTCTTGAAAGGCTTCAAAAGATCCTAATAAAAGTGCTCCTAACATAAATATTGTAAATAAAAGTCAGGTTTCACATGAACTGGAGACACAAAGAAATACTTTGTTTTAAGTGGCTAAACCTCATGTAAGCTTTCATTTTCCTAAGGTCAAGATAGCTTTTAGCAATTCAAACCAAGAATTAAAATCAAAACTAAAAATCTAGCTAGTTCATTTAAAAAGCTTACTGACCATTTGACCATTTGGGTGCATATTGCTGCAGTATATATTTCTACAGTATGAATAAGGCCATCATAACATTAAACCTCAGACTTCTGCACAAACTATTATAGAAGACTCAAAAGCCAGTTTCAAGTGTCAAACACTAGTTATAAAAATTTTACAAAGTGAAATGTGCAATTCTGTTGGATGACAAAGAACACAAAAGACAATCAAAATCTGAAACAGAATTCATTATTTCCCACAGATGAAAATAACAGAACTGTGATTGAGAAATGGAGCTTAACCTGTACTAAAAAGAATGGCTTACAACAGGGGTCCCCAACCAGATATAAGCCATAATCACAGATATGCTTATTTGCACAGTAGCTGTTGCCGAATTTCAGTCTACCATGTGCCTATTATTCACCAAAATAGTAATCATACCTATACCTTTTAAGTATTACCTATAAATTCTTGCTCCTTATGAAATCTCTTAATCTTCCCTGATTTTTTATTGCTATTGTTGTTTGTTTTTACAAAATCTCCTTACCAAACTTTGGGGCACAAAGGCCTTTCAGGTTGAAAAATTTAAACTGTCCAATCAAGTATTGGCCAATATTAATGTTGTAAACCTGTAGGTCTCCTTGTATCTATTCTCAATATTCTCCATAGCAATTTTTCTCACTAGTGCCTTGCTCTTTTCTTTCTCCTGCCTCTATGCAAAGCCACAATTTTACCAATTTCTCTAATAAATAATTTTTACAATTATCCTACCTAAACATGTTTTATGTAAATTAACCTTACCTTTTATTTGATGTAAGCATTATACAACGTACACTAGAACTTAATATAAAGTAGAACATGCATAGTAATTTTAACTATATTGGTTGTTGTCTTAGTATATTTGGGCTACAATAACAAAATTCCATTAACTGGACAGCTTATAAACAGCAGAAATTTGTTTCTCACAGTTCTGGAGGCTAGAAAGTCCAAGATCAAGGCACCAGCAGATTCAGTGTGTGGTGAGGATCTATTCTCTGGCTCATACATGGTGCCTTCTCATCATGTTCTCACAGGGTGTAAGGGATGAAAAAGTTCCCTTGGGTCTATTTTATAAGGGCACTAATTCTATTCCTGAAGGTGCTGCCCCTCTCCAGTCACCTTCCAAAAGGCCCTATCTCCTAATACTATAGTCATGGGGGTTAGGATTTTAACATAAATTTTTGAAAAACACAAATATTAAGACCTAAGTACTGGTCTATTAAAATATCTCATAAAAAAAATCTAAAGCCTTCTTGCCTAGTATCTAAGTTTTCCATTTCCAGAATGAGTAAGCTAAAATACATGTATAATGAAACTTATGTAAATTTCTTTAAATAACATTTTCTTAAATAACAAATGTAATCATGAAATGCCTTTTTAAATATAATTTCATAATGAATTTGCTTATAATTAAGTGGAATTTGATACATGTTGATGGTTCCATATTAGAGTCCACTCAACTAGTTTCTTAAAATACTTTCTGATCATAAAAATAATGTTCTCACGTTCTGGGGGTAATTATGAAAATTAGATAACTAGAGGGAAAAACTGTCCATAATCTTAACCACACAGTCTGTTTAGTTATAATGCTGATGCTTATCATTCAGATACAAAACACAAGGTTGAAATCAAACTAATTTTGAATGTGCTTACAAATATATTTAAATCCATGGAATTTGATAAAATCATCTAGGGAGAGTGTGGTTAAACAAAAATGGAGTCTAGAAAAGAAAAAAAAGTACACCAATATTTGAAGAAAAGTGAGAGGAAGAACAGCAAACAGAAATATGACAGAACAGCAAATGAGATAGGAGGAAAACCAAGAGCATGTTTCACTGAAGGCAATAAAAAAACTATTTTAAAAATGAAGGAGCGGTCAAACATGCAAAATATGTCAGACCTTACTGAGTACAATACAGAAAACTGTCCAGTGGATTTTGCCATTTAGGGGCTAATGGCCATCTATTTGATAAGCAGTTTCAGAAGAACGCAAATCAGATTGGTTATATACACCTCATGAGAATCAGCTGACAAATTATTGGCTCTAATGAACAACTTAAATTGGTCTTTTACAAGATAAATATATAGCTATCAGTATCACCTATATAAAGCCACTTTTAAAAACTATAAAGAAGTATATAATTGGAAAGAAAAAGTCCATTTCCAATTACACAAAAATGTAGGCATACACAGGAAATGCATGGAGATAAAAGAAACTCTAAACGTTGCTAAGAAATAAGATGTAAATAGGCCAGGTGCAGTGGCTCACACCTGTAATCCCAGCACTTTGGGAGGCCGAGGTGGGTGGATCACCTGAGGTCAGGAGTTCGAGACCAGCCTAACCAACATGGCAAAACCCCGTCTCTATTAAATACAAAAAATTAGCCGGGCATGGTGGTGCATGCCTGTAATTAATCTCAGCTACTTAGGAGGCTGAGGCAGGAGAATCGCTTGAACCCAGGAGGTGGAGGTCATAGTGAGCTGAGACTGTGCCATTGCACTCTAGCCTGGGCAACAAGAGCAAAAACTGTTTCAAAAAAAAAAAAAAAAAAGTAAATAAATGAGAAGATATACTAGATCTCAAACTAAAAAGGTTGACTACCTTAAATTCATTAATTCACATCCATTCAACAAACATTTATTGATTTCTTACTTCTATGAATCTAGGCACTTGGAATGGATTAGCAAATAAAGCATATGAAGTTCAAAGCTTACTTTGATTTCAATGGGGTTATCCCTTACGTTTCACCATTATACTGTCCTATTAATATCTATCTTTTCTTTTCTTTTAAAACCAAGATTGAGAATTCTATCAAAGCCTTATTTTTCTCCTTTGAACAACTAATGTTCTGTATTAGCATTACTTCCTAACATTAGTCCATTACTGAATGGATTAGTTCTACCCTGCTGTAGTGGGTTCTTCTGTTTGTTTTGAGACAAGAGTCTTGCTCTGTCACCCAGGCTGGAGTGCAGTGGCACAATCTACGTTCACTGCAAACTCTGCCTCCCGGGTTCCAGTGATTCTTGTGCCTCAGCCTCCAGACTAGCTGGGATTACAGGCATGCACCACCAGGACAGGCTAATTTTTGTATTTTTACTAGAGATGGGGTTTTGCCATGTTGCCCAGGCTGGTCTCAAACTGCTGGACTCAAGCGATCCACCCACCTTGGCCTCCCAAAGTGTTGCGATTACAGGCATGAGCCATTGCACCCAGCTGCAGTGGGTTCTTTTAATTACTGAATTCAGTATGTTAGCATTTTATTTGGGATTTCTGCATTTATATTAAAATGTGCATTTAATAGCTCAATAACTCAATTTGTCTTATCAGTTAGCAATATACAAATGCAATTATTTTTAAATCAACAAAAGGTAACTAAAATTAAATCTTTCAGTGATGAATTTGAGCAGAGTAAGAGATCTAATAACAGGTTGACATAAGAAATATTTGTCTCAAAAATCAATGTATTTAATAGTTGACAGTTACAAATCTCATCATTATTGTTCCTTCAGTAAAATTTAAATATTCCCACAGTTCTCAATCAAATATGCTTTTTCAGTTTTCCAACAGCTGTGATTTTTCTTCTTTTGGTCTATTCAGTAGAAAGTGAACTATCTGAAGTAGAACATCATCATTAAAACCTTTCACATCATTATCCTCAATTGTTTCATAAAGAGGCTTACTTTGTGTACCCCAACATATATTTTTACGAGGGTTATTTTGATCAGCTTGTGTAGTCAGTGCCAAAGTATTTAGCTGGTAGCAGAAAAAGGAAAAGTATTTTCCATCTGTGATCACAGCCTGGGAGACAAAAGGTCGAGTAACATCTGCTTCACTCCAGAATCCTGTAGAAGAAAGTTATGCTGAAATTTACACATAGAATATATCTTACCCAAACAAAACAATCACATTAGACATTAGAGGGTATCAAATACCTCCTACAACTTAGATACTTTATGTAACAAAATCCCTGAAGACCTCAAAGTTTCCTTATCATCTCTATTCTAACCCTATATTTTATTTCTGCACAAATAATATTTTCCTCCCTTCTAGTATCCTCAATCTCATGATTAATCTTTTTCAACAACATCAGTCTTATTTACTTCATCTAAGAGCAGCAAGCTTTATCTACACAGATGCTTTCTACATCTGGTACTATGTCATTACCCAATTACCAAGGCCAAGTAGTAACTTTATTTCTCCACACGTATTTTATGTCATCTTTAATGGAGATAGCAAATGAGTAATACTGTTGACATATGTAATTTATTTTATTGTAAAAAGAAGTACTTTATCTTTCAAAAGTAAACAGTGCCATTCTACCATCTTCAAGAAAGTTACTTCTTACTTTGTCTAATTCCATCTACTCCTACTCCCACTTCCTCTATTCAATTCTATTATATAAATCTAAGTCAATTTTGAGTATAAGGTTAAAATACATATATATGTTAAAAAAAGATGAGCCTAGTAATCAAATATGTAGTAAAATTCCTCTTGGATATTCACATAGTGTTAATCTACTTCATATTACATTACTTCAGGTTTTAGAATAAAATCCAAATGCCCCACAATGAGCTCTAATAGTCCTGGAAGATATAGCCTCTGGCTTCCACTGTCTCCTTCTACATCATTCTCCTTGTCCCACTCTTCATTACCCTTCATGTTGTTCCTAAATATTTCAGGCCTGTTCCCACCTCAGGGACTTTTACTTGCTGATCCTTTTGCCTGGAAGTGTCTTTACCCAGATTTGTGCATAGGCAGCTCCTCGCCATTCAGGTCTTAGAGTAAGTCATTTTTAGGGACCTCTCCTGAATGACTTTTTAAAAATAGATTCTTCTCCATACCTCATTTATACCTGCCCCCCTATAAATCATTCTACTCTTTAGGCTAAAGTATTTTCCCCATAGTATTACCACTAGTTATAAACATTACATGCTTATTATCTTTTACCACCCCACACCCCCACTATAATATAAGCTCTAAGAAAGCAGGATCTGTTTCACTCAACACTGCATCTTGAACAGAGTATAGCATATAAAAAAGCAGTTACTGTTTACTGAATGAATGAACAATCCCCTAATCCAAATCCTGGATATAACCTTTAAAGAAATTATATAGGATAGCCATTGATGTAATATAAATATTTAATCCACAAAATCATTACCTTTTCTACCTGCAGAAAGCTATTATCTAGAAAGGGTTGACTTAGTTGGCTACAGTCTTTGGAATGTGTGCAAAAGTACATTCACACAGAAGATGGTCAAAGTAAAAGACAAAAACAACTACCTCAGTGTCAGATTTCAAATGTATAGTATTTAAACGAGGATTTTAAAACAACTGTACTTTGTGCCAATGCAAAAGTTTAAAAATGTTAAGATTCAACCTATGTTTTAACCCAAAGAAAAAATTTTAACCATTATATTCTTAGAATGTTACAAATACCTTCAAAGAAAATGCTATAAAATTAATTTTTACCTTGATACATAGCTTGTGCTCCAGTCCAAGCAAAAAGGCTTGCAATAGCATTAGCTCTAAAAACAACTTCTATCTGATCAGCACAGTTTTGTCTCAAAAGCCTTTCCCTTCTTAATTTGTCAGGTAACAGATGAAACTGGGTGTGACCGTAACAGCAAGGATCTGCAGTTTTTGAGCCTGAAGAGCAAAATAAAAACATTTCAGATGAAACAAACATGTAGAACATGTGGAGCACATGTTTTAGTATTTGAGCCTTTTTTTTCCTTCTTTATACATCATATTCTCAGTACTCTAAATACATAAGTAGGAATATTAGTTTACTTATATATCTTATGGATCATAATAAAATTAAATTTCACAGGAAAGCATAATTTCTCAATCTGCTAGCTATCATAAAGCCCATCATAACATGGAAGAAGTTGAAAGAATATATAGACAAGTTATTTAAAATTTCTATGATCTGTTTTCTCAAATCCCTTAGTCATGATTAGCTATGGTTGTCTCCTTGTCATATTAACTAAGAGGATACAGCCACTTCAAGACTTTAATAACTTATTTAATGAAATAATTACACACTTTGCTCCTAATTTTTAAAAATCATTTTTACACTACTTTTCTAAGTAAAAAAAAAAAAAATAAGTAGCAACATTTCATGAAATGCTGACATTCTTGATTCTAGTGGTAGTCTTTTCAACAAAAAGTTCCTTGCAGGTCACTCCCTAAGACCACAGTGACTGAGAAAAGGCTGATAAAATAGGTCTGGAGGGCTGGTATAAAACCTTCTTAAGACTTCTTCACATTGGGTAGGAATTAACAAAGGAAGAAAAAATTGCAAAAAAATAAGCTGCATGAGGGAGGGCAGACATCAGACATTATGAATTTGTGAATTCCTTATCTTACCACCATGCATGGCACAAATAGGACACTTAAAAAAGCCAATTGCTATCTCAAGTCCAGTTCTAAAAGTTTTTACTTTTAAAAAAACACTAATTTTTCTATCTAATAAGTCAACAAAGCCTATTTTCTAAAGTTAAATACTTCTATTTTGGTAGAAACAAGTAAAATTTCAAATAATGAACTTAATATTTTCTTTCCAGTGTTTATGCATGTTGTAATAACCTGAGATTACGAATTATATTGCTCATAGACTATGTAAACCTCTCGGTCTTCGAGAATTAATTCCTCATTGTAGTCAATACTCCAAATTTGCATACGACACTTGGAACACATTTATGGTACAATATGTCAAAAGAGAAACTTACCAACAAATATGTGGTTTTCATACTGCCGTTTGAATAATGGAAGTTTGTCTGGTTTACATTTTATAGTGGGGATTTCTATAGGAACAGAATAATCCAATGGCACAAACTTAAAGAAAAAGAAAAGACATACTAAATTCACAGCAACATTAGTATGTATTTTACTCACACTCATTAGATTTAAAAATCTTAAAATGAGGTGATTTCACAAAATGATTTGATAATACTATCATCGAATGATGGGCCAAATCGAGCAAGCCACCTGTTTTTACAAGTAAAGTTTTACTGGAACACAGCCGACACATATTCATTTATAAATTGTGTATGGCGCTTTGCACTGTTAAGAGCAGAGCTGAACACTTGCAACAGAGACTTACGGCCTGTACAGCCCAAAATATTAACTATCCAGATCTTTACAGAAAAAGTGTGTCAACCCCTGACATGAAAGCATAGACAATACTCAAAATATCCTTGTTTTTCTCCAAAAGAACTGCAAATATGTAAAATGGCCCAGTTGATAACTGTTAAACTTCCTTGATTTATGACTAGTCTAGTAAATTACAATCACAAATTACAATCGTAAACTATTTCAGAATTTTTATATTAAGAGAAACATATAGATCTGTATGGTCAGGCAAAATGACACTTTAACCCGTTATTGTTAAAATGGTTATCTGACCTTTATGGAGTATACCAAAGCAGATTTAAAAAGCTAAAAAGATTTTTGAGAGGTGATGTCTTCAAAAAGGAAACTTGAAAGGCAAGAGATCCACCTGAAACATTTTATTCTACTAAGACTATTACTCAACCTGCCTATGACAAATCCTACACGAGATATCAATAGATACATAATCGCAATAAATCCTTACCTCTGCGAGTTGCTTGGATATTCGAATCTGGTTGTTTGGTTTATCATCTATCTGGTATCGCAAGTCATCAATTCGACCTCTTCGATGACCACGAGGAATAATTTCTTCACCACGCACCCAGTAAAAATGAACTGGGCATCTATAATCTATCAAAAAGATATTCAAAATTTTTTTCATCTGATCATCTAAATAAATTTGGTTACTATTAGAACACTAAAGAGTACTAACTTAGCAAATGATAACTTAGGAATGATTGAGGTAAGAGTCTGGGTTATGTGGTAATTTAACTATTATGACTTAAATATAACATTCAAACATTTATTGTCTACTTGTGCCATCATTACAATGAACAGTAACCAAAGAGATTCCTCATTAGGAGTAATAAAAGAAAATAAGATTAACAAGAATATCATTCACCATAAATAAAAATAGGGCTATTTTATGAACATCCAATTCAATTTTCACAATAACTCCCAAAGGTATGTATACTTTTCATTATCTCTATTTTATAGGAGAAGAACCTGGGTCTTGACAAAGTTAAACAGGTTTTCTAGGCCATCCATCAGGAGTAGTCTAAGTCCATGACGCTTTCCTCAAGACCACTTCTTTCTCAACTGGGGAAGGGAAAAAACATGCACACAACAAGGCTAGGTTGAGCACACATCTACAGTCCTAACATTACTTCAATAAATATTAAGACATACACTTGGTAGAAGATATAAAATAATGAATGCGTCAAAAACAATAATTTTTAAAATTATTTATACGTTAATTACTTTTCATGTCCGCCCTGAACAGTTACACGGAAGCTGCTGATTTTTTACTAGGAACTTGGAATGGGAGTTTGAAGTTTGACCCCCTAATCTCTTAGCTATAGGGTGTCAGGCAGACACATTTAACGTTTCTATGCCTCAGTTTGTTACGTTTTTGTCTTTTTTTCATTTACCAAAACATTGCTACCTATCGTGAACGGTTATTGTGAGCATTAATAAGTTGGCACATATAAAATTTAGAACCAGGGCCTAGCACATAAATACTGAGTAAACGTTAGGTATCTTAGTTAATACTTCATTTAATCTTCACAATTCTACAACAAAGAACTACTACCGTAAAACGCGAAAAATTAAGCAAAAAAGTTACTAAAGAAAAAGAAAAGACATACTAAATTTAAAATTAAGGTAAAAAGAAGTTACTACTCAGCCATGTGACACATGGTCACACAGCTTTGTGGTGGAACAGCCAACAGGAAACCTGGCCCGCCCCACTCTCTTAAGTGGCGTTTCTCTTCATCACCACTGCTCTTCCATTTGGCTGAACACTCACAAAGTAGAATCCAGGACTGGAATCCTGGAGAGCTCAGGCTTTCAGAGTTGAAGAGCTGGTAGGTGTTAGCGCAGCCACACACACCTAGTCTCTAGATTCCTAACGCAGTGACTGTTACAAAACCAGGCCACCCCAGATAGGAACGAAAGGACTAGGAAAACATGAACGAAGCAGAGAGAAAGAAATGACGAGGGGTAAATCTGCGGCAGAGTAACCCAGTACAATCCCCATCTCTCCCTTCCGCCCTGGGGCGGAATCCAAGGCTCACCGAGGGCGGCAGCGGCCAGGGCCGGGTTGTGTGGGCTGAGGAGGCCCACGAGGGTTGACACCAGCTGATCCAGGAAGGGCAAAGATATGACCTCGCTCTCCTCGTAACGGTGCACGCGCCGCCTGCGCCGCAGGTAGAAGTGCTCCTGCAGCAGGCAGTCGCAGGCGACCGCACGCAGCGCCGCGAGGTCCAGCGCAGGTTCAGGTTCGGGTTCGGGCTCGGGCTCGGGCTCCGCTGGGGGCGGCGGCAGACCCGACAGGAACACGGTCTTGGTGAAGTACTGGTACCAGCGGTCGGCATTCAGCGCGAAGGTCTGCGGGTAAACCATGTACTTCATAAACTGCATCTTGGTGAGGATTCGCAGCTTCTCGTCTACCGACTCCGCAGCGTGCACCGTCGCCTGCCAGCGCTCGATCCGCCGCAGCCGTGCAGCTTTGCTGTCGGCTGTCATGGAGGCCACAATCGGCGGGTACCGCGCGACGGGGGTCGCCGCGACGTCTTGGCAGGTCGTTTCTGTAGCCGTGGCGGCGGCATTAGCCGCGGTGTGCAATGAAAGCCTCGGACCGCGTAGCAAAGGCCTCCAACACCTGGCCGCCGCCATCTTTGCCCGCGATTCCGGACCCAGAGGTCAACTTAAGCAATTGTCCTTGCCCTCTTGCTGTAGGGACCAATCGGAAAGCGGAATCTGAGCCAGTCTGGGAAAGGACGATTCTCAGTGGGCGTGGGTTATGTTGCGTCATTCATGGTTTAGCCAATCATATAACTTCTCCAGTCGTGGTTTCCTGCGTTTGTAGATGGAAGGAAGAACTTGTGTGCTTAGACCTGACGCTGGGAGGAGATGCTGCCACCTAGGTTACTTGTAGGACCCTATACGGCAACCTCCTTTGCCAGGAACTATTTATAAACATCCTGCAGGAAAATGGTAAGCCCTTGGTTAAATTTATTGGCTTCATTTATGTATCTCACAACACTTCTTTTCTGTTTTAGTTCTAGGAATAGAAACTTACTTTTGGAAATACAGTACTAGCATGTTTTTCAGTATATTTGATTATATTTAAAAATTATGCAAGCATCACTCGTGACCTACTATTCATCTTTGGGAAAATAATTCCATATATTTATCTGTGCTAAATACAGACAATTTGTTTAATGATATTTATTTTGAAAGGGGGGTGTATTTTTACTTGGATTTAACTGGGGAAGACAGAAAGAAAAGGGAAATAAAACTATCAAAGAAGTGTGTTTAAATTTTGCCTTGTATTAAAACCCATTATAAATTAAACACGAGTTCTTACTAATCTGTGAGCCTCTTAAAAAGGGACTGATTTAATTTTTAATCTTCAGCAACAAATCAATACTTGTGCATAATGGGTGCTCACTAAATATCTGCTAAGAAGTCACCAAAGTCTCATTTCGGGTAATCTAATTTATTGATTCACTCTTCTGTAATTAGGGACCAGAATATTAATTTGGATTTATTGTAATAATTCTTCAGGGTATTAAAACACAAATGTTGCTAAAAAGAATTTATAACTATATTTTTAAGTTAAAACAGATGGTACGGTTAAACTTTGAAATTGCAAGTCTATTAAACTGACCTTTAGAAATAAAATGCAATACTTCAGTTTCATTAATAATATCTTCTGTGAGAAGTTGCTAGTGGAATCTAAAATATCCTTTCTACATTGTTAACAAAAGGAGGATATAAAAACTTGAGATCTTTAAACCGATATTCAATATTTAAAAAGTGAGGTGCTCAATTTTATCTAAGTTGAAGTGACAGTTTTTTGTGTAAATAAGTAATAAATACGCTGTTTGAGAATGTATCATAGAAATCCTAGGTTGATATTTTTTAAATTCTTATAGTATTACAGCATAGATTTTAGGATTAGAAATTAGAGCTAGAGACCAATTAACACCAAAAGACATAATCCTGTCAGAAAGTGCCTTTATGGTTTTTTGTGAGTGAATCAAAATAACTTCAATTTATTCAATACTTACTGATCATCAACATTATGAACCAAGGAAGGAGGCTGTGGGAAAGAGAGTATACTTAATCAAGGGTGGAGCAGTCTGGGCCAGAGGAAAGGTGGAGTAAGACTGGCAATGAACAAAACAGCCTACGGATGAGAAAGGACTGAGTCAGAGCCATGGAAAGTAGGCTATCTAATATGATCCAAAGCTTTTATATTACACACAAGGAAACAGACATAAAGCCAAAGTTATATAGCATGGTAGGGGCAGTATTGGGACTGGAATCCAGGCTGCTGGCCTCTCAGTCAGTTTTACTTGATGAATTTTATTGATTGCCTTTTATATGTTAGGCTGTGTTCTAAGTGCTCAGGATACTTAATGAACAAAGCAAACAAAAGTTTGCACTCTAACAGGGAGACAGACAATAAAATATAATCATAGTAGTAAATTATATGATGTGTTAGAAGGGGATAAGCACACGGGGGAAAAAAACAGCTGGAGAAGTGAAGATCATCAGTGCAATGTATTTGGTGGGGGTGGGGGCAGGTGAGGAGTGTTGTTTGCAATGCTTATTGAAAGGATTACATTCTTCTAGCAAAGGTTTGAAGGAAGTGAGGAGTGAACCATACCAGTATCAGTGAATGGTATTCTAGAAAGTGCAGCTAGTACAGGGCCCTGAGATGGAAACATGCCTGATGGGTTCAAGAATTAGGTCATTGGCCAGTGTGGTTGAAAGGAATGATGGGTGGGGAACGTAGTAGGAAATGCGGCTACAAAGGAAAAGAGCCAGAAACTAAAGGCTCCTGAAGGCAATTGCTAGGATTAAGACTGGAGAGCCATTGGAGGCTTCTACTCAGAAGATTGTCATGGTGTGACTTAGGTTTTTAAAAGAATTTCTCAGCATGTTAGTTGGCTTGGGCTTCCATAACAAAATGCTACATACTGGGTGGCTTGAACAACAGACATTTATTTTCTCATAGTTCTGGAAGCTGGAAGTCCAAGATGAGTATGCCAATATGGTCAGAATCTGGTGAGGGCTTTCTTCCTGGCTTGCAGACAGCCACTTTCTCCCTGTGTCCTCATAGGGTGGAGAGAAAACAACATCTTTGCTGTGTCTTCTCATAAGGATCTTATCAGATCAGGGCCCTCCCCTTGTGACCTCATTAAATCTGAGTTACTTCTATAAAGTCCCTATCTCACATTAGGGGTTAGGGTTTTAGCATATGAATTTAGTAGGGAGACAATCCAGTCCATTGCATTGTAGCTGATTTGGAAATAAAGATTGTCGCAGGTCAAATTTGGAAGAGGGAAACCAGTTAGCAGACAATTGGCCATATTTTAGGCAAGAACTGATTGTGGCTTAAAGGGATAATAGCAGTGGAGACAATGGGAAGCAATGAGAAAAAGATGATTCGAGAAAGACTCTAAAATTTAGGATCTGAGCAGTCGGATGAGAGAAAAAGGCCCATGGACACAGTGTGTTTACTTTTTCTTTAATCTCTCATTTTTTTAGGGAAGGGTGGTAGAGAGAGTGGGTTGAGGTTTAGAGAAGGGAATGGGAGAGTTTCTAAAGCATGTGCTTATCTATTTGTATGTGTTTATGTTTAAATTCTCCTGGAAGAAAATTGATGTTAAGATCTTTCCTATTAATGTTTCCATTGATCTTTGATTTAAAGTATTACAATTCAAACCGGTCAAGCCATGACATTCTCCAGTGGCTTTTTGAACCTTCTCTACATCACTCATTCAACAAATATTTAAGTGATTGCTATATACCAATACTGTTCTAGGTGCAGAAAATACTGCAGTAAAATAAAAGCCTTCGTGGAGTTTACATGCTAATGGGTGAAATAATCTAGCCAAATATGTCACATATACATGTTCCAAGTTAGATGGTGCTAGGAGCCAAGAAGAAAATTGAAGCAGGAAAGGAGACTGAATAGTGTTAGACATAGGAGTTGAGTGGAATAATTTCAATAAACTAATCACACAAGGCCTTCTTGAGAAGATGACATTTGAATAACACCTGAAGGGGATAAAGGATTAACAAGGAAGCCAGTACAGCTAAGGTGGAATGGAACACTTTTCCAATAATCACAATTACCATCTTCAGAAACAGGTTCTGATGAGTGGGATAATATTTGTAACCACAGTAGTTTTTGTTATTGAGTATCTGTCTTGATCAATTTTAGTTGGGCATCAGACAGTTCTGTTGATGTTTGAATAAGACCAATCTTTCCCAATCAACTGTAGTTTTTACCAGAGCTTTTTCACTATCAAATTGATGAGGTGAGAAGGAAACAGAAACTATTTCCTACCAACAGATGTAGTGGGAGTTGCAGCTGGTTCTTTTTGAGCTTTGTTTCTTTCACATATATTTCCTACGTAAGGCAGATATCTTACCCAGTTGTATATATAACAAATTTATGTAAAACTGAGAACAAAATATTTTGGGGAAAGAAAGGTGCAGTTTTGTGCTTGGTTTGTTTTTGAAGGGTTTCTGATAGTTGGTTCGGAAATAATAGGAAGGAAGCTAAGTGTCTACATTATATGCCAGCTACTGTATTAAGAACTTCATATGTATTTAAATCTCCTGCATAATCACATAGTCACAATCACCTTTCAAAGTAAATATTGTCTTCCCTCTCTCCCCACTTTTTTTGTCTGGAAAGTCGTAAAACTTGTACACATCAACAGATGAAGATTAGCTAAAACAATTTTGAAAAAGAAGAATAAAATAGGAGGATAGGTCTACTTGATTTCAAGCCTTAATGTATAGCTACAGTAATCAATGGAGAAAGATAGACTTTTTGACAAATTGTGTTGGGACAATAGGACATCCATTGGACAATAAATAAATGAATAAATAAACTTCAATCTATCTCTTACACCTTTTGGAAAAATTAAAATGATTACAAATTTCAATGTAAGCATAAAATTATTACCAAAAAATAAGAGAAAAAAACTGCAGGATATAGGACTAGGCAAAGAGTTCCTAGAGTTGATACCAAAAGCATGATCCATAAACGTAAAACTTGGTAAGTTTTGACCAGCAATTGCACTCTTGGGGCATTTATCCCAGATAAATGAAAATTTATTTTCAAGCAAAAACCTCTTCATGATACAGTCTTATTCATTATAGCCCAGCATCGGAAACAAACAAGCAGATGTTCTTGAACAGGTGCATGGTTACAATTAATACGGTAGATCTGGATAAATCTCTAGAGAATTACACTGGATTTACAAAAAGCCAATACCAAAAGGTTACATATGGTAAGATTTCATTTATATAACACTCTTGAGGTAACAAAATTATCGAAATGGAACACAGATTAATAGTTGGTAGAGATTAAGGAGTCAGTGAGATGGGAAGGCAGTGAAAATTCCTATAAAAGAGCAACATAAGGGATTCTTGTGGTAATGGAAATGTTCTCTATCTTAACTGTATCAATGTCAATCCTGGTGTATTACTTTACTATAGTTCTGCAAGATGTTCCTGGAAACTGGGTGAAAGGTGCAGGAGATTTAGCTGTATTATTCTTGCAAAAGCTTGTTAATCTATAATTATCTTAAAATAAAATTTTAATTAAAAAATAAAAGCAAATGAGGTAGAGTTCTTGGACATAGGGAGAAACCATTATATGCTTCAGGTTAAGTAGTCTTCAGTAGGTCTGCATCGGTAGCTGTCACAATCACAGTGATTCTACAAATAGTACAAATAGGGGAACCTGAGCATTTTATCTTGAACTACAAATTACTTTAATAATTACATTTTAAAATTTATCCTTTGTATTACAGTGGGGTATCATATAAAGATATACTTTTTGAATTTATGGTTTCAGTCTGTTATCTGAAGATTTTATTTCTGGGATATTAGAGGGAGTGTTGCAAACTATAAACTACTGTTGTAAAAGAGGGCATAGAATCTGATAGGATTATGAACGTTTAATATAGTTTACATTTATAGTTAGAGAGGAAAAAATGAAGATGAATGTTATTTTCCCACAGGTTCAACATGTAACAGCTTATATCCATCCACGGAAGTATACTCTTTGTGTTTCCTAAACTAGTCTCTGTACTAATTTGAAAGCTCAATAAACTCAACTGAGATCCAGCCAGGCTCTGCCACTTTCGCTTTTCTTAATTAGGAGACTAATAGTACCCACTTTACAAGTTTGCTATGGGGATTTAATGAGGTGCATATGTAAAATGATGCAAAATAACATTTACTGAACACCAATACTTTATACGTGCCACTGGTTTTCATTCTCTCAGCAATATACTTTAAATCAGGGCATATGACCCTAATTTTGTAGATGAGAAAATGAGGCCATAAGAGGTTAAGACATTAGCTCAAGCTCCTAAGTGCCAGACCAGCATGAAACCATGATCTTAGACCATGAAGCCCATGTTTTTTATACCAGTGGTTTCAGTAACCTAGAACCTTGGATCTTGAAGGGATGCAAAAACTCTTGAAAGATCATGAGTCAACATCTTAAGATTGTATGCACAATTCAGTAATAATTAAAATTGGGAAAATATGAAATTCATTTATATGCACTTGCTATAAAGGAAAATATTTCAGAATTTCTTGTATATTATTTTCACTAGTCCATGATTTTTCCTTCACAGAAGTAAGCAACATGAGGGAAGCTGAAAAAAATCTTGGTGATATGGGGATAATAGGACAACATTAGCAATGATTAGGCAGGGTTATTAGTTTGCTAATCCCTGGAACACAGGAGATCACCATGGAATTCTTATAAACAGAGGTGGACATTATTCCAGAGGAAAATTAAAGTCAACTCAAAAGGACATAGATTCTGTGGATAAATGGAGAAAGTTGACTGCCATATCAGTAAATTATTTTTATCTATTATTTTGACTCTAAGAAGTAAGAGCATTTTAACTTTGATAATCAAGATAGAGTCCTCCACTGTGGGCGAACAACCCTGAGGCATTAGTGTCCTATAAACCTAAACAAAATAACGACAAAATATAGTCATGGCAAGAGTAATTCATTAAATTAAAAACAGTAATTGGGATGAATTTTTCCAGTGCATATCAATAGTATAATGTTGCAGAAAATTTCCCATGAATTAAATTTAATATGTTTACAGAAAAAAACTGCAAAATGTATTAATTCATATAATTTCAGAGCAATTTTTGTACCCCAGTGCTTTGCAAAAGTTTGTAGGAAAAACATGGGGTACTTTTCTTACTGACTGATATTTTGTATCATGATTATAACACAGCATGGAACTTTCAGGTTAATTGTTAGTTTAAGTAAGAGTAAGTCAAGGATAAATAATCTGTAAAGTATCCTCCTGTAAACCTGAAAAGTATCTGTCTGTCTGTATTTGTCACTGTTGGTGGTACTGGTAGTAGTTACGTAATAGCATAAGTGAGTGGAAGTAAAACTCTTGTTTTGGCAAAATCTATATGTTAGCTGTATTCATGACAGGAAATTTCAACCACAAAATAAATCTGTGACATGATAACTTTTTTTTTTCCCAATTTTCAATCCCCTAGATAAGTTTGATTAAAAAGTAGATAACATTTCAGGTTTCAAAGAAAATGCAAATTCAGGATCTTCAAACTTTCCAACTAGCTCCTTTTATTAGTATTCTATTGATCAGAACTCACTACTTTTCAACATGATTACATAATTTATAATTGATGTTTATAAAGAAACATCAGAGCTGCTGCAGAATGCCAGTGACCTAATCAATTTTTCTTAAATAATAAATGCCCAAAGTAAACAATTTGGAGTCCAAAGAATGGACAGTGAAGATCCCTCTTCCATCTTATCCCTTCTTTTCCTTCTCCATAGGCAATTACTGTTACTATTCTCTTGTGTATCTTTCTACAGAATTCTATTCCTGTATAAGAATATTTACATGTATGTACACCCTCAAAAGGACATGTGAGATACTATTTAAGAAATAACAAGCTTTATTCTTTTTACTGACTGCCTATTAAAAACTGCTCTGAAGAACTGTTTCTTTCTTACATTTGGAAAAAATCTCGGGCAAATCTTGTCACTTTACTAGTTGATCTTAGGTCCATCTTCTAGTCATGAAAACATCTCAGTTCAGTAATTACATGTGCAATTCAGTGCAATAAGAAAAAACATGCTGTCAGCTTTAAAGTTCTATCTTCTCTCCACTGTTACTTAACACAGGTTGCCTGCTATACGAAGAGGCTAGAATGGGCGTCCTGTGTTTCTCTACTTAGGCTTCTCTCCCATTCATTAGGCTGTCACTGACTTCTCCTTGTTTCACGTTGTGAATGTGACACCAGTCCACTGTGTCCCCAGTCCTCAGGAGACCCATACCAAGCTCCTTCCAGAGGTGCTACTGGAAGGCGCTTTTTCATAGCTAGGCTTGAGATGTTGGAAAAATATTCCTTCTGTCCTCTCAATAATGAGGTTTGGTTAGCATAGGCTCTCAGTATTCTTTTTCAGCCTCATGTCTTTTGAAGCAGGGGAGAGTCAAGAAATACAAAATCATATCTCATAAACCATGATTTAAAAACTCATTTGCAATTATTTCTTGGGTAGTCTGGCACCTTACTTGGAAATATGGAACTGATTGGCACCTAGTGTTTTGGGACTCTTGCTCTCTTGCTGAAAATAAAACATAAATAGTTATATACTGTGTATCTATCTATTATCTATCTAGAAAGAGAGAGAAGGAGAGCTGAGAGATAACATATATAGAAAATTAGGAATATATACAATACATATGATATATGTATATATCTGTATATATATAGAGAGAGAAAGAGAGAGAGAAAGAGATACATCTGCATTCTTTATAAAAATCATTTTAGATAAATCATCAAAGAATCAAATATTTTTATATGCCCAGGCTGGAGTGCAGTGGTGCAATCATAGCTCACTGCAGCCTTGAACTCCTGGGCTCAAGCAATCCTCCCAGCTCAGCTTCCTAAGTAGCTAGAACTATAGGCACAAACCATCATGCCTGGCTAATTATTTATTTTTTGCATGGGTAGATCTCATTACATCGCTCAGACTGGTCTTGAACTCCTGGCCTCAAGTGATCCTTCCACCTCGACCTCTCAAAGCCCTGGAGTTAGTCAAGAGCCACTGCACCCTTCCTATTGTAAATTTTGAGTCATATTTTTTTATTTCTAGTATGGGCATTGATTACCCACTGGCATGTATTGTCATTTTATAACAATACAAATAGTTGAGCAATCAAATCACCCGTTTCCCCACCTTTTGTCTTACTGAGTCCCTGGAGAGGGCGCTCTGTTCTGAATAAAATGACAAACCTCACAAGTGGAGGCTGTTTGCCCCTCACCCTTTTACCTTTCTTTCTGGAACACAAATGCAAGACACCATAAGCCATCAGGACAAACACTCCATTCAGAATGGTGAAGCAGAAAGATGGGTGTATCTGAAATACTTATGTCTTCTTTAAGCCATTCTTTAGACTTGGTGCTTGTTTCTAGACTTTCGTTTTGTGTGGAGAAAAAAAATCAAGAATTCAGGTTCATTGCTCTGTTACAGTTCTGTTTTTCTTCAGTCTTTCCCCCTTACTCTTGGCTTCAGAGTAGCGGACAGACATGGTCAGTGCTTCCCACAAAGCTCATAAAGCTATTGATATTTTACGTGGATGCCAAACACTTATTTTTTTGGTTGTTGTTTGGAGAGAATTTGTTTTAAATCATAACAGAATCTCATACATATTGCAGATAGTCTTCCAGGTCAATAGATAAAAATCTAACACTTCTTTTGATAGCTGCATATCAAAATGCCTCCAGGTATTTAGACATTTTTCTAGATGGACATTCACGTTAATTATGTTACCTTTTTTATTCATTTATTTATTTAACAATACAGTTAATGCTATAAAAAACATTTTTAAGGCTGTGTGCAATGGCTTATGCCTGTAATCCCAGCGTTTTGGAAGGGTGAGGCAGGCAGATCACTTGAGGTCAAGAGTTTGAGACCAGTCTGGCCAACCTGGTAAAACCCTATCCCTACTAAAAAGACAAAAAATTAGCCAGGCGTGGTAGTACACAATTGTAGTCTCAGCTACTCAGGAGGCTGAGGCAAGAGAATCACTTGAACCCAGGAGGTGGAGGTTGCAGTGAGCTGAGATTGTGCCACTGCACTCCAGCCTGGGCAATAAAATGAAACTCCATCTCAAAAGAAAAAAAATGCTAAGTGCTGATGCTTTTATTTTGTGGGCTGAGCTCTCAGCAGTGGAACGTTTGTGATGTAGGTTATGTACCCTTATTTGTAGACATATTACCAACAACTTATATTCCTACTACACTACATAAAGTGCACATTTTCTTACATTCTCACCAATACTATTGGCAGTTTTAAAAAAAATCTTATATAATTTCAGCCTAACTTAATATATTGGATAATTGTTTTAACTTTTATTTATCAGACTACAAGTGAGATTGAGTATCTTTTAATGCAGCAGTCCTCAACCTTTTTGGCACCAGGGACCAGTTTTATGGAAGACAGTTTTTCCACGGACTGAGGTGGGGGTTGCGGATGGTTTTGTGTTGAAACTGTTCCAGCTCAGATCATCAGGCATTAGATTCTCATAAGGAGTGTGCAACCTAGATCCCTCACATGCACAATTCACAATAAGGTTCACACTCCTATGAGAATCTAATGCCTTGGCTGAACTGACAAGGGTCAGGAGGCAGAGCTCAGGCAATAATGCTTGCTTACCCACCAGTCACCTCCTGCTGTGCAGACTGGTTCCTAACAGGTCACAGACTGCTACCAGTCTGTGGCCTGGGGTTTGAGGACTCTTATTTTAATGTATTTGTTGGCATTCGCTTTTATTTTGGGGCCTTTTTCCTTGAAGTTCTTTGTCTATTGTTAATATTAGTTTTGTTAACCTTACATATGTCACAAAGGTTGCAGATATTTTGTGTAATCTATAATGTATCTTTTTACTTGTTTTTGGAGTCTTTTGCTGCACAAAAGTTTTATGAATTCAGAGTCATAATTCTAGTTTCCTGTTTTGCTACAGAAGATCGTTCACTTAAAAAAAATAGATTTTTATTTATTCCATCTGCATCAGTCGTTCTTAAATTTTTTTAAATGTGCTAGAGTTCACAAAAGAATAGTGCAACTGGATTATGCATGATAAAATTTAAGAGAAACATTCCAATTATTACACGATTGGAGGTATATAGTAGATGCAGGTCTAAATAGATTTAGATTTGACTTTGAATTGGCAAGAGGAGGTCAGCTTCTCACAGGATAAACCCCAAAATTGGAATTCAGCTTGGGAGGCCATGTGGGTTCTTGGGTTAGAGCAGGAAAGAATTCAAGAGTGAAGTGAAAGCAAGTCTATTAAAATGTGAAGGAATAAAATGGTGGCTACCCCATAGCAGAGTCACCCTAAGGACTGCTGGTTGGCTATTTTTATGGTTATTTTTGATAATATGCTAAACAAGGGGTCAATTACGAGTTTTTCAGGAAAGGAGTAGGGAGTTCCCAGAACCAAGGGTTCCTGCCCTTTTTAGATTATCTAGTGTAATTTCTGGGAATTGCCATAGCATCTGTAAACTGTCATGGCACTTTTGGGTGTTTCTGTTAGCATGCTAGGCGTATAATGAGCAGGGAGGACAGCTAGACATTGCTTTCATCCCCATCTTGATTCTGGCTGGTTTCTGCCAGTTTCTTTACCACATCCTGTTATATCAGTGTCGTCTTTGTGACCTCTTCTTGAGAAACAAGTCCTAACAAACTCCTATCTCAGTTTGTATGTGACTATGTATACATTTGATGTTTCAGGCATTAATAACTCTAAAATTAATGTATAGGCTCAGTATGGCTATATATCATTTTACTTGATTTCGTATGGTTCAACATCAACTGCATGCTGATTTTTAGTAAATATTGGTCTCAAATTTTGCCTCGGTATATGTTTTGGGTATATAGATAAAATGCTTCTTCCAACTGTCCTTTTAGTTCTGGCTACCACAAGTACATTGCCTCTGACCAGCAGCACAATGATGTTGGAACTTGTGTCAGAAGAATCATATCCTTCTTTTAGCTTCCATCTACTTTTTGCACTTTTATAACCTAAACCATGTCCCACTTTGTCAATGTACAATTCAGGATAAAGTCATTGATGTCACACTGAATATTGTCTAATGGAGAGCATTCAGATTCACAACTCTCTTCCACTTTAAAGGCAATCTGTATTAATGACACTCACATATTGACCAATTTTATTTGCTATATTGTATTACTTTTTTGCCCTATTCTAAAGGAAGCTTAAGAAATAACACCTAAAATCTCCTGTTTCTCAATTTGGGTTGATTCCTTTTCTCCAAGTGTAATATTTCAATTGTCAAGTGATTTTCTAGTGTAACTAATATTCTACCTACTTGTCTTTCCTCCCATGCACATTTTTTACTTGTCTAGTAGAATTTCAAGTGTTAATTGAGCTGAACATTTGAAAGAGCCTTGTAGGCTGTGTTGTCTTCGAGTGCACATTAATCTTCCTATTACTTTTAACAAGAAGCATAGATATTTAGATATTCTGCTGTGAAGCAGATAATGGTGGGAAATACAGAGAATTGAATCTTTGAGAAATAAAAGATTAGAAAAAGTTTGGTCCTTTTTTTCTCTGCCATTTATTTATTCATGCATATCATAATTCAGTTAGAGATACTAGAAAGGGGTAGAAAAATTTGGGATAGGAAATATTCAGCCAATTTGACATTAATTAAAGAGCATATATTCTTATGAATATTCCACTTGAATTCATTTTAATAGCAATTTGGCATTTTGAAACATTTCTAGCTTGTATTGTATTCAGTTAAGTAGACTTAATCCAGAAGGAAATCAAGAGAAACCATGTCTTTTTGATAAAATAAGCTGTCTTTCAAACATCTGGCCCGACCTCTGGTTGCTGGGATCCACTGCACTGATCACAACTCTGTACTCTCTCAGAGAGAAAACAGGCATTTGCCAGGACTCTGTGAGATAAACAGAGCTGGCCACTCACAAGGAATGATCACTCTCTCGTTGTCACATTGAATATCTTCTAGAGGAAAGCATTCAGATTCGCAACTCTGTGAATGTGTGTTCAGTGTGTTTCAGTGTGTCGAAAAGCTCCAGACCTAAAATGGTCCCATCCGTTTTCCCTAGTTTTAAAATTCTTCTGTGAGAAAAGTCCTTACTTTTCTGTCTCCAGAAATTCCTGTTGAAATACAGATGTCTCTAGAACATAAATACCTTTCTCACCAACGATTGGAATTTGTAATGGCTCTTGGTCTTAAAGGTAGTTACATAAATAAATTAAAATTATCTTAAATAATAAATGAAAATTATAGGAACTACTGCCAGTTTTTGATGTAGTACCAAGCCCTCCTCTACAAATATGGTCTCCTAATTAAGATCCCCATGTTTTTTTTTTAATAAGCCACTCGCATAATTTACCATCTATGATTTCCATTTTTAGTTTACTTAATGTAAAACTAGAGCTACATTTACAAAACTGTAGGAAATCAGTCAGTGTGGTGGGAAAAGGTATAAAAGTTACAGGGAAAGACACAAACCTTCTTGGAAGGCCAGGAGGTTTTGCAAAAGCTTCAAAAGTAAATTTGCCTGAAGACAGCCAAGTTCTCTTATCCAGAGCCTGAGAGCAAAGGGTAAATAATAAGGGAATGTAAAGGGACTTATCTAGATAAATTTGTTTCCTCCTGTCTCCAGAAACCAACCTTTGATCATTTGCATGCAGGACTGCTCTCTACTTGGGGGGGTGGGGGAGTTGACAATGGTTATTATCCACAAATTGTTTTTGCTCCAAGCCTTTGTCATTAAATCTGTACTAAATAAATGCGAGCAGGGCTAGCTTATTGGGGCTGCAGTCTCTCAGCGGCTGCACTGCACTCTTGTCAGTGGTGCAGAGGGGTGCAGTCCCCTAGCTGTGCTCTCAGGCAAAATACCTGTGTCAGCGTACTTCTTTCATCCATCGCTCAGCCAGAGTCTGCAGGACAGACTTGGCAGCACAAAATAATATGAATACAGACTTTTTTCTAGACTGTTATTCATTTCTCTCCTCCTGCTCCCATATTTCACCACAATCTCAGACCCATCTAATTCAACAGTAATTGTTTTGGGATGACCCACACTTCTCAGATTTTTTAAAGCTTAGTTTACATAATTTTAAAGCTTGCTTTTCTTTCTTTTTATACTCATTCTTTATCATTTTAGGTTATTTTGGCTAAACTACATTCTTCAATAATAAATTATGTTGATATAACATGTTTGAGAAGAAATTGATAAGCACATCTGGGCAGTGGAAGCAGAGGTACTTTGTGTTTGCTCTACATTATGCTACTGGGGCTCAGGATACACTACCCCAAAATATGACTGCAGGAGGCCAGAATATGACCCCAAAATATGCCTCTTTGGAACATTGATTATTTTGAGCTAGTTATTTTGAGAAACTGCAGGCACAGGACTAACTTTGAAAAGTTACCCTTTTGTAAGAGAAATTTATATCTATAAAGGAAATTACACTTATGAGAATGTCTCCCTTTCTCTGCAACAGGAAGAGAGGAATGAATAAATGGAGAAGGATTAGACTTAAATCTGCAAAACATATCTTACCCTTGTGCTTTTCCTGGCCATCTGTCCATAGATGGGTTTTTGTGGATTTTCCCCACACCCTTCTTTCTTTGTTTTAGCAAATGAAATTTGAGCATGACGTTTAAACCCTTTATTTGTGACCTACTCTAGAAATGGACTCATTTCTCTAGGTTTTCTCTCACATATATCTGCAATATATATGTTTAAAAAAACTTGTTTGTTTTTCTCTTTGTGAACCCTGAATATCTGAGACAGGTCTCAGTTAATTTAGAAAGTTTATTTTGCCAAGGTTGAGGATGCATGCCTGTGAAACAGTTTCAGGAGGTCATGATGAAATATGCCCAAAGTGACCAGAGTGTCAGAGGTGTTTGAACCAGCATGACTCCATCTTGAGTGAGGGCTAGGAAAATGAGGCTGGATCTTGCTGGGCTGCATTCCCAGAAAGTTAGGTATTCCTAGACTCTAGGTGTTTACAGCTAAGGGAACAGCTTGATAAACAGACTAAACAGACCCAGACTTAGGAGCGTCCTGATATCCCACTATCTTGAGAACAGAAGCATTCCTAATTTTGCTTTAAGGATAATAATATTGATTCTTGCAAAATATAGTAATTAAGAAAATTAATCCTTTATCACAAACCCTGTAGCAGAGCTCATCTCCCCATGATCTTTTTATATTCTGTAGGTAAACAAGTATTGTACCTAGGGTGGACGCATTCCTCCTCTTACTTTCAGGATTCCCTACTCCAGTGTTCTTTCACCACTTTACTTTCTTATTAAACTTGCTTTTCTTTTGCACTGCAGACTCGCCCTGAATTCTTTCTTGTGCAAGATCCAAGAACCTTCTCTTGGGGTCTAGGTCAGGACCCCTTTCCAGTAACATCTTCCTGGTGACTACAAAGCAATGATCCTAAGGAAAACCCCAACCAAAAGGCTAAATTTGGCTAAGTGGTGGGGTTTTGTAATACCTTTCTGGCAAACCCTGAAGGGATGATACTGAAGAAACTCCCTGACCTGAAGGAAGGAAATAGACTGCAGCACAGATTGCCCAACTTGTGTACATGGTGGGGTACCCAGGTAAAGGATGGGATTGGGTTACAGGCCCAAATTAGTAGAGTTAGAGTCTTTCCTAAGACAGAGAGGGTTAAAGCCTCCTCTCAGTAAAAGGCAAGGATGCTTGACTGAACTTGGGTTCGAGGCCAACTTAGGAATCCTAAGATTTAGGGGGTTAGAGGCCCCTCTCAGTAAAGTCTCTCTCAGCTAAGAATAGGTTTTGCACTATGGGATATTAACTGCTATTCTCTTTGGATTATTCTGCCTTGCCCTCTTGGCTGATGGCTGTGGGTGACAGGGTATGTAAAGGATCATGGGACATGGGGAGCTTTTTCCTCCATATAAGGGGAAGCTTGAGAGCTGATGGAACACCTGGAAAAGATCACTTTGTGACCGACTGCAGAGACCAGCTCGGTTAGAGAGACCCAAACACAGTGGCGCTAGAGGAATTAAAGACACACAACAGAAATATAGAGGTGTGAGGTGGGAAATCAGGGGTCTCACAGCCTTCAGAGGTGACAGCCCCAAACAGAGATTTACCCACATATTTATTAACAACAGGCCAGTCATTAGCATTGTTCTACAGATATTAGATTAACTGAAAGTATCCCTTATGGGAAACCAAGGGATGGGCTGAAATAAAGGGATGTGTTGGGCTAGTTATCTGCAGCAGGAACATATCCTTAAGGCACAGATCACTCATGCTGTTGTTTGTGGTTTAAGAACGCCTTTAAGTGGTTTTCTGCCCTGGGTAGGCCAGGTGTTCCTTGCCCTCATTCCGGTAAACCCACAACCTTCCAGCGTAGTCGTTATGGCCATCATGAACATGTCACAGTGCTGCAGAGATTTTATTTATGGCCAGTTTTGGGGCCAGTTTATGGCCAGATCTTGGGGGGGCCTGTTCCCAACATGTCCCCCTCCTTTGATTTGCAAAGTGATAAAAGCAAGAGCAACTTTGTCACGGTGAGCTATTTCTCACAGGAGTCAGGATCTGCATCTGCAGACTATACAAAGACAAACAACACAGATTAAAAGCACAATCATCATTGAAATCACAGAGCTTCCAAGTGTTTTTATCCATTTTACTCAGTTACTAGCTACTAATCTGTCTGCAGTTCCTTCAAGCACTCCAGTTCCTGGCGTTAAGGTTAGGTGTGCCTGGGATGCTTTAAGTATTTGTTCTTTTAATTTTGTAATATCCAAAAACAAGTTTGTAGAGTGTCCTTCTAGATGCTTTTTTATTCTTTCCCAAACTTTGATCTTGTTAAGAGCTATTAATAGTTTCCACAAATCCTTATATTTAGCTCCTACAGCAGGCCATATCATTTGAGGTTGAGGTGCCACTATACCGCCATGGTTCCAGATAATAGAAATTCTTGCCGTACTTCTTATCATTTCTACCATCTGACCTTTTTGTTCAGACCATCTGAACATAGTATGGCCATGGCACACACGCTGAGCAGTGCAATTCAAGCTAAACATCCCCTTAGGGGACCAGTTAATAATGATTCCATAGGAATCATTGTGCAGCACCTCTGCCTGTTCTGCAGTGCAATCTTCCGAAACAAGTACGTTCATTTTTCCTGTCCAGGTTTAATTTTGTTTACAAATAAGTTTTTGAGGGCGGTATGCCTCAATTATAGGAGCAGATTTATTATGGTAAATACTGAGATA
The DNA here is from genome assembly GCF_000001405.40 of Homo sapiens. Taxonomy (NCBI): domain Eukaryota; kingdom Metazoa; phylum Chordata; class Mammalia; order Primates; family Hominidae; genus Homo; species Homo sapiens. The sequence continues at coordinate 44,792,253 of NC_000005.10, read as the reverse complement.
AGAAAGCATATGTAACTGCGTCATAGAGTGATAACATCTAGGCATTATTGCTAGCCAAGATTGCTAAATATGCCTGATAAGTATAATTGTTCTCTGTGTCAGCCCTTATTGAAGGAATACTCATGGCAGTAGTGATAACTGCTATCATAGCTACCATTAAATTACTCATTGTGACTGGTTGTCCTGCTTTCCTCAGGTTTTCTTTCGCCATCTGTGACAGCTTCTTGATCTGTCCCCAGGTGGATGGCTGTGTTGAATGGGTGTTGTTCATGACAGATGGGGTCCTCCTCAGCATCAGCCTTGACATGGTTGCAACCAGGGGGTCCTCGGGATCCTCCTGGAATCTCTTCCTTGGCATCTGGCTCATGATAAGTTTTCAGGTGTCTTGATGGTATCCAAATTGGCTGTTGATTTTGGCCTGGAGAAATAAAAGCACAACCTCTACCCCAAGTTATTATTTTACCTATTTCCAAACTTTTTGTTATTGGATCTCTCCAGCAAACCAGCCTGTTCTGCTTCTGTCTTTGCAGCTGGTTTCTGTAGATGCTGTTCAGCTGCTGATAACGTCTGGCCTTTGGGCAGGCTCAAAAAAATTTAAAGTTAATAATGCTATTTAAATTTAAAGTCAGTTGTGTATGGGCTGTCCCATAATCCTTGTTTCTCCCCCTTTTTTGTTTTTGTCATCATTTGTTCATTGTGTGAAATTGTAACTGAGCATTTTTAATTAACTGTGTGGAATGAACCACGTATGAAGAATCAGAAATCACATTAATAGGCATATTAAAACCAGTCAATACCTCAATTATAGCTACAAGCTCCACTTTTTGAGCTGAAGTATAGGGCGTCTGGAAAACTTTACCTCTTGATTCAGAATAATAAGCTTTACCATGACTAGACCCATCTGTGAAACAATGAAAATGCTTAGCAGGCTGCAGGTTCTTTACTGCAGGAATTGTAAATGCAAACCATTCACAGTCTTGCTCAGCTAAAGGTATAGTAAAGAAGCAGTCTTTTAAATCTATGACTACTAAAGGCCAATTTTTTGGAATTATAGCAGGAGAAGGCAATCCTAGCTGTAATGCTCCCATAGGTTGTATAACTGAATTGATGGCTCTTAAGTCAGTTAACATTCTCCGTTTACCTGATTTTTTCTTAATTACGAAAACTGGAGAATTCCAAGGGGAAAATGTTAGAGCCATGTGCCCATTTTCTAATTGTTCAGTAACTAATTCCTCTAAAGCCTCCAGTTTCTCTTTACTTAGCAGCCATTGTTGTATCCAAATTGGCTTATCTGTTAACCACTCTAAAGGTATAGGTTCTGGAGGCTTAACAATGGGCACCATCAAAAATGATATCTTAAACCTTTGGTGGGAACTTTGTCTTTCTGCTTGAAGCAGTTCTTTCAAACCGTGCAAATTTTTTTCTAGTCCCGTACCAGGGACATACCCCATTTCATGCATCATATGTTGATTTTGAGGGCTATATAATTGTTCTGGAATTAGAACTTGTGCTCTCCATTGTTGTAATAAATCTCTTCCCCATAAATTTATAGGTACAGAAGTTATAATTGGTTAAATAGTCCTAGGTTGTCCATCTGGCCCTTCACGATGCAAAATATAGCTACTTTGATATACTTCAGGGGCTTTACCAATTCCAACTATGTTAAATTGAGTGGGTTGAATTGGCCATGTGGACGGCCAGTGCTGTAGAGAAATGACTGAAATGTCCACTCCTGTATCTACCAAACTTTTAAATTTCTTTCCCTGAATAGTTATTTCACAGGTAGGATGTTTATCAGTAATTTGATTTACCCAATAAGCAGCTTTGCCTTGTTTATTTGTGTTTCCAAATGCTCCTGTTCATTTAATTTCACTTTTCCCCGTTCCCACATATGGCACAATCAGGAGCTGTGCTACACGCTCTCCTGGCTCTGCTTTCCAGGGAACAGAAGTAGACATAACAATTTGAATTTCCCCGTTATAATCTGAATCAATTACTCCTGTATGCATTTGTACCCCTTTTAAATTTAAACTAGACCTTCTTAGAAGTAACCCTGTCATACCTGCTGGCAAGGGTCCACAGACTCATGTTGGGACCTTTTGCAGGGGTTCCCCAGGCAGAAGGCTCACAGCTTTTGTGCAGCATAAATCTACTGCAGCACTACCAGTTGTGGTGGGGGACAGACATTGTACAGGGGTGAGGGAATGGCCTGAGCTGGAAATGCCCCAGTTTAGAATGGGGCCCAGGACGGGACCCTCATGGCATTTTCCGAAATCGGGTTCCCATCTTTATCAAACTAGAGTGACATTCATTAGCCAAATATTTTCCTTTTTTACATTTTGGACATATTTTGGGCTCAGCAGTTTTCTTTTTTCCCCTATCTGTCGGCCTGACTTGCTGATTTTTTTCTACATTCTTTTTTCGTATGACCATGCTTCCCACAGTTAAAACAAGCTCCAGGAAATGGAGTATTTCCTTTATCCACTCTCAGTCCTGCCATTGCCTGTGCTAGCAGAGTAGCCTTATGCAGATTACCTCTGATATCATCACAGGCCTTGATATAATCAACTAAATGTGCTTTCCCGAATTTAAAAGGAAAAGGCTCAAATGTAGCTGTAATATTTCCCTGTTGATCTGGGGGGTGTATTCTAACAGGGAACTGCCAAACCTCTGAATCACCCTCACGTCTAGCTTGCTGAATTCCAGCCTGAATAGAACTAAGAGTGATCGCTCGAGGCACTGCTCAAACAGTCACTGGGGCAACTACTTTTCGCCCAGTGTCCTCCGGAAAAGAAAGATCTGGAGAGTCAGGCCACTCTTTTTCTTCAAAATAACAATGAGGGGGTGCAGAAGGGTAGCGATGAATCTCTCCCTTCTTTGCCACTTTAGCTTTAGCTGGCAAACAAACCTGCTCTGTAACCTCTTCTGTTATTTCATTATACTCTCCTTCCTCCTCATCATCAGTGTGAAAAAGTTACAAGGCAGAATGAACCAGACCCCACACTTGTCCCATTGTTACCCTGATGCTTCCGAGCTCCCCTTCTTACTTACCACGGGGATTGCTTTAAGAGTACTCAGGTGTCCTCCAGCTTAGTTCCATGTTCTCCAACCGTCGCTCTAACGACCCTTTGACCTGGATTAGAGCCCCCACAATGGATGCTGCTTGCCGAGACCAGCTCAGCCAGGGAGACCCTAACCCAGCAGTGCCAGAGGAATTAAAGACACACACACACAAATATAGAGGTGTGAACTGGGAAATCGGGGTCTCACAGCCTTCAGAGCTGAGAGCCTTGAACAGAGATTTACCCACGTATTTATTAACAGCAAGCCAGTCGTTAGCATTGTTTCTATAGATATTAGATTAATTAAAAGTATCCCTTAGGGGAAACGAAGGGATGGGCCGAAATAAAGGGATGCGTTGGGCTAGATACCTGCAGCAGGAGCATGTCCTTAAGGCACAGATCACTCATGCTATTGTTTGTGGTTTAAGAATGCCTTTAAGTGGTTTTCTGTCCTGGGTGGCCCAGGTGTTCCTTGTCCTCATTCTGGTAAACCCACAACCTTCCAGCATTGGCATTATGGCCGTCATGAACATGTCACAATGCTGCAGAGATTTTGTTTATTGCCAGTTTTGGGGCCAGATTACGGCCAGATGGTGGGAGGCCTGTTCCCAACAACTGAGAAGCAGCTGCTTGAACTTTTGAGCAATTGGTGGGTCTTTCTCTGACCTCCCTGAGTCTTTGCCTTCCTCACCCTGCCAAGGCAATGCTTCCTCTCTCTCTCTTTCTCTCTGTGCAAACTGGTTCATTGAATGGTAAAAATTACTGTTTATCTCCTTCATTAAGTTTTGATTATTGGAAAAAAGGATTTGTGAGGCTTATCTTAAGCTGCAGTGAATCTGGTGTGCCTTGTGTGTTCTATCATAAAGAGGGGTACCTCAGGATAGAACATGGGCTTAGAAACCCATAAGCCCACTGTTCAAGATAGCCCAGCAAACTGGTCATTTATAAACTTTGCTGCAGGTCCCTGGGTGGGGGGGTACTGGATGAGGTTTTCCTCCTGTTTTGTATGTCCTCAGGAGTTTGACCTTATAAGCACGTGGCAGTTCTTTCTCTTGGTCTCCCTCATCACAATGGCGGCTGGGGTTCAGGGTTCAATTCCTGGCTTAGGGAATGAGTCCTTTACCTTCTGTCTGCGTATTTATATGTGTTGGGTGTGTGATATTTGTATCTAAAACAGCTTTGATTAATTGGTTTAATAATAATATAAGCTTAAATCAAATATTTTGTCAGGAAAGTTAAAAGTGTAATGTCTTTTAGGTCACGTGACTTAAGTAATCTTTGGAAAATAGAAACAGTTCTACATGTAAGGTGTGTAAAGAAATTGAAATGTGTTTTTGGTAAAAGATTATAAGAGGGCATGGGAATGTGGATGTTTCTGCCTAGATTAAAGGGTTAATGATTGTTTTAAGTTTGGATAAAGCTGAATGTTTGAACAAGTTGTGGAAGGTTTGTGAAAAATTAATCTTGTTAAAAAAATTATCTATGTGTGAACATATTGGCCAAAGTTAAAGGAGTATTCAGTTTTTCTGTAAATTAAACATTGGAATACAAGCATACTTTTTCTTAGAGCGCTGATCTGCTCTTTAACAAAAAATTTTGAAGGGTTATAAGAGGTTTATGAGAATCTTACCCCTTGTCAAATATTAAAATTGGGTAGATATTTTTATTAGGTTTTATTAGGACTTGGGTTTAACATTAACAGTATGCTAATGTAAAGGTGAAGTTTGGTTTATTTAGTACAAAAATCGTAAAGGAAACATTGTCACATATAAAATTGGCTTTCTTTGGGCTATATTTGTATAAATATGTTATTGGTATGTGTTCCAGAATTATGGGAAACTCCAATAATCCTAATATAACTTAGTGTGCTTATCACTGATAATTACAATTATTACATAAAATTTTGTATGCCACAGAAGTAACCAAGTTTTTTTATCAGTTGTGGCTTTGATAGTGGCTATCCTAAGACTTTTTATCATCCACAGACAATTGATGTTTTGTTTTAATCTTCTTCAAAAGGTGGTTTGTAATCAGCTGCAGGACTTTGACAGATGTTCTTAAATGCAAGTTTCTGATGACTTTGAAGATTATGACATTAGAGAAAAAAACTTTCAGGACTCATGGAGAGTCAAAATTTTCATGGATATCAAATAGGAGTTAACTGCATGGACCGAACTGAAGAAGACTGAAGTAATATTTTTGCTTAAAATGTTGCTGATCCTTTGTTTTGTTTTTTCAGAGTCAAGGAAGCTTTTCTTTTGAGCTATTTACAGCTTTTAGCAATTGAGTAAAGTATACTCCTGTGAACAAAATTTGGAACATATTTGTTTCTCTCTAACTGATTTCTCCAGAATTTGGAACTAGTTGTGAGTATTCTTAATTTATGTCAGTATAATTATTTGTGTAAGTGCAATAAGAATCAATTTTCTTTTGCAACAATACACAGTTGGAGAAACTGGTTATTTTACCAAGGACTTGACTGGAATGGTGTGTTTTCCTTTAAGGAATTAAACTTGACATATAGAGGCGACAAAAGCCCCTTAGGAAATCTGGCCTCATACTTTGTCTACACAGTCCCTGCACAGGATTCCTGACCTGTATTAAGTAAAGAATATCACTTTCTGACAGGCTGATTAGCCCTAAGTTATCTTGGGACCTCAAAAGGAGAGACATTTACCCAACTCATAGGTATTTGAGGATACAATCCCATATCAGGGCTTGACTTTAAAAAAGTCTTATCTGAGATTCCTTCTATGGAAGAGAGTTCCATCAAAGCCAATCTAAAAAGTCTAAGTGAAAAATAATTATTCTTGCTACATTTTACACAAATAATCAGGCCAAGTATAATAAAGCAAATCAGTCTTATCGTGATTTGTCTTTAATAAAAATGGGATACTGAAGAGAGGAAAAAATTGTGTTTCAAGAACTATGGTACACCTGTTATTAGGTTCTAGTCTCCTCAGTTGTTTTTGAGGTTTTTCTCTGCAATTTAGACTAACCCTGCTTATTCCTGTGCACCAACCAGTGATCTCTGGCTGCTACTGAGAAGAAATAAGAGGGTTGGTCAATGTAAAAATCTGGATTGATATCCTAATTCTGGGCACATTGGAATCAGCTAGCAACCCCATATCAGCTTGGTTCCAACAATTGCCCAGTTCATGGAAAGCCTTCTAATTTAGTTTACTTGGGATACTTTTACTTAATTTGCTTTGCTATTTTGGAATGTATTGTGGTTGTACTCTGTGTGTAGGAATGCAAGACAGGCTTACTCAATGTTTTCTTAAATTGAACACTTATTAATCTTTCAGATATCACCTTTTGTTGAAATTGAGAGTTATGAATAGCCCTCACCATACTGATGCTTTCTGACTGAGCCCCTCTCTACCCTGAATGCAAGAGACCCAGTAGTTAGGCAGGAATATTATCACCTCTATTCAGCCTGAAGAAATTAGAGAAGACAGATCTTCATCTCTCTGCAACCCTTAGCATTAAGGGTCCTCTTGTAAAGGGAGGGGGGGAAATATGTCAGATGCATTTGAAACAGAGCAACTCCATCTTGAGTGAGGGCTAGGAAAATGAGGCTGGAACTTGCTGGGCTGCATTCCCAAAAAGTTAGGTATCCCTAGCCTCTAGATGTTCATGGTTAAGGGAACAGATTGATAACATTTACTAAACAGACCCAGACTTAGGAGTGTCCTGATGTCCCGAATATTGAGAACAGAAGCATTCTTAATTTTGCTTTAAAGATAATAATATCAATTCTTGCAAAATATAGTAATTAGGAAAATAAATCCTTTATCACAAATTCTTGTAGCAGAGCTCATCTCCCCATATCTTTTTTATCCTATATATAAACAAATATTGTACCTAGGGTGGACGTGTTTGTCCTGGTGTGTTCAAGAATGCCCTACTCTGTCTATGGAGTAGCCATTCTTTCACCACCTTACTTTCATAATAAACTGGCTTTTGCTTTGCACTATGGACTCACCCTGAATTCTTTCTTGTGCAAGAACCAGGAACCCTCTCTTGGGGTGTGGATCGAGACCCCTTTCTGGTAACGAGAGCACAGCTTGGTTTTATACATTTTAAGGAGACATGAGACATCAATCAACGTATATAAGATGAACATTTTGATCTGAAAAGGTGGGCCAACTTGAAGCAGGGATGGGACTTGCGGGCCATAGGTAGATAAGAGCAAATGGTTGCATTCTTTTGAGTTTCTGATTTGCCTCACCAAAGGAGGTAATAGATATGCATTTATCTCAGTGACCAGAGAGGTGGCTTTGAGTAGAATAGGAAACAGGTTTGCCCTAAGCAGTTCCCAGCTTGACTTTTCCCTTTAGCCTAGAGATTTTGGGGTCCCAATATTAATTTTCCTTTCACATCTTGTTAATCTGTCTTTTGTTACAGGGAAGTCTCAATTAAGAATTATGAAGGCTAGAGAAAACTATTTTTTTCTCTCCTACAGTTTTGTAGGTCTTACAGAATAATGGAGTGTGTGAGTTAATCTAGCAGTTATGTGAAGTGGAGATTTTTGAAAGACTTTTTATGTATAATTATCTGTTAAGAGTAGAGATTAGGCTGGGTGTGGTGGCTCACGCCTGTAATCCCAACACTTTGAGAGGCTGAAGCAGGTGGATCACCGGAGGTCAGGAGTTTGAGACCAGCCTGGCCAACATGGTGAAACCCCATCTCTACTAAAAATACAAAACTTAGCCAAGCGTGGCGGTGGCTGCTGTAAGCCCAGCTACTTGGGAGGCTGAGGCAGGAGAATTGCTTGAACCCGGAAGGCGGAGGTTGTTGTGAGCTGAGATCATGCCATTGGACTCCAGCCTTGGTGACAAGAGTGAGACTCTGTCTCTAAATAAATAAATAAGAGTAGAGATTATGTCTTTAAGATTTCAGGAAGTATGTCTTGATGGCCCAGGGAAAGGAAGCAAAGAACGTGGGCAAGAAAGAGTGAGTCAGTACTGTAAAGTGTAGTGGTTAGGGGTAAGAACTCTGGAATCAGGTTATTTGGGTTATGTTCCTGGCTCTGTCAGAGGTGTTTAAACCAGAGTGACTCCATCTTGAATAGGGGCTGGGTAAAATAATGCTGAGACCTACCGGGCTGCATTCAAAGGAGGTTAGGCATTCTTAGTCACAGGATGAGATAGGAGGTCAACACAAGATACAGGTCACAAAGATCTTGCTGATAAAATAGGTTGTGGTAGAGAAGCCAGCCCAAACCCACCAAAATCAACATGGTGACGAAAGTGACCTGTGGTCTTCCTGACTGCTCATTATATGCTAATTATAATGCATTAGCATGCTAAAAGACACTCCCACCAGCACCATGATGATTTACAAATGCCATGACTATGTCAGGTAATTACCCTATATGGCGTAAAAAAGGGAGAACCCCCAGTTCTTGGAATTGTCCAACCCTTTCCCAGAAAACTCATGAATAATTCACCCCTTGTTTAGCATATAATCAAGAAATAACTATAAATATTCTTGGTCAAACAGCCCATGCCACTGCTGTGCCTATGGAGTAGCCATTCTTTTATTCCTTTACTTTCTTAATAAACTTGCTTTCACTTTACTGTATGGTCTCATCCTGAATTCTTTCTTGTGTGAAGTCTCAGAACCCTCACTTGGGGTCTGGATCAGGACTGCTTTCCTGTAACAGCTCCTCTACTTTAATAAGTTGTGTGAGTTTGGAGAAGTTACTTAAGGCCTCATGGCCTCAATTTTCTTATCTATGTAGGATTATTATTGCCTGTCCTGATTTCTCACAGGGTCACTAAATAAAATGCTCTTTAAGCATTATGTTCTTATTAATATTATTATTTGGGGGTGGTAATACAAGAAGAGGAAGTACATTATTAGCACTAGAAACCAATTTATTCTCATGATATAGCAATTTCATTTTTAAAATATCTAGTATTGGAAGCATATGTAAAGGTTATTTTGTATCAGCACCCATTTTAATACCTGACTTCTTTCTTGTATCTTATCAAGTGAATGATGAAGTCACCTACTGCCAGAGTATCCCTGTTTATTTTTTGGACTACTCTGTTAATTCATTTATGTTCTCATCAATGATTTATTTAATGTTTAATGTATGTTAAGTGTTAGGCATAGAAATATGACTTGTCCCTGTTCTTGAGGACCGCAAAGCATAGCTGTAAATACCATTTCATGAAAAGATAATTTGAATACAATGTAATAGGTACTACATTAAGAATACATAAAAAGCAGTGTGTGAATCCAGTGTTTTTCATTACACCAAATTGAGCTTAATATTCCTATAACTTCTGACTTATTCAATTTTGATTCCTGTGAAAACATGGATTGGTTGTGGCAGATCGTTTTGGAATCCAATGACCATTCTCTTGTCCTCTTCTTCCTGACTAGTAGAACCTGAATTGTGTTCAGGCATTTACTCTCCAGTGTGCTCAGGAAAGGTAACAGTCCCCTTAGTCCATGGGGTATATCATGATTAGCCTGCGTTACAATGGTTGAGGGCAATTTTTCTTGAAGCTTCTTGGATGGGTTTTCCAGTTTGATAAAGGGAGGTACCCCCATCATCTTCAACAATAGTTGTTATATCTTCATGTAATGCTTGGAATTGTCTTAGCCATTTACAATCATGCAAAGAGACATCACAGGAACACCAAGAATGACAGAATGGAAAGATGATCCTGGTTCCTTTATGACATTTTTTGTCCTGCTGAATTAAGCAACTGTGCAGTAAAGGATTAACTCGCCAGACTCAGAGTGTTAAAATTCTGTTCATTACAAAAATAAATAAATGAATGAATAAATAAAATAACTGGCCCTGGGGTTTCTGAGGGATAACTTCTAGTCCCTTGGTATATCCTGCTTGATGAGAGTATCTTTGTATACCTGGGGCTTTGGAACACATATTATCAGATTGGCCTCTGAAAAGACTAGAGAACAAGTAACTAAAGTCAGTCAGGCAAGCACTCTGTGCCTATGTGACTGACCCGTAAAAAAAAACTCTGGATACAAATGCTCAAGTAAGCTTCCTCAGTTGGCAACACTTTGTATGAATTGTCACATATTATTGCTGGGAGAAGTAAGCATTGTCCATGTAACTCCAATAGAAGAGGACAACTGGAAGGTAGCACCTGTTTTCTCCAGGACTCTACCCTATGCACATTTTTTCTTTACTAATATTAATGTGTATTAACTTACTGTAAAAAACTATAACCATGAATATCACCACTTTTCTGAGTTCTGTGAGTCCTAGCAAATCATCAAATCTAAGAATGATTTTGCATCCCTGAAACAACAACCCTGGAAACACCCACCTCCATATTACATATTATCTGAATTAGGGGTGGAACCATTTCAAACTGTCAATTCATACTGAGTTTCTGTGTAGCAAAGTGTATGAGTTATGACTAAGCTACAGCCCCTTCTCTGTAGTTATCATTAAAACTCAAATTCAACAGTTTACATTTATCTCATTTTCTGCCATCTTACCCAGATCAGACAAGCCTATCTTTTCAAGTCAGTACCTATGGGTACTGACTCTGTTACCAGCATTTTTGTTATTATTCCTTCCTCATTATTTGCCAAAGTGCATGAGATGTCATCAATCCTGATCAAATCTTTATGCTTGTATATCTTCCATAAGTTAAATCCCATGAGAATGGAAATCTTATATGTCTTGTTCACAGCCATCTTCATACCACTAGAAGCATACATATTTTTGTCAAAATAGATAAGAAGAGTTTATCTCTAGGTAGATTCTTTTTAACACATACATTTACCCTAGCAATAGTAATATAATTACCCTTCAACATTCATGTGCAATGTATTGTCTATTATATTGTCTACAACTAGCTAGGATAAGAACACCTAGGAGTAGAATGTATTTAAGAGTTCTTTTCATGTTTGTGAGATAAGAAAGAGGGAGGCCTTTTGAAGCATAAAAAAGAGCCCACAGGGGAAAGGTCTGGCTTGGAAGATATAGTAAAAAATTCTGACTTTCAGTAGCCACATGACTATGCTAAGCTTCTGGACAAATAAGGGAAGAAAAAGGTAGCCAGGGGCATGTCTACTGAGACAGGAGTAATTTGAGTGTCTTACTTGCCACCAGTGCAAAACTTAAGGAGGGGTTTTAAAAACTCAATAATCAACATAAAATAAAATATATTTAAAAATATAATATATTTAAAAGTCAAAATTAATGCCAAAAATCATAAAAAACAGAATAAAACTAGGATCAATAGAAATGCTAATCCACTCATAATCTATTCACAGTCCATAAGTGAGGCACCAAGAGGTCATGCACACAATGCTTCCTTGAATATTAGACCGATGAGTTTCCTGGCATCCTATTCTCTCTATCCATTTGTAGTTTCTGCTTCCTCCTCCCTAACAAAGACTTTCTGAGGAGTTACCTGTGAATTTAAATATACTCTTTTGGAGATAGGACCAGATTTCAATATGGCTTAGGTGTACCATCAAACTGATTATACCCCAAACACCAGGCTATGTATTTTCCTACTTCTCTGTCATTAAAATATGAACACATCTGCAACATGAATTATTTGAAATTTAACCATATATTTTAAATGTTCTTTCAATACAATGTTCTTTCAATACACAATACAATGTTCCTTAACTCATGCACATGGCAGTAATCCGTTATATTTAGAACATATGGCTGCATTTGATATATCAAATGTCTTTGGCAAGTGAAGTCATCCCAGTTTAATGAAAACTTGTCTGTAAGATGACATAGGAGAAAAACAATAATTTTCCTCTCATTCTTCAATATATTTCCTTCAAATTTATGTTGATCTAAGTTGGCCTAAAATTAATATTTTTCTAAAATAACACAAGTAGTTAAAATAGTCTTAAAGAATTTATGTATAGGCATCAAAAGTATGATATTCACAATTGGAAAGTAAATTGTTACCACTTTTCTGGGGAGTATTTTGGTGATATAGTTCAGTCTGTTAAAATGTCCATTACTTCTGACCCTGAGGAAAAAATTTGTAAGTCAATCAGAGTGACTCAATATAATTTAACATATTAAGTACACACACACACACACACACACACACACACACACACTCAACTTTTAATGGTGACAGTGGGTTGCTTTTCTACTCTCTGGAAAAAGTTTAATTTTGCCCAGGTCAAGGACTAGAAGCTCACCAAACATGGCACCATCATTTCCACCCAATCTCCAGCAGATCTAAGTCCCTACTTCCCAGTCACGAGGGTTGAAAGTACTCAGGCTGTTGACCTGCAGGCAGGGGCAGTCGTTTTTCTATGACCACTTGGTTGGTGAGTTTCTTCCATCCAGCTTCCTAGTCCTCTGTCCAGAATAGTTTTCTCTCTCTCTCTTCACAATTAGTGAAAGAAACCCTGTTCCTCTAAACTTCTTTCTCCCTTGCATTTGAGTCACCACTCTGCCTCTTCCCCTTCCTCTAGGCCCGATTTTGTATAATCATTGTGAGGGGTATATATAGATATATATCGATATAGATATATATATAGATATATATATACATTAGATATATCTATATATATAGATATATCGATATATATCTACCTAATAGTATAGGACTGATAAAATAAGTTGTAGTATATTTAAATTAAGACTACTATGAAACCATTAAAATAACATTTTTGAAATAGTAAAATAGTTTTGAAATAAAGATGAGTTTAAAACCCAAGATTAAAAAAATGTATAAACTACATGATTGGATAAGAAATACACACATAATGACACGGAAAAAGCCAGGAAAGAAGTGCAATAAAATATTAACAAAAGATGAAAGCAAATGATGGGATTATTGGTATTTTTCCTCCTTGTAATTTCTAATTTATCTTTACTGGTTACAGATTCCCCTTCCCCTTCCCCTTCCCCTTCCCCTTCCCCTTCCCCTTCCCTTTCCCTTTCCCCTTCCCTTTCCCCTTCCCTTCCACACAGTTTCGGTCTCATTGCCCAGGCTGGAGTGCAGTGCCATGATCTCGGCTCACTGCAACCTCCGCCTCCTGGGTTCAAGCGATTCTTCTGCCTTAGCCTCCTGAGTAGCTGGGATTACAGGTATCTGCCACCACACCCAGCTTATTTTGTATATTTTTAGTAGAGATGGGGTTTCACCATGTTGGCCAGGCTGGTCTCAAACTCCGGACCTCAGGTGATCCACCCGTCTCAGCCTCCCAAAGTGCTGGAATTACAGGCATGAGCAACCGTGCCCGTCAGCTTATTTCTTTTAAAAATCAGAACAAAACTTGGTTTAGATGTAAGAAATGTGGAAGAAAAGTAATGTTTCACCAGAATCTGAATACATGCATTATATATTATTCCATCAAGTGGACAATTACTTGCTGAATAAACCTGATCATGTACAGATTCCAAAGTCGAATTCTGGTTGTACTGATTCTCTACACTGAAGTTTAATAGTCTGTGCCCAAGTTCAAATTTAGAAAGGATAAACTGGAAAATTAATGATATTTTAATGACTGTATCTTTATGCAGAGCCTTGTGTGCTACATACATTTTACATACACTCCTGTAGGGGATGGGCAACCATTGTAGAACTATGAGCAGAGAAATGTTTGCATATGAGATAACTCAGATGGTAGTGAAGAATAGTAGGAGAGGCCAGGCTATGCAGGTGAGGAAGTGGAACCAGCGAGTCCTTTTAAATTTTGTAATTTAATATTGAACAGATATGACATTGATAAATTTTTGTAAAATTTGAAGAATAAAACAAAATAAACAATCACATACCTACCTTCCAACACAAGAAATAGGACATTGCCAGTTGCTTTGAAGAGTTCCCCGTCCGCTGTTACTCCAATCCTATCCCTCCTTTTCTCCACCAGAGGTAGCCACTGTCTTCAATTTTATGTTTATTATTACTTTGTTAAAAGTTCAACATATGTTTCACTTTCACAGTGAACAACTTGTATGGCTTTTCAATGGTTTAGTTTTGCATGTTCTTGAACTTTATATAAATGAAGGCATGCTTTGTATTTTCTTCTGTAATGGGTTTGGTCATTCAACTTTAAGTTTATGAGATATATCCATGTTGAATTTTGTAGCTGTGGTTTGATGATTTTTACATTATATAGTATTACATTCCATGGATAGTTCTCAGTAGATAATCCTCCTATTGTTTAACATTTGCGTTGCTTCTCATTTTGACCTATTTTAAACAGGCCTCTTTAAATATACACTTCTCTGTAGTGTATGCTAGAAATGGAGTGGCTGGAATAAAAGTGGCTGAATCATCTTCAACTCTAGTAAGATGTCAAACTGTTTTCTAAAAGTGTTTTATTTTAACTATTATATGTCAATTTTGAACAGCTCTTTCACTTACTAGCAATTTATTATCAGCAACACTTGTTATTGTCAGACTTTTAAGTTTTCATTCACTGGGTAACATGACATCTTTTTGTGGTTCTAATTTGCATTTCCATGCCTACTAATGAATTTGAGCTTGTTTTAGTACAATTATTGGTCATTTTTATTTCCTCTGCTGTGAAATGCCTGTTCAGGATTTGTTCATCTTTTTTTAAAATAGTTTGCAAATATGTTGCCTAGCTTGTGGCTTGACTTTTCAGTTTCTTCAGTATTACATTTGATAAAGAGAAGTTCTTAAACTTCAATGTGATCATATTTATGTTTTGCTCATTTAAAAAAACCTGGTTAAATATTTCACAAATCGACATTATGATATATTATCTTCCAAAATTTTAATAATTTTGTCTTTTTTCACATTTTAGTCTTTAGCTCAGCTGGAATTCATTTCTGTGTGTGGTGTGAGATAAGTCTTTTTCATGTTTTTCCCTATGAAATAAATTATTTCCTTCTGTATTGCAGGTAGCTGAGACCAATGATGCTGACCTCCCTCAAAAGCTGCATTTCTGAATTTCTGAAGGCAAACTGTCTGCCTATATTGTACAGCAAAATAATTTCCTGTATTAAAACGTTTTTATTGCTCTAAATTTCTAGATTAAACTCTGCTTAGGTATTGCTAAGAGGGTAGCCAAGTATAGAAACTTAAATTTACTGACAGAAATCTAGAGAATGCTTAATTTTTTTTCCAGCAGTGAAGTAGAAGAGACAGGGATATCCCAGAAGGTTATGCAAAACATCAAGAGAAGATGAGAGGGTAAGGTTTATAGACTGAGTTATTAGAAAAATGCACAATGGGGTTTGGGTTGCATAAAAACAGGGTCTATGGGTGTGTATTTATAAGTTCACACATGCACACACAAACACACACATATATGTACACACACAGGCAGCCCTCAACATTCTCATGATTGGCTTTTGTACATTATTTTTTAATTATTAATACCTCAAAATGTGTTTATATAGAGAAATTGAACTTTAGTGCATCACAAAAGAGAAGAGACTTCAATTTCTAGTTCAAGAAATGAATGAGAAAGATCCTTAGAATTTATAGCACCTGGAGATCTACGAGAAAAACTAGTTTATTTTCTCCATTCATTCTTGAGATTTGAAATCAGTCTGTTGCGTTCAAGTTCTTAAATTAGTTGCATGTTGAATTAATTAGAAAATATCACTATGACTACAGTGACTTCGTATAAAAAGAGAGGTGGAATTTTTATGAGTGTGGCCTTTAAGATTATCAGGGAACACTAGGAATAAAACCTAAGGTGATGATTCACTCTGCAATGTAGGTTAGCTAGAGGATAATGACCCATGTGTTCTGATCCAGCAGCATCTCTTTTTCAGATTAGTGGATAAGTACATCCAGTGGAGTCAGATTCCCTTGGGCAAATGATAGTTCTGCCAATGATTAGCGTTGCCATCTTGGGGAAGTCATTTTACCTTTCTGTGTCCCCTTTACTCATGTTTAAAATGGAAATAACGACGTAACTGCTTGATGGGGGTGTTGTTATGTTTAAATGCAATAATACCACTTCAAAGTGCTTAGAGGGGTAACAGATGCATCATGACTGTCCAACAAATTTTAACTGTTATTATGTTTATTACGTTTACCTAGTACTCTGTGATGTCGTAAGGATAAGAAAGATCAAGGGATCAGGAAAATGAAGATTTTAGCTTCATTCATCTTAACGAGGTTAACAGACATGATTTTCCCACTCTCCTTCAACACTCACATATCAATTTCATATTTGTGGAAAGTTTTCACTTACAACACTCAGTATATACCACTTAGAATTATGAAAGTATATCCTGTAGGGCAGATCCACATGCAGAAGAATGAAACTAGACCCCTATCTCTCACCATACACAAACATCAAATCAGATGGATTAAACACTTCAATCTAAGACCTCTCACTATGAAATGACTATGAGTAAACATTGTAGAATATTCATCTGGGAAAAAATTTCTTGCCCCACAAGCACAGGCAACCAAAGTCAAAATGGACAAATGGGATCACATCAAGTTAAAAAGTTTCTGCACAGCAAAGGAAACTATCAGTAAAACATAGAGGCAACTCACAGAACTGGAAAAAATATTTGCAAACTCCTCAACCAACAAGGGGTTAGTAACCAGTGTATATATAAGGAGCTCAAACAACTCTACAGGAAAAAAAATCTAGCAATCGATTAAAAATGGACAAAGGATTTGAATAGACATTTCTCAAAAGAAGATATACGAATGTCAGAAAAGCATATAAAAATTTGCTCAACATCACTGATTGTCAGTGAAATGTAAATCAAAACTACAATGAGATATCATCTGACCCCAGTTAAAATGGCATTTATCCAAAAGACAGGCAATAATAACAAATGTTGACAAGGACGTGGAGAAAAGGGAACGCTTGTACACTGTTGGTAGGAATGTAAGTTAGTACAACCCCTATGGAGAACAGTTTGGAGTTTCCTCAAAAAACCAAAAATAGGGCTACTATCCAATTCAGCCATCCTACTGCTGAGTATACACCCAAAAGAAAGGAAATCAGCATATCGAAGAGATATCTGCACTCCCATGTTTGTTGCAGTATTGTTCACAATAGCCAAGATTTGGAGCAACCTAAGTGTCCACCAACAGATACATGGATAAAGAAAATGTGGTACATATGTACAGTCATAAAAAAAGAACTAGATTTGATTATTTGCAATAACATGGATGAAACTGGAGGTCATTATTTAAGTGAAATAAACCAGGCACAGAAAGACAAACATTGTGTGTTCTCACTCATTCATAGGATTTAAAAATCAAAACAATTGAACTCACAGAGACAGAGAATGGAAGGATGGTTACCAGAGGCTAGGAAGCATAGTGGGGGAATGGGAGGAGGTGAGGATGTTTAATGAGTACAAAAAAATAGAAACAATGAATAAGACCTAGTATTTGATAGCACAACAGGAGGACTATGGTCAGTAATAATTAAATTGTACATTTTAAAACAACTAAAAGAATATAATTGGATTGTCTGTACACAAAAGATAAATGCTTCAGGGGATGGCTATCCACCAATTTTCCACAATGTGATTATTATGCATTGCATGCTTTTACCAAAATATCTCATGTACCCCATAAACATATACATCTAGTATGTACCTAAAAAAATTAAAAATATAAAAGAGTATTTGTATAATGGATAAGTACCATAGAAATATTTGGAAGAGCAAGGAGAAATTGGATATTTTTGTAATGATGAAAGTATGTATTTCTGTACTTTGCCTGTATATTTTTTAAGTAAAAACTGACCACAAGATGTCACTGTTAACATATGTATGGGAGGGAAAGTTGCCTTGAACAGCAGCTAGGTTTTGTGGGGCCGGTGTGGTTAGAAATCATTATTTTAAAATCCTTGGCAATAACTAAACCTCAACATGTTTCAGTTTTTCAAAACCACTGGAATGTTTTTAGAGTTTGGGAATTTTTTTTTAGTTTTGCAAAATATTTTCAGTTGAATTCACACCCAAGTATATTTATTTGAAAATTTAATTTAAAACAATATGGTTTGCTAACGAAGTTGAAGCCTCTATTCTCAAGTGGAGAATAAACCCACAAAACCACTCCGAGTTGGCATTACTCTTTTAACCAGGAACAATAGCTTTATTTGAACTAATGAACATTTCCTCCAGAAAAGATTTAATATAAGATGAAAAAGAGCATCATAGAAGATGCTTTAAGGACTAGAATTCGTCTTATCCCCAAATAATAGCTTAGGAATGGGAGTGTTAAATTATTTTTTGTTACCTTTTCACTACAATATTTTAAAAAATTACTTTGCATGTGACTTAGAAAGAAATCTATTGTTAACCCCCTACTTTCCAGCATGCCTATCTTTAAACCTTCCTTAATGTAAGTTTTGATTTCCAAAGCAGATCCCATAACTCTGACTCTGTTATGATTTTGCTTTTTACTCCTCCTGCTTTCTCTAGAGTCCTTCTCTTTCCCCTCATTTCTCTTCTACTGACCCTGCCTATACCATAGTCTCACTCTTAGACCTCTGTTTCTGAACCAATTCTGTTTTCTAGTTCATATGCTATTAGGCTGAGAGTCAGAAGGATTTGGGGAGTGTACGGAATAATCCTCCATTTTATTCAGTCTTGTTCAATTGATTTAACAATAGCTACATGCCAGTTTCTGTGTTAGTCATCTCTAATTGAAAAATTGAGTAAGTCTCCTTCAACAAAATCTGCTCAAAGTTATCATGTTTTTACAAAGCCCCTACTGGACTGCATGTGATTAGTTATTAAACATTTTATGAATAAATGAAAAACAACGACAAGTTCACTGCTTTGGAGATGGCATGGAGTATTAAAAAAAGGAAAAAATCCCAAAACATTAGTTTGTACAACAAGAGAGAAAGAGTTATAACTCTGGATCCACAGTTAGTTTTCATCACCTTCATCAAATCACTTATTGCCAAACCCCAATTTCCTCATCCATAAAATTAAGAAACAAGACTAAAAGAGTTCTAGGGTACTTTTCATTTTTTCCCATTCTGTGAGAATTTAGGTTCACCTGTTTAACTATTGAAAAGTATTAATTGCTAGAAAGTTTTTCCTGAGTTGAACTTGATGTCTAAAAGCTTCCCTGTAGCTTTTAGCCATTGGTCCTAGTTCTGCTCTTAAGAACCACATAGAGCTAAGTTCTTTCCTGCTTCTACATAACAACCTTTTAAATACTTGTTGAAAATTGTCATTTAACTAAGCATCTTTTTCATTTTCTTAAACTCACCTTCAGTTTTTCACCATCTTAATATTAGTACTAATTTTAGGTCCCCATCATCTTGCAATAGTCTTAAAATATGATGCTCAAACTGGAATTTGATACAACAGATAGTTGGAGGAATCAAGAATACATTGAGATCATTGATTTCCAGAATAATTTTTGTAGTCTAATGTCATTACCTACTTTATTAATCAAATCTTTCCAAACCTTTTGCCCATGAAATACCGTGACCCAGATTCCCACTGGTCTGATGAATGTGTGCATTTATACATGTATGTGTATACACGTGTGTGTGTTTATGTGTGTGGCCAAAATCTACCTCTCCAGCCTTACACTGAACTGCAATGATATGACATCTAGGTTATGGCTGATTAAGTAGCAAAATAAATGTGTCGGCCAGGCGCGGTGGCTCATGCCTGAATTCCCAGCACTTTGAGAGGCCGAGGCGGGCAGATCACGAGGTCAAGAAATCAAGACCATCCTAGCCAACATGGTGAAACCCTGTCTCTACTGAAAAATACAAAAATTAGCTGGGCGTGGTGGTGCGTGCTTGTAGTCCCAGCCACTTGGGAGGCTGAGGCAGCAGAATCGCTTGAACCTTGGAGGTGGAGGTTGCAGTGAGCCAAGATCGCACCACTGCAACACAATATATATATTTTATAGCATATATATTTATATATTTATTTTTACAGTATATATTCATTGTATAAATAGTAAGTATACTATTTATACAATAATATACAATATATAAAACATATATATATGTTATACATATATATGTATTAAAACATATAAAACATATAGTCATTGTATATACTATTCATACAATGAGTTCTTATTCGTGTGGAAACTGTCCACATGATTATTCATAGCACAGGAAAAGGAAAAATCATATTTGCTGGATTTTTAAAAATAAACAACTGAAGCGGACCAGTTGCGACTGGACTTGAAATCCCAAATGTGTGAATTACCATCTAGATTTAAAACCTATAATCTAAATGAACCTATGAGTCAACAAACTCCTTTGGAATATATCACCTAGTCTTAAATGGCTATATAGAAGCAAAAACAATGGAAGAGTAGAATAATGAAGTGGCTTAGAATGTAGGAATAAGAAACAGATGGGTTTCAAATCTTGTATCTTTCATGTACTATATCGCACATATTTGGCTGTATACCTGCTCCTAGCATTAGTGTAAGGTTTAATTAAGATGAGATATATAAGCCTTTTAGCATAGCACCTGGTATACCAAGGGCATTCCATAAAATATATCAAATATGATGACTAATAAACAGGTTGCAAATATGTTTGTACTTTCTGTCTACATAGAATTGAGATATGTTTAAATAAACCGAGTGATGGATTTACAGTGATATCACAATATCTGGCCCCTTCTGTGTTCCTTAGTCAGTGCTTATGAAAAAATTGTCAAGAATTAGAGAACTGGCTTCTGGAACCACCACACACAGGGTTAATGTCTGATAGAAGCTCTGTTAGCATGGCCAACCACTCTTCCTCTTTTCTTTAATGTGGCGGTAATAGCATTTGGTTCTGGTTTGTACATAGAATTATGAGGGAAGGAGGTAGCTAAATATCCGTTTGCTTCTCTCCTCACTGCCTCTTACACTAAACTTGGAATTTCTTTTTTAATTTGGGGCTCTCAGAAAACTGAGACTTGCTAGAGAAAAATAAAAACCTCCATATAACAAACCACACCTTCTTCCCTCAGTATTTTAGAAAATAGTTAATTGAAATTAGGGTCTCTGGACTTTTTCTTCTAAATGAGGACAATTTGGGGGATTTCAAAAGGCTTTCACCATTACCTCATTTCATTCCCATGGGTGCATTTAAGTAACTAGCTCAGCAAGAATTCAGATGACGAATTCCTCATTACTTTGTTATTAAACTAAAGAGTCACTGACTCTCCTCCCATGGCCAATATCCACACTTATTAATCTTTCCATAAAAAGTAATCATTTGGGCCCATATCTTATGATACTTTGCCCCGATAAAACTTGGCTGTGGTTCAGTGACCATTTCCTCTACACTGACAATATAATCTAATTATTTTCTCCCACTGATCTCTGTCAAAATGATGATGCTGGAACATGTCATAATTACTACATAAATATGTTATTACAAATTATGTATATTACTGAGTTCTCCGAAATGCAGATTGAGTCATATTCACTCACAGGCTTTGTGACATTACCAACTTTAAATTAGGCAATTTTAGAAAATGTATAAATTCTTTCAGCAATTTATTAAATAAGTCATATGCTCCCAAGTATCTTGCTAGGTTTTTATCCAGAAATTCAGGTTAGAGCCCTTATTTAGGGATCTACAAGATCCATAGGACTTTTCTCTGGTTTTGTTTTGAAATTAATCTTTAAAAACTTTGTTTTGTTATATTTAAAGCCAAAATATTTTCTTTCTCTTTGATAATTTACACCTGAAAGATATTTTCTTAAATTGAGGACTCTCAAATTTGGATTCATGAATCTCTTATTCACTGGTCTGTGAGAGCATTTTTTCCCTTTAAAAGGAATCTGCTCATTATTAAAGCTTGACAAGTAATACTTAAATTACTTTTGTAAGTAGCAAGTACTTGTTAAGTTTTCTTAAGTTTTAAGTTTTCTGTAATTTAATTTAATTTCAGTGATATTGACTTTATAAAAAGAACATGTTATTCTTAATTTTTCTAATTCACAGGACTAAACAGAAACTACTGTAAACCCCTCCTCTGCCGGTTTTGTCACTCAGAAGATACTTAACGTCAGCAATGATGAATGTTTAGGACATTTTTAGTAAAAGGAATAAAAGGTCCTTGATATTGATAAAGGAATAGAAGGTCCTCGTGATTGATAACAATAATAGTTGTTATCAATACGGTGTATTAAAACTCTGTTATCTAAAGCTATTAGCTGACAGAGCTTAGAAGTCCCTTCAAAAAAGCAGAAGAGATTGACGATGAACGTGTTTCATAGTTTGCTATTTCTACATCAAAACTTAAGCCCTGAAATATGATAATGCCAGCAGCTAGTCACTGATTTGTCTTTGTTAACCCCCTCAATGATTACATAGACAAATGTAGTTTTAGTCCCTTCTCCGTTCCAGTCCATCTGCCACATATTCACTTTTCACCAGCACTTACTTCTCTATCAAAATATTTTCCAGGATGAGAAAAGAACCAACTTTCAGGCAAGAGAGAAATGAGAATGAGTGATTCTAGCTAATGACTACCAGATAAGAATTTGCTTATTTTCCTAATGGTCTACTGTGCCCTGCTAAGCTATCATGTCACAAACAAAATAGATAAGTCTAATGGGAGAAACATCTAAGGTTTCAGGATACAGCCACAGCACCTTTTTCTACGTAAAATAGTTTTTAAATAAATAAACTAATAGTGGCTGCCAACAAATGAAATCTAAGAATAATATAACTGAGCTTTCAGGCAAAATATTGTCACAACTTGTGAAATCAATAAAAATAAAATCTGTAAGGACTAAACACATAAATTCTCTTGTCTACCTTACAAAATATTTCTATACTTAAGAAATAGTGCACAGAAAGACATAAATGTAGTAAAAACATATTTCTTCACTGGAAGACAAGATTGAGAATTCCAGTCTAGGGTTGCATCATTTATACTTTTGTCCACTGTTTTCCTGCCATAATTATCTGAGATGCATTTCCCAAAGTAGTCTCAAATAGGAAGCCCCTATTAAACAAAATGTAAACATTAAACAAATAGTAATGGTGGTCTTCAGTCTTCAGTTCACCACAGTGGTCTGACCACATCGAACATGAATGAGTAGGTGGTTTCCAGAAAACTGTCAAATAATAGAAAACAATCTGTTGAAAATAACACTGAGTGGTGGAAAAAGAGATGCCAAACTGTTTCATCCTCATATTAATAAATGAAATAAAGTAAAAATATTAATGAAAATACAATAGAGCAAGAATATCATTTAAGGAAAACATTTCCATATGGTTTATTATAATTAACAGTTATAGAGAGTAAAAGCAAGAAAATGGGGGGAATTTTGGTCACTGTATTGAGAACTGGTCTGGCATGGAGGTTGCCTTACCTGCCTTCAGGAAGCCACTTATTTATTACTCTGTTTTTATCTATCAGCAAATGATGCCCAGGGAGAGAAAGAAATCCTGCTTTAAAGAGATATTGAGTTTATTGAATTTAACATTTGTAAAGTTGGTTTAGTTGCTTAGTAATCAAAAAAAGTAAGTTAAAACTATTATTATATTGTTTGTGGCATTTAAACCTATAATTAAGGTGACCAAATATTTTCCATAACCCCCCTTATGTTTAGCCATTTACAATTTTTTTTTTTTGCAATTTTGTGATTTGAAGCTAAAACTTTCCATGGGTTCTATGTATTTATTGCCTGGAATCACTTAAAAATAATTCAAATAAGTTTGAATTTTGGTAATTTGTCTTTCCTTGACTAATTTAAGAGATAGTCATTGGCATTTTTATAGAAAACAAAGCACATTCTATATTTCATTTTGGATTAGATCTTAAAATCAAATGTAACATTCAGAAAACCTTCAAAAAGGCCATATATGAGCTTGGAAAATAATAGTTTAAAGATAATAATGCCATTCATAAATTAAAACCATGATCTCAACATGCTCTGTTGCAAATTTTACTTGGAAATGTGTTCCTGCTACCCGGATCAGTTCCTCCTCTCTCATTTGATTTACAACCTCACCAACTGGTTGTTTGAATGTTGTACAGATTATACTATAATAATTATTTTTATATTTTGAAAAAGACTTCTAGAAGCATTATCTTAGAAAATTTTCCATAATATATGATATGGTTTGGCTGTGTCCCCATCAAAATCTCATCATGAATCCCCACATGTTGTGGGAAGGACCTGGTAGGAGGTAATTAAATCATGGGGGCACTTCTTTGCCATGCTCTTCCCATAAGAGTGAATAAGTCTCTTGAGATCTGATGGTTTTAAAAAGGGGAGTTTCCCTGCGTAAACTCTCTTTTTGCCTGCCACCATCCATGTAAGACATGACTTGCTCCTCCTTGCCTCCCAACATGATTGTGAGGCCTCCCCAGCCATCTGGAACTATAAGTCCATTAAAACTCTTTTTCCTCCCAGTCTAGGGTATGTCTTTATCAGCAGTGTAAATCAGATGAATACAATATATAATACACATTATATGTATATTACTTTATATTATTAATCATTTAAGAGGAATAGTATGTAAACGTGAGATGAATTACAATCTTATATAGCAAAATTCAATCTTAGATTGATTATAATATTTTAGTTTTAGAGCTCCAACACTTAGTCAATGGATATTATAGGGCAAGAAGTACAGGATGGGGATGGAGAAGAAAAGAGAGGGAAAGGGAAATCTCAATAATATCTTCAGTTTTCCAAAGTTCATATACATTTCTTTCTTTTTTTTTTTAAATTTAATAACCAGAAAGTGGGTGATTAGGTTGTTCACTCTACATTATCAGTACAAGTAAACTAGTTGATGAAGTTTTGTTGTTGTTGTTGTGTTTAAACTTATGAAGATATTCGATAAAGATACTGGAATATTTTCCATAGCTTTTAATTTGAGAGTACAGACTATTCTTCATACGTTTATTGAGAATCTTCTGTGCTCAGCTGGATTAGGCAAAAGCAGTACCAAAAGAATTAGGCACAGAAAACTGTTTTAATTAGGGTAACAGAAAGCAGCTGCAATACAGAGTGATGAATGTGAACTTTGAAAGTAAATTTGGTGGGTTTCAGGATTTCTGAGGAGGGAAGTCAAACAGTTCTAAAGAGTTGGCAAGGCCAATTGAGAGGGTGGTAAGCTATCCTAAGCCCTTTCTTCTACATTAACTCTGCTTTCCAGTTAGTCTTCAGGTGCTTTAGAATTTGAGATCCTTTTTTCTCATTGTGTGGTCCATGGACTAGAAGTATTAGCACTACCTGGAAACTTGTTCAAAATGCAGAATTCTGGGCCCCAAAACAGACCTACTAAATAAAAGTCTCCATTTTAAAGAGATTGCTAAATGATTCATAACTTGTTAAAGTTTGAGAGGCATTACCTTAGATTCTGTCTTCTTCTTACCTTTCAAACCCAGCTGAAAGTGGGTTTGTATTTCCCTTTACTTTCGACCTTTAGGGAAGTACCATCTCAAAGAACACCTGTATGTATGCAACGTATTTAAGCAGAAAGAATGGGCTCAAGATAACCCTTGATTCTAGTTCCCTACAGCATACATGTGAATGGGAAACATTCATAAGTTCCTATTTGCCAAGGGCATGTAAATGTGATAAAGCAGATCCGAAGACACATGGGAGTGAGACTAGGAAAGTATTAAGAACATGGGCCTTGACCGGGCGCAGTGGCTTACGCCTGTAATCCTACCACTTTGGGAGGCCGAGGCTGGTGGATCACAAGGTCAAGAGTTCGAGACTAGCCTAGCTAAGATGGTAAAACCCCGTTTCTAAAAATTAGCTGGGCACAGTGGCGGGCACCTGTAATCCCAGCTACTTGGGAGGCTGGGGTCACTTGAACCCTGGAGGCGGAGGTTGCAGTAAGCTGAGATCACGCCACTGCACTCTAGCCTAGGTGACAGAGCAAGACTCTGTCAAAAAAAAAATAATAATAAAAAAGAATGTGAGCCTTTTGACTAGGAGCTATGGCATAACCATAGACAATAGCAAGATGCCTCAGTGCACCCAAAGGCCAGAAGGGATGGATACATCAACAGTGGAGACCAGAAAATGTCCAGAAGGCAACTAGTGGAACAGAGGTCTCTCCGATCCCCACTCTTAACGAATTTTTCCTTAAGCTCAGATATCTCCCAGGGAGAGACAAAAAAGAAGGGTGGTGTAGAAATGGGAGAAAGAAGGTAGGACGAGCACCTGGAATTGGCCTAGCTAACCTGAAAAAGACTAAGTTTTAAACTGGAAGAAAATGGGTTGCCTGGCAGGGCCAAGTTTAAGTTATTTTCTCCATTAGCAGATATGAAGCTGTATGTACAAATAATTCTTTTATGAAAAATAAAACTCTACTTATGCATACCTGGTTGACAATATGACAATTTTAAACTACAGTATAAATATGAGATGTTGGTTAAAATCCTTCAGTGGCTTCTTATGTCTACTTGTGTTCTGTCTTTCTTGGCACATCCTATTTTATTTGGTTCTGGCCTACCTCTCTAGCATCATTTCCTGAAACCAGCAATGGAAACTGAAAAATAAAGAATGTGTCAAGTAATAGAAGGAAATTAAAGTGTAAATTCTAAGCCATTAGACCTATATTATTCTCTGTGTGTGTGCACATGTGTGTATCGGTCTGTCTATCTGACTGTGTGTAATATGTATAAGAATATTGACTCTTTAACCACTTAACTCTGACCAAAATAACGCTGCATTAAAAAGTATCCCAAAACTTAGTGGCTTAAAACGCTGAATCAGTTATCCAACAGATCTTCAGATTGGCTGACATTTGTCCAAGTCAGTCTTGCATGGATGGTTCTACTGGTCTTCTCATTCATACTCTGGAACCAGTTGAGTTCACTTGGGCATGGCTCTGCCTCACATGTTGCATATCCTCCTGTGGGACCAGCAGACTAGTCTAAGCATATCCTTCTTGTGCTACCATAGGTTCAAAAGTAGCTTTATAAACTTCTGTTCATGTCCCGTCTGCTAATATTCCACTGGTGAAAGAAAGTCACATGAAAAAAAAACAGTCAAGGGGTTGGAAAATTTGTTCCACAAACTATAGGAAAGCACTGAAAGCTACATGCCAAAGAATATAGGTTTATAATTCAATTACTGCAGATAGAAAAGTAATGCACTCTACCTCAAATCTCGTTTTTAAAATAACTGCCACCACATCATTGGAAAGATGTGTAGCAATTAGAGATACAAAATTTGGCACAGTAGCGCTCAATCTCTCCACAATATAACCCCATAATCTAGTCTTGTTTTCATTTTCTATCATTTAAGACAGCTTATTTAAAGGATTACAAAATGATAGCTGAATTATATTTTATAATCAATGCATTCATAAATGTGATTTTATCATTTTCATGTTCTTTTAGAGAAGTGAACAAACTATAGCTTGTGGGCCAAATCTGGCTCAGCACATGATTTTGTAAATAAATTTTGATTGGAACACAGCTGCTCTCATTTGCTGATGTACTCTCTATGGCTGCTTTGATGCTACCACGGCAGAGTTGGGTAGTTGTGCCCAAATATTTACTGAAAAGCTGAAAATATTTACTATCTCACTCTTTGCAGAAGTGTTTCACACTCTGTTTATCATATTTAAGGCAATTATACCTTCTATTGCCCTTAGCTGTCAACAAAGTTCTATCTTCCTTCAAAAATGAAGAAAGCTTTAATGAATAATGGAGCCAGGATCTGAATGCACACCTGGCTGACTCTAAAGCCAGTACTTTCATCTAATAGATTATGCTGCTTCCAAAGTATTTATAATACTTTGAAGAATGCCACCCCTTATATGGGTGGGGAAATAGAGGGCCCAATGTATCACTTACATTCAAATTATGCAAAAATTCTGTTAAAATTTTTAAATTCTTGAGCTAATAAAATTTATATGCCAGAGATTTGTAAATCTGAATTTCAGCAAAGGTCATAGGTAGTCCTTATTTACACTAAAAATAAAGATCCTGAGGTATAAGTGAAGGAAGCAATATGTGATTAATATTGGATTTGAGCTGGGTTGGAGGAGAGTTGAAAAAGCTTCACATCATTATGGTGACAAATTGAGTAGAGAATCGATGCAGCCTGGGAAAATAAAGGACTTCTAAAGAGAACCAAAAAATCACTAGAAGTTGTCTAAAATATACTTGGAATACATAGTATTCTAGCTCATCCTCAGTTTTCCACCTTGGGTCTACTATTGTGATTATGATTGTCATGTGAACCTCCAATCCAGAAGCAGCTCAGATAAACAAGAAAACTTAGGAGGGCAGAAATAGTGTATGCATACTATATACACAGATGTCTGTTTTATGGGTGGAATTTTCTTGTAATCCACTTTTCCAATAAATATTTGGGGTATGTTATAAGAATATCAACAAAAATATGATACAACATTAACACAATAGGAATAGATTATCATAATGTAATTTATATTGTGAATTGTCTTTTCAGTCAAAATATTGATTGTGACTTTTCTTTCTGTTTCAAAATTGTAGGGAAAGGATAAAGCTGAAAACAAAGGGTCATTAGCACCCTACTTTGCAGGTTCAGAAAGATGTCTCCAAGTAGCCTAGAGTAGAATCTAGCTACAGTGCTGCAGGGCTTGCCAAGAGACATTGGAAGCAGTCTTACTGCCGCCCCTCAGTTGATAAATATATATGAGCAATGTTGCTTTGCCTCCCCAAAACAAAGTTAGGCACTGTAAGTAAATCTTTCATAGAGACTGGGGAATTCCTGCAGAAAGAGATGCTTGGTGTCTTGTCTTTCCCAACTAGAGACTTGCTGAGATGCAGAGACTAAAATCTCAACTCAGGCCAATGCTAGGGAAGATTTTAGTGAGAGTATCCTCAGAATAAACATGTGAAATCTCAGAGTATGTTACACTATTCTCTTCGGTTGCTTTTATTCAGGTATGAGAAAAATTAGGAGAACTTGACATGTACCCTCTGCAATTTGAACATAGATATTTGTGCTTCTCCTTGTATAGAGATTTCTGAGGCCTGGAGGTCTGGTGGAATGGGATACACCTTCAGGTTTTCAAAGGGTCATAGTGTAATGTGTCTGGGAATAAAATAGGGCCCCTTAGGGTTATGGGAATGTGTAAGAAAGGATACCATGGGGGTCAGTGGTGTGGGATGAGCTGCAGAGCTGCTCAAGAGGCCATAGAGGTCAAGTGATTAGATGTTTATATTAGAGAAAGGATTGGGGATTTTGTACCTTTGACTTGTCAAAGAGAGTCAAGACTGTACTTTGGAGGAGGCAAAGAGCCTGGGGCAAGGTGAAAAAAAATAAGTCTGTGTAGCACTTAAGCATCATATGAATAGGACGCTAGGAGAAAAGGTGAGACCAATTGAAACCGGAGTGAGGTCAGAGAATCTCTCCACCACAAATACTTGTCCGCCACCCTCATTTCTCCACAGTGTCCCTACTGTGGAAACTAAATGCCAAGAAACGGAAGAAGATGAGGTTTCTCTGCCACCTTACTCCAAGAGCTGAGGAGGCAAGGTTTTAGCCTGTGGTAGATAAGGCAAGGGGATCCTTTCTGAACTGAATTAAGATTAAAGTTTTTAAAATAAAAAGAAATATGTCTAGTACTAAAACAAACAAACAGAAATTTTTGCTAATAACTGAAAGTAATTGCTGGGAGATAATCCCCATGATTGTCTTGCATTTCTGTACTTCCTACAAGTAGATGCACCAGCTGACTTTGTTCTGGACTCTCTTTATGAGAGTATCTGTATAACAGATGCTCTCTGAAGTAAACATAGTGTCTCTATCTGGAGCAAAAGGCCAGTATAATAAAATTGATGTCTGTATCTAGAGCAAGGGCAAGCAAGCATCCTGCCAATGATGAAAGATTTGGGCTCCCTAGACTTGGGTTTCATCTCCTGTAACACAACCTGCTGCATGTGCAGGTGGAATGTGGCCCTCTTCACCTCACCCTATGAGAAGTGAGACTTGTGCAACTAGCACAAAAATGCAAATGCTCTGATACTTCTATTCTTAAGAAGAATAGTCTATCTTTCTGCTCTGACCCATGAGTTTTAAGTCTTCTAACAGCATCAGTGAAACCATGGTAGGCTAACTTGTCTCATTTTTCACTGTTCACGGGAGTGTATGTATATAAAATATACTTACTTGCCTCTCCCAGAAGACTGCTAAAGCTTCATTCCTTTATGGCATTAGGCTCAGGCATAGAGTCCAGAATGTCATTGCTGAAATGATATTCAAATAATGGATAAGACTCCTCTGGTGCAGTTATCCCTGATCTGTAGATCTGTGAACTGAAGTTATCTATTACCCATATTGTATGCTGAGGTTCAGATAGGGACATATAATGGTGAGATAGGGATACATGAACCACAATATAATATCTTCTTTAAAAATGATCTGTATGGTGGTGAGAGGCACCTAACAGTCACTAATTTTGAAATTCTGGAATCTAGCCCTCTTTATTTTTCTAGGGGCAAAAATAGTGTGTTCATTAGAACTCAGTGCTACTCTCTGAGAGTGTTTTTGTTTTGTTTTGTTTTGCAGCTCTTTGTTCCACCCTCTGGGGTCTTTATTTTCTATGATAATATCCTGCATTTGCATGTGAATAGTTTTCTCAGGCTATGTTTGGCCTGTAGGATTTAGAAATCTTTTTTTTTTTTTTTTGCTTTAAATATCTTTGTTCCTTTTAGTGCAAACTAATATAATTCCTTTCAAAGCTTTGTGGTTTTCCTGAGTATCAAATTATAAGAGTATAAAACACATACCCTTAACATCCTATAAGTCTTTTGCATGGCTGAGAAGTTTATAAAGCACCATCTTAAATATTTCTCAGTTCTCTAAAAGAGGTCTTATAGCTGTACCCTTCCTTGACTTTTTACTATTTGAAATCACGGTTTACTGTCATCACCTTGTGCTTGATACTTGCACTGAGACCTGTTTTTACCTTAAAAACCTTTTGCCAACTGGAAAGTCTAGGAATGAAGAACAGTTTTGCTTTCCAACACAACAAGTTCTCATTTGTAAACAATTCCTCTAAATTATGTTCAAAAACTGAACATTTCCCTCTTTAGTTCACTTTTTTGAAATACTTTAAAAAGACCATTTATACCTGCAATATTCTTCTTGAAAATCACCTTCTCTAGACTACAGATTGGTAGTCACTTTCAGTTTACTGCAAGTGATAGCCTCCCAATTGTTCTACCAATATACAGCTCCAAACCCCTCCACCTTTTTGTTTTTAATTTTATTATTATTATATTTTAAATTTTAGGGTACATGTACACAATGTGCAGGTTTGTTACATATGTACACATGTGCCATGTTGGTGTGCTGCACCCATTAACTCGTCATTTAGCATTAGGTATATCTTCTAATGCTCTCCCTCCCCCCTCCCCCCACCCCACAACAGTCCCCGGTGTGTGATGTTCCCCTCCCTGTGTCCATGTGTTCTCATTGTTCAATTCCCACCTATGAGTGAGAACATGCGGTGTTTGGTTTTTTGTCCTTGCGATAGTTTGCTGAGAATGATGGTTTCCAGCTTCATCCATGTCCCTACAAACGACATGAACTCATCATTTTTTATGGCTGCATAGTATTCCGTGGTGTATATGTGCCACATTTTCTTAATCCAGTCTATCGTTGTTGGACACTTAGGTTGGTTCCAAGTCTTTGCTATTGTGAATAGTGCCACAATAAACATACGTGTGCATGTGTCTTTATAGCAGCATGATTTATAATCCTTTGGGTATATACCCAGTAATGGGATGGCTGGGTCAAATGGTATTTCTAGTTCAAGATCCCTGAGGAATCGCCACACTGACTTCCACAATGGTTGAACTAGTTTACAGTCCCACCAACAATGTAAAAGTGTTCCTGTTTCTCCACATCCTCTCCAGCACCTGTTGTTTCCTGACTTTTTAATGATTGCCATTCTAACTGGTGTGAGATGGTATCTCATTGTGGTTTTGATTTGCATTTCTCTGATGGCCAGTGATGATGAGCATTTTTTCATGTGTTTTTTGGCTGCATAAATGTCTTCTTTTGAGAAGTGTCTGTTCATATTCTTTGCCCACTTTTTGATGGGGTTGTTTGTTTTTTTCTTGTAAATTTGTTTGAGTTCATTGTAGATTCTGGATATTAGCCCTTTGTCAGATGAGTAGGTTGCAAAAATTTTTTCCCATTCTATAGGTTGCCTGTTCACTCTGATGGTAATTTCTTTTGCTGTGCAGAAGCTCTTCAGTTTAATTAGATCCCATTTGTCAATTTTGGCTTTGGTTGTCATTGCTTTTGGTGTTTTAGACATGAAGTCCTTGCCCATGCCTATGTCCTGAATGGTATTGCCTAGGTTTTCTTCTAGGGTTTTTATGGTTTTAGGTCTAACATTTAAGTCTTTAATCCATCTTGAATTAATTTTTGTATAAGGTGTAAGGAAGGGATCCAGTTTCAGCTTTCTACATATGGCTAGCCAGTTTTCCCAGCACCATTTATTAAATAGGGAATCCTTTCCCCATTGCTTGTTTTTCTCAGGTTTGTCAAAGATCAGATAGTTGTAGACATGTGGCATTATTTCTGAGGGCTCTGTTCTGTTCCATTGATCTATATCTCTGTTTTGGTACCAGTACCATGCTGTTTTGGTTACTGTAACCTTGTAGTATAGTTTGAAGTCAAGCAGCGTGATGCCTCCAGCTTTGTTCTTTTGGCTTAGGATTGACTTGGCGATGCAGGCTCTTTTTTGGTTCCATATGAACTTTAAAGTACTTTTTTCCAATTCTGTGAAGAAAGTCATTTGTAGCTTGATGAGGATGGCATTGAATCTGGAAATTACCTTGGACAGTATGGCCATTTTCACGATATTGATTCTTCCTACTCATGAGCATGGAATGTTCTTCCACTTGTTTGTGTCCTCTTTTATTTCATGGAGCAGTGGTTTGTAGTTCTCCTTGAAGAGGTCATTCACATCCCTTGTAAGTTGGATTCCTAGGTATTTTATTCTCTTAGAAGCAATTGTGAATGGGAGTTCAGTCATGATTTGGCTCTCTGTTTGTCTGTTATTGGTGTATAAGAATGCTTGTGATTTTTGTACATTGATTTTGTATCCTGAGACTTTGCCGAAGTTGCTTATCAGCTTGAGGAGATTTTGGGCTGAGACGATGGGGATTTCTAGATATACAATCATGTCATCTGCAAACAGGGACAATTCGACTTCCTCTTTTCCTAATTGAATACCCTTTATTTCCTTCTCCTGCCTGATTGTCTTGGCCAGAACTTCCAACATTATGTTGAATAGGAGTGGTGAGAGAGGGCATCCCTGTCTTGTGTCAGTTTTCAAATGGAATGCTTCCAGTTTTTGCCCATTCAGTATGATATTGGCTGTGGGTTTGTCATAGATAGCTATTATTGTTTTGAGATACATCCCATCAATACCTAATTTATTGAGAGTTTTTAGCATGAAGGGTTGTTGAATTTTGTCAAAGGCCTTTTCTGCATCTATTGAGATAAACATGTGGTTTTCGTCTTTGGTTCTGTTTATATGTTGGATTACATTTACTGATTTGCGTATGTTGAACCAGCCTTGCATCCCAGGGATGAAGCCCACTTGATCGCGGTGGATAAGCTTTTTGATGTGCTGCTGGATTTGGTTTGCCAGTATTTTATTGAGGATTTTTGCATCAATGTTCATCAAGGATATTGGTCTAAAATTCTCTTTTTTGTTGTTGTGTCTCTGCCAGGCTTTGGTATCAGGATGATGCTGGCCTCATAAAATGAGTTAGGGAGGATTCCCTCTTTTTCTATTGATTGGAATAGTTTCAGAAGGAATGGTACCAGCTCCTCTTTCTGGTAGAATTTGGCTGTGAATCCATCTGGTCCTGGACTTTTTTTGGTTGGTAAGCTATTAATTATTGCCTCAATTACAGAGCCTGTTATTGGTCTATTCAGAGATTCAACTTCTTCCTGGTTTAGTCTTGGGAGGATGTATGTGTCGAGGAATTTATCCATTTCTTCTAGATTTTCTAGTTTATTTGTGTAGAGGTGTTTATAGTATTCTCTGACGGTAGTTTGTATTTCTGTGGGATCGGTGGTGATATCCCCTTTATCATTTTTTATTGTGTGTATTTGATTCTTCTCTCTTCTCTTCTTTATTAGTCTTGCTAGCGGTCTATCGATTTTGTTGATCTTCTCAAAAAACCAGCTCCTGGATTCATTAATTTTTTGAAGGGTTTTTTGTGTCTCTATTTCCTTCAGTTCTGCTCTGATCTTAGTTATTTCTTGCCTTCTGCTAGCTTTTGAATGTATTTGCTCTTGCTTCTCTAGTTCTTTTAATTGTGATGTTAGGGTGTCAATTTTAGATCTTTCCTGCTTTCTCTTGTGGGCATTTAGTGCTATAAATTTCTCTCTACACAGTGCTTTGAATGTGTCCCAGAGATTCTGGTATGTTGTGTCTTTGTTCTCGTTGGTTTCAAAGAACGTCTTTATTTCTGCCTTCATTTCGTTATGTACCCAGGAGTCATTCAGGAGCAGGTTGTTCAGTTTCCATGTAGTTGAGCGAATTTGAGTGAGTTTCTTAATCCTGAGTTCTAATTTGATTGCACTGTGGTCTGAGAGACAGTTTGTTATAATTTCTGTTCTTTTACATTTGCTGAGGAGTACTTCACTTCCAACTATGTGGTCAATTTTGGAGTAGGTGTGGTGTGGTGCTGAAAAGAATGTATATTCTGTTGATTTGGGATGGAGAGTTCTGTAGATGTCTATTAGGTCCGCTTGGTGCAGAGCTGAGTTCAATTCCTGGGTATCCTTGTTAACTTTCTGTCTCGTTGATCTGTTTAATGTTGACAGTGGGGTGTTAAAGGCTCCCATTATTATTGTTTGGGAGTCTAAGTCTCTTTATAGGTCACTAAGGACTTGCTTTATGAATCTGTGTCCTCCTGTATTGGGTGCATATATATTTAGGATACTTAGCTCTTCTTGTTGAATTGATCCCTTTACCATTATGTAATAGCCTTCTTTGTCTCTTTTGATCTTTGTTGGTTTAAAGTCTGTTTTATCAGAGACTAGGATTGCAACCCCTGCCTTTTTTTGTTTTCCATTTGCTTGGTAGATTTTCCTCCATCCCTTTATTTTGAGCCTATGTGTGTCTCTGCATGTGAGATGGGTTTCCTGAATACAGCACACTGATGGGTTTTGACTCTTTATCCAATTTGCCAGTCTATGTCTTTTAATTGGAGCATTTAGCCAATTTACATTTAAAGTTAATATTGTTTTATGTGTGTTTGATCCTGTCATTATGATGTTAGCTGGTTATTTTGCTCGTTAGTTGATGCAGTTTCTTCCTAGCCTCGATGGTCTTTACAATTTGGCATGTTTTTGCAGTGGCTGGTACTGGTTGTTCCTTTCCATGTTTAGTGCTTCCTTCAGGAGCTCTTGTAGGGCGGGCCTGGTGGTGACAAAATCTCTCAGCATTTGCTTGTCTGTAAAGTATTTTATTCCTCCTTCACTTATGAAGCTTTGTTTGGCTGGTATGAGATTCTGGTTTGAAAATTCTTTTCTTTAAGAATGTTGAATATTGGTCCCCACTCTCTTCTGGCTTGTAGAGTTTCTGCCAAGAGATCAGCTGTTAGTCTGATGGGCTTCTCTTTGTAGGTAACCTGACCTTTTTCTCTGGCTGCCCTGAACATTTTTTCCTTCATTTCAACTTTGGTGAATCTGACAATTATGTGTCTTGGAGTTGCTCTCTCAAGGAGTATCTTTGTGGCATTCTCTGTATTTCCTGAATCTGAATGTTGGCCTGCCTTGCTAGGTTGGGGAAGTTCTCCTGTATAATATCCTGCTGAGTGTTTTCCAACTTGGTTCCATTCTTCCCATCACTTTCAGGTACACCAATGTAACGTAGATTTGGTCTTTTCACATAGTTCCATATTTCTTGGATGCTTTGTTCGTTTCTTTTTATTCTTTTTTCTCTAAACTTCTCTTCATGCTTCATTTCATTCATTTCGTCTTCCATCGCTGATTGCAGTTCATTGCATCAGTTGATTGCATTGGCTTTCTTCCCGTTATTGCATCGGCTACTGAGGCTTCTGCATTCGTCACGTAGCTCTCGTGCCTTGGTTTTCAGCTCCATCAGGTCCTCTGAGGACTTCTCTGCATTGGTTATTCTAGTTATCCATTCGTCTAATTTTTTTTCAAAGCTTTTAACTTCTTTGCCATTGGTTCGAATTTCCTCCTATAGCTCGGAGTAGTTTGATTGTCTGAAGCCTTCTTCTCTCAACTCATCAAAGTCATTCTCCATCCAGCTTTGTTCCGTTGCTGGTGAGGAGCTGCGTTCCTTTGGAGGAGGAGAGGCGCTGTGATTTTTAGAGTTTCCAGTTTTTCTGCTCTGTTTTTTCCCATCTTTGTGGTTTTATCTACCCCCTCCACCTTTTAATAACAATCTCCTTCCTGCACTTCAAGCTTCCTTCAACAATCTCCTTACTGTCCGGTCCCAAAGCCACTACCCCTGTATTCGGTTATTATTACAGTGGTATCCTACTTTCAGATACTAATTTCTATTTCAATTTTCTATTGCTTCATAGCAAACAGTCCAAAACTTAGTGGGTTAAAACATCCACCATTTTATTTGCTCAGAATTTTATAGGTTGGCATGGGCTAAGCTGCACCATTCTTGTGCTGCTCTTGCTTGTGGTCAGATGGTGGCTGGAGCTGGAGCATTCAAGACAGCTTCCTCCATATATAGCTCTTTAGCAGGATCCAAAGCCATGCAAATAGATATCTTAGAGATAGTCTTTTGTCTATGAGTTTTATAGTGCCCAAGTGCTATGCCTTAATAGTGTGGAAACTCTTTCCCTCTCTATTTGGATTTTTCCACATGACTAGCTTGAACTTCTTCACATGGTGTCTGGATCTCAGGAGCAAGATTTACTAAACAACAAGCTCCAATGAGCAAGTGTGCATCAAGTCTCTACTTGAATTATGCTTGCATATACCCCATTGGTCAAACTAAGTAAATTCAGGAGATTACACTCAATTTTGGACAATGTAAATACCTTAGGACTGGTTCATTGTTTCACATAAGATTCAGCCCTGCAACATCAGAGCTTTCTTCATATATTTCTATTATTGCACTAATAATTTTGTAGTTTTGATTATTTCTTTCTATTTATCATTATGCCCACAGGAACTAGATAAAAGGTCTAAAATGCAGTGGGTTAACAATAAATGTTTGTCATTCTTTCTGAGTTAATGAATAAATATGGAACTATCAAGATCAAATCTATTTAAAACTATCAGAGCACTTCATGGATGGGGACCAACTTTGTCCTTGTATTAAATGCTTTTTGAAGACGTATAGTAATTTTTGCAAAGAAAAACAAGGTTTGTTAATATTAAAATATGAAATCTTTAGAGAAATAATTTAACATATCACATGGAAGAGAAAAGTATTTAAGAATATCTTAATTCTTCCAGTTAAGAGAAAACAGGTAAGAAAAGAATTTGTTATCAAGCTTTGAGTTTCGAGAACTTTTAGCATTTAAGTGAGAGGATTCTGACTTTAGTAGTTTCCTGTTGCTGTAACAAATCACCACAGATTTAGATATTTAAAACGTCACAAATTTGTTTTCTTATGGTTCTGGAGGTCAGCAGTCAAAAATCAGTTTCACTGGGGATCTTGAGGACCTGGAGGCAGAATCAGTTTCCTTCCCTTTTAGCTTCTATAAGAGTATTCCTTGACTTGTGGTCCATTGTCAAAGTATGCCACTCCAGTATCTGCTACCATCAACTTATCACCTGCTACTATTCTGACTCTATCTTCTCCTGGTCCTTGTTACAAGGATCTTATAAGACCCACCTGGATAATCTCTTAATCTCAAGATTCTTAATTTACTCACATCTTCAAAACATCTTTTTCCATATAAGGTGACATTCACAGGTTCTAGTGATTAGAATTTGAACGTCTTTGGGGGTGATTATTCATCCTACCACAGTGAGATACTAAATTATACATACTAAAATTATACATATTACACTAAATTATACATTTTTTTCTCTCTCCTTTGATCTGTTTTAAGAAAATTGTCAGTTGAAACAGTTTTGAGGATAGAAGCAGAGGCAGAAATCAGAAATAAACTGCAAATATTTCTGGCTTTTGTTTTATAAACATGTAAGTCTTAAGGAAGTTTAAAGCATGTAAAAGAAGACTCACAGATTAAGACAGTATGTGCTGGACATACACAAGGATAGGAGTGTCCATATTAAAAAAAAAAAAGGAAAAAAAAAGCTTGCTTTTTTTCTACTCTCACATACCACAACACACTTCTGACACCAGATTCTCCAGCAAACTGAGTGTCCTCTAATTCAATTCAATTCTGACAGTATCTACCTGGAGGCAGCATCAGCTCCCACAGTTTAAGAGCTCGGTGTTACAAGACCGCACCCACCTCAGACCCCAGTTGCAAGTCCCAGGTTGTTATCTTTGCTTCTGACTAATTGACTATAAATTAAGGTTTCTATGATCTCTTTCCCAGTTTGATTAATTTACTAGAGCAGCTCACAGAAGTCAGGAAAACACTTACTTGTGTTTACTTTTTTATCACAAAGGTATTACAAAGAACACACATGAAGAGCCAGATAAAGACATGGATAGGGTAAGACACGTGGGAAGGGGCATGAAGCTTCCATGCCCTCTTTGGGTGCCACCTTTCAGGAATCTCCACTTGTTCAGCTATCCAGAAGCTCCCCAAACCCAGTCCTTTTAGTTTTTTTGTGGAGGCTTCATTACATGGCTATATGGATTAGATCATTGGCCATTGTTGATCACCTCAACCTTTGGCCCCTCTCCCCTCTCTGAAAGTTGGGAGATGGGGCTGAAAGTCCCAACCCTGTAATCATGACTTTGTCTTTCTGGTGACAAGCCCCCATTCTGAGGCTATTTAGGGGTCAGCCACCAGTCATCTCACTAACATACAGAATACATTTTTATCAATCTGGAGATTGCAAGAGTTTTAGAGCTGAAGACTAACTATCTATTCAAAATATCATACCATGGATGGTGGGAGACCCTCGCTCAAGAATAGAGATCCCCTGAGCTTGTGAAGGAGGTGAGAAAAAGATCTGTGTTTTCTGGCAGTGTAACCAGGAAAGCAGCAAGATCTCTGATGTGAATGAGATTAAATAGGAAAACATTCTCTCATCAAAACCTGGTGTATTAGTCTGTTATCATGCTGCTAATAAAGACATACCTGAGACTGGGTAATTTAAAAAGGAAAGAGGTTTAATTGACTCACAGTTCCACATGGCTGGGGAGGCCTCACAATCATGACAGAAGATGAATGAGGAGCAAAGTCACATCTTACATGGTAGCAGTCAAGAGAACGTGTGCAGGGGAACTCCCATTTATAAAACCATCAGATCTCATGAGACTTACTACCATGAGAACAGAATGGGAAAGCCCCACCCCCATGATTCAATTACCTCCAACCAGGTCCCTCCCAGGACACATGGAAATTATAGGAGCTACAGTTCAATATGAGATTTGGGTAAGAACACAGCCAAACCAAATCATCTGGCATAGAAGCAACAGAGACCTGAAGACGTTGTGCAAACAGAGGAATGGATGATTAAATAGTTATACCAATGAACATCCCCCAATGCCTTGGCACTGGAAAAGAACCAGGGGATCAAGATAGGAAGGACACCAGTAATGAAGACAATTGAATTTTTTACCAGATGGATAGCATGGAGTCTCAGCATCAAAAATGAAGTTGTAGAAAAATTTAAAATATATATATATTTTTGCATACCTGAGGTTGAGGACTAAAGTTTATTCCTACTTGCTTAGCTCTCTCTCTCTCTCTGTCTCATGTTTGCTATATAATTTTTAACACTGTTTCAAAAATATAAAAAGAATTATAATTTTGTTGTATAAACTTTTGAAATGAAAGTATAAACATATTTTAGAAAAACACTTATCTCCCACCCATTATTACTCTTTATTGGTCATATTAACTAGGTTATTTTTTAGATTCATATTTATTCCTATAATGATATATTTATTAGAGTTCCTGAGAAAAATATAAATTTTTTCTCCCTAGACTTTAAGTATACTAATTCCACAATTTCCTGTTAATAATATCTGTCAAAAGTATTACACTGACTTTTTCAAAGTTGTTTGTTACTCAAGGGAAAAAGTGTTTAACTCTATGTTCTTATTTTGACATTGCTTATTAGTGTCAAATTATTATTTGGAATTTGTATACAACTTCTTTTTCTCTGACAGCAACTGAGTTATGCAAAACAGCTATAAAAATGATTTCAAGAAAGATAGACAAGAGTCCTTCCTATTGAAAATTGTAACTTTAATTTTCAGATAGTTTTATATGAATTGCCCCATTTGATTTTCAGAACAATAGTATATAGTATGGCAGGCATTTTCACATAAATTTGACTAAATAAATTATTCCAGAAACTCAAGTGGGCTATTGTGAGGATTAGAAGTAGAAGTTCCATCTGCTCAATAAATACTAACCACTATTGCTATTATTTTATACATATGAGAAGTGAGGCTCCAAGTGGTTATGGCTTGTTTCCTTTCTTCTGACCCAGAGTCCAGAGTTTTTTCCTCAATGCCCAACAGAGGCCCTGTTAATTTTTCCCTTCAAAGAATGATAATTGACATAGTAGTAGAAAAACAACAGGAATAATCTCACAGATTGTATTCCATCTGCAGGATCTCAGCGTAGGCTCAACATTTACTTCTGAACAAAAGGGCTCTGCCAAGTCCAATCCCCTCAACCTCCCATACTACTAGTGTTTATCTTTGGAGGAAAAAAAAAAAAAAAGAAATCCCTAGAAAGATCTTACTCCTTTTCTCTCAAAGGTGAGAGAAAAACACCTTTTGAAACTACTCTTGCTGTCAAAGTTCAGTCCTTGATTTGTGAAGCCTGGTCTTGCAAAAGTACTAAATCAAAGTAAAATGGATTTACATTTGTAAACTTTGTTTCCACTTAATGGGATTAGAAAGACCACTCACATTAAACAAACAAAAACATTGGTTCAGCATCAAGACAGATAGAACAGTAAATTAACCATATACAAACTTTGAGACTCAATGTGAATTTAGGCTTACAAATTCTATTTTAAGATGGTTTGAAGAATCAAGAAACTTCCAGGGTGTATTTATGTTTTTTTACATCTACTCTTTACCTGAGCCATGTGCACTATTGAAGAGAGAAAAGACACAAAAGAATGATATACAATGTGCAATGAAGTTGGTTGGAGAGCAGTTGAAAGATCTTCTAAACCTAAACTTCTCCAGATGCAAAGATTTAAGTGTGAAGAGTTAAACTCACACAAAAGCAGTAACGCTTCCGCTGAAAATCCTCTCAATATGCAGAGAACAAATGCACAACACTTTTTCAGAATATACAGCAATAAGCATTTTCTTACTTAAAAATAAAAGTACCTTAAGCATTCCCAAATAAATTAGCTTTGAATATATCTGGCAGTATTATGACCCATTGTCTGCTTACACTTTTGAAAAACTTTTGTAATCTTTTAATTATATCTGTTTACATTCTTATCTTCTCTAAGAGAACTCAGTACTTTCTTAGCTTTCTGGCCTTCCACAGACATCAGATTTCTCCATCTGGAAATCAAGTAAGGTATATATGAAATGAAAGCTGCAAACAGCATGATTATTTACTAATTTGTTTTGTCTTTGGGCTTTTGACAACATATAATCACAATAACCAACTAAATTTGTCAATGCAAGTGATAGTCTCATTTTAATTGAGAGAGATAAAGATCATGTTAGGACTTGTGCAGCCACAGGGCAGATGACATAAGAAAAGCTGATAAAATAGGAAGGAGGCTAGTAAATGGGCCCAAAGTTTTACTCAAAAAGTTCAACTAAGATAACAAAAGTCAGGCAGATGCTATAGGGTAAAGTCAGCAATGTGCTTGGGCAACTCGATTTGAGGACCAAGATTAAGTAAGTGGCAAAACCCAAATCAATGATTTTAGCAACAGAAAGATACTTGGGCATAAAGCCTTGAGGGACAAGAAAAAAAGGTTACTCTATGCAGGGCCCTGTGATCCTTCACAAATGCTTCTTTTACAAGCAATGCCTATGAAATATCAAGAGTAAGTTTATGTGTGTTTGGTGTTTTAGCAAATATCTGAAATCATATACATTCAGATCAAGCCTCAAAGTTAATCTATTGAGGCTGCTGTTAATAAGCACAGTTCTGAAATCCTCTTGTTAAAATTGCTTTAAATATTGCATCACCTCACTTATATATGTAAATATAAAAATATAATGAAACAAAACAAAACAGTTGAATATGCGGAAATAGTAGACCTGTGGTTACCAGGGTGAAGGGAAAGGGGAGAGATAAGTCAAAGGGTAGAGTTGCAGTTACATAGTGTGAGTAAATCTGGAAATCTAACGCACAGCATGAGGATATAGTCAACAATATTGTTTTGTGTAAATGGAAATTTGCTAAGAGAATATGGATTTTAGGTGCTCTCACTCCAAACCAAAAAAAAATTACTATGTGAAGTTATGGATATGTTAATTTGCTTCCGTAGGTATCGTTTTACTATTTATGTATATCAAAACATTACTGTAGACCTTAAACATAGCAAAAAAAAGACAAAAGAAAAAGAAAATAATAAATATCTGGAAAAAGATTGTTTTCACGTCCACCTTTAAACCACATGGTGAGATCAATATTATTCGTGGAGAAGACAGGCTGAATCTATGCTTATGCTTGTCCATTCTGCTTCCCAAATCTCACCCCTACATTGATCATTATTTCAAATACAAGTAAAATAATTAATTAGCTACTACTTTTTGTGGCAATCAGAAAATTTAAAATAAAAATGTGGGACTGCTGCCTCATTCACATTCTCAAAATACCAACAGTGGCCTAGGGAAAGTGATACAGAGGGTCCTTTGCCTCAAATACCTCATTCTTAGTGGGGGTTAGAAAGCTGTGAATAGTTGCAAAACTTATATGGGACCTTGCCTCATTGAGGTGACTTGAGTAACTCCAGTCAATGCCTTACTGAAAAAAATATTCTTTTCACCATATACTTATCTTGCATATCCCAAATTTCATTGATTGAGCGCCATTGACCCTAAGCTCTATGTACTTGCAAACATATGCTTATCTCCCACATCTACAACCAAAACACATGCTGAAGTACATAACTCTTAGCCCAATATCCATTAACAGATAGCCAGTGATGTGCTACTGATCAGAGATAGGGCCTCCGGTACCTAGTTTTGCCTAATTTTGCAGCACTCAGAATAAATGAAGTGCTTTCAAAATTTAGAGTGTTCAATGTTCTCAGTTCTTTCTCATTACTATATTTCCATAACACTTAATTTGTGTGGATTATACCTTTTAGAATGTTGTACATCATCACTAGACAACTCCTCACCCCCCCCCCCCACACACACACTTTATAACATTGTTTTCTGTAATCTCCAAACATATGTATGAAAAGGGGTTGTCATGGTAATAATAATCATGGGTTAAGGGGCAGGAAGATGAATTTCAAAATATAGCTCCCCAGAGTAAAAAGATATTTGCCTAGTTTTCTGATTGATGCAGATTTATTTTTGGACCAGGGAAATAGCAGGAAAGAGAAAAATTTACCTACTCCTAATTAAGTAAAGCAAGGTTGAAATACCTATCGCAATTTTCAACTCAAGTCTTTTACTTTCTAGTTTATGAAAATTTCTCATAGATACTTGCAAAAGGTTAATTGTCAGTTCTGGTTTACAGCGTTCTGACTTTTGTGATCTTCCTGTGCCTTCACAGATATGTTTGTGAAAAGTTGAGCCCAGCTGGATCATGGGCTGCAAACCATACGCCATTTTACACCAAAAACCTCTGTTTTCTCTCTGGACCTGCTTGCAATTACTATCATCCTCTGATTTCCTGGATTTCTGGCACTTTAGCTCAATTTCTACATCTGTTTCTAACCCACTTGGTTTGGTGAACATCTCCTTCCAAGCTTTTGGACTTAGTTACTCACACACTCTGGGATCTGCTCATTTCTCTGGTTTTGGTGACATCTATCCCATCCCCTAACCTGCTACCATTCCCCTTTTGTACTGGAACAATTGCCAGATAGGGTCTTGCCCCCAGAACTACAGCCAAGTGAAGAATAGTAATAATTATTTTGTAATACCAAATTCACCTGAATCTGTGAATCAGGTGAGCTTGTCTTTCTAGGGTATGAGTATTGTAAAATTATTTTTTAATTTATTACTGTTTTGTGTGTAGTTTTTGGCCTTTGATCTTTAAAGACATTTTTTCCATGGTATGCACTAAATAGAAAATATGTTATTTAGGCAAGAGGCTTGGGTTGCCAAATAATATTTTGAAAACAAATACAAGAAAATCATACGAGATGATTACATAAAGAGCTGAAGCAAGACTATGAAGTGTAATGTCACTAAAGATTATTGGGTTAAGATCTGAAACTTTTATGCTTATTGTATTATTATAAACTTAAACAAATGAAGCTAAACTGATTCAGAGGTTAAATATCACCCAAGTCATGCTGAATATTAATTCCCATCTTTTTTTTTATATGTTTTTGAAGTCAGAGATGGGAAGAAACAAGAACTTTGACATGCTTGGTGTTCTTGCCCAAGCTTTGAAGAAGTTTACAAGTGAGCAAATGTTTATACTTTCGAAATGACTGGAAATGACTTCACAATGGATCTTAAAATGGACCAGTTAAATATTATTCCAGGAGGCCAATTATCTAGTTATTAAAATGAAGCATAGTAAGTTAGCTGCTATTATTGGCAGCTGAAAGAATAACAGACATGATTTGGAGACCTAAAATAATTCCTCAGATATTTAGTAGAAGTAAGAAGATCAACAGTGAGATACCATCTCACATCAGTCAGAATGGCTATCATTAATAAAAGTCAAAAAATAACAGATCATCACGAGG
This sequence comes from Homo sapiens, assembly GCF_000001405.40. Lineage (NCBI taxonomy): Eukaryota > Metazoa > Chordata > Mammalia > Primates > Hominidae > Homo > Homo sapiens. The sequence continues at coordinate 44,747,336 of NC_000005.10, read as the reverse complement.
TTGTGGAGAAAATGGAACACTTACACACTGTTGGTGGTGGTGTAAATTAGTTCAACCATTTCAGAAAGCAGTGTGGCAATTCCTCAAAGAGCTAAAAACAAAACTACCATTCAATCCAGCAATCCTATTACTGAGTATATACCAGAGGAATATAAATCATTTTACCATAAAGACACATGCACACTTATGTTCATCGCAGCACTATTCACAATAGCAAAGACATGGAATCAACCTAAATGCTCATCAATGACAGGTTGGATAAAGAAAATGTGGTACATATGTGCCATGGAATACTATGCAGCCATAAAAAAGAATAAGACATGCCTTTTGCGAGAACATGGATGGAGGTGGAGGCTGTTATCCTTAGCAAACTAATAGAAGCAAACTAACAGAAGCCCAAATACCTCATGTTACCTTAGCAAACTAAGGTGCCTTAGGAAACTAACAGAAGACCAGATACCTCATGTTCTCACTTATAAGTGGGAGCTGAATGATGAGAACTCATGAACACAAAGAAAGGGACAACAGACACAGGTCTACTTGAGGGTTAAGGGTGGGAGGAGGGAGAGGAGTAGAAAAAATAACTGCTGGGTACTAGGCTTATTACCTGGGTGATAAAATAATCTGTACAACAAACCCCTGTGACATGAGTTTTCTTATATAACAAAACTTCATGTGTACCCCTGAACTTAAAATGAAAGTTAAAAAAAAAAAAAAGAACTAAGAAGGTCAACTTCATGAACAATGATGTAGGTATCTTTAAGATGAATATTCTAGTAATGTGTTTATTACCATGTTTATTTCCTGTCTCTCTAACTCTTTAAACTTTCATTGTCCTACAGTTTAACATCTGCATTGTTTATATATTCTATATATATATATTTTTATTCACCTGATTTCAAAACCCTTTTTGGATTAAAAAGGCTTGAGATTGAACAAATAGCATATTTTAAAGTAGTTGTTTAATTTGTTTTTAAATTACATATAAATTTTTCCTTTGTGAAGGAATTGACAGTTTTATTTCTTTTTTCTTAAAATAACTCCTTCATGTTCTTTGTAATATGAGATCAGTATGCTTAAAGATATTGTCTTTGAATCTAAAGTCCTAGTCTGGAAGGAACTATTTCCCTTTGTATTTCTAGTGCTCAATTTTTAAAAATTGATTTTGTATGCTACTGGGTAGCACATTTAATTCAACTTATACTACAAATTAACAAAAATGATCTTCTTTTTTCTTTCTTTTTATTGTTTTTTTTCTGTTTTTTTTTTAATAGCAATGTTTTTTTCTTTACCACTAGAGTCTATATGTCAGAATACACATTTCCCACCTTGCCCAACAGTAGAAAAACATAAGAAGAGAAAAACATTAAAAAATGACAAGGAAGTTAATGGAAGGTTTGTGCATTTTTTTTCCTTTTAAGATTTTGAATCATTATGAGTTTTAAAACCATTTGTAATGTTCTTGTGTTTAAACCTAAGCAATACAAGTAGTAAATAAGGTTTGTTTAGTTAGTGAAATATCACCCAATGTGCATTTACTGTACTGCTCAGCTTTATTTTGTTACCATACTTTGAATCCTAAGCCCTAAGAAACAATTTTGCAAATTTATCAATGACTCGAAATAAGTAAATACATATATATTATTTAAAATCTATTAATGCATTAAAATCAACTCTCTAAAAAAGGCATACATGTTAATAATTCTGAAGACTGTGATCTAAACGTGATCCATTTTGAAAGAGATCAAATTGCAAGTAAAATAGTATTTTTATTAGTAACTTCTGAACTGTTGATAAATTCTTCAACCAAGGAAAAGTTTCTTCCTGTCATCAAACGTTGAGGTGATGATGATGATCGTAATTAGAATGCAAGCTACAAGAAACAGTTAAGGGTACCTGTTACGAACTGAATGTTTATGTCCCCCCAGTCAGCAATGTGATGGTGTTTGGAGGTGGAGCCTTCAGAAGGTAATTAATGCCCTTGTAAGAAGAGGCCAGAGAGCTTGCGCACCTTCTTCCTGCCATGTGAGGAGCCAAGAAGCCGGCTGTCTGCAACCTGCAAGAGGACCCTCACTAGAAGCTAGCCATACTGGCATCCTCATCTTGGCTTTCCAACTTCCAGAACTGTGAGAAGTATATGTTTGTGGTTTAGTCAATGGTCTATGGTAATTTTTTTATAGCAGTCCCAGCCAAGACAGTGCCTCATTTACTACATACCATTTATATTATTATATAGGCTCCTTTCAGAAACCCATGTTCAAATAAGAGATAAGATACTGAAACACATAACACCTTCACTAGTTTTTAGTATACAAATATTGAGAAATAGTTTGTTATTAACTATCTCATCCAAGAAATGCAGATTCATGTTGTTTCTAATTTTTTATATATAATTGACAAAATGAAGAAACTTAACACCATCCTAGATTTTAGCTGCCCAAAGAATGAAAAGAATGAAAAAAAAATCTTTGAAAACCCACAAGTGATATGGATCTAATTTATGGTTAAATAGATATAGATAACAAACAGAATACGCCTGTTTAAAACTGTTAAAATGACATTGGTTCTAATTATACTTTTATTTAAATTGAAAGACAAGGCATTTATATGGTATCTCTAACCATCACAACTTTTGTGTGACAAAAAGAAATTATCACCAAAATACACCTCCTTAAGTAAGTGTCTGATTTCACACTTCCAGAAAAAGTGCTCTTTCTGGTCAAGCCAGCAAGAATTGAGAAAGATTAAGAAAGTGCTTCAAAGATGTTTATTAAAAAGTTGTCATAAAAATGTGAAGTAGATGTAGCATCAAGCATACCAAATAAAGTAAAACTGTCATCAAGAAGATTCAACAGCTATGAAAAGAGTTCTTCAAAATATGATATGTTTTTCTAGATGATAATAAAATTTATCAATTCCAAATGTCCACATTAGTCTTTCATAAAGACACCAATGAGTCACAGGAAAAAAAATTAAAAATAAAAAAACCCTATCTCAGGGAATCATGCTAACAACCTGATGTGTTTTCTTCCACATATTTATGTCTGCTTATAAGTATTTACAAACATATATTCGCATATATGCATTTTGAATTTTTTCTGTTGCTGCACTTAAATTTTTTTCATAATAAAACAAGACTCCTGCAATTTGCTTTTTTAGGTAGACTATGTATCCCTGACAACCATCCAGGTCAGCTTGATGATTAACACATTTGTTTTAATAGCTACATAGTATTCTATAAGTATGATTTATTCAAGTGTGTGTGTGTGTGTGTGAGAGAGAGAGAGAGAGAGAGACAGAGACAGAAAAAGAGAGACAGAGGAGGATATTCAGGGGTTCTGTCCACTACAACATTTTGTCACAGGCAACAGTGCTGAAATGAAAACACTTGAACACATATTTTTATGATTTTACTTTTTATGATTTTCAAAAGTGTGTTTGCAAGGTCAAAGAATAGATGTGTTGCTCTTAATAAATATCAAAAGATTATTTACTACTACCCAAATTATACTGTAATTTCTTCTTGAACCGTTTAATTTGTATCCTCCTATCAGTGAGGTTGAGAAATATTTTATGCTTACTGACTTTTGCAATATTTCTTTCACGAATTATTGCCATTTTCTATTGTCCATTTTTCTGTTAGGCTCTATGATTAGCTTATTAGGCTTTGTGGTTTATATGCATCAGAAAGAGTAAGACTTAATTTTGTGTGGAACAAATACCCTGGTGTAGCATGTTTCATTAGAATTTGTTTATAGAGATATTTGCCATAGAAAAGTTATTTTTTATTAGTAAAGAATGCTTTGTATTTCCTTTGTGGCTTCTAAGTACCCTTTTTTGGTTATTATACCTTTATCCATAAGTATCTTTAAATATTACAAAAATTACATATTCTTTTAAATATTTTAAAGATTTATTATATTCATTTAGGTTTTAATCCACTTTTAATTTTTTAGATGAAAAGTAAGAGAAAAGTATATAAATCATGAGCACAAATTGAACTAACCAAGGTAACAATCAATCTGCTCAAGAAATTGAGCATCACCACCACCTCCTCCTGCACTGTCCAAATCAGCACCCCAGTACTCCAAAGCAAATGTTACTCACTACACTGACTTCTAACACAATAGACTTGTTTTGTCTGTTTTCAACTATACAAAAATGAATCATAGAGTATGTGTTGTTTTGTATTTGGCTCCTTTCACTAAAATTTTGGTTTATAAAATTCATCCATGTGGTTGAACACAGTTGTAGATTGTTCATTTTAATTGTTTTACAGTATTTATTGTGTGACTAAAACACTACTTATTTATTCTATAATTGACAGACTTTGGGTTGCTTTTGCTTTGGGAGTATAAACATTTTTATATCTATGCTTTAGGTACATGTTCATGAATTTGTGCTGAATAATTACTTGAGTGTGAAATTGTTATGTTATGCGATATATAGTAGTCAAATATAGAAGATAATGCAAAACAATTTAAAGTGATTGTAGCAGTTTGCTGTATTCTACAGCAGCAGATTGTAGCAGATTACTGTATTCTACAGCAGCAGCATGTGAGATTGCCAGTTGCTCAAATTCGTGCCAATACTTGGTATTTTTTATCTTTTAATTTTAGACATTCTGGAGAGTGTGTAGTAATTTTTCATCTTGGAAAATTACATTAAATTAGTATCCATTTCTCTAATTTTGATAACATTTTCATAAGTTTATTGTTATTAGATATTTTCTTTATTTTGAAGTGCTTATTGTCCATTTTACATTGGGTCATCTGTTATTGAATTGTAAACATTCCTTGAATATTTAAATATGAGTGCTTGGTCAGTTTTTGTCACAAATATCCTCTTTTTTCACTTTTTGCCCTTTTATTATTCTGAAAATGCCAATTGATTAAAATTAATTTTACTATTGTTCAATATATCATGCTTTGTTTTTTCACAGTGTGTTTTGTGTCCTGTTTAAGAATTCCTTCTCTCATTTGGCATTCATTTGGCATTCATTTGGCTTGGCAAAATTGGCGTGTTTTTTTTTTTTTTTTTAACCTATAACTTTTCCTCTTTGGTGAAATACCCATGGCAGGGGTAAGGGAGGGACCCATAACAAATTCTAGGTTTCCATTTTGTCTAACAGGAGTTAGAAACATGTATTTGTTTAGGAATATCACTCTTCTCTTATATTTTTGAAGCAATTTTATTTGAATTCTTTATATGCATCTTTGATATCAATATTTTTTGCCACTAGTTCCACTTGATGAGTCACTGAGTACTTTTTCATAATGCACTTAATCTTCACATGGCCTAAGTTGTTTAAGATGCAGCACCTTTTCAATCCACAGCTCATGGTCCCTGGTGTTTCCTCACACAGTTAAATCTCGTTTGCATGGCATAAGACAGTTTTTTTCTCATTTCCTCTAAAAACATATTTTTTATTATGTCGGAAATGTAACCAGTATATTTTCACTCTGAACAATTCTAAAAATTCATGTTTCTCATTAAATACAAAACCTATAAATACAAAATAATTTGCACTGGAATAATTACCAAATCTTTGTTCAATTTATTTGCTATCTTCGTTAGTCAACCCTGTCAGGTAAACTTGATAAGCATCCCAAAGCATCCCAAACTGCCTTGAGGGCTATCATTTAAGGCTAATATGTCCTCCTCAACTAGATAATCATTGCTTAAAACATACTGAGAGCATGACACATAATTTGAGATACTTTGTAAGAACTCAAATATATAATGATTCATTTATGAGAGATAATTGTGTAGAACAAAAAAAAATCAAACCTGTCTTACATGCAGGCATTTGTCTTTACTATTCAATTATATCCCCCATAATTCTGAAATAATTTAAGCATTCAGGTTATAAAGTTTCTCATAAATGCAACCTTTGAATGTCTTATAGTAAATTTTATTTTCAGTTTCTCTTTAATTCAGGTGTTACTCATTACTGTTTCTTAATTTCCAATATGTTACATTTTATTTTTGATTCCTAGTTTTATTAGATTGTCACAAGTAAATATGCAGGTGTTTTCTGCCAGAAAAATAAAAAGAAAAAATGATAAATGGGAAAGTCTTTAACCTATGAACCCTAACCCTTGTTGATAGAAACTCCTGTCGAAGAAGTTTCTATTCTCCAAGGTCTCCCTGCATGCCAACTGCATCTCTTCCAACTGCAGGAGCTGGGAACAATTCAGATCAGTGGAGCAGTGACCCACTAGTTCTAACAGCACTGGCATGAACAAACAATGCCACCAAAAGCAAGTCCATAGGGCAGCCCCTTTCCAAAGGATTCTGCAACTTGAAGTATTCAAATAAGACTTTTGCCCAGCTTCTGGGAAAAGTAATCCTTATCCACCAAAAGTATCTTGGTTTTTGCTTGTTACCAAAGAGAGAAAAGTCCTGTAGCAGCTACTGCTCTCTCAAGCACAGATCTCAGAATTCTATCCTTATACACATCCTCCAGGTGAGGTCAGCACACCCCTCTCAGTATTAGATTACTTCCCAGAGAGACAGAGAAGGACCATGGCATCTAGGGATGTGGCCAAGCTGCCTTACTCCCAGAATTTCTGACAGCCTAGTCTGAAATGAGTATTTTGGCACCATTCTTAAACATAGCTAAAATGATTGCATTCATTGCCTCTGGTACAGTTCTAAATGGATTTTACAAGTATGATTTGTAAGATATTAATAGGTGACAAATGAAAGATGAATACATGTTTGGAAAATTCTTGGCGATATGGTTTGACTCTGTGTTCCCACGCAAATCTCATCTCAAATTACAATCCCCAGAATCCCCACGTGTCAAGGGAGGGACCTGGTGGGAGGTGATTGGATCATGGGAGCAGTTTCCCCCATGCTGCTCTCATGATAGCGAGTGAGTCCTCATAAGATCTGATGGTTTTATAAGTCTTTGACAGTTCTTTCACACACGCTTTCTCTCACCTACCGATATGTAAGAGGTGCCTACTTCCCCTTCCATCATGACCGTAAGTTTCCTGAGATCTCCCCAGCCATGTGGAACTGTGAGTCAATTAAATCTCTTTCCTTTATAAATTACCCAGTGTCAGATAGTATCTTTACAGCAGTATGAAAATGGACTAATACATTTGGTTAACCAGAAAAGTTTCTTTACTGCAAGATTTGTAAGAGGCTTTAATATTTGAATACACATAATTTGCTGTTTGAGGCAGAATTTCTGGTGTTTCTAATTATTTTGACTGAAGAACACTTTTTTGTTGTAGTTGTTATGTCTGTTTTCGTTGTTGTTTTAACATCATTTCCAAGATTACGTTTCTACAAAACATACTTTGGAAAAAGTTGGCCTTTACTTTTGTTCCAAAAATTACTGAATATATCACTATTTTCTTAATTTTCAAGTATATTATTGTATAATTCTAATAGAATTATTCAGATTTAATTATTGTAATGTAATTTATGTATTTAGTAAAAGTAAATAATGAAAAATCATCTAACAATTTTCAAAGTCAAACCATACATGGCAGATAGAATGAAAAGCTAGTCTCTTTCCCAACCTAATATTCAATTCTATTTCCCAAAAATATGCACATATACACACAATTATGTTTTCTAATTATACCTTTTAAAATATAGATATATAATTAGGCACATCCTATAATCACTCTTTTGCCCCCTTTAAAAATAATCTTAATTGAATCTTTAGATATCTCTGTATTAGCTGTATACTAAGATTTGTTTCACTTTTAAGACCTGCATTATATTTCATTGTATGAATATATTATTACTTATTTAACTAGTCATCTGTTGAAAGACTTTCGGATTGCTCCAGCTCTTTGCAATTAAAAGCAAAGCAGAAGTAAATAAACTTATAGATATATCAGATGGCAGAAATTTTTTTAGGATAGATTTCTAGTAAGGTAATTTCTGGGTCAAATATCAGGCATATGTTTAATTAAAAATTGTCTTCATCAAGAAATCTTTCCCAGTTTCTATGTCTAGTATTTTATTGCCTAGGTTGTCTTCCAGGGTTTTTATGGTCTGAGATTTTTACATTTAAGCCTTTTATCCATCTTGAGTTGATTTTTGTATATGGTGTAAGGAAGGAATCCAATTTCAATCTTCTGCATATGGCTAGCCAGTTATCCCAGCACCATTTATTGAATAGAGTCTTTCCCCATTGCCTATTTTTATCAGCTTTGTCAAAGATCGGATGGTTGTAGTTGCATGGCCTTATTTCTATTCCATCGGTCTATGTGTCTGTTTTTGCACCAGTACTATGCTGTTTTGGTTATTGTAGCCCTGTAGTATAGTTTGAAATCAAGTAGCGTGATGCATCCAGCTTTTTTCTTTTTGCTTAGGATTGCATTGGCTATTTTTGACTCTTTTGGTTCCGTATGAATTTTAAAATAGTTTTTTTCTAGTTCTCTGAAGAACGTCATTGGCAGCTGGACAGGAATAGCATAGAATCTGTAAATTTCTTTGCACAGTATGGTTGGTTTAATAATATTGGTTCTTCCAATCTGTGAGCATGGAGTGCTTTTCCACTTGTTTCTGTCATCTCTGATTGACAAATGGGATCTAACTAAACTTAGATTCTGCACAGCAAAAGAAACTATGAACAGAGTAAACAGACAAACTGCAGAATGGGAGAAAATATTTGCAAGCAATACATCTGACAAAGTTCTACTATTAAGCATCTATAAGGAACATAAACAAATTTACAAGAAAAAAAAACCCCGTTAAAAAGTGGGTAAAGGACACTTTTCAAAAGAAGGCATACCTGCAACCAATAAGCATATGAAGAATAGCTCATTATCCCTGATCATTAGAGAAATGGAAATCAAAACTACAATGTGATACCATCTCACACCAGTCAAAGTGACTATTATTAAAAAGTCAAAAAGTAACAGGTGCTGGTGTGGTTGCAGAGAAAAGGAAACACACATACACTGTTGGTGTGAGTGTAAATTAGTTCAACCATTGTGCAAAGCAGTGTGGCAGTTCCTCAAAGAACTAAAAACAGAATTACCATTCAACCCAGCAATCCCATTACTGGGATATATACCCAGAGAAATATATTAATATATTATTCTACCACAGAGACACCTGCATGTGTATGTTCAATGCAGCAGTATTCACAATAACAAAGACATGGAATCAACCTCAGTGCCCATCAATGGTAGCTGGATAAAGAAAATGTGGTACATATACACCATATAATGCTATGCAGTAATGAAAAAGAACAAGATCATGTCCTTTGCAGGAACATGCATAGAGGAGGGGGCCATCATCTTTAGTAAACTAATGCACGAACAGAAAAATAAATACCACATATTCTCACTTATAAGTAGGAGGTAAATGAAAAGAATACGTGGACACAAAGAGGGGAACAGCAGACACTGGAGCCTACATGAGGCTGGAGTTTGGGAGAAGGGAGGGGACCAGAAAAAAGGACTACTGGGTTACTAGACTTAGTATCTGAGTGATGAAATAATCTGTACAACAAACCTCCATGACACAAGTTTACCTATATAACAAACCTGCATGTGTACCTTGAACCTAAAATAAAAGTGGAAAAAAAAGTTACCTTCAAAAGCAATTATAAGAGGCTGGGCACGGTGGCTCACGCTTCTAATCCTAGCATGTTAGGAGGCCGAGATGGGTTGATCACTTGAGGTCAGGAGTTCGAGACCAGCCTGATGAATATGGTGAAACCTCGTCTCTACTAAAACAAAATTAAATGGGTGTTGTGGTGTGTGTCTGTGATCCCAGCTACTTGGGAGGGTGAGGCAAGAGAATTGCTTGAATCCAGGAGGCAGAAGTTGCAGTGAGCCGAGATTTCGCTATTGCACTCCAGCCTGGGCAACAAGAGCAAAACTTCGTCTCAAAAAACAAAATAAAACAAAACGAAACAAAACAAAACCCAAAAGCAATTATAACAATTTAAACTATTTAAACTAACAGTGTAGGGGATTGCATGTTTAGTTATATCCTTGCCACATAATTCTCACATGTTAAAATTATTTCCAATCTGACAGAGGAATAATAGAAATACTGAGATTGTATAAATGATGATTAAGTCTGACGACCTCATGCAAATGAGCCATTTTGAGCTCTTTACGAATCTATTTACTTTGTACATTATTCTAATAAAATTTTAGTTTTTCTTATTTATTTGTAAGACATTTTCTCTATTAAGGAAATCAGCTCTTCTTTACTCTGATGTATATTGAAAGTATTTTCTAAGTTTGCGTTTTTGTGTGTTTTATATTATGTTGTGCTTTTGTTATAGTGTCCTTATTACAAAGAAATTTGAATGTATTTACAGTGTACCTACTTTCTTGGATTCTGGGTTTTGAGTGTTGCTTAAAAAGGCACTTCCTATCAAAGATCGAAAAAGAAAAAAGAGAACATATTTACTGTGTGTGTAAGTGTGTGTGTGTGTGTGTGCGCGCGCGCATGTTTAAATCTTTGATCACTGGAATTTTATTTTGGTATAAGTAGTAAAGTAGAATTTCCCCACAGTCAAGCCTTTAAATAACTACAGATTCAGCTGACACCTTGATTGTAGCCTTATGCGAGACCCGCACCAGAGGCATGCAGCTAAACTGCTACTGAATTTCTGTTCCACAGAAACTGTGACATAATCAATACATATTTTTTAAATTTCTAAGTTTCATGATAATTTGTTTTGCAGCAATAGATAACTAATAGTGCTTGTTTTGTTCCAAAATGATTACAACTATTTCTAGTGTTTAATCACTTGCCCATTTACTCAAATTTTATTTAAGATTTATTTAAAAATCAGGAATGGATGGTAAGTTTTACCAAATGATCTTAGTTTTTGGTCATTTGACTTATGAATATGGTGAATTATATTAACAGATTTTGTAATATTGAATCATCCTTATATTCCTGGAATAAACTCCAGGAATTTACATTAATCTTTAAATATATTGTAGAATTATGTTTTATATGATTTATTTAGGATTTTACATTTACATTTGAAAATGATGTATCTGTATGTATTTTGATTATGAAAAGTCTTGTCAGTCTATACCATGGAAAAGTATAAGAAGCATTGACATTTTCCATTTTTGGAGGGCTGAATTGACTTCACCTATGATTCCAACCAGGGCTGGTGTTTTTTAGAAGTGAATATTTGAACATTCTCTCAATTCTACAATTGTTTAAATTTTATATTTAATCTATGATAATATTTCATATTGTCTAAAATTATCTACAGGATATCTATGTTTTAATAATTTTATGTTGTTGAACAAAATACTTTTATATTTCTTTAACATTTCTGGATATCTCTCTGGTTATTTCTACATTCTCAGGCCTCATCCTTTATCCATAAAAGTATTACGAATTAGAGGTAAATACCCCAGCTTCTTCCACACTCAGGTGGAATAATCCTGAGTTTCCCATAATTTGTTATGTGGATGAAGCCCAGCTGACTACAGCAGGAACCTACTTGACATTGTATCTTTTATGGACTTGCTTCCCTATACTGTCTCTCTTCTCCAATGCCCACCTGGTATTTTAAAGAATCACCTCCCAGGTAAACTATTCGCACTGAAATCCTTGTCCCATTGTTTAAAACTAGGGGAAGGCAAACTAGCTACATGCCCAGGTAGAAAAACTTTTTCAGCAGCTCCATAACAAAATTCATTAAAGCTTTATTACCATTAATTCTTAGTTTTGTTCCTCTTTTTCCAGCTTCAGAACAGAAAGAAATTAGGCACTATGAGATGACAGCTAATGATGAGAAAGAATGATTTGTAGGAAGACTATTTTCAAATTCAATGAAGTGCAGAAATAGTTTGCAAATCTTGTCATTAATTATTCTATGATTCATTATGAATGACAAAGATTTACTATAATGATATAAAATATTATATACAGTATAAATATATAATAGATAATACTCTAAATTTACATGAATTATTTTTATTCATATAAATATAAATAATTTATATTTATAAATATAAAATATTTAAATATATTTATAAATACATTTTATATATACTTAATTTCTGATCCACAAAAACTATGACATAATGAATATATATTTTTAAACTTCTAAGCTTTATGATAGTTTGTTTTGCAGCAATTGATAACTAATAGTACTTGTTTTGTTCCAAAACGATTGCAGTTGTTTCTAGTATTTAATCACTTGCCCATTTACTCAAATTTTATTTAAGATTTATTTAAAAATCAGGAATGGATGTTGAGTTTTACCAAATGGTCTTAGTTTTTGGTCATTCAACTTATGAATATGGTGAATTAGATTAATAGATTTTGTCATATAAATATTTGTTATATAAACATTTATATTTATATAGTTATAAATATATATATACAAATATATAAATAGTATATATACATACTTATATAAATATAAATATATAGATAGTATATATAAATATTTATATAAATATAAATATATAGATAGTATATATAAATATTTATATAAATATAAATATAAATATAAATATAAATAAAATATTAAGCTTTAATAAAGAACAATTAGTGAAGAAAACCATAGCTGTCATAATTATAGCTTACTCTTCTTAACTTTATAGAAAATCTTCATTTGCCTATATTTTATCATTAGAATCTAATGTAATGATGTTCTAAAATTCAAAGGGCTTTATAATCACTAATAACAACTTGAGATTTACAGTTCTCTACACAATGCTAGCTTCTTCCAAATAATGAATGCCAAAGAGAATCTAATCAAACCTTAATATTTAAAGAACTAGTTGTAGTTTCTAAAAAAGGATAGAACATGTTGTAGAAATACATTATTTATTAATCTGTTATTAAAATAACAAAACTAATCTGTCCTCTGAAATGGCCAGATTTACCATGACCTTAGTTATATTGAAGGACTGCTATATTCAATACTGCTTATGATATACAAACATATTTATGAAACAGCCCATTTCTCTCAGTTATGGTACTAGCTAAACAAGTATTCAGAGCAATACTTAAGCTTTCACATAAACACACCCTTACTCTTACTGATCACAACAGACTCCCTGCTACGAATATTTGTGCATCAAACACATTTATATTATTCCAAAGGAAACTAACTGCTCCAGGAAGGTCATACATTCCTAGTCTATTTCAAATAAACAACTTGATCATGTTTGTTTCTACCACTTGATGTATTTTATCTTAAGAAGTAATTTACTTTATCCATGATAATTTAACAATTTTTTTGATGTCCTGTTCTTAGTTACATCTCTTACCCAGATTCATGGCTCTCAATATTGCTTATGTATTTTGAAGATTGACTTAGCCTAAAAATTCATATAAAGAATGCCCTTGGGAACACATGCTTTTATTAGTGTGTATTCTCTTCAGATTTCTAATTTCACCCTCATAAGATAAACAAAGACAATTATAAAGGAAAAATAACATTTTTAAACTCCTATTCTTCCACAAAGGCTACATATATGAAAAAATATATATATTTTGAATGGGCTTTTGACAATGCTATTTTTTTTTTTTTTTGAGATGAAGTCTCGCTGTTGTCAGCCCAGACTGGAGTGCAATGGCACGATCTCGGCTCACTGCAACCTCCGCCTCCCAGGTTCCAGCAATTCTCCTGCCTCAGCCTCCCAAGTAGCTGAGATTACAGGCACCTGCCACCACACCCAGCTAATTTTTGTATTTTTTTAGTAGAGACAGGGTTTTACCATGTTGGCCAGGCTGGTATTGAACTCCTGACCACAGGTGATCCACTTACTTCGGCCTCCCAAAGTGCTGGGATTACAGGCATGGGCCACTGTTCCTGGCCGACAATACTATTTTTATTAATATAGATTTTTTCCTTTGGAAATTTGACTCATTATTCAGAGAGTATAATTCTGAAAAAGAAATACTTTTAGTAAGGTACATATATATAATCTAACATTAATAGCTTATTTTTTTCTTTAGGTCTTCTTAAAGATATGCTGTACATTAGAGCCTGCTAAAAGAAAGTTTAAAGACATTTTATAATTATATTCTATATTTCACATTTTTAACTAAATTGAGTTCTAGTAACTGTAGTATTTAATGTATTTTTTTCCTTTAGATAATGTTCTTTAAAAAGTAGGTTTCTAAAGAAAACTTTAAAAATGTGCTGGTAAATATAATGAATTACTTCCTAAGGACAAAAAGATTTGGTTGGCACTATACGAAATGCTGAAGTAAGTATAATAAAATTTGTTATGAACATCTATGTTCAAGCCCTTATTCTTTTGAAGGTGGCAAGGACAGGACCCTGTCTATCCCAGCAAATGTGGACAATGTACCAGTCCCAACCTCAACCTGGGGAAGATACCCTGAACAAATTAGGACTGGAGATGCCAACTACACATTTCATCAATGAGGAAACTAAGTCACAAAAAGGACACAGTACTTGCTAGTATTTCCATAAACAGGGCCAAGTTAGAAAAATGGTATATGTCAATTTTGGCTTTTGTTGCAATTGCTTTTGGTATTTTAGTCATGAAATCTTTGCCCATGCCTATGTCCTGAATGGTATTGCCTCGGTTTTCTTCTAGGGTTTTTATGGTTTTGGATTTTACATTTAAGTCTTTAATCCATCTTGAGTTAGTTTTGTATAAGGTGTAAAGAAGGGGTCCAGTTTCTGTTTTCGGCATATGGCTAGCTGATTTTCTCAACACCATTTATTAAATAGGGAATCCTTTCCCCATTGCTTGTTTTTGTCAGGTGTGTTGAAGGTCAGATGGTTCTAGATGTGTGGTATTGTTTCTGAGGTCTCTGTTCTGCTCTATTGGTCTATATATTTGTTTGGGTACCAGTACCATGCTGTTTTGGTTACTGTAGCCTTGTAATGTAGTTTGAAGTCAGGTAGCATGATGAAATGGGATCTAATTAAACTAAAGAGCTTCTGCATAGCAAAAGAAACTATCATCAGAGTGAACAGGCAATGCACAGAATGGGAGAAAATTTTTGCAATCTACCCATCTGACAAAGGTCTAATATCCAGAACCTACAAGGAACTTAAACAAATGTACAAGAAAAAAACAAATAGCCCCATCAAAAAGTGGGCAAAGGATATGAACAGACCCTTCTCAAAAGAAGACATTTATGTGGCCAACAAACATATGAAAAAAAACTCATCATCACTGATCATTAGAGAAATGCAAATCAAAACCACAATGTGATACCATCTCACGCCAGTCAGAATGGTGATTATTAAAACATCAGGAAACAACAGATGCTGGTGAGGCTGTGGAGAAATAGGAATGCTTTTACACTGTTGGTGAGAGTGTAAATTAGCTCAACCATTGTGGAAGACAGTGTGGCAATTCCTCAAGAATCTAGAACCAGAAATACCATTTGACCTAGCAATCCCATTACTTGGTATATACCCAAAGGATTATAAATCATTCTACTATAAAGACACATACATATATATGTTTACTGCAGCACTATTTACAATAGCAAAGACTTGGAACCAACCCAAATGCCCATGAATGATAGATGGGATAAAGAAAATGTGGCACATATACACAGTGGAATACTATGCAGCCATAAAAAAGAATCAGACCATGTCCTTTGCGGGGACATGGATAAAGCTGGAAGCCATCATTCTCAACAAACTAACACAGAAACAGAAAACTAAACACTGCATGTTTTCACTCATAAGTGGGAACTGAACAATGAGAACACGTGGACACAGGGAGGGCAACATCACATACTGGGGCCTTTTGGGGTGTGGGGGGCAAGGGGAGGGAGAGCATTAGGAGAAATAGCTAATGCATGTGGGGCTTAAAACCTAAATGAAGGGTTGATAGCTGCCTCAAACCACCATGGCACATGTATACCTATGTAAAAAACCTGCATGTTCTGCACATGTATCCCCAGACTTGTGGGGAAAAGCAAGAGAGATCAGATTGTTACTGTGTCTGTGTAGAAAGAAGTAGACATAGGAGACTCCATTTTGTTCTGTACTAAGAAAAATTCTTCTGCCTTGAGATTCTGTTAATCTATGACCTTACCCCCAACCCCGTGCTCTCTGAAACATGTGCTGTGTCAACTCAGAGTTAAATGGATTAAGGGCGGTGCAAGATGTGCTTTGTTAAACAGATGCTTGAAGGCAGCATGCTCCTTAAGAGTCATCACCACTCCCTAATCTCAAGTACCCAGGGACACAAAAACTGTGGAAGGCCGCAGGGACCTCTGCCTAGGAAAGCCAGGTATTGTCCAAGGTTTCTCCCCATGTGATAGTCTGAAATATGGCCTCGTGGGAAGGGAAAGACCTGACTGTCCCCCAGCCAGACACCCGTAAAGGGTCTGTGCTGAGGAGGATTAGTAAAAGAGGAAGGAATGTCTCTTGCAGTTGAGACAAGAGGAAGGCATCTGTCTCCTGCCTGTCCCTGGGCAATGGAATGTCTCGGTATAAAACCCGATTGTATGCTCCATCTACTGAGATAGGGAAAAACCGCCTTAGGGCTGGAGGTGGGACCTGCGGGCAGCAATACTGCTTTGTAAAGCATTGAGATGTTTATGTGTATGCATATCTAAAAGCACAGCACTTAATCCTTTACATTGTCTATGATGCAAAGACCTTTGTTCACGTGTTTGTCTGCTGACCCTCTCCCCACAATTGTCTTGTGACCCTGACACATCCCCCTCTTCGAGAAACACCCACAAATGATCAATAAATACTAAGGGAACTCAGAGGCTGGCGGGATCCTCCATATGCTGAACGCTGGTTCCCCGGGTCCCCTTATTTCTTTCTCTATACTTTGTCTCTGTGTCTTTTTCTTTCCTAAGTCTCTTGTTCCACCTTATGAGAAACACCCACAGGTGTGGAGGGGCAACCCACCCCTACACAGACTTAAAGAAAATTAAAAAATAAATAAAAAGAAAGAAAGAAAAATGGTATATGTCTGCTGATTGTTAATTTGGGTCATGTTGCAACTTATAATAAAACCACTTTCATATAGGATGTCACTTTTTGAACAGCCACAAAAATTATTCTTGACTTTCTGGGAGTCAAGCATGCTAACTGTAGTATTTTTTTTTTATTAATATAACATGTGACTATGAAACTCTGTAAGGCTATGTTCCAGGCTGACTTCTTTAAGATTTCACTCATATTTGGTCTCCTCTGGGAAGCTTTCCTGCTGCATCTCAAACCCATTCTGGGATTAGTACCCCTCCCAGGCACTTCTGCAGTTCTGTCTTTTGCAGTCATGGTTCTTTCCCTATACTGATTGCCATATTTCTAGCTTGTCTCCTACAGTGAACTTTAATCTGTTGGACTACAGGAATCACACCCATCTTTATGTCCCCAAATGGTATTATTGTCTAGAATAAAATAGGTGCCCTGTCAGTGGTTGTTTTCCAAATGAATGAGTGAATGACTATTCACTGTTCTAAGACGCTATTACTATTGCATACCTAAGACAGAGTAGGGATCTCTCTTAGCCTGCTGCTCTCCCATCCTCCAAGCATGGAAATAAAAAAGAATCTTGAGTTCCTTCAACAGAAATTCCAGGCATCTAAGGAACCTTCAGAAGTGAATAAGCAACTTGATAAGCAAGAAGGTAACAAAAGCTTACAATAATAGTCAAGGAAGTAAGAACCACAAGATGCTTTGTTTCCTTTAGAAACTACAGATAACATTTTAATATGTGTCTCAGAGTTGTTTTTCAAAAGCCCAAGCCTTCACCAAATGGAAAATGCTATCTGCTGGCTTGTAGACCTCAGATAAGAGAGAACTGAGGAATGAACTCTGACTGCCATTCTTTATTCTAAATTTCTTCCTGGAGGCCTAGAGAGAGACATATCCACAGCCCAGGCATTATCATTCCTTTCTGCTAAACCCAAGTTTTTAGACAAAGCATTTCCTCTTTAACCAATCACAAATCAAAGTTTGAATCCACCTATGACTCATAAGCCCCCATTTCAAAATATCTCACTTTTTTGAGGCAAACCAATGTATAGCCTCCATGTATTGATTTATGATTTTGCCTGTAGCTTGTGTTTTCCTGAAACTTACCCTTTCCTCTAAAAACTATTGCCTGTGAACTTCTAGAGAGGTCAGATCTTAGGCATGAGCTGTTTGATTCTCCTTGCTTGACACTCTGCAAATAAATACCCTCTTTTGTCTTGCTGCAAACCTCTGTGTGGATGTACCGGACAAGTGGACCCAGGTTCGGTTAGGTAATTTGCTCAGATGATCTGCTTGTAGCTTCCTCTCAGCTAATCAAGATTTTAGCTGGTGTGTGTTATCATGTTTTATTTTCAAAGTATTTTGATTTTCATTGGGAACACATCAGAGTTTAAAGCAATTCTGATAATGGACTTTCAGGAATTGTAATAGACAACAGGGAGGTTTTTTTTTTTTTTCTTAAAAAAAAAAAACAGGGCTGTTCTCTGTATTATATCATGGAGGCATCCCACTTTACCACTTCTTTTTTTTTTTTTTTTTGAGACAGTGTCTCAATCTGGAGTGCAGTGGCATGATCTCGGCTCACTGCAACCTTCACCTCTCAGGTTCAAGCGATTCTCCTGCCTCACCCTCCTGAGTAGCTGGGATTACAGACATGCGCCACCATGCCCGGCTAATTTTTTTATTTTTGGTAGAAACGGGGTTTCACCATATTGGCTAGACTGGTCTCGAACTCCTGACCTCGTGATCTGCCTGCCTCAGCCTCCCAAAGTGCTTTGATTACAGGCGTGAGCCGCTGCCCAGCCCACTTTATCGCTTTAAAAGCTAGCCTAACCTGATGTTATGTACATCTCTATGTACAGATACATATATTTGCAGAGAGATCCTGTGGGTCCAATAGATGCTGCAGTTGAACCTGACTAGATTATGTTCCTTTGACTTGCTTGGCAAAGGCACTCATGTAACACAGTAAAAGAGAAGGAAAACATGTCCTGTCTTGTCAGCAATAGTAGTGCAGCATGGGTAATGGCTGCTGAGATATCCACTTTTCACTGTTTTGCTTCTCACCTGGTAACAATTCCAAATGAATGAGATTTGAAAAAGACATAAATCATTAGTCTCCATTTAGAACAACAATCCCAAACTAAGCAATGTGTTTGGCATTTTCAGAAATACTTTATTGGAATGATCAAGGAGTTGAAAGGCTAGAGTTATATATAATGATCATTTGCCTTAAACGGGAGAAAGTCATGATGAAAGTTGCTTTTTATTAGTAATTAGAGTTCTATAGCAGCAACATGTCCTAATTATGACATTTAGACCACTAGCAAATGAATAGCATTATTCAGATTTTGCTATGGAAAATTACTCCAGGCTATGTGGAATATTATGGAGTGACTGAGTATAACACTTTGTGGCCTGTATCTCACGAACTCACCCAACCTTATTTCACACACACACACTCCATCTGGACTCATTTATTAAGGGCACTTTAGTGCTCAACACAGAACTCGAGAAGTGGCACCTCGATGGGCTTGGAGATGAAACAAACATAGACTAAATATATGTAACTTATTAAATTTTGCACAGCATGGAAAACGTTATGCTTGGTGAGACACAGTGAAACTTAAGTATCTAATGAGCAATAAACATTTATGAATGACCACAGTCCTTTGAATCATTCTTCCAGAAACACAGGCAATGAAATCAGAAAGATCTGGAATCAGAAATTAGAAAATATCCAGAGGTTATTTTAAAGTAATTTGTCCTGGCATTTTTTTAATCAAATGTATTCATATACCATTCACATTTACAGAGTCAGGCAATATTCCAAATATTAAGGATAAGGCACTATTCCAGACATTGAGGATAGAAGAAACTCTTCATTGGTCTGGGTGATTCTGAAATGTAAAAGCAAAATTTCTACCCAGAGGACAATGAGGATTGATCATGGGTACAGTTACCTGGACCTCTTTGCACTTTTCAAGGGTGAGAAAGAAGTAACATTGACTTGTTCCCATAAACACAGCTGAGTATTAATGACCAAAAGAATTTTCCTGGTCTGTTTTCTGTTGTTAATCCAACTCAGCTTGCCATGGGACGACAATCTAGTGTTACCTGACCCTAGTGGCCACTCAATCACTTTGCTCACAGGACAACAGTACTTGAGAGTTTAAGAGCCCTTTTGTTTCAGAAAATTCTGCCAATTATTCAATCTAAGGTTTCATTTGTTTAATGACTTCCTCATTTGATCATCTAATGTGCTTTCTCATTCCTTTATCTTTTTGCTTTTTTGTTTTGTTTAGTTATTCTTTGGTCTAGCTATGGTTAATTTAATCTTTCCTCCTAAGTCAATGCCTCCCTGAAGGCACAAGGCCAAAGGCCAAATGACTTTAGCTGCAAATGTATGAAAACTCTCAAAGCATGGTGAAGTGAGTGTCATTACCAGGGGCATGTAAGTGGGGAGGGAAATGTCTACTCTGTCAGTCATAGTAAATTGTCAACTCTGAGGTTCAATAACACAAAATGAAGTCCTTTTATTGAAGTAGTAGAGCTTTTAAAGGTCTTCCCTTTCTTGTTTATTTAGGCATATTATCCCATTAATTGTGAGAGAGGAATTGAGGAGTTCACAGGAATTCATACAACAAGCACAAAGGGGAGTTACCAACCCTGGGTGATCTGTGGCCACTTGGGGCTCTCAGAGGGGAGGTGTTGTGGAGCATCCTTAAACACATTTCTGTAAAATGCTGAATAGTGTTTGTGCATAATATAATAATACTTTAAAGGTTTTACTGAGCAGATATTTCCTCATTTGTAGTGTGACAAACATATAAAGCAATGGAGAAAATCTGAGAGGCTTTAAACATAAAAATATGTGTCCACTGTTTCTACGTCAAATCTGTGATTTTCTTAAAATCAATACCAGATGCATAAGAGTACTTAATAAATGTTAGCTAAATGGGATAATTCTTACTTATATTCATCACACTTTTCTTCTTTCAAGTATTTGTGGTATTATGTTCCATAAATTCTAACCTTATTTTCCTTCAGGTTTTAATTCTAAGCTTCCTTTTCATTTATTTCCAACATAAATGAAGGTTCAGGTTTTGTTGTAGGAGTTTACACTAATTCTTTTGTCACTTATTCAATTTTGGTTTTGTTCTGTTTTGAACTTTTTTTTCACTCTTCCTTGTCAGTGTTTGTTGCTTATGCAAGAGAGCTTACCCTCATTTTTATTTTAAATAGCTTAAAATTTTCTCCAAAATTATTTGGGTCTCATTTTAAGATTTATATTTTATTATATAATTGCTTATAGAAATTAGACATTGAACAATGTGTGTTATTAGAACATTTGCCATTTTCTTTCTTTTTTGGGGGGACGGAGTTTTACTCTCATCGCCTAAGCTGGAGTGCAATGGCACAATCTCAGCTCACTGCAACCTCCGCCTCCCAGGTTCAAGCAATTCTCCTGCCTCAGCCTTCCGAGTAGCTGGGATTATAGGTGTGCACCACCACGCCCAGCCAATTTTTGTGTATTTTTAGTAAAAAGGGGGTTTCACTATGTTCGTCAGGCTGGTCTCGAACTCCTGATTTCAGGTGACCCGCCTCGGCCTCCCAAAGTGCTGGGATTACAGGCGTGAGCCACTGCACCTGGCCTCATTTGCCATTCTCTATACAATGAATGACACAACTATTTTGAAGTTGTGCCCTTTATTGCTTAAAGTCAATCTTCCATTAGTTGGGAAGTAATTCTCATGCATGATGGCAGATGCTGTGTAAAATCTGACACATAGTAATGCGTTAAGTTAATGAAAGTTATGCTCTGTTATCTGATATGCTTTGGATCCTGGGAAATAATTTCCCTCAAGGATTAATCCTTTCATACCAGGAAGAACATTTCACTTGGGTAAAGTTGTCAGGAAAACAAGGCAGATCTCCCTTTCTTCTTGTGGGTCAATTTATCTATCTTTTAGTCTAATAGTCAGCTTCAGAGTATTTAGAGCAACGTGTTGGTCTTTTTAATATACCCAAATTAACACCCACCAGCAAGAACAAGAAAATTTTTCTAACTTCATTCTATTAGGTTAATCTACTTTAGATATTTGAGGATTATTCATGAGAAACTCCATGTAAGATGTTTCTAAATGCAGACTGAAGCAAATTGTTATTAGTGAATATCTCAAGCATCACAGATTGTACCATCTGATGTTTTCAAGTGTCTTAACAATTGATCTGGAACATCATATATTCCATTAGGTGGTAGCAGCCATCAAAATACCCCAAATTACTATACCTGCATGCCAGGCCCAGTCTGGAGGTAACATACAAACATGATGATCATTAGAAAATATGGGCCAGATGTTTGTTTCCTAAGAATCTATGGAAATGATTACCTATGTTTTGGTGTGTAGTCAGTCTTGACATGAAAAAGACAAACTCAATTTAGCATAGAAGAAACTACAAAATTTTGAATGATCCTACTGCACCTCTGGGAGGAAAAATCTATGAGTATGAGATTTCATTAAGTTGAGATTTTTTGCTTAGGTTTTTTCTCTAGATATTGATGCCTAAATAGTTGTTCAAATATGGTAATCTTCCCATCTATTCCTAACTGTGGCTCCCTTTATGTATCACCTGATCTACTTTATTAGAATGGCCTAATTTAAAAGAGTTAGATTTTAAACTAGGTAAATCTTCTTTCGTTCAGTTATTCTAATTTTAATTAGTAGTTGGTGATCTACTAACCTTGCTAAGGGAGACAGGTCCATTGAGACTCATTACTTAAATAGCTTTTCATTTTTCAAAATTATTATTGTTTTGCTCACATGTCTACACTGTCCCACCAACTGGCTTTAAGACAAAACTTCATTTATTACTCTGTAGAACATGTCATTTGTTGTATTGTGGTCTATTTTGTTTTCTCTGATAAACATGAAGGCCAGAGCTGATTGTCACATTTTTTCTTTCAGTTTCTGGACATAGATGACTTTGAAGTATCTTACATCAAAGCGGAAAGAGAAACATAGTACTACCTATTAAAATGTGGCTACAAAAGTAAAAGAATACAGTTACTTCTCCTAAAGAGGGAAAGATTTTCAAACCTGTTATAAGGAGGTACTTCATTGAGTCATGAGTGTTACTACCATAGGTCATTACTTAGGAGACATTACATCTGTGAAAACCTTACTTCAAGGGCATGCATACTTTTTAATGTTTTCCATTTCCCTGTGTGAATTTAATCCTAGCATATTTGAAGTAAAGGTTTTCAGTGAAGCTGTATGTGAATTATCTATAGAGAGCACACTGACAAAAATTTCGAGACTCTATTAGAGAGTTTATACTTTCAAAGACATTCCACTGATACACTCATCACAACCTACACAGCTGTACTGTCTGTCATAGTCCTACACTTATTACCTTTCTAGAGTCCATGCACATAAAGGCGTATCTGAAGACCACTAAATAGGATTAACTAGGCATTGTAATTCCAATGCCTCACCTGAAAGCAATTTGAAATAAGCTGAACGTTATCTATGAACTGTGTAAGTTACAGAGCCATGATCATTGGTGGACATCAAAATTGTTATAACATTGCTTTAATGTAATACCAACTCTAGAATCCTGTAGCTAATGAACAAAAATGTTTTATTTTTCTTAAAGTATTGTTATTTTGGGATTATATAAAAATTCTCCAGTGACAGTCTAGTAATTGCCTTTCACATTCTAATAATACAATATTTAAAAGAATTCTAAAACCAAGCATTATTTTATTCAAATATGCTTTATAACTACTATTCATCTTTAGTCTAATTGATTAGACATTTATTAATGCCTACTGTGCACTAAGGATGATGCCAAATTTTCCCTGGGGTTGTTCTGTTTGTGTACATCAGAGACTAAGTTGTTACTCAATTGTAGCCAAAAAAATTATCTACAAGCCCTAAGGCCACTTAAATTAGTCACAGGTGTTAACAAACTAAACATTAGCACTGACATAAACTGTTTTTAATTGGTTTTTTAATCATTATTAGGTTAATGGTTGTCTACATATTTGGATTTCTTTTATAAATTCATTTTCTGAATTAAAGGCTTTCTTCTGTAGTCTCTGAATAGTCCTACTCCTTCTCCCTTTAAATTCCATCTCAAATCCTGATGTCCCCCCAAAATGCTGCTTAACTTTTTTGGCTTACATTTATCTCTCCTGTCTGTAGTACGTTTTGCACCTAGTCACTTACTATTATTTAATATGTTTTTCCTAATAACTTAATGTGCCTAACTCCTGATATCAGACCCTCACATACCCCACAAGGAATATTTCTTTTGTATCTTCCTTCCTTTCTTTTTATAGCATCTAGTAAACTATAGAGCATATAATATTGTACACAACTACTGATTAAATTGAGTTTTTTGTTTTTTTGTTTTTGGAGACAGGGTCTTGCTCTGTCACCCAGCACCCAGGCGGGGGTGCAGTGGTGCAATCACAGCTGACTGCAGTCTTGAACACCTGGGCTCAAGTGATTTTCCCACTTCAGCCTCCGAGTGCTACCGTGCCTGGCTAATTTTTATTTTTTAATTTTTTTAGAGGCAGGGTCTCACCATGTTGCCCAAGCCAAACTCCTGGGCTTAAGCGATCCTTCTGGCTTGGGCTCCTAAAGTGCTGGGATTACAGGTGTGAGCCACCATGCTCAGCTTAGACAAAATTTTTATGGAAATGTTACTGGATTCTCATAAATCAATGAATTTCTATACATATATAAACATATATACATGTATACATACATGCATATACATATATGTAAGATTATCTGCATGAGATAATAAATTCACAAGAAAAGAATGTGAAAAATGATATAACTGTTAGTAGATAACACTAATTTAACAAAAAAGAAAAGAAAGTTTCACATCACGAAACTTTAGAATTAAAATAAACTACAGTCTTATTCTTCTCATGTCAGGTCTTTCACTCCAAGTGCCCTGTCTAACTTTATTTCCTATCAGGCTGAAGTGTTGCAACAAAACAAGTTTCAATTATTTTTAAACAATTTGCTTTACGTACATGTGCATTTTGAGTTCCTAAAGACGAATACACACACACATACACACACACTCTCCTCTCTCTCTCTTTCTAACACACACACACACACACACACACACACACAGTGTAGGAATTTGAAAATGCTTTTAACTTTTAAAATATTCTGACATCATATAAATTACCTATGAAACAAAAAGTCAATGATACCATGAAAGGAACAATGGTTCACTTATCAGACAGGTTATTTTGAAATAATTAAATCTGGAAAGAAACTTGCTTCAATATGACTAATTTAGTAATTTACTTTTTTCCATAAGGTTTGTGTATTTACATCTCATTCTCTCTCACTGTCTTACCAAATTGGTGCTTGGTTTATTGTGCCACTGAGGTAGCTTGAGCAATTTGATGTAGTTTTTCTTTCTTTCTTTTTTTCAGTTTGATTAACTTTACCTTGAACTCAAATTTTTTGGTATAATGTAGAAGAAAAAAATCCTGAAGAGGATTTAACACATTGGGCTGTGCAACTATCCCTATTATATTCTCTAGAGTGCCCAGTATATGTCATCTCAGGCATTGAGAAATACCGCAGTGAGGTGAGTCCCAGCATCTCCAAAACGTGCCACATGGGGTGTACCCTGAAGAAAAGAGATGTCTGTACCTGATAATACAGCTAAACAGGCCTCCCTTATTTCAGCATTATACTAGATCCCAGGGTGCCAGAACATAAGGAATGGCAGATAACTGCTAGACGACTAGGGTCATGGAAACTACAATAAGCAGCAAGACCAGCAAAGAGATCAGAATGATAGGACCTATGAGGATATTTAATGGTGGGTATATTGATCATAGGATCCCTGATGTGAACATAGAAATGAATAAATTCTAGATGTAGTAAGTGGAGGGCTTAGTCAAGCAACCAAAATTTATATTTCCTTGCTCAATTTCTAGACCTAGGTCAGTTCAAATATCTAGTGGTCCTTGAACCAAGAGAAGAATACATAATCTGAGTTTGAACTCTAATAGTATCATCACTGTGTACTGTGGCCCTCCCTCTTAATGCTTTCCCTAAGAGAACTGTGTCTATTTATCAGAATAGTAATGTATTTGGGAAAGGCAATGATTTCTAACTTTCAGAGACTTTTAGACACTGGGTCCAAGCTGGATCCTGGAAAGACTTATCACTGTATCTGCCATAAAGGGACTCAGGGGAGTCAGGAGATAAATGAAAATCTCACCCATGTTTATCTTATATTAGGCTCAGCAAAACCCCCAACCTAACCTAGTTTTTATTCTCCACTTTTCAAATGGTGTTAATATTGTAAGCAACTGGCAGACTTTCCATCTGTACTCATACAATAAGAATTATTATAATAGAAAATGCTAATGAAAAACCCTGAACCTCTCCCATTCCATACCCAAACAGTAAAACAAAAGCAATACAGAAGCTCAGATAAAATAGTAGAAATTGAACCTGCTATTGAAAACCTAAAGGTTTAGGCATTGGTGACTGCCATTGTGTCCACATTAAACTCATCTACTTGTCTGGTACAGAAAATAACAGTTGAATTGTCCTTTAGTTTTAGTAATAAGTAATTCCAACTGTGGCTGCAGTTCCAGATGTGATTCCTATCCTGGGTCATATCAACATAATTCTAGCAACATGTATAATACGGAAATTTTATATCTATGTCTATATTTACACACACACACTCATATAGTTTTTATCTGGCATAGAAAGAATACCTTCAATATCTTGCCAAAGAGATATGCTGTATCTGATTATATACACTACTATATAGTTTGCAGAGGACTTGATCTTTTCACTATCTCTCAAAATATCATGTGGGCCCACTATCTTCACAAAATGACATTGATAGTACCAGGAAAGTATAAGCTTGTTAGTATTTGCCAGAAGACAGTAGATAAATGCAGGAAAATACAGAATTCTGTCACTTTAGTTAAGTGTGCTTTGTGAAGACCCAGGGATTTTTAAGATGATCAAGATAGTCTCTGCAAAATGGCAGAGCAATAGCTGCACTTTGCATTCCCCAGCACTAGGTAGGGATATAATATTTGATGAGTGAGTTTGAATTTAGGGGCAACAAACAAATCTGTTTTCTGTGTGACCCAAAAGGCTAGACACTTTGAGTAAGGCCCAAAGGAAGGAAACTCTGTCATGTGGCCCTTAAGATCCAGTGGAGCTGGTGGTTCATGAAATGTTTGCAGGATGCACATGGAGCCAGAAGTAAGCTCTGATAAGGGAATTGCAGTGGAGACTCCCTAGGGAAGACACGTTCTAGCCTCTGCCAAAGACACCACAGATTTGAATCTGAAGTTAATGACACCCAAAGATAAGAGCAGATATGATGATGGCAATTCTGTCCCATCTCCACAGGCAACAGTAAACACGCAGCATTATTCAGGGTCAAGTATGTGATGTCACTGTTTTGGGTAAAGCTGACTCCTAGTCACACTGGCAGCAACAGCAGAGGAGTTTTCTCTTTGATTAATTACACAGCATTATTTTGGGATTTTTTTCTGGCTGTGTGTCCTCTCTTTGGTCATCCTGGAGAGCCTATGAACTATCCAATGCTTTGATCACAAGTCATTTTCTGCTTAATAGGTCCAGTGCTGGTTTCTTTTGCTTGGAACTGAGAGTAACAACGGATCACATGCTATATTATTAAAATACTTCATATTGAGTATATGCTGGAAGAAAGAGGAGGCTTACAGCACTCTAGTAGTATTTTTGGTGGAAAAGAACTCTGAAAAACTGGTACTGTTGAAAAGATTAATCGGCTGATAGATTTGAAACTGTGTGCGACTCTAAACTAAATATTTCTCATAAGATTATGAACAATTACTTTTATAAGGTGAAATCAACAGTGGTAGACTGCTAATCCCCTTAAATAAAATCTAAGCCCTTCCTTACACACATAAAACAGAGGTTTGGCTTTTATTTTTTATGTTTTTAAATCACGCGCCTTTCCTACTTAGAAACACACAGTGACTCTCTACTGAAATATCTGCATGACTTTAACATGTCATTGTTCTTTGTTTAGTTTCATGATGTTTTATGCACATATTTTTAAAAGTACTTAATAAAAATAATATTGTCTTCAGAATTTCCCAACACATTTTAATGTTTAAAAGCAGAACTAGAGGCCGGATGCGGTGGCTCATGTCTTAATCCCAACACTTCGGGAGGCCGAGGCAGGTGGATCACGAGGTCAGGCATTTGAGACCAGCCTGGCTAACATAGTGAAACCCCGTCTCTACTAAAAATACAAATAAATAAATAAATAAATAAATAAATAAATAAATAAATAAATGCAAGCAGAACTAGAAAAAACTGGGCTTCCTTCAACTGGTTCTTCCTCACTTAAACCCAATCGAGATCTTAGCCAATCAAATACGTTTAACATCGCTTACAGATACACGTTTCCCACACACCTTCTTACATGCCATTGCACCCATATAAGATTTATTTATTTTCCACTTTAAAAATACACTCTTCATTGATTTCAAAACCTGAATCAAAAACATATTTTTCTAGATGAGTACTACTTTAACTAGAGACACTTCTCTTTTGGACCACTGCCATCGTGGGGTCCACTGGGGTATAAAGAAACAGCATTGAATTAAGAATCAGATGTTCTTAATTTTATTCACTACTCACTCGTTAATCCAACCAACATTCTTTTGAGGGCATTCTAAATGCTGCTACTTTCGCAAGTGTGGGAGATGTGAAGATGAGTATCTGACTTCAAGGTTCTGGTCCAATAGGGCAATGCATCCTACCTTTACCAGGTATTAAGCATTAAACCTTAGAAAAATCATTTTGTTTCTCTGAATCTTATTTTCTTTTTCATTAAAAAAGGATGATTTATGGGGTTATCACTGCCCAGAGATTGTGAATTTAACTGGATATTTAGAAAGGCTGAAGAGGAACTAAGGGTTGAGTACACCACCCCACTTGCACCTACTGACTTACATTAAAAAATTGATATAGTCTATCAGAAGAAGAATGTGGGCTGTGGAGTTTGACTACCTAGGTTTGAGTTTCAGCTCCTCTCTCCACTTACTAGCAGAATGAATGTGGGTAAGTTTTTAATTCCCTGTGCATTCACTATTTCTGTAAATCACTGTTTTTGGTGTGTTTACCATTTAGTGCACCCTCAATAATGAAGATAATGATGATAGTAGATTATACATATATATTAATTTATTTTTAAAGAGATGAGGTCTTGCTCTGTTGCCCAGGCTGGAGTAGAGTGGCCTGATCATAGCTCACTGCAACCTCAAACTCCTGGGCTCAAGCAATCATCCCACCTTGGCCTCCTGAATAGCTGGGACTATAGGCAGGAGCTGACATGCCTTGCTAGATTTTCTTTTTCTGGAGAAAGAAGGATGTGTATTTTTGTTGGGCCAGGGGTTTACAAAAAGGCAAGGGGCAAGAAGGTAAGGATGAAGGAGCATAAGTAAGAATAATCCTCCACATAATCTTATCAAAAGGATTTTAGCCATAATATTTAGAGAGAGAGGGCCAGAAGGTAGAGTAGAAAATTTAAGATTGTAAACCCTAAGTAAAAGCTGTGCTGGTTTGTTGTCCAGGTGAGAAAGCATGGCCCAGGGTTTTAGAAAGAGTAATTTTCATTTCTTTTCATGACCTCAGAACCAATTTGATCATATTTAAAAAGGCAGATTAGGAGGACTAGAAGAAATCATTGCTTGTCTGGATATCCCAAGCATCACAAGAAACACCTTAAGATACTATGTAACCCACAAGAGTTGAAAAATAGGAGCCAGATCAGAAATAGAAGATCACAAAAACATGTTTCAAATGGTGACTGTGGCTAACAGACTAGGTTGAAGGTGAGGCAACCTTTGGGGAACTCCTCAAAATAGTTGGAGTGGACATTGTCAATAGAATTAGGAAATTACATGAGCAGATAGAAGCAAGATGAGGAATTTGTGCTTGTTAGAATTCATATGATTTCATCTGTACTACAAGTAAGGCCTGATGGCATTTGGTTTATTCAAAAGGAGCATTTATACTATAAAGTGTTATACTGTTGTATGCTATAATGGTTAATACACATGCTAATTTCTATGTTACTTTTAACACGTTTCTAATTTTCTTTTATGTGCATTCTTAATTATTTCACAAACCCATTAGTTAATCTCTTTTTTCAAGGATAAATTAAAAGGTGTGTTTTAGTGTTTAAGCACTGCGGCAGTGCTTAAAATTGCTCAATTTACAATGCTTGATAAATATTAATTGATTATTTCAGAAAAAAATTAAGGGAATTTGTAAAGATACCTGTTGAACCATGAGATTAAAAAAATAAGCAGAGAAGTTCAAAGGAAAAAGAAAACACAGGTAAGAAAATAAATTAAAATTAGAATAAAGATTGTACCCAAAATGTCTTCGTATTTCCTAGGTGTATGTTATAAATTTACTTTTATGCTTCCTGGTAGCTAAGACAAAACTGGAATCTTGATCTGTTATATGAGTCAACATTCATATAATACAAATTAATTTTCCAGAAGACATACACTTATTCCTTCTACTGAAACCTAGACATACACTTATTCCTTCTACTGAAACCTAAGGCAAATATTTCTTCCTTTTCTCCCTTCTTTCCTTCCTTCCTTCCTTCCTTCCTTCCTTCCTTCCTTCTTTCCTTCCTTCCTTCCTTCCTTCCTTCCTTCCTTCCTTCTTGCTTCCTTCCTTCCCTTTTTCCTCTCCTCCTCCTTCTCCTTTTTCTTCTTCTTTCTTTCTTTTTCTTTTCTTTCTTTCCTTTCCTTTTTTCTTTCTTTCCTTTCTTCTTTTTTCTTCCTTTCTTCCTTTCCTTTCTCTCTTTGTTTCTCTCTCTCTCCCTTTCTTTGTTTCTTTCAAGACAGAGTCTTACTATGTTGCCCAGACTAGAGTGCAGTAGCTATTCACAGGTGTGATCCTACTACTGATCAGAATGGGAGTTTTGACTTGCTCCATTTCTGACCTGGGCCAGTTCACCCCTCCTTAGGCAACCAGTGGTCCCCTACTCCCAGGAGGTTATCATATTGATGCTGAACTTAGTGTGGACATCCAATTGGCATAGGGCACTATGGCCCAGAACTCCTGGGCTTAAGCGATTCTCCTGCCTCAGTCTCCCAAGTAGCTAGGGCCACAGGCATGCACCACTGTGCCTGGTGCAAATCTCTTTCATAAAGATGTTACCATATTATATAGTGAGCATCAACCATATCACAAACATTATGATGCCATTCTCAGGGGTGTTTATTCTAAGCAATGTAGACTGAGAGGTAATAGGAAAGTGAAAAATAATAAATTCAAAACTTTGAGGGACCAAGCAATGTGCTGCATGTGTCTCAACTCCCAAACAATCTTGTTTCAAGATAATGTTTAGAATATCAAGAGGAATCAGGCAATCTTCATAAATATGGCTTACCATCATGACTGTTAGATGTTTTCAGCAAAAGTTTCCCGTTATATTTCTTGCAATTCCCTAAAGAGTTGAGGTCATTTTTCAAGTAGATGCCAGTAAAATAAAAACAGTAACATCAACAACAATATCAGCATTGTCTTAATTATTAATTTTTTTAAAATTAGAGTATATTAGAATTCTAAGATGGCCATGTGATTCCTGCCCTATATCACCCATGCCCTTGAGTTATCTCCTCCACTTGACTCTGGACAAAACACATGAATTTGGCAAATATTATTCCCGTGATTACATTATGTTCGTTAAAGGTGAAAGGATATGCAAATGTAATCAGGTAATGTTAATATAATCAGAAGAAAGATTACCCTGGGTAGGCTTCACCTGATCAAGTGAGCTTTTTTTGAAAGACTTGAAGTAGCAGCTGCAGATACTTTTGTCAGCTGAAGAATGAGGTGGTTCATAAATTTAGAAAAAAGAGTACTATTTCTCATAAAGGGTTGTAGCCTGCAGTCTGGCTCTCTCCCAGGCTAGGAAGCACAGCCTCTGGCAAAAGCAGAGAGGAGCACTTTGAGGGAGGGAAGAATGAGACAGGAATTTATGCTGAATGGGTTGGCTAACATACATATTCAACAGATTATAGGAGGATCTCTGAATATTCATGAAGAGGAGGTGCACACATGCGTAGTAGGCTAACATGTATGCAACATGCGCCCCATGTTCACTTTGGGTAGAGATTTAACATTTAAATGTATTGCAATCAGGCTCTATACATCAAATGGTAGAGCAGAGGCCCAGAAGGCCCTCTGTGTGCAGCTTTCATAGACTGAACAGAGCCACTCCCTGGTCAGTGGTTTTTATCAGGAAGGAATGCTGGTCAGTGGCTGTGTCCAAACCACAAAAAAGAGGGGCAGCAGTCAGATTGTTGGGCGAAATCAGCTGTGAATGGCAGTTAGTAAGGGAGGAGGTATAAGGAGGCCTGTTCCACCTTCCATCCTGTCAGGACCAGGAACTCAGATTTTAAGTTTTTTCAGGAGTTCTTTGCCAAGAAGGGATCTGTTGAGTTGGTTGGGGAGCTTAGAACTGCATTTTTATTTCTCACTGTCTTCCGCTTTCAAGAAGCAATTTGCCGTGTTGTGAAGAGAGCTATTTTGGACATAAAGGTGGCCCATAGGAGATGAGAGCAACTCTAGTCAATAGCCAGCAAGAAAACTGGGACCCGAGTCCTACATCCACAAGTAGCTGGATTCTGCCAACACCTTGAAAGGAAATGGAAATGGATTATTCCCTCATCAAGATTCTAAGTGAGAACATAGCTCATCCATTGATTTCGGCTTTATAAGACCTTGAGCAGAGAACCCAGTTGAGCTGGGGCCAGATTTTTAGCTTACAGAACTCTCAGATAATAAATGGGTGTTGTTTTATGGTAATTTGTTACAGAGTAGCAGAAAATGAATATAAGGGTATTTAAATTAAAATTATAACTAAACAGCAATTCTGTGCTCAGTTCTATATAAGCGAATAAAAGCTTGTTTCCAAATTTATTTAGATACCTTACTAATCAAAACCTGATATAGATTATAAACAATAGGCTAACAGAAGATTCAATGATTGTTAAGTAGTTATGTTTGGAATTTTAAAATAATATTTTCTTGAAATACATCTGTAGATTTAATGATATGTGGCAATAATAAAATACCTTAGATGCTTCCAGATTTTGAAAATTAAAACAGAACAGCAGTGGATTTGAGGTTTCTGCTTAGGTTTTTAGCAATTGCTA
Source organism: Homo sapiens (assembly GCF_000001405.40). Classification (NCBI taxonomy): domain Eukaryota; kingdom Metazoa; phylum Chordata; class Mammalia; order Primates; family Hominidae; genus Homo; species Homo sapiens. The sequence goes on along the minus strand of NC_000005.10, from coordinate 44,714,160 downwards.
TCTCTAATAACTGCTTGGAATGGATGAAACATTGATTGAAAAAGGAATGAGGAGTTGGTAGAGGTCAACTAAACATTTGAAAAAAAGTTTGACCTGATTTAGGGCATAAGTAAAGCATAATATGTTATAACCCATAATATTTAAATGCATGCAATTAATATATATGGTGATAACTGCATGAACATTTTGAAGGACTCTTGAGGGGAGAATACCCAGGAAGAATGAAAATAATTGAGTAATTCTCTGAAACATCCCAGGATTATTTAAAAAGGTGAGGGGGATAACACAGCAGTAGTTGCTTAATGCAAAAATCAAACTGACTTAACTAATTGTTTAGTAAATGTTGATCAGAATGAGACTTTTATTCTTAATGGTTAATTAGTACCTAATTAAGTCAGTTAGGAAGATCTATTGACCCTAGAACTCACTACAGCCTTTGTGTAACCCCTTGCCTGCTCCTAGGGAGTATACAGCATTTGCCATGTGGACAGCGGTCAAATGTTAATGGACCATATGCATTGATGAGTAATGTTTCATGTAAGGAGGATGCTTAGAGTGCATACAAATACAAAACAAACCCTTTAGTTACAGGGAGTCTTAAAGTATGATTGTGAACAGTTACTCTCGCCAACAATAAGAACCCTCTAATGGGAGCTCTGCCATCGTTCCCTTGAGCTAGCCAGACTGCTTATGGCTTTAGGGTTTACTCCCCCTCTGACAGCTAACATAAACATTCTAATGCAGTTATGGAAAGAAAGAAAATTCAGAAGATAAGCTTGCTATAAAGATGATCAAGCCTAAAACAGGGAAAAAATGGTATATTTTCTTTCAGCCTTCTAGATGCTACAATTCATGTGACAAGAGTAAATTAGAATGCAATGACCATGCATTTTCTGCTACAAAAAAATCAAACCTATATTATTCTTTTAATAATTAATTGGTCTAAAGCTTCCATTGTGCAAAAATTGGCAGCAGAGCTGCCTGTTTTCACAAAACCAACACTTAACATTTTAATATTTGTAAGTAATCATTACTTTTAGCCTGGAAAAAATGGATTGAATCTATAAGGGCTAATATTTTTACATTAATTTCTCATTTTTTCATAAAAACTCTATGAGGTAAATAGTGCTAGAATCATTATTTGTATTTGAGAGACAGGAAAATTAATGACTGAAGTTAAGGGACTTAGCTGAGGTGGTATAGCAATGCTACTGGGAGAAGCCAAGTTTGCTGCCAAAATAGTGCTTTTTGTCACAGGACTACATTTTCTTGCTCAAAAGAGGATAAAATATTATTATGGGCAAGAGAGCCATTTTCCTGGAATATTATTAATTTCATTTCTAACTTTAATGATGTTATTGTGGTGTTGGAGATAAAGCAATTTAGCTTTGTTAGAAAAAGTAGGAAAAAATTACAGGCCTGTGAAAGCCATTCTGTAATTAAGTTAATAGTCATAGATTTCTCACTTACTCTCCACATTTTTCCAACCACAGTTAACTCTTTAGGGTACTATGTTTGGTGAATCATATAGCCTTTTTAATATGAAGTGCATATTTGACAAAATGAATGATAATGTAGTGAGTTACATTAAAGCTAAAACAGCATATTTGATCTTGGCATTTGCAGATTTTTGATACTTACTTTTGACTATTTGTTGGGAGTGAGCTTGAAGATTTATGACGTGGAATTTGTCATTACATTAGGTACCCCTTTATATCATCTACACTGATAACATACGAGGTAATTGTGTATAGTGCTATATTCCACTAACGTTTTTATCATATAAAATCACTTTAAATATCTTAGGCCTCTTGTTATAAATCCCTTTTTATAGAGCTGCAGTTGTGTTGAGGTATTGAGTAATAGTGCAAATGCCAGATAAACTAGCTTTTTGTCTTTCAGGGAGAAATAGAAACAGCATTTTAAATGCTAGTGTAAATCAAATTTTGTGCTTTTTAGTATGCAGTTTAAAAAACTTCACCATGTGTATTCTTTCTAGGTCACCAATGACGTACATGTTTATGTTTTTGTGTGTGTGTGTATAATTGCAAACCCCATGGCCCTTTTCTTTGTTCTCATTCTCTTTGATGATTCTGTAGCATCCAAAATTGGTGACTCCACCCTTCCTGAACTGTCTTACTCCATTGGCTTCCATGAAATAATGTCCTAATGTCCTGTTTGGCTTCCTGCTTCTCTGATTAGTGCTTTTTTGTTTCCTTAGCTGGCTCCTCTTCTTTAATCACTGATACTACTGAGTTCCAGTTTTGGGACCTCAGTCCTGTTTTTTTTTTTCTGTATACTTCCTTTCCAACTATGCTGATGAGTTTCAAATATCCATTTCCAGATAATTCTCATCTAAGTTCTGGTTCTATACATATATATATGTTTCCTGAGATTTTAACATGAGCTCCCTGCTGTAACCACCAAGTGAATGTGTTTGCATGTGAACTCATAATGTTCTCCATCTTGCATCTCTCCATCAGTTATGCTTACCTGGGATTGAATATCAGAAGTTATCTTTTATTCATATGTTTCTTTGACACTTGCAATAGTAAGTAGTTAAAGAAAATTAACATTAATTAAAAATTTAAATCCAATTTTACTTCCATCTAGATAATAATGCTATAATAAAATTATTTAGAGGATTTCTCTCTTGCAAAATCAGAGCCAACCTGATCTTGACCCACCACTTTGATGAGGTCTGTCTTCTACTCTGAAAGCTTCCATATACCCTATTTCTTATCAAGGTACGTTTAGGCTCCTCAGCCTGGATTTAAGGCTTCTATTAACCAGATCCTACTCTACTTGTCCTACCTACTTTCCTCTGTTCTTTTATGAACACCTTTCTCTTATATCAGAAAATACTTTTTTAAATCACTGAGCATATCACACTCCTCAGTCTGAACCCTCTGTTATTGGCTTGATGGTTGACTTGCCTGGCATCCTTCTTTATCCTCTTCACCTCTGAATCTCCCAGGCATCTTCCAAGTTCCAGTTCCATTCTCATTTCCTTATGACAGTAGTCCCCCATAAATATGATTACTACACTTACTCACCATTTAATCAGACATAGAGGGTGTATCCCACAAAATACCACTGACACATGTTGTTTCATATATTTTAGTTTAGATTAGAAATATCCTGAGGCAAGATACATGTTTAGTAAATAGTGTGTTGGACCCTGGCTCCTAGAGTCATATATACAAAATAGATGGTCAATAATTAATAGTTGATTGAAAGCTCTGGTTTATCAGTTTCCTAATTTACATTATTTCAGTATCCACCTGGTTATTTGGAAAAATAAAGTGATACTTCAAAGCTTGAAGGATAAATGAAATCACATTCTCTTCTTTAGTAGAGAACACAGTTTTCCACATCACCTTTGGGAAAAGAGAGTAAACATTAAACCCTTGATTTTTTCAATTAAGCAAAATTATTTTGCAAGTCTGCCCCTAAGTTTATCCTAGTTTATTAACAGAAAGCACCTGAGACTAATTACTTTCTGGCTTACAGAAACCCTGTTTGTTTTTAGATCTGCCATTTAAATATAGATATAGCTTTGATAAATGTAATTACTTATACCTAGACAATGTAACATTCTTTGTTTCTATGGCTGGCTGAAGTTCTATCATTAAAGGTGATTTTAATTTGGAAATTCAAGATGTTGTAAATTAAATTCTACAGATCTTAGAAGAGAAGGAAAATATTTGAAGTGCTTTTCTGGTTGTTCTATAAACTGCGGAAAAACTGCCCATTGTAATCTTAATATGTTCATTAAGCTGAAACTTCTTATGTGGATTTACAGCAGTAAATTTTTACTGTGTGGCTTACTAGCTGAGTAGTTTGTTCTTTCAGATTTTTGATATTAAAATTGTTTTGTTTAATCTCTTACATATTTCAGGCCTGTCACACATTAAGTAGCATATCTTTTATGTGGCAAAATGAGTTCAAGTTGATATTTTTGTTTAGTTATTATTAATTTGACCCTGCCCATTATTTCAGGGTTTTGTGTGGGGAAGGTGGAAGGAGCTAGAGTAGGTGAAGATAAAATAAGTAAGCCAGGCATGATGGAAGCAACTTTCTTAGCTTGCTCATAAACTAGAACAGCACTCCTCATAGAATGCACAGCTGAATATGAGTGGAGTGAGTGTGACATGGGCTGTGGGCTGCCACCTTACATTACTGGAAGATCAAGTTGCTGCTCAGTGGAAGGGTAGCATTTTGGGCAGCACTTTAATGCACTTCTCAAGATTTCTACTTTAGGCTGGGAGCAGTGGCTCATGCCTGTAATCCCAACACTTTGGGAGACTGAGGCGGGTGGATCATTTGAGATCAGGAGTTCAAGACCGCCTGACCAACACGGTGAAACCCCATCTTTACTAAAATACAAAAATTAGCCGGGCATGGTGGTGGGCACCTGTAATCCCAGCTACTCAGGAGGCTGAGGCAGGAGAATCTCTTGAACCCAGGAGGTGGAAGTTGCAGTGAGCCAAGATTGTGCCACTGCACTCCAGCCTGGGTGACAAAGAGAGATTCCCTCCCTGCCATCCCCTCCAGAAAAGATTTCTACTTTGCACTTGACAAGAATACCATTCCAACATACCCAGTTTTTCTGCAAGATTTGGTGGTGAGACATTTGAGTGGGAAGAGGGATGGAGAAATCTGAACCTCACTTTACTGAAGTCCTTCAATAGGTCTGATGCAGAAAAACCCTCTATTAGGCAAATAACTTGAGAATTAGTTATCAATTACACTAATAGTACTCAAACACACAATACCTAAAAAATTGAAATAAGTATACAGCTAAAGTCCATTTTAAGAATATTGTTAATTCTGACCCCTCTTTTTCCTCAGATACATCATTATAAACTTGATGTGTAAGCTTTTTCAGTTAATTTATGTGCATCTATATGCCATTACAGAAAATACATAACATTGTTTTAGATTATATTTTTAATAGCGTTATTAGGGTATAATTCATATCACACAATTCACCCATTTAAAGTGTAAAATTGAATAGTTTTTAGTATATTTATGGAGTTGTGAGTCTATCGCCACAACCGATATTAGGACATTACCCTGTTCCCATTACTTTCTACTGTAATGTACTAGCCATAGTTCTAGGTGGTGGAAATACAGGTAAAAATATGATCCAGTTGCTGCTGTCAGGAAGCATTTATACTAGCCAATATTTTTCAGTGCCATTTATTGAACTTGTCTTCCTTTCTTCACTAATTTGAAAAGCAACATTTATTGCATAAACACACACCCATGTGCAAACGTGCGCGCATGCACACACAGACACATACACATTATGTGGCAGCCATGGGAACACACCACTCAGATCTCCTGCTGCAGAGAGCCCAACTGATTGAAAGTCTCAGTGCCAACTCGCAGGAGTCACTCTGAGTCACCCGGGCAAATGCTATCAGTTTCAATCAGTGGCTAATAATACCTCTATAAAAATTTTTTTGCTGGTTGTCCTAGATTCTGCAATTTATATTTTTAATGAATCTAAATATACCCTCAGATAACACTATTTTCATGTGTAGTACCTGTGCCTTATAACAGAATATTCCCAATTCCTCCTTCCCATCTCTTATTGTCATTTATTTTACTTACCTATATGTTATAATCATTCGATACATTGTTATTTTAAAAATAATCCATAATTTTTAGATTAATTAAAAATAAAACAATTTACCTTACCTTCATTCATTCTTTTTCTGACACTGCCTTTTTTTAACATAGATCTGAATTTCTAACCTATATAATCTTTTTTGTCTCTGAAAAATTTCTTTTTAAATTTCTTTTAGATCAGACCTGTTGGTAAGGTAATAAATTCCATGAGTTTTTGTTTGTTTGGTAGAGTCCTTATTTCCTTGTTTCTAAAGGTTAATTTCACTGAATATAAAATTTTAGTCAAATATTTATTTTTTTCTTCTTTCCAACACTTTAAATATTTCACTCCATTCTTTTTTTGCTTGCATAGTTTCTTATGGGAAACTCATTATAATTCTCATGCTTGTTCCTCTATAGTAGTGGTCCCCAGACTTTTTGGCACCAGAGAGGTTTTGTGGAAGAAAATGTTTCCATAGACAGGGAGGCAGGGCAGGGGATGGCTTGGGGGTGAAACTGTTCCACCTCAGATCATCAGGCATTAGATTCTCATAAGAAGCACACAGCCTAGATCCCTTGCATGTTCAGGGTTTGTGCTCTTACGAGAATCTAATGCCGCCACTGATCTGACAGGAGGCGGAGCTCAGGTGGTAATGCCCTCACTTGCCCGCGGCCTGGGAGTTGGAGACCATTGCTCTATAGGTAAGGTTCTCTTTGGCTTATTTCAAGGTTTTCTCTTTGTCTTTGTCTTTCTGCAGTTTGAATATATATGCCTATGTGTAGATTTCTTGGTATTTGTCTTGTTTGCTGTCCTCTAGTCTTCCTGGATCTGGTTTGATGTCTGTAATCAATTTTAGAAAATTCTTAACCATTATTACTTCAAATATTTCTTTTGCTTTATTCTTTTATGCTTTTCTTCCTTTACCTATCTTTTCTGTGTTATAAATGTCTTTTGTTCATTCCTTTGGCTTCAAGTTGGCAATTGAACTTGATATGTATAAGATGCAGTTCAACTGATTCTTTTAAAAATGTTTATACTATAACTTAATTTCTAGTTTGTTGAATTGATTAAATACTTTAATAAAATATAACAGAAGCAATTATAGGATATTTATACACTTAGAAAAGCATAAGGAAATTCTGCTTATTATTGCTAGAAAAAAGAAAGATGTTAAAATTAATCTTTTAAAATTACAGAGGTACAAATATAACCAATTAAAGAAACAAGAAAGAAAGGGAGTCTTCCCTTGTATTATTTAATGCAACTAAATACTATTATTTCTTCAACCTAAAACTTAATAATCTCAAGTAAATAATGAATTAGTATTTTAAATTAAAAATAGCAATATGAACTAATTATTTAGAAAAAATGCAACCATTGGTTGTAAAAACAGCAATAGGTTTTAGAGACCAGAAATGTGGGCAAAGGCATATTTTTTATATTCTTAAGAGCCATTTGGTATTTTTAGTTAAAAACTGCACATATTACTTCAATACAAAGTTTTAAAATCAGGTTATTCTATAGTAAACTTCATTGTAGCTAAATCTGCATATTATGTCTGTCATTGTTTTTTCAGTTACAGTTCTAGGAATTGAATTTCTGTGTGAAAGGCATATTCAATATTAAACATTTTCACACTATTACCAAAATGCTTTTCTGAAGATTTAAACATCTTTCCATGAGCTTTCTTCACAGCTTTCCCATTCAGCTACTGTTCATAAAGTTTTTGCAGTTATGGCTAGATGATAAACTAGAAATATTTTCATTGTATATGAACAAGTCTAATAAAGATAAAGAACTACTTCATAGAAAAATAATTCATGAATACATACATCAGTTTACAAAAAAGATGAGTTCATGAATACCATAAAATATAGCTTTTTTGTCTATTTGGGTTATTGATTTTGCATTTACTTCAATCTTAACTCTACCTTAATATCTCATTTTTTATTCCCTGGAAGATAATTTTTTTTAAAAAGGGCAATAGAAATTCCATAGAAAACAAACAAAAAATCTACATGTATCTATTTTTTGCTAAACCTGAATGCAGCAAAATAGCATTTTTAGCTTATAACTTCTTTGAGCAATGATCGGTTGGGCTGTAAGATAAAAATATTTGCTTTTTTTATGCTGTGTTCTTTCCATAGTCAATAAAAAGCATCCCACATTTTACTGGCATTTCTATGTCAACATGTCTAAAATAATCTAATTTTGATCATGGAAGCACTACACATCTGATTCAAATATGAATCTAATTCTATTACTTCTCTTACCCCATTGGTTCACAAAATCACAATAAGAGTGCTCCTAAATATTTTTTTCCCTCAATGGAAACCGCCTTCATTCACACACTTCTTTCATACCTTCACTAAAAATAAATCCCCAAACTGATATACTTGCTTACAGTATATTTCCTTTTTAATCCTTTCTCCTCCTTCTATGTGGAGTCCTCTTTCAGAAATAACAAATCTGAGTTTGTTTCTTCCTTTAGTGGCACCCTACCTATGTTATAAAGCCCAAACTCCACTGGACATGCTAACGGTAATTCCTGACCTGGCCTGTGCCTTGTTCTCCAGCCTCTTTTCACATGCTGTTTCCTCAGATCAAGTATTTCAACATGTCAAACTCTTTATATTTCCCTGTCCACAATATACTGTTTCATTCTCACTGCTTTGCACATGAAATCTTTACCTCCTTATGTAATCTTCAAATGTCCAATAATGATATAATATTTAGAATAGATGTATATATTATAGTAAATCAAGATAGGATGAACAATACGTATAACAAAGTAAGCAATGGTGGTTTCTGTTTTAATAAACTGAATTACTTGGCTTTCTTGCATTTGGATGACTAAAAATTACTTCAGTATAAATTCTAAGTATTTACCTACAAATTCGGTGTGGAAATATGAAACAAGACAATGTATATTTAGGATATATAGGGCATAGACATATATTATTCCATAGCAAGAAACATTATTTAAAGAGTTTATCTTTTTACTTGTTTCAGAAAGTCTTTGAATAAGGTAACTTTGTGCTTAATTCAGCTACCCTAAATATCGACTGTTGCTATTCTAAGTTTGCTCTTCAAATCAGCATCAGTATCACCTGGAAATGCGTGAAGATACAGAGTCTCAGGTATCGCCAGTATTCCTAAATCAAAACTTGCATTTTAATGAGATTTCCAGATGATTTATAGAGATATTAAAATTCAAGAAACACTAACTTTTCGAGTATGTGTCTTATAAACCTCCTACTTTGTTTGCACGTGTTGCACCTACTAACACACACAACACTGAACTGTTCACCGCTTGCTTTCCTGGCATGCACTATAGTAATAGATTTAATTATCCCAAAATATTCTCATTGAAAATTATGTGTAGGTTGTAGAAATCCTGGCAATATCAGTGGTTAACTGTTCATTTGCCACATCTCACTGTGTAAGATGTTAGTGTCACCATCTGATACTGCTCTGTTTGCACATTCATTGTTCAGACTTTGTAGCCTGTTTGATTTTTGAGCTATCTAATAATTTCACTAATTTCAGACTCTTCCTAGACCAATGATGTGTATGTCTTCATTAGCACAGATCTTAGTACTTGTCCTTATAGAAAGTCATGCGCTTAGTTACTTTGAGGCAACAGCTTGGTACAGGCAAATACATTTTAAAGGTAAAATTATTCTTCATTTTCAACATTGTTTTGGTATTTAAGTACTATGCATTCTCATATACATTTAAGGTCAGTTTTTAATTTTTTTTAAAAGCCAGTTGGGATATTGGTTAGAATTGCAGTAGATCTATGTGGAGACAATTGATATCTTAATAATATTGATCTTTCCAATCCACAAACATGGTATATCTCTCCACTTGTTTAGGTTTTATTTCTCTCTTAATGTTTATAGTTTTTAGTTAGAAACCCCATATGCCTTTTGTATATTTTTATGCTAATACAGAAATATTTTGATGTTACCTTTTGTTTTGTGAAGTGGTATATAAATGTGATTTTTTTCTCTGTATTTACTCATACACTGTGTCATTGCTAAATTCACTTATTAGTTCCACGAGTTTTATGTAGATTATTTGAAATTATCTATACAAACAATCATGTTGTCTGTGAAATAAAGACAGTTTATTTCTTCTTTTCCAATCTGCATGCCTTTCATGTCTATTTCTTGCTTTAGTAAACTGGCTAGAACTGAGAACAATGGAGATGGTCATATAGAAAAGGCGATATTGGGGTATCCTGGGTTTTTTTTCTATCTTAGGGGAAAGTATTCAATGTTCATTGAATGTTCAATGTATTCAATGATGTATTCAATGAAAGTATTCAATGATGATACTTTCAATGATGATAATTGTAGGCTTTACATAAGTGCCATTAAATTAATTGTAGGCTTTACATAAGTGCCATTAAATTAATTGTAGACTTTACATAAGTGCCATTAAATTAAGAAATTTCTCTTGTATTCCTATTTTCTTATTTTGCTGAGTTTTTTCATGAAAGTTAGTTAAATTTTGTTAAATGTGTTTTTCTACACTTATTGAGGTGCTTCTATGGTTTTCTCCTTTATTATGTTAATATAATGAATTATATTAAATAGAATGTAATTTAATTTGAATGTTCAATCAAACTTCCATTCCTGGGATAAACTTTATTTGATCTTGAGGTATTTATATATACTTACATATATTTAGGCTTTGATTAGCTAATATTTTGTTAAACATTTTTAACACTAATATTTATTAGGGGTATCAGTAAGATTTTGTTCCTTGAAATTTTAGGATTTGATGCCAGGGTTATTTTGAACCCGTCAAATGAGTTGATATGTTTTCCTTACTTCTCTGTTTCCTGAAAGAATTTGTATAGGATTAATGTTATTTCTTCCTTATGTGTTTGATAAAATTCACCAAAGAAACATTTAAGCTTGGAGCCTTTTTCATGGGAAGGTTTATAAGTGCAAATTAAATTTCTGAAAAGGAAAAAATCTGAAATATTCTATATTTCTTTCTTAATTTTGAAAGATTTTAAATGTAATATAGAATTCTGAATTGGCAGATTTTCTTTCATCATTTTGAAGATGGCCTTGTTTTTTTATGACCTTAACTATTACTGATAAGAAGTCAACCATTATTTCATTATTACTGTTCCTCTGTGTGAAATATGTTTTCTCTTGTTACTTTTAAGGTTTTTCTTTTTATCTTTGGTTTTAAGCAGTGTGACTGTGTTGTGACTTTGAGTTTCTTTTTATTTGTATTAATTTGCAGGGTTTTTTTTCTGATTTTATTGGACCTGTTGATAAATTCTACTGAATTTTTAAAATTTGGCCATTGTGTTTGAAATACTTTTGTCTGCCCAATTCGCTTTTCCCAATTACCTTGATAATTTGCCAGAGGTCATTAAAAATTTGTCATTATTTTCAATGTTTTTTTTCATCTTTTCTTCAGTTTGGAAGATGTTTATTGATTCATCTACAAGCTTATTGATCTTTCTATCCTTTCCCATTTGTTGCTAAGCCTATGTGGTAAAAATTTCCCATTTCATAAATTGTACTTATTAGCTCTAGAATTTCCCTTTGGTTCTTTTATGCAATTTGCATTATTCTCTGCTGAGATTCCTCATATGTTCACTTGTTATATTTCCTTTACATTTAGTCCATGTACGTATTCATAGCAGCTATTAATTTCAATATCTGGATTATATCAGGATTTGTTTATATTGATTGTATTTTTTTTCTTGATTTTAGATCACATGTCCATTCTCCTTCAAATGCCTCGTATGTTTGAATGTATGGTAAACTTCGTGGATATTAAATTGTAGAAAGGTTGCATTATGTTGTACTCCTGTAAAGGGTACTGAATTTTCTTTCACCCGGTTGATTTTATCATTTGCTCTATTAGGTCTGTTTCAATTTTGTCCACTGTCAAAGGGTTAAGTTCTTACATTAGAGTGTGGTCCTTACTCCTACAGTATGCCCTTTCTGAGGTCTAAACTGAATGTCCAATGAGCTCTGTGGAATATCTCTACTCTGCCTAGGTCAAAAGGTTAGCATCTCACGGCACTAAAAGAACTCTGATATATTCATTCAATTCTCAGCACTAGTGCAGCTGCTCTCTGTTTTTCAATGTTTTTTGATTTATTATTTCCTTAACAATCCTAAGTATTTAGGCATTTCACTTTTTAGGCTAACACTAACCAGGGTCTCTCTAATATTTCCTCATGACCAAACTCAGGCTCTACACTTTTGATATAAATCTTCACAACCTATGCATCTGACAGGACTAATATCCAAAATCTACAATGAACTCAAACAAACTAGAAAGAAAAAAACAATTCCATCAAAAGTGAGCTAAGGATATGAATAGACAATTCTCAAAAGAAGATACACAAATGGCCAACAAACATATGAAAAAATGCTCGACATCACTAATGACCAGGGAAAATCAAAACCACAGTGCAGTACCACCTTACTCTTGCAAGAATGGCCATAATAAAAAAAAATTTAAAAATCGTAGATGTTGGCATGGATTTGGTGAACAGGGAACACTTCTACACTGCAGTGGGAATGTAAACTAGTACAACCATTATGGAAAACAGTGTGGAGATTACTTGAAGAACTAAAAGTAGAACTAGCATTTGATCCAGCAATCCCACTACTGAGTATCTATCCAGAAGAAAATAAGTCATTATACACACATATATTGCACACACATACTTATAGCAGCACAATTTGCAATTGCAAAAATGTGGAACAAACTCAAATACCCATCAATCAATGAGTGGATAAAGAAACTGTGATATATATATATATATACACACACACAATGGAATACTACTCAGACATAAAAAAGAATGAATTAATGGCATTCACAGAGATCTGGATGATATTGGAGACTATCATTCTAAGTGAAGTAACTCAGGAATGGAAAACCAAACATTTTATGTTCTCACTCGTAAGTGGGAGCTAAGCTATGAAGATACAAAGGCATAAGAATGACACAATTGACTTTGGAGACTCAAGGGTAAGGGTGGGAAGAGGGCAAGAGATAAAAGACTACAAATTGGGTGCCGTGTATATTGCTTGGGTGACAGGTGCACCAAAATCTTACAAATCACCACTAAAGAACTTACTCATGTAACCAAACACCACCTGTTCCCCAATAACCTATGGAAATGATAAAATTTTTTAAAAAAGAAATACCACAGAAAAGATGCTGCTCTTTATGAAGCATCATATCTAAGAACATTCCAACACATCCCCCCAGTAGTGGTGGTAACCTTGATCACCTAATCAAGTTGATGCCTGACAGATCTCTGCAATGTAAAGTCATAATTTTCTTTCCCCTGTGTTTTGGATTGCTGTTTTGTGGGAAGATATTCAGACATTTCACTAACATCCTGTTCTTCATCATACCTTCAGCCTACAGCTTTAGCATTCAATCTACATCCATAGCATCCATTGACTGTTTGTCACTGCTTGTATTAACTGACTCTGTGATAGTTGCCCAAGAGTAAATATCCATTTCCATCCTAACTTCTACATACTGGAAATTGGCATTTTGCTGTAAGAAAGATCCTTCCTTTTCCCTCATTTATATATTTACCCAATTATTTATATCAGTGCATAGTCATGGATTTCCATTGTATATGATGGGCTGTATTCTCATACTCTCATTATTTATTTTGTCCTAGATATGACCAGAGGAAACTCCTTCAATCTGCCACATTTCTATTATTGAGCATTTTCTTACTTTCTGACAAAACAAAATATTTCAAGGTCATCTTGAATTTTTCTGACAGCAGTCCTGGTACAACCACCATGTCAAGGAACTCTAGCTTCTTTTATTGGAAGACTGTGAGATGGTGTTTGGATTGCTTGACATCTTATTATTGAACTGTAAGGGTTCTCCACATATTCCGGATATAAAAATTTTTGGAAATATATATGACAATTTCTCCCAGTCTGTTGATTGCCTTTCCATTTTCTTATTGGTGTACTTGAAGAGTACAAGTTTTAATTTTGGTGATATAGAATTTATCATTTTTTTCTGTTTTGGGGAATAAGGGAATTGGTTTTTTATGATCCTGTGTATGTAATCTCTGCCTACCCAAAGATTATAGAGATTGTATTCTATGCTTTCTTCTGAGTTTTATAGAATCAGCTTTTTTTTACATTGAGGCCTGGGATTAATTTCAAAATATTTTTTTGTATTGTATGAGGTAGATGTAGAGACTATGTTTTATTACATGGCTATTTAGTGGATCAAACCATCTTAGTTCTAAAAGTTTATGCTCTTAATTTTATTTTGCTCCACTCCTACAACACAACTTGTTTCTTCTTTTCATGTCTTTAGTTTGACTTTATTTATGTTGTAAAGACAATTTTTTTCAGCTTTATTTATTCCATCCTAAATGGAATGCTTTTGTCTTCTTTTCACGCACTTGATCTTCTAATTTCACTTGCTTTCTAGATTTGTGATTCTGCTTTCCAGAAAACTTCACAGATTTTCCTGTCCACTTAAATTTGAATTCTATTCTAACTTTATGGCTTATACATTTAACATAGTTCTGATACTCTTTCTTGACTCTGCCCCTTCTTACTTTTTCTTACTTTTTCATATTTTCTTACATTTTAACATTATTACATAAAGTCTAGTATGGATAGATAATTACAGGTACCTATGGGTTACCAGTTCTTTTAGCCCCACTACTGATACTTTAAGATGGTTATCACAAACAAATTTGAAGAGTAATACTTAGTCCACATATCTACATATGTATATCATAGGATGTAGAGGGGTGTGCAGGACTAAACCTAAGCATCTTAAGACTACGTTAATTTAACTTATTCTCAAGATACAGGTAGATATAATGAAGAGTTATTAAAGGTGTAATAATGATTACAGCAATCATATCATAACTATGATATAAATTATAATTATAAATTATAAAATATCATTTGGGGTCTAGCTGATGGAGAACTTATTCTTAACCCAGACATAGTTTGTGATTAAGGTTTTTGATCTTGAATAAAGCATAGTGTTATTTACAAGATATTTTAGCAAAAATAATTTTTAATTGAAGATATTTTATGCATCTAAAAACATTCATTTTTATGTTAAGCTTTGAAAAATTAGTCACCCAATCAAAAGCCTTAAATATCTTTATTACATAACAAAATTATATTTAAATTGAACATCTTTGAAACTTTTATAACAACATAGTCTTTTTTCAAAGTATTCTATCACAATTTAAATTCTTATAATTTAGATTTGTTTTCTTAAAGTTATTATATGTTTTTTTCAAGTTAATGCACATTTTCATATTCCCCTCATAAATTAGCATTTATAAAATGTATTTTCTCTTGTTATTTATGTTTGGTAACACACATTTTTATAGAACCAGAGGCAAAAAATGTATTAGGGATTTAGGTGTGTGTATGGTGTCCATTTCTTCTGATTTTTGTCATTAAAATTGTGTTTTGAGGGGATCATGTGGGATGAGAGATTGAAGGAAGATGATAGAGCATGATCCATATAGCCTTTTAAAAATTATTTCAAATACTACAATGGTGCCTTCCAGTGGAATTACATTTTTTGCAGCACCTGTAGTCTGGGCAAACTGTTCTAGGTTAGCCAATTGGGATGACCATTATTTGAAAGACTCAATGAAAATGTGCCTGAGGTGGCCACTGAGCATCCCACATGCTTGCTTGTTTCTCTTTGACTCTACATCTCTGTTGCTTTGGTTTTAGATCAAGCAGTTCTCAATAACAAAGTAATGTTTTCTGACTTCTCTGTAACTTGCTGCCATTTATGTTTCTTAGGTTGAAGTCTGGAAGTGCCTTTTCTCAATGAGTGTCCTGTTTATGTCAGAAATGGGTAAAAGATGTGGGGAGCAAGCAGCTGTGACCCAACTCACCCAGAACAATGCCAACTGACCTTGGACTCTGAGAAGTTACTTAGAATGAACCAGGGGTATAATTTATACCTGATCTTGACCTCACATCTTAAGGATGAGAAGAGGATATTTGTTATAAACAATAAGCTTTCCCATTCAGAAATTACTCCTTAGTATCTCTACTATAAACAGGTGGAAGACACTTTGCATTCACAAACACTATGCTGTGACCACCTAGAAATAGATAAGCAAATATTATTTCTTAAATTATTTAAGAGTATATTTCCAAAGAAATCACTCAACATATATAAAAAGTAAAGAGTGACAAATAATTTCATTATAAGTTGTATAACACATTTTGGAAAGAGTACTGACTATTCCAAATGAAGCAAGATTAAGGAGATTGAGAGGAAGATATTACAGAACCAAATATTTGCTTTTATTGAACAACATTGTTCGGCACAGAGAGTAAGTAAATACTTAAAATTAAAATCAAACAATCCATAAATCAACAACCTTATCCCTGAAAAGTTTTATATTTTTTACAGTTCTTTATTCATTCTTTACATCTACAATTTGTTCATAAGTATAATCACAGAGTAGACATACTTTTATCCTGGCTTTTCTTATTTATCATCTTTCAGAAGATATTCTCCAGGTTACTGCTATTATGTTCATATACACTTTTATGTCTATCACAGAGGTTCGCAAACGACAGCCTAGGGACCAGCCACACATTTTTGTAGATAAAGTTTTGTTGGAACACAGTTACTCTCATTTGTTTCTATATTTTCTATGGCTGCTTTTGTTATACAGTAGCACATAGCACAGTTAAATATATGGCCTGCAACCTTGTAAAAATAAAAACAAGTAAAAAAATTAAATTATGCAAAAACTAAGTATACATTACACATCCATAATATCAAATTATATTAAAAACTTTAAAAGAGCAATGTACATTTATGTAAACTAATACAGAAACTCTGTGACATATACTATCACACTACCAAAGCAAATTATAAAACAGTATTTAGAATATGATTCTACTTACATAAGGCGCATATGTAAAAAAATTACATATTTATATCATGCAGGTATATTCCAGGAGTTATTCTAATCATTTCCATGTATAGATACATATATGTACATACATATATATCTGTAACCAAAACATTGGTTCAGTTGCTTGCCACTTGCAGTGTCCAGTTAACAAAAGCGAGGTCTGGTGTAAAGAAGGTAACTCTTTATTTCAAAGCTAGCTTAAGGGAAGAAGTGCAAGCTTTGTACTTTAAGGGCACTGCTTCGCTTTTGGAGCAGGAGGTGAGCACACAGAGTGGGGGGAAGTAAGCAGGTGGGGAGTCTGTGTTAGCTAGGTGCCTTATCTACTGGGTGGTCAAGCTGGTGACTGCTGCCTTCTTCACAGGCAGGCATACTTTGTGTTGTAAATTGACTGTTATCTCTCAAGGCAACCTCCTTGTGGGTGAGAGTTCCTTTCTGGAGCAGGTAGC
The DNA here is from genome assembly GCF_000001405.40 of Homo sapiens. Lineage (NCBI taxonomy): Eukaryota > Metazoa > Chordata > Mammalia > Primates > Hominidae > Homo > Homo sapiens. The sequence continues at coordinate 44,697,131 of NC_000005.10, read as the reverse complement.
TAGATGCACATAATTAGATGAACTTGCCCAGTAAGGAGTGTCTGGTGAAGAGGACGTAAAAGGCTATATTTGCTTTTCTGAAGGGCTAAGTAGGAAGTGGGAAAAAGGAGGAAAGAGAAAAGAAGAAAGAGAAAAATAAACTATCTCTTAGAAAAGTGGGGGTACTTCATTACCTACCAATAATCACAAATAATGCTGTTTCAAATGGATTTGGAAAGGCAAATCCAATTCTTTGGGACTGAATATGGAAAAGTGCTAGAAATATTCCAGGTTTGGAAGACTGGGATGTAGAAGGAATATAAGAAGAACAGACAATATCTGTTCCTACCATATGATACCTGCAACAAGTACACTTTAATAAAAAGTATTCTTTTTGTCTTTCTACCCTACAACCTTAAAATTCCTGAGAACCAATGAAAACCTTTTCTGTCCTATTGATTATTGTATTATCATGCAACTACGAAAATTTCTGACATAGGAATGGCTCCGTCAATATTGGTGGAACGGCTGTAATATCATATTTGCTCTGTAAATGACTAACATTAATTTATGTTTAGGGTCAAGGTTTACAAAAGTAAGCTGAAATTCAGGCACTGCACTAATTTCTCCATCAATCCATTTGTTCAACTAATATGAATTTCATATACATGTATATATTCATCACATCCTTACTATATTTAACTCAATCATAGTTTCTGCTCTCAGAACACTTATACTATATTGAGAGATATAAACAATAATTAGATAAATCATTAAGAAAATATTAGGTAATCAAAGTACTTTGTGACACACAGTGACTTGGTAGTTACCTCTGATGGAGAAATGACAAAATACCCTCTGAAAAGTGACAGGAAGTCAGTGGTTCTCAATGGGGTGTATACGTTGGTGGGCAATGGAAGGAGAGAAGTGATTGTGTCCCCTAAGGTACATCTGGCAATGTCTGGAAACATTTTACTTGTTACAATTTGGGAGAGTGTGGTAGGGAAGGGTCCTCCTGTCATCTAATGGGTGGAGTCCAAGGATGCTGCTGAACAGTCTATAACACACAAGATTCCCCACCACCCCCACCTTTGCCAACAAAGAATTGCTCAGCACAAGATGTTAATAGTGTAGAGGTTGAGAAACTCTGCATTAAGCTACAATCAATATGGCAGAAATTAACCAACCTTGAATTGCCTGCTGGAAGAGCATTCCAGGCAGCGGAAACGGCCATTGCAAATATTCTCAAACAAGAACATATTTAATGGGCTTGAGGAATGGGAAGAAACCTATCTTGAGCAAGTAAAAGAAAAGGTGAGAGAGGATGTCAGTACACAAACTGTAGGCCATTTTAAGGGATTTAGATATATTGTGAGTGCAATGGGAAGACATGGGAGAGCCTCACTTTGAGGAATAGCATGATCTATTTTTGCATTTTTAAAACATCAAGTTGGCTACTGTTTGTGAGGCATGAGAAAAGGGTCTGGAGGCAGGGAACATAAGACTGATTCATGCTGACTTCCTAGAACTAAATCAAATGGAAATACTACAAGTATGACAGGAAATATCCTCTCCATTTACGTAGGGCATACACCAAGTAAATGACTTTGTAACTTTACTTCATCCTCTTCATTTACATAGAGCATACACCACATAACCAGTGGAAACCTCTAGAGGGTATATTTAAACCCCAGGACATTCTTTAACGGAGCTCTTGAGGCCCTATGCTACGGCCCACTCCCACCCTGCGGAGTGTACTTTCATTTTCAATAAATCTCCGCTTTTGTTGCTTCATTCTTTCCTTGCTTTGTTTGTGCATTTTGTCTGATTCTTTGTTCAAGACGCCCAGAACCTGGACACCCTCCACTGGTAACAGTAGAGGAAAAGGAAATAGAGACCCACATGTTACAAAAGTCAAGAGAAGAAATCATTTCAAGATTAAAAACATTGGTCACTTGGGTACAATGCTGCTAAAAGTTTAATTATTTTGTGATGTTAATATTTTTACTTTTTAATTTGCATTATCTTTAGTGCCATTATATACTAAGCTCAGTCTAGCATTGAATATTGTGCTAAAAGTTACATTTATCATGTAACAGAATCTTTCCAACAGTCCTACAAAGAAGGTATTACAATCTGATTAACAGATGAGAAGAATGAGGTAAAAAAATTAAAAATTTACCCATCTTTACCCAGTTAATACATATTAGAGCAGAAGGAAACTCATCTACCTGTCTTCATTTCATGTGCTTAAACACTGTATGTGAATTTCTAAGTGAGTTAATCATACATAAAATAACTCTAAGTGAGTTAATCATACACAAAAATCCTAGAATATTTTATGGCATTTCAATCTCAAACAAACAACACATAATAACAATTTTTAGCATTTTAGTTTTTTAGTAAATCAGACACTGAAAAAAAAACTGTATTTTATGATAATCATTTGGTTTCTAAGCTCCCCAGAAGTTTCTCTTTTTCTGTATCTTGAGTGCTACAGGTATTGCTTTTAAGTAGCTGTTACTTTTGATAACATATCTTGGCACTGCTTGTCTCCCAGTGTCCTGAAATGGGAGAGCTCCCTGACCCCCTTGCAAAATGTGCAACAGGGGTGTGGCTTGTCTGTTCGGTTGCCACTGCTGCTCAAATCCCTTACAGGAGGGGGAGCATGCAGACAGACAGGTGCAGAAGGCAGAGTGAGCACTCCTGGGCTCCAACCCTACAGTGGCATCCAGGGGTGGGATCCTGCAACTCCCAAACCCAAATGGGCATGTGTCACAGTGTGCTCTTTTAGCCTTGCCATCTGCAGATGACTTCATTGTTAACCAGCCCAGTGGAACCTTTGCCTTTTGGCAAGGGCGGGGGCCAGTGTGACAGCTTTCTGTGTCCCGAGCTTTTGTCCAGCGTCCCAGAAGAATCAGGTCACACACAGATTTGAAGGATGAATGCAGGGGTTTTATTGAGTGGTGGAGGTGGCTTTTAGTGGGATGGATGGGGAGCTGAAAAGGGGATAGAGTGGGAAGTTTGGCTGTCCAGCGGCTGATCTCCTCTCCAGTCATCCCCAGATGAACTCCTCTCAGCATTCAGATGGTCCTTCTCTTCTTTCCTTCTCTGCTGTACTATTATGCCATTCATCTGCTCATCTCCTTGTCTCCTCATCTCCTTGTCTGCTTCTGAAGCCTGGGGTCTGGGGTTTATATGGGTACAGGATAGGGGTGTGGCAGGACAAAAGGCAACTTTTTGGGCACAAAAGCAGGAATGTCCTCATTTAGGGCCATGGGTATCCAGGCTTGAGGGTGGGGACTTTGCCTAGGAATCACCCTCTTCTACCCAGTGTTTGCCTATCTCCTGTCAGTATCAATCCCACTTTACTACTTTTATTATTGTTCTCTGGGGTCCTCATGATACCTAGAGTATAATCCTTATCCTTTTCCTCTCATGATATTATATCTCAGCTGACCATGCCTTAAGTAGCTACAGCTCACTAGAATGGTCTGTCCTTTGTGAGCACAGCTCTGCTTGGGATCCAAATAGAGCTGGACCCTGACAATGCCATTTCAACGTTTGAAATGCCTCATTTCAAGTTTTGACTAACTTATAACAAGTTCTCCCAGAAATTGGGAAATGAGAAAAGGGGAGGGAGATCACCTGGTGCCATTAATAATTTTTTTTAACCTTCTTAAATGCAAAGAAGCCAATAGCTTCTGATTATCTTTTACATCCAGATAAGTTCCTTGCTATCTCCAACACCATCTTCCTTTCTCCACCCAATTGCACCCTACCCTTTTTCAAAGTAACTTTCATGGTGTTTATTTTATTTATGTTCATGAATCTTTTACTCAGTGTCCCTGAGATCTGGTCAGCATTCATGCATTTGTTATTATTCTATTTCCTCATTTCTGCCAAAGTTCTAATAAGTATGTAGGCATTTTTGTGGCCTTCTAATAGTAAGATGAATGAGAATTAGATCCTCTGTGCTCTGTATATCTCACCAGTGATGACCACTGAAAAATAACATGAATGTTAAAAATGATGTCTGTTAAAATATAGAATATTATTAATCAATGCAATTAAACTATATTCCAACCTTTTCCATTTCTATAGCTGTTGATTTTTATAATAAACAAATACATAAATTGTTGTTATTCAAGAAATGAAAGTATAGGTAGTAAATATTCTGGACAAATTAACAGACACTCCAAATTCTGTTTCTGATGTTGCCATGTTTACTGCATATAAGATTCAGAAAGCGTCTCTAAGACATTCATGGTCTGTTTCTTCTTTTTGCTTTCATTTTGATTTATAGCATATACCTAACAATCCCATAGAACTATTGTAGTAATTAAAAGAGAGATAATGCAGTTAAAGTTTCTTTGAGAACTACAAAAAGGAAAAACAGGTTATTAAAAATAATATATAGAAGTTAATTAAAAATCTCACAATTTCAGATGAACTATAAGCAGTTAAAACAAGGTAGGGTATGTGTTTGTAGATGCTTTTAAAGTTTGTAAGATAGTCACCATCAGGTCTGAAAAGACAAAAGATATCACCTTCTCCATAAGCATCTTCACCCAGCAGGGATCAAATTCTATTCCAACTAGTTTGGCAGCCATGGTAGTCTTTATATTTGATGGTGACATTTTGCTGTAAGCATCAAAGTATTATAGGAATGAAAGAAAAAAAAAACCAGACATTGGTTTACCTGAGACTGAGGCATGCATAAATAAGGTCAACTCACAGTCTAACAAAAAAAGGTTTATGCTTTGTTCTCAAAAGCATTCATGACAAGTTTCCTCCTTTCTCTAATGCTGAAATGAACAGAGGGACTGTTGAGGGAAATCAGAGAGATTAAAGCCCTTTATTTCTATATTGTTAAATTATAGCAGCTTGAGCATATCGTTCAGTTGTCATCTAATTGAGAAGCTTATTCAATGGAAGTAACAAAATTCACCTTGACACCTGATTTGTCATGGAGATAAAAAATCTAACGTTGTTTGGATCAGTTTTAAAAACCTGGCTAAAAAGAATTTCTGTCATCTTTTTTGATCCGTCCTTGCTTACAAAATTATACTCTATTATAGTTTGGTGAGTAATGATGATAGCATATGAAAGTTCTTTCCTGACAAACCTGATTATCCAGTTTTTCCCAAAGGAATTTCTTTGATGTTGCATCATGCAGAGGGTGGCTAGCAAGGTTAAATACATGAAGAAAGTTCTTAACATTTTTGCAACTTCAAAAAACAAACTGACTCAAAATTTTGTACTAAGATCTTTAAACCTAGAAAAGCAATGTAATCATTTTGCAACTCTTGTTCATATTTTTAAGTGAAATCTCCTATTTCTTTAGTATTGAAAGAATAGTAAGTAGATTAGCTCTTCTGTCTTCATTTATCAGTTAAATTCAATAGGTTCAACCCATTGCCTATGGACTAGTAGAGGATTTTGGACCCAGATATATGATACAAAATAGGAATATGCAACTGTAACTCTTCAACAGCTGCATCATATAATGTGGGACAATGGGTTTAACAAAAGTCGTTTTAATGCTGTCATTGATGGACTAAAGCTTCTCAATGCCAGCTGTATAACTACATTATGGAACAATTGTGGCTTATTCTAATTTAAAGCTGTCTGGCTTAGTGAATTTCGGTATGGCTATAAGAATATGCTCAATAAAAGTACTTGCCTAATTATTTAAGACATTAAGTTTACCCTGCCAGCTATAAAACAGAAGCCAGTGTGAACCACTATTCAGCCAACCGTGAGGTCACCTGAACAACGGATGAAGAAACCTTGGCTCAGAGATGCAAGGTTTTAGATTATGAGCCTAGAAACAAAGATAAGGCAGCCTACACTCTTACAGTCTAATTTAATGTCCACACAGTATTTGTTGTTTATTTTCCCTCAAGTTATTGTGATTGAAAATTCTCTCTCAATATTTTGCCTCATATTAAAACTATACATTTTTCTCCCCAACAAAGGCAACTTCTTTCTCTTACATTTCTATCCATGTCCCTTCCTTTACCCACTGTACTTTTTCTCACTGGGGCCTGGAACACCCTCTTGAAGCTCCAGAGCCCTGGTCTAGAACTTTAGTCTGAAAATAGCCCCTCACTGAGCATCACTTTCTGTACTTGGAGGATGTGGTTAATACCTTTCTATGGTTTGAATGTATGTGTCCCTCCAAAAATTCATATGTTGGAACTTAAGCGCCAAGGTGATAGTATTAAGAGGTGGGGCCTTAGGCCTAGCCCAGGGGCTGATGCCTGTAATCCCAGCACTTTGGGAGGCGAGGCAGGCAGATCACTTGAGCCCAGGAGTTCAAGTGCAGCCTGGCCAACACTGTGAAACCCAATTTCTACAAAAAATACAAAAATTAGCCAGGCACGGCAGTGCATGCCTATAGTCCCAGCTACTAGGGAAGCTGATGTGGGAGGACCACTTGAGCCCAGGAGATTGACCTGTGACCATGCCACTGCACTCCAGCCTGGGAAACGGAGTGAGACCCTATCTCAAAAAAAGAAAAAAAGGAGCTTTTGGTAAATGATTAAATCCTAAGGGCTGCACCCTCATGAATGAATTAGTGCTCAAATAAAAGAGGTTGAAGGAGCACAGTAATACCTTTTTGTCCTTCCTCCATGTGAGGACACAGCAAGTGGCTTCATCGTGAAAGCAGAGAGCAGCCCTCAACAGACAAGAACCTTCCTGTGCCTTGATCTTAAAGTTTCCAGCCCCCAGAACTGTGAGGAAATAAATGTCTGTTTTTATAATTACTCTCAGTTATTTTGTTATGGCAGCAGGAAGGAACCAAGAAAACCTTCCTCTATAGGAGTGTTGTGAGAATTTAAAAAGTTAAAGTAAGTATATAGCTCACGGATAGAATACAGAAGATTGACCAAAAAAAGAAAAAATCACTCTTCATACTGATGTGCAGAACTTACATATTATTGTAATTTTCCTTGCCAAAAAGCTTAGTTTCATCTTTTATAAATATCCTATAATGCCAAGTTGATTGCATGGTCAGAGTGAATCTGTGCTGTACCCATATTCAGTAGCCTTCTCCTATCCAACAAAGTGTTTTGTAAATAGGAGGTAAATGAATGAGTGGATGGATGGAGGGATGAATGAATGGAATTTTCTTGCTCTTGATCTCTGTCTTAACAGTGATTTGGTTTTGGAAGACACACTGTACACTTGTGGATGCATCCATTTTGAGAATAGTAATATAGAGATGAACTAACTGTGTTTAGAACATACATAGACAAAATAAAGATGTTTCCTGTGGGGACGACAGGGCATATGAATACCTGGGAAGTTTTGGGATATTTTGAACTAAATCTATAATACATATCTTAACTCTCTTACTTCACAGTCTATTTCCAGTTAATTAGTTACTGGCCCCACTTAAAAACATCAGCAAAAACAATTTCCTAAGTAATAATCTCAATCAGATTAAAAAATATCAACTTTTTTTTTTTTTTTTTTTGAGACAGAGTCTTGCTTTGTCGCCTGGGTTGGAGTGCAGTGGGCTGATCTTGGCTCACTGCAACCTCCGCCTCCAGGGTCCAAGTGAGTCAGTCTCCTGCCTCAGGCTCCCCAGTAACTGGGACTACAGGTGCCTGCCACCACACCTGGCTAATTTTTGTATTTTTAGTAGAGACGGGGTTTCACCATGTTGGCCAGGCTGGTTTCGAATTCTTGACCTCAAGTGATCTGCCAGGCTTGGCCTTCCAAAGTTCTGGGATTACAGGCATGAGTCACCGTGTCCTGACTACTTTTATACACCTTATAGAGATTTTTTAAAAATTCAGCATTTCAAATTTGCAATGCAAGTTCGTATTCAATTGTCTTTTTATTTTACCTAAAATAGATTCATAGCCAGGTTACTGATATAGTAAAGAAAGAATGGGAAGATCTGTGCTTTCCTTGCTTACAACACAAACTTAAGATTTATATGTGGGTTTTTTTCCTTCAATTGATTGCATGCATTATATCAGGTTGTTTCTTTTTCCCCTTCCTTCCTCCCTTCCTGCCTTTTTCTTTCTTTCTTTCTTCCTCTTTCTTTTTTTCTTTCTTTCTTTCTTTCTTTCTTTCTTTCTTTCTTTCTTTCTTTCTTTCTTTCTCTCTCTTCTTTCTTTCTCTTTCTTTCTCTCTCTTTCTTCCTTCCTTCCTTCCTTCCTTCCTTCCTTCTTTCCTTCCTTCCTTTCTTTCTTTCTTTCTTTCTTTCTTTCTTTCTCTTCTTTCTTTCTCTTTCTTTCTCTCCCTTCCTTCCTTCCTTCCTTCCTTCCTTCCTTCCTTTCCTTCCTTCCTTCCTTCCTTCCTTCCTTCCTTCTTTCTTTCTTTCTTTCTTTCTCTTCTTTCTTTCTCTTTCTTTCTCTCTCTTTCTTCCTTCCTTCCTTCCTTCCTTCCTTCTTTCCTTCCTTTCCTTCCTTCCTTCCTTCCTTCCTTCTTTCCTTCCTTTCTTTCTTTCTTTCTTTCTCTTCTTTCTTTCTCTTTCTTTCTCTCCCTTCCTTCCTTCCTTCCTTCCTTCCTTCCTTCCTTCCTTTCCTTCCTTCCTTCCTTCCTTCCTTCCTTCCTTCCTTCTTTCTTTCTTTCTTTCTTTCTTTCTTTCTTTCTCTTCTTTCTTTCTTTCTTTCTTTCTTTCTTTCTTTCTCTTCTTTCTTTCTCTTTCTTTCTCTCTCTTCCTTCCTTCCTTCCTTCCTTCCTTCCTTCCTTTCCTTCCTTCCTTCCTTCCTTCCTTCCTTCCTTCCTTCCTTCCTTCTTTCTTTCTTTCTTTCTTTCTTTCTTTCTTTCTTTCTTTCTTTCTTTCTTTCTTTCTTTCCTTCTTTTTCTTTCTTTTTCTTTTTCCTATTGAGACTATTCCTGAGCCAACTTCCAACTAGCATTTGGTCAATTTGGCATTGTGATCCATTCTGTTGCTCTTCTGCTAAGTATCTCATGGCAAAAATAGCAACAAGAAAGAAGCAGCAACAACAAATAATTCCACACCTTCCAAGGGCCAACAGAGAGAATTTGGGGATTATCTACTGTTTGGAATAATCTTCATTCCTGATTTCTTCTATTATTAGCGTGTGTAATTGGGAATTCCCTGCATGTAACCTGACTTCTCTGCAAAAGAGCCATAAACATATCTGGCCCTTAGAGCAGTTTCAATGAACAAAATTAATTAAGAAAAAGAATGTGAGGTCCTGGGATAGAAATCATTGCAAAGTACTTTTAAATTACAGTGTTATGACTGGATATTGGAGTAAATCTTTGATCTCCTTTTTTGTTAACAAGGTGATATGATATTTTTAAGGCAATCATTCCATTTTGAAGGTCAGCTGACTTCACAAACAATCAGAACACAGTATAGAAATAAGATACCCACTTCTCTCTGCTTCCTCTTACTGATTTCATGCAATGACCTTGCAGTTATTAAATATAGGCCAACTTGCACTCTTAGACCTTAGGCAACCTCTTTTTTTAAGTGATCACTTACTCCCCAACATTTCTACTAAAATTTGATGCTTAGAGATCACTTAATGGAGGCAACCAATTTATCCTTGTCCTTCGGGTGGTCCCCAAGGGCAGTTTTTGCTGTTTCAATACAATTACAAAATGCTTCCAGGCTCTGTGAACTTGGTTATACAAGAAGGTTATGGCAACAAAGACTGTTTTCTTTGGAAAATTGTTACAAAGTGCTGACCTTCCTAAAGTATACAGCATTCTGAAAAGCCTAAAAGCCCAGATGCTTAACACTGTGAGAAGCAGCACCAAATTCTAGAACCAGAGGCATGATTTAAAGCACAGGATTCATTGAACCAAGAAAAGAAGGAAGAGAACTTTCTTTCCGGAACACTTCTTTCATATCCTGTAGTCCGGATTCAAGCAAAATTCTTTTTTTCACTCTGAAATGTGTTCAGGAGAATCTGAGCTAGGAATGGTTTTTCAGTCTCATACATGCAGCTCAGAGTTGGAGTGAAGACAGGATGATTTTAGACACTGCAATGAGAAGCAAGAGCTCATTTGATTTCAGTAAGGTCCCAGCTGACTTCACGGTAAATATCAAGAGTCTGACTCAAATGAGTAAGTATACAATCCAGGCAAGACAACAGATAAATAAGATTTTTCAAAAAATTGATTACAGTCATAGGTCTTATCCACATTCATTATGAGACATGTGCATGGAAGTCACATATCATTTACTGAAAAGGCATGTTTTCTAACCATGCAAATAGGTGTTAGGGAGGGGGTTCACTGTGGGTGGGAAGGGACTGGGAAAGATGGGAGCTTCAGTGAGAGTCCCCCTCAACCCACAGAAGCAATTACCATGACAGTAGCAGGCTTCCTCCAAGGGCAAAACACCATGGATGCACTGACTGGACACTCATCTCCAAATCCACAGGGATCTCCTATTTCCATTTAGTTTATTTAGTTTTCTTGTGTCATGAAGTGAGGACGCATAAATGAGTAAGATACCAGGACTCTCCTTGAGACCTAGAGGTTTCATAAAGCACATCTATAGGAAAACAATAGCTTGGGCAATGCTACAAGCAACAATCTTAAGGCTAGAAAGTCAATATTATAGTGTGATTATTTCATTATAGGTGGATTTTAATAGAATTTTAAGATGCATTCATGGCAGTTTAATAAGTGGTTACAGTGTAACCATCAAATTAGGTCTGTATGAAGTTAAAACTCCACAATTTTCTTAACCATTTTCTTATAAAGAGAGTTACATTAATTTCTATATTGTATTTTTCTTACATTTTATTATGTATAGTGTGAATTGCATCATTCTCCATAGAATATTTTTTCATGTATATACTGTTGTAGAGTAAACCTCTAGGACAGGTATTATGGATGCAAAGCACATAATTACTTTTATGGTTTTTGGATATATCTGGATAGTCTAATGATAAAAAATAATAAAAAGAAAGTAAATTGACTCTCTTTTTTAATTGCTTTAATTTCCCTCTTGAGTAAAATTTTCTTCATGCTGAAAAACATAAAACAAACATTGGTAAGAGAGCACTACCATTTTAGTAGTTCTGGTGATAATTATCTATCCTTTAAGAGAGGCCAAGTTCTCAAGATACTTAGAGCATTGCAAAATAGATTGCTAAATAACTATCGGTTAGACTGGAAAACTTGTGGAAAGATAATCGAAGACAGGAAATAAAGTAAATATCTTTATTGTCAAAAAGTGAGACATTATAACTTTTTAATTGGAAATCAAGTAATTTGGTAATTAAGCAGACATGCTTTAACAATTAACTCATAAGTTAGTTTTGCTGCATTATACACTGTATATATACACATACATTTACATATATATGTGTGTATGTATATATAGGTGTGCTGTGTGTGTGTGTGTGTGTATATATATATATATATATATATACACACACACACATATATATAAAATCTTACAACTATTATAACAGCAGTCTGGGATCTGGTGCAGCTCCTGGCTAGGATAGGTTGCAGGTCTTTTTCATTCCAGGATCCAAGCACAAGAGCAGCCTCTACTGGGATATGCCAGACATGTGGCTGGGAGAAAGAGCAAGAGAGCTGATGGAACCAGGCAAGGCCTCTGGAAACTCTGCTGAGACATGGCACATGCACTACATCAATGGTCAGGCATGAATTCTGTCACAGAAGGCACTGAAGTCAAGTGGCAACAAAGGGATGTGCAACCTTCTCACAGCAAGGAGGATTAAGTATATGGAAACAAAAATATAGTCCACCTCACTTCATTTATTTTATTTAACAATATGTTTTGAGTATATCCACTGTCTTAAGATTTGGGAATTTAATTGTGATCTAAAGAGACATAGGAGTTAGGGGCATAAGACTTCAGGAGTTATCTTCTAGAGTGGTGAATATATGGTAAACCAATAAATTTTGTGAATAGTTGTATAATTACCAACACAATCCATGTTAGTTCCAATAAAGAGAATTAAAAAGGGCATAGTTTTGTTTTAAAATATTTGAAAAACCGTCACTTGGAAAGCACTAAGACTCTAGGTCTGCAGGCCCATAAAGACATAGCAAGTACAGATACAGATGGAAAGTACTAGGAAATAAATTTGGCTCAATAGAAAGAGGAATTTTCAAGCAATTCTAAAGGCGAAATGGGATATTTAAAGAGGTAGTCAGTTCCCTATCATTTTAAACAGTCAGTGCCTTTTAATGATATCATACAAGATACTTAAGCTCTGGGCCAAACAATTAAAATAGATATTCTTCAAGGCCTTTAAACTCCTTAAGTTGATATAAAAATGTACCACTTTTTAAGCCAATAAATTTTTTAATGGACTTCTCGTTTAAAAAGAATAAAGCAGTATGATGCACTAGAGCTTCAATGTTAAAATTAAGCTATCAGATTTTTTTTATATTGCATACTTTAGGGAGGAAAATTACTGGATTTTTGACTTAATCTTCTCAATCACCAATGTATTCATCTAGCAGATAAGAACAAGAACATTTAATTCTCATGGATAGTTAGAAATTTAAATAAAATAAGTAATTAATAGGAATATATTTTGGTACAGAGCTTGACATCATTATTACATAAAAATGCCATAAATAAAATATATTTATTTATATTTTTTATTTTAAAAAAATTTATATTTTAAATAAAAAATATAAATAAGTAATAGGAATATATTTTTGATACGGAGCTTGACATCATCATTACATAAAAATGCCCTATTTAAGGTATCATCACTGCATCTTAATTACTTTTTATTTTCTTATTAAAATTAGCAAACCTATTAAAAATGGTGCGGTAAACTCTTAGCTTCCTGAAACAGAAGATGATGAGAATTCATAACCAACAAGCTGCCTAGTGGAAAATGCTGGCAATGAAATATCAGGTTTTCAGCTGAAAAATTCGGTTCACTTATTCCCTCTAAAAAAGCATTAGGAAACAAGTGGCAGGAAGCCATTGACAATGGATTAACCTATATATAATACTCAAATATCATGCTTCTAATATTTGGATCTAACTTGAGATTTTAGTCCTGAAATTTAAATCCTAACAGATTTCACAGCAGTTTGCATTTATTTAGTGAATGCCTGTCATTTTCTCTCAAAAAAAAAAAAAAAAAAAGAATGTTTAGAGAAATCCCAAATAGATTCTACCACTGATATAATTTCATGTGGGATGTACATATAGATATAGTGTTAATTAATTAAATTAATGGGAAATCAGAAACTCTCTGCCAAATGCAAAATATTGAGTAATAGTGCAACTTGTTACTCTCTCCCCTAAATTTCAAAGCAGCAGTCTACACTGTGATTGAACATTAGAATCACCTGGGGAGTTTTTGAAATTCCCCAGGCCCAGACCACACCCAAAACACTTGGAAGAGGCATCAGTGATCGTTAAAGCCTCCCAGCTGATTGCAATTTATATACAATGCTGAGAATCTCTGGGTTAAGATAATTTAGTCCCTGTTTTCACCTGAGACTTGTTTTACGATAAGCACGTGGGTATAACATTTGTTTTTTTAGCTCCTTCAGAAAAACTTATGTAAATTTCTAAGAGCATTAATTTTTTTCAATAAATAATTGTTGGAGGGTAAGGTGGTTTAAACCCAGATCTTACATGATGTCAGTATCACCTCATGTCACTACTTTAAAAGATGATGGGATCATCTGCTTTCATTCTTCCACTGATAATAAGCTCATATCAGAAGTGGGGCCCGATGACTTGAGCCTTGTTTAGCCATAAACATGAAAAGTGACAGGCCATTCTGATAGATGTTTAAGAAAAGACAAGCTACTATGTACAGCCTTCTTTGGCCTCAATGCAAATAAATGAGGATTTTCTAGTGCTCCGTTGGTATCTGATGGGCCACTATAGAAATCTCTCAAAATGTGTGCAGTGTCTGCCACCAGTTAGCTCTGTTGATAGGAGCATAGTATTAATATGAAGCCAAGGCTGTGGGTTTGGCCAGTTTGAATTCTCTCTTTTATTGCCACAGACTTTACCACTAGCTTCAGCGAGCTGTCCCTAAAATATGTGTCTTTGGTCCCAAAACAGAGTGGATGAGAAAGTGCAGAGGAATCAGTTCAAATCTATCATCACAACTAGAAAAACAACTCAAAGCACATGCCCAGCTGACTATAGGTGCATTGCATCATCTTCATGAATGATGCCCAGACTTCATACTTGATCCAGTTCTGATTTTATTGGAAGCCACTTCAGTACCTTGAGAGAATAAGGTCACACTTGCTACACTGGGTGTCCGTAGGAATTTTATGTGTCTATGTAGTGGATATATATTTTTAGAATATGATTATGCATAGTCAATATAATTATTTAGTAAAGCTCACAGAAAACATATTTTATAAAAACAGAGGGATAACATTTGCTCTTACTTGATTTTTTTTATTAGGATTCAGAGATTAAGTGGTTCCAAGACTACCTTCCAAAGTGAGTCTTGCACTACTACCGGTACTTGCACTATCTACAACTTGCACTATTGCACTATCTAAAACTTGCAGTATCTACTTCCAGTGTTTTTTTTTTAATTATTAGTAACCCAGGTAATAAACATAGTACCCAGTAGGTACTTTTTCAGTCCTCACCCTCCAACCTTAAGTAGGCCCCAGAGTTTGATGTTCCCTTCTTTGTGTTCATGAGTTATCATCATTCAGTTTCCACTAATAATTGAGAACATGCAGTATTTGGTTTTCTGTTTCTGCATTAATTTGCTAAAGATAACAGCCTTTAGCTCCATCCAGGCTCCCACAAAAGACATGATCTCATTCTTTTTTACAGCTACATAGTATTCCATGGTGTATATGTACCACATTTTCTTTATGCAGTCTACTGTTGATGGCTATTTAGGTTGATTTCATGTCTTTGCTATTGTGAATAGTGCTGCAATGAACATATGCATGCACGTGTCTTTATGGTAGAATGAGATATATTCCTTGGGGTATATACTCAATAATGGGATTGGTGAGGTAAATGGTAATTCTGTTTTAAGTGCTTTGAGAAATTGTCAAATTGCTTTTCAAAGTGATTGAACTAATTTACATTTTCACCAGCTATATATAAGCATTCCCTTTCCTCTGCAACCATGACAGCATCTGTTATTTTTGACTCTTAATAATAACTATTCTGACAGGCGTGAGATGGGATCGCATTACGGTTTTTGTTTGCATTTCTCTAATGCTTAGTGATGTTGTGCATTTTTCCATATGCTTTTTGGCTGTGTGTATATCTTCTTTTGAAAAGTGTGTGTTCATGTCCTTTGCCCACCTTTTAATGGGGTTGTTTTTCTCTTGTAAATTTGTTTAAGTTCCTTATAGATACGGGATATTAGGCCTTTTTTTGGATGTGTAAGTTTGCAAATATTTTCTCCCATTCATTAGGTTGCCTGTGGCTCTATTGACAGTTTCTTTTGCAGTGCAGAAGCTCTTTAGTTTAATTAGTTGCCATTTGTCAATTTTTGTTTTTGTTGCAATTGCTTTTGACATCTTCATCATGAAATCTTTGCCAGGGCATTTGTCCAGATTTGTATTTCCTAGGTTGTCTTCAAGGGTTTTTATGGTTTCACATTGAGGTCTTTGATCCATCTTGAATTGATTTTTGTATATGGTGTAAGGAAGGGTTCTGGTTTCAGTTTTCTGCATATGGCTAGCCAGTTATACCAGTGCCATTTATTGAATAAAATGTCCTTTTCCCATTGCTTCTTTTTGTCAACTTTGTCGAAGATCATATGGTTGTAGGTGTGGGTGCTGCTTTATTTCTGGGCTGTCTATATTGATTCATTTGTCAATGTGTCTGTTTTTCTACCAGTAGCATGCTATTTTGGTTACTGCAGCCTTGTAGTATAGTTTGAAGTCTGGTAATGTGATGCTCCTCGTTTTGTTCTTTTTGCTTAGGATAGCTTTGTCTATTTGGGCTCTTTTTTGATTCCATGTGAACTTTGAAATAGTTTTTTTCTAGCTCAGTGTAGAATGTCATTGGTAGTCTGATAGGAATAGCATTGAATCTGTAAATTGCTCTGGGTAGTATAGACTTTTCAATGATATTGATTCTTCTTATCCATGAGCATGGAATGATTTTCTATTCATTTGTGTCATCTCTGATTTCTTTCAACAATGTTTTGCAGTTCTTGTTGTAGAGATCTTTCACTTCCTTGATTGGCTGTATTCCTAGATGTTTTATTCTTTTTGTGGCTATTGTGAATGGGATTGCATTCTTGATTTGGCTCTCTGCTTGGATGTTGTTGGTGTATAGAAATGTTACTGATTTTTGTACATTGACTTTGTAGCCTGAAAAATTGCTGAAGTTATTTATTATATCTAGGAGCTATTATGCAGAGACTATGGGGTTTTCTAGGTATAGAATCATATCATCTACAGAAAGAGGTGGTTTGACTTCTTCTCTTTTTATTTGGATGTCTTTTACTTTCTCTTGCCTGATTGCTCTGGCTAGGACTTCCAGTACTATGTTGAATGGGAGTGGTGAGAGTGGGCATCTTTGTCTTCTTCCATTTCTCAAAAGGAAGGCTTCTGGTATTTGCCTTTTCAGCATGATGTTGACTCTGGGTTTGTCATATATGGTTCTTATTATTTTGAGGCGTGTTCCTTCAATGCCTAGTTTGTGGAGAGTTTTTAACATGAAAAGATGTTGAATTTTATCAAAAGCCTTTCCTGCATCTGTTGAGATGATCATATGGTTTTTGTTTTAGTTTCTGTTTATGTGATGAATCACATTTATTGATTTGTATATGTTGAACCAACCTTGCATCCTATGGGTAAAGCCTACTTTATGGTGGCAGATTAGCTTTTTGATGTACTGCTGGATGTGATTTGCTAGTATTTTGTTCAGGGTTTTTGCATCTATGTTCATCAGGGATATTGGTCTGAAGTTTTCTTGTGTCTCTTCCAGGTTCTGGTGTCAGGATGATGATGGCCTCATAGAATAAGTTAGTGAGGAGTCCCTCGTCCTCAATTTTTTGGAATAGTTTCAGCAGGAATGGTATCAGCTCTTCTTTACAAACCTAGTAGAATTTGGCTGTGAGTCCGTCTGGTCCTGGGCTTTTTCTGGTTGGTAGTCTTTTTATTACTGATCAACTTCAGAACTTGTTATTTGTCTGTTGGGAAATTCAATTTCTTTCCAGTTCATTCTTAGGAGGTGGTATGTTTCCAGGAATTTATCCATTTCTTCTAGATTTTCTAGTTTGTTTGCATAAAGGTAGGTGTTCATGGTAGTCTCTGAGAAGCTTTTTTGTATTTCTGTGGGGTTGGTAGTAGTGTGCCATTTTTCATTGTTGATTGAGTTTATTTGGATCTTCTCTCTTTTTCTAGTCTAGTTAGCAGTCTAGCTAGTGATCTTTTGCACCAGAGTTGGTGGTGCAGCAGGGTGCCTGCGTGTATGTGTTTTAAGGGAATGTGATCACACTACCACACTGGCAGTTCACAACATGTGCACTGGTGAGGTAGGGGAGGTGAGGTCCACCTATTGGCAAAGCAGTGTGTTAGGGGGCACCATAGGTGAGTGCATGCTGGCAAAATGGTGAAGGGGGGAACCCATGGTGGAGGGAGGCTGCATGTGGACTGGTGTGTGTCTGCAGGGGCTGTTCTGCTGGAACACTGTGACAGCCAGGTGTGGTCTGCTGGTGAATGAGCTATGAATATAGTCCCTGGGAAGCATTCTGGTTGGGCTGAGTCTGCACTGCAATGAGGCACAGCCAGGCTGGGGCCCAGTAGAGGCCAGCAGACAGTGAGGAATTTAGATTAGACTGGCCCATCCCACAGACAAGACCATCCTGCTGTGTCCAGATCTGACAGTCACCCTAAGACTAATGTCTCCTAGAGGAGCATGGCAAGCCTTGGGGGATGGGTGTCCCTGGCTGTGCTCTACTGAAGACATTTCCATATCATACCTCTGGGCTCCACAAAGGCTGGAGGCCTGCCCCTGCCACCTCTCTAAGCAGCTCTCCCTGACAGCTCGTGTCCACAGGGGTCATGGGGTCTCTTGCTGCTAGGATTCTGGAGTTTCATGGTAAGAGCGGGCCACTCCCCACCTATTCAACTCACCCCTTCCCCAGGAGTTAATGGGGGCTAGTAAGGAATGCTAGTGCTTGGAAGCCCTGTGCAGGCTTCTGAGATTCCTGCCCCCTCAGCCCATGCTCTGCATCCTCCCTTCATCCACCCTCAATGTTTTCCTTCAAAAGATCTGCTCAGAGTGTGCCAGTCTTCCCAAATTCCTGGTCTCTCCATGAGAGATGTTCTTCCTGGCTGCTTCTAGTTGGCCATCTGGTCTTGAGTCCTCTGTACCCTTTTTACAGGACTCTGTTCCACTTTGGCATGTTAACATTGTGTTGAATTTAATTATCTTCTTTAGGAGCAACTCAACTCTAATATAATGAGACAAAATCTCACAAACCAAGTTACAAATCAGTGAGTGATTTGCTAGTACTGACAGTATTTATTTATATTGGGTTATTGGCATTACTGTAGTGCCCGATTTGCATTAACATTTTCATGTTTTATAATTTATATAATCAGTGCCCTGGGGGAATATAATTTGGTTTATGCCTCCAGAAGAGAAAAATTAACAGGAAATTTTAAGACATTACTATCAGCTATAACTCACAGCTGATTTCTAAAGAACTATAATATGCACACACATATGTATATGATAATTTAAGAACTAATATCTATAGTGATTTTGATAATATTCTTAAAATGAGTGAAAATTACATTATTTATGCTTCTTTATAGGTGAGCCTATCAGTCTACTTTTGCAAATTTTCACAATAAAATACGTATCACCACCAACAAAAAAATAGACTGAATTATTATTACCCCAAATTATAAATTAAGAGATGATATTATTGTTATAAACATTAACTTTAAACGAAGTTAGATCTTATTTCTTTTGCTGTTTTCTAGAATTTTATTTGTAAAAGATGAGGAGATCCAATTAGACAGCCTGTTTGTTCTTACGCCTGCTTTCCAAAGTTGTCTGTCTTCTGAATTTTGTAGTTTGGCTTTAATGGTGGCAGTGTTAGCAGCATACAATGAAAAATGAGAATATGGGGTGAATAATAAGTTTGTGGCTGGGTATATGATTTAACTTTAAAATAAGCATAAGTATAAAATATTTTAAGACTAGTTAACATTTTAAGTCATGGCAAACAGAATGAGCTTATAAAAAACGTATTACTCTTAATCTAACTTATTTCTTGCAGATCCACTTGTATTATTTACATTTCTTTCGACAAATGTAGAATAATAGCATGGTTGTATATACTAGGTGCTTTGAAATCAACAAAAGTTAGCTTTATTGCACCTAGTACATACAACCATTCTGTTAAGTACCGGAAATACAAGCTGATTACAGAATGATTTTTCTATTCAAAAAGCAATATCTAATGTAAAATAAAATGCAATGAAGCCTATTGAGTGCTACAATAAAAGTATGTACAGGGGATAGTGATGCCGTAAGGAGTATTATTGTTCCTCCTAAGGGGATGGAGGAAAGGCCCCACATAGCATGATGGTGGAGTAATTTATAAGAAGGAATTATGGATAGGTGTTTAAAATCAGAGTCAAGACCATACGGTGGCTCAGAGCCCCAAATATGGATTCACATGCTTTGATTCAACTCTTGGCTCTGCTCTGCTTTCTAGCTGGGTGATGTCTTTCCATCTTTGCTCTATTCTCATTCTTTCAAAGTAATATTCTTTATAACTCTGGCTTCAGTGATCATTTATTGACAAATGGTTTACAAATACACATCTCCAAACAAGATGTCTTTGCTGAATTTTCAACCAAATATTCGACTACCCATTGCACTTTTCCCCTTGAATACCCTCTAGATGACTTGTTTAACATATCCAAAACTGATTTTATCATGATTCCTAACAAACTGATTTTTCTTTTTTCCTTTTCACTTGATATATGAGTCTACCATACAGTTAATCATTTAAGTAGGAAACCTGAATTATCCAAGTAGTTTTCCTTCTTTATCACTTACCACAGCCATTTTCTCTGGATTCTGTCTATACTCATCTACACAAGATATCTCCTCTTCTTTCTCTCCACTTACACCTTAACTGAGGTATTATTCTGGGAGAGATGGTGCTGGATTGTTGCAATTACTCCTTGGTGTTTCTCTACTTTTATCCTGTTTCTCACATTTTCTTTATTTTTACTTTATGTGGATATCTATACTAACCTCCAAGTTTTCTGCCTCTTGTCTATTCTCAACTCCAGTATTTTCTCTTCATGACTTCCTGAGTTATTTTCTAAAACATCAATTTTATTGTATCATTCTTTAGCTCAAAATTCTACATATGTTCTATAGGTAAAACTTAATTTACTTCCCAAGGCTCATCATAATTCGTCTCTGACCTCTTCTCTAGC
Organism: Homo sapiens; assembly: GCF_000001405.40. Classification (NCBI taxonomy): domain Eukaryota; kingdom Metazoa; phylum Chordata; class Mammalia; order Primates; family Hominidae; genus Homo; species Homo sapiens. Next base: position 44,676,767 of record NC_000005.10, on the reverse strand, counting down.
TTCTCTCTTTGTTATTAAACATCTTTGCTCAGCATGGTCGTGTTACTTATAGTCCACTAAATGCATCATTTTCTTGTATTGTCCCTCTCTCTGCCTGTTTACCTGATATCAGACTGTCTGTCTCTCTTTAAGTACAATATTCTTCCCACACCTTTCTAAATGTGATGAACTCTTCTTTGACCTTCAACATGTAGGGCAATCTTCTGGGTAGCCTTTCTTGTCACCTCTCTCTCTTCCCCCCACCGTTTTTTGTTTGTTTGATTTTTGGGTTTTTATTTTTTTATTTTATTTTTTAGACAGGGTCTCACTTTGTCACCCAGGCTGGAACAAAGTGGTGCGATTTTGGCTCACTGTGCCTCAACCTCCCTGGCTCAAGTGATCCCCCTGCCTCAGCCCCCCAAGTGCTGGAACTACAGGTGCATGACAGCATGCCCAGCTAAGTTTTTGTATTTTTTATAGATAAGGGGATTTTCTATGTTGCCCAGGCTGGTTTCAAACTTCTGAGCTCAAGGGATCTGCCTGTCTCTGCCTCCCATAGTGCTAGGATTATAGGCGTGAGCCACCACACCCAGCCTCTCTTCCCTTTTGAATCAACTGGGTTAAGTTTCACTTCTGCAGCTCATACATGATTGTAATTAAGTTTTTTTTTCTAATTCCCCTACCAGATTGCAAGCAATATATATGCATCACTGGTCTAAATATCTACAGCAATAAACACTGTGCTTAGCTCATAGTAACAACTTAATAAACATTTACTGAAGCAAAGTCAAAGACAACTCATTTTGTTTCCTAATTGGTCACTGTAATGTGGGCTCTTTTCCTTCCAAACCTCTTCTTTGGTTTATCTCCCCTCTCCCTCATATCTTACCCAGTGCCACCAGCTATATTCTCCTAAACAACACTTGTCTGCCACAAAGCCTCTTCATTTTCCCTTTGTCTCCAGCAGTACTTCTCAAGTGGGGATGCTTTTGCTCCCAGGGGACACTTAGAAATACCTGAAGACATTGGTTGTCACAATTTGGATGAGTGGTGGTACTAGCATTTAGTGCACAGAGATCCAGAATGTTGCTAAATATCCTGCAATGCAGAGGACATCCGCCCAGAATAAATAATTACCAAGTCCAAAACGTCAATAGTGCAAGATTGAAAAATGCTACTCTACAGTAACTGAACATATATGCCAACTATCAACCTCCATGTGTATAAGGTATACCACCAAGCAATGTGGAAAATATGGCTGCCAAAAACCAACTACATCTGGCTTGCTGCCCATCTGCTAGGCTGTAAAAAACAGAGCTGCTGCGTTGGCCTCAGACCTCAGGAAAATTTTGTGCAGAACAGGAGGCCATGCTGCAAATAGGCACTGAAAGTACATAGGGCAGAACGAACAGATTTCACATGGGCAAAGAGCAGAAAAAAATGATGGTCTTAACTTTGCATCCGCACACCAATTAGGCTTCCTATAGCAATGTCTTTGAACACAGACGTTGATGGTTTTAAGGTGTTTGTTATATGTGAAACAGTGTCTCCGTGGTGGGAAAGAACAAACAAACCTCTAAGACTGTCTCACCATGGAGCAACTCATGCACTGTAGAATATTATGCTCAGTAGTCTCAGAAAAACTGTTAGAATTGATTAGTTAATATCTGTATAATTCAAAATTTACTACAGAATTCAGAATCCGAATGACTTATTGACCTGACTCTGTTTTCTACTCCCGTTTCTGCTGAAAATATTTTAAAGTAAAGGGAAGTGACTATGGGGTAAAAATATAAGATGCTATGTTTCAATTAAACCTAAACAATGTGAATTTAATGGCAAATTGGGCTACATATTTTCATGTGAATTTTCCAGTATTAAATTTGGATTCATTTTTTTTTTCTGGAAGAAAGAATAGATATATATGCTGCTCTTACTTGGCAGCAAAGCAATAGTGGGCACTGTAAGAGACGGTAATAACAAAAGCATTAGGATATCATAATAATATATAAGTTTGTTCTGGGAACAGTGTAGTTGTCAAAACTCACACTGCAAAAAAAATTGGCACATAAAGTTTTGGGGCAAGCAATCTTACCTAGCAGAGGATTAAACCTCTTGGGAGTTTTCCAGAGTGTCAATTTAGTAACATCTGCTTTTCATTTCTATATGTTCTGTTTCCCTGGAAACTTAAAGTACTCTAAATTCAACATAAACAGACCTTTGTGTAGTTCATTTTAGTTTTGTTTTTTTTTAAATTTATTTATTTATTATTATTATACTTTAAGTTTGAGGGTACATGTGCACAATGTGCAGGTTAGTTACATATGTATACATGTGCCATGCTGGTGCGCTGCACCCACTAACTCATCATCTAGCATTAGGTATGTCTCCCAGTGCTACCCCTCTCCCCTCCCCCCACCCCACAACAGTCCCCAGAGTGTGATGTTCCCCTTCCTGTGTCCATGTGTTCTCATTGTTCAATTCCCATCTATGAGTGAGAATATGCGGTGTCTGGTTTTTTGTTCTTGCGATAGTTTACTGAGAATGATGATTTCCAATTTCATCCATGTCCCTACAAAGGACATGAACTCATCATTTTTTATGGCTGTATAGTATTCCATCATGTATATGTGCCACATTTTCTTAATCCAGTCTATCATTGTTGGACATTTGGGTTGGTTCCAAGTCTTTACTATTGTGAATAATGCCGCAATAAACATACGTGTGCATGTGTCTTTATAGCAGCATGATTTATAGTCCTTTGGGTATATACCCAGTAATGGGATGGCTGGGTCAAATGGTATTTCTAGTTCTAGATCCCTGAGGAATCGCCACACCGACTTCCACAATGGTTGAACTAGTTTACAGTCCCACCAACAGTGTAAAAGTGTTCCTATTTCTCCACATCCTCTCCAGCACCTGTTGTTTCCTGACTTTTGAATGATTGCCATTCTAACTGGTGTGAGATGGTATCTAATTGTGGTTTTGATTTGCATTTCTCTGATGGCCAGTGATGGTGAGCATTTTTTCACGTGGTTTTTGGCTGCATAAATGTCTTCTTTTGAGCAGAGTCTGTTCATGTCCTTCACCCACTTTTTGATGGGGTTGTTTGTTTTTTTCTTGTAAATTTGTTTGGGTTCATTGTAGATTCTGGATATTAGCCCTTTGTCAGACGAGTAGGTTGCGAAAATTTTCTCCCATTTTGTAGGTTGCCTGTTCACTCTGATGGTAGTTTCTTTTGCTGTGCAGAAGCTCTTTAGTTTAATGAGATCCCATTTGTCAATTTTGGCTTTTGTTGCCATTGCTTTTGGTGTTTTAGACATGAAGTCCTTGCCCATGTCTATGTCCTGAATGATAATGCCTAGGTTTTCTTCTAGGGTTTTTATGGTTTTAGGTCTAACGTTTAAGTCTTTAATCCATCTTGAATTGATTTTTGTATAAGGTGTAAGGAAGGGATCCAGTTTCAGCTTTCTACATATGGCTAGCCAGTTTTCCCAGCACCATTTATTAAATAGGGAATCCTTTCCCCATTGCTTTTTTTTGTCAGCTTCGTCAAAGATCAGATAGTTGTTGATATGCGGCGTTATTTCTGAGGGCTCTGTTCTGTTCCATTGATCTATATCTCTGTTTTGGTACCAGTACCATGCTGTTTTGATTACTGTAGCCTTGTAGTGTAGTTTGAAGTCAGGTAGTGTGATGCCTCCAGCTTTGTTCTTTTGGCTCAGGATTGACTTGGCAATGTGGGCTGTTTTTTGGTTCCATATGAACTTTAAAGTAGTTTTTTCCAATTCTGTGAAGAAAGTCATTGGTAGCTTGATGGATGGCATTGATTCTGTAAATTACCTTGGGCAGTATGGCCATTTTCATGATATTGATTCTTCCTACCCATGAGCATGGAATGTTCTTCCATTTGTTTGTATCCTCTTTTATTTCCTTGAGCAGTGGTTTCTAGTTCTCCTTGAAGAGGTCCTTCACATCCCTTGTAAGTTGGATTCCTAGGTATTTTATTCTCTTTGAAGCAATTATGAATGGGAGTTCACTCATGATTTGGCTCTCTGTTTGTCTGTTGTTGGTGTATAAGAATGCTTGTGATTTTTGTACATTGATGTCGTATGCTGAGACTTTGCTGAAGTTGCTTATCAGCTTAAGGAGATTTTGGGCTGAGACAATGGGGTTTTGTAGATATACAATCATGTCGTCTGCAAACAGGGACAATTTGACTTCCTCTTTTCCTAATTGAATACCCTTGATTTCCTTCTCCTGCCTAATTGCTCTGGCCAGAACTTCCAACACTATGTTGAATAGGAGTGGTGAGAGAGGGCATCCCTGTCTTGTGGCAGTTTTCAAAGGGAATACTTCCAGTTTTTGCCCATTCAGTATGATATTGGCTGTGGGTTTGTCATAGATAGCTCTTATTATTTTGAGATACGTCCCATCAATACCTAATTTATTGAGAGTTTTTAGCATGAAGGGTTGTTGAATTTGTCAAAGGCCTTTTCTACATCTATTGAGATAATCGTGTGGTTTTTGTGTTTGGTTCTGTTTATATGCTGGATTACATTTCTTGATTTGCGTATATTGAACCAGCCTTGCATCCCTGGGATGAAGCCCACTTGATCATGGTGGATAAGCTTTTTGATCTGCTGCTGGATTTGTTTTGCCAGTATTTTATTGAGAATTTTTGCATCAATGTTCATCAAGGATATTGGTCTAAAATTCTCTTTTTTGTTTGTGTCTCTGCCCGGCTTTGGTATCAGGATGATGCTGGCCTCATAAAATGAGTTAGGGAGGATTTCCTCTTTTTCTGTTGATTGGAATAGTTTCAGAAGAAATGGTACCAGTTCCTCCTTGTACCTCTGGTAGAATTCGGCTGTGAATCCATCTGGTCCTGGACTCTTTTTGGTTGGTAAGCTATTGATTACTGCCACAATTTCAGACCCTGTTATTGGTCTATTCAGAGATTCAACTTCTTCCTGGTTCTAGTCTTGGGGGAGTGTATGTTTCCAGAAATTTATCCATGTCTTCTAGATTTTCTAGTTTATTTGCATAGAGGTGTTTGTAGTATTCTCTGATGGTAGTTTGTATTTCTGTGGGATCGGTGGTGGTATCCCCTTTATCATTTTTTTTGCGTCTATTTGATTCTTCTGTCTTTTTTTGTTTATTAGTCTTGCTAGCGGTCTATCAATTTTGTTGATCCTTTCAAAAAACCAGCTCCTGGATTCATTAATTTATTGAAGGGTTTTTTGTGTCTGTATTTCCTTCAGTTCTGCTCTGATTTTAGTTATTTCTTGCCTTCTGCTAGCTTTTGAATGTGTTTGCTCTTGCTTTTCTAGTTCCTTTAATTGTGATGTTAGGTTGTCAATTTTGGATCTTTCCTGCTTTCTCTTGTGGGCATTTAGTGCTATAAATTTCCATCTACACAGTGCTTTGAATGTGTCCCAGAGATTCTGGTATGTTGTGTCTTTGTTCTTGTTGGTTTCAAAGAACATCTTTATTTCTGCTTTCATTTCGTTATGTACCCAGTATTCATTCAGGAGCTGGTTGTTCAGTTTCCATGTAGTTGAGTGGTTTTGAGTGAGATTCTTAATCCTGAGTTCTAGTTTGATTGCACTGTGGTCTGAGAGATAGTTTGTTATAATTTCTGTTCTTTTACATTTGCTGAGGAGAGCTTTACTTCCAAGTATGTGGTCAATTTTGGAAGAGGTGTGGTGTGGTGCTGAAAAAAATGTATATTCTGTTGATTTGGGGTGGAGAGTTCTGTAGATGTCTACTAGGTCTGCTTGGTGCAGAGCTGAGTTCAATTCCTGGGTACCTTGTTGACTTTCTGTCTCGTTGATCTGTCTAATGTTGACAGTGGGGTGTTAAAGTCTCCCATTATTAATGTGTGGGAGTCTAAGTCTCTTTGTAGGTCACTCAGGACTTGCATTATGAGTCTGGATGCTCCTGTATTGGGTGCATATATATTTAGGATAGTTAGCTCTTCTTGTTGAATTGATCCCTTTACCATTATGTAATGGCCTTCTTTGTCTCTTTTGATCTTTGTTGGTTTAAAGTCTGTTTTATCAGAGACTAGGATTGTAACCCTTGCCTTTTTTTGTTTTCCATTTGCTTGGTAGATCTTCCTCCATCCTTTTATTTTGAGCCTATGTATGTCTGTGCACATGAGATGGGTTTCCTGAATACAGCACACTGATGGGTCTTGACTCTTTATCCAATTTGACAGTCTGTGTCTTTTAATTGGAGCATTTAGTCCATTTACATTTAAAGTTAATATTGTTATGTGTGAATTTGATCCTGTCATTATGATGTTAGCTGGTTATTTTGCTCGTTAGTTGATGCAGTTTCTTCCTAGTCTCGACGGTCTTTACATTTTGGCATGATTTTGCAGTGGCTGGTACCGGTTGTTCCTTTCCATGTTTAGTGCTTCCTTCAGGACCTCTTTTAGGGCAGGCCTGCTGGTGACAAAATCTCTCAGCATTTGCTTGTCTGTAAAGTATTTTATTTCTCCTTCACTTATGAAGTTTAGTTTGGCTGGATATGAAATTCTGGGTTGAAAATTATTTTCTTTAAGAATGTTGAATATTGGCCCCCACTCTCTTCTGGCTTGTAGAATTTCTGCCAAGAGATCTGCTGTTAGTCTGATGGGATTCCCTTTGAGGGTAACGCGACCTTTCTGTCTGGCTGCCCTGAACATTTTACCCTTCATTTCAACTTTGGTGAATCTGACAATTATGTGTCTTGGAGTTGCTCTTCTTGAGGAGTATCTTTGTGGCATTCTCTGTATTTCCTGAATCTGAATGTTGGCCTGCCTTGCTAGATTGGAGAAGTTCTCCTGGATAATATCCTGCAGAGTATTTTCCAACTTGGTTCCATTCTCCCCGTCACTTTCAGGTACACCAGTCAGACATAGATTTGGTCTTTTCACATATTCCCATATTTCTTGGAGTCTTTGCTCGTTTCTTTTCATTCTTTTTTTCTCTAAACTTCCCTTCTTGCTTCATTTCATTCATTTCATCTTCCATCGCTGATACCCTTTCTTCCAGTTGATCGCATCGGCTCCTGAGGCTTCTGCATTCTTCACATAGTTCTCGAGCCTTGGTTTTCAGCTCCATCAGCTCCTTTAAGCACTTCTCTGTATTGGTTATTCTAGTTATACATTCTTCTAAATTTTTTTCAAAGTTTTCAACTTCTTTGCCTTTGGTTTGAATGTCCTCCCATACCTCAGAGTAGTTTGATCGTCTGAAGCCTTCTTCTCTCAGCTCGTCAAAGTCATTCTCCATCCAGCTTTGTTCCGTTGCTGGTGAGGAACTGCGTTCCTTTGGAGGAGGAGAGTCGCTCTGCTTTTTAGAGTTTCCAGTTTTTCTGCTCTGTTTTTTCCCCATCTTTGTGGTTTTATCTACTTTTGGTCTTTGATGATGGTGATGTACAGATGGGTTTTTGGTGTGGATGTCCTTTCTGTTTGTTAGTTTTCCTTCTAACAGACAGGACCTTCAGCTGCAGGTCTGTTGGAGTACCTGGCCGTGTGAGGTGTCAGTCTGCCCCTGCCGGGGGGTGCCTCCCAGTTAGGCTGCTCCGGGGTCAGGGGTCAGGGACCCACTTGAGGAGGCAGTCTGCCCGTTCTCAGATCTCCAGCTGCGTGCTGAGAGAACCACTGCTCTCTTCGAAGCAGTCAGACAGGGACATTTAAGTCTGCAGAGGTTACTGCTGTCTTTTTGTTTGTCTGTGCCCTGCCCCCAGAGGTGGAGCCTACAGAGGCAGGCAGGCCTCCTTGAGCTGTGGTGGGCTCCACCCAGTTCGAGCTTCCCGCTGCTTTATTTACCTAAGCAAGCCTGGGCAATGTCGGGCGCCCCTCCCCCAGCCTCGCTGCCCCCTTGCAGTTTGATCTCAGACTACTGTGCTAGCAATCAGTGAGACTCCATGGGCATAGGACCCTCTGAGCCATGTGCAGGATATAATCTCCTGATGCGCTGTTTTTTAAGCCCATCGGAAAAGCACAGTATTCGGGTGGGAGTGACCCAATTTTCCAGGTGCCGTCTGTCACCCCTTTCTTTGACTAGGAAAGGGAACTCCCTGACCCCTTGCACTTCCCAAGTGAGGCAATGCCTCGCCCTGCTTCGGCTCGAGCGTGGTGCGCGCACCCACTGACCTGCGCCCACTGTCTGGCACTCCCTAGTGAGATGAACCCCGTACCTCAGATGGAAATGCAGAAATCACCCATCTTCTGCGTAGCTCACGCTGGGAGCTGTAGACCGGAGCTGTTCCTATTCGGCCATCTTGGCTCCTCCCATTCATTTTAGTTTTAACAACTCTAAGATAGACTTTGATTTCAAACAGACTTTCAAAAATTTTTTCATTTTTCTGAATGACAATGAATTGCCATGTTTCAAAAAGTTAAACTTCATAATTCAACTTACTTTGTTTCCTTACTTGTGCTAACTTGGAAGTCATCCACACATCTAGGTGAATCTTATATCAGGAGAACCCCTGATATAGAAGGATATAGTTATTTGAGCCCCCATCTCAAAAGCTAACAACTCATCCAAACAATAGTTCATTGCTTCTCTAAGATACAAAAAAATTCTGATAATAATTAGCAATACTATCTAATGTCAACAAAGGAACAGACCTAAGATTTCATTTAAGTTCCCAAGTTTACTTTTAATATCAGTCAAAAATCTGTTGCTAACTACACTGCCCTCCTCCTCTGTTAGCAATTTCTCAGGCAATTGTTGATTTCTCATAATGGTACCATTACCAGTTTTCCCCTGCCCACCTTCACACATTCACATGCCCTGCCATTGATGGGTTGGATGCCACCAGCACTCATTTCACGAAGGATTTTCAAACACTGGTAATGTCTACTGAAGAGGTCATGTGTTTTCTGTCAATCACCTTCTCTGTACCTAACAGAGAATTTCCCAGACCTCCTTGGTGCTACCAAAAATAAAACTTTAGAGTTCTGTTGGACTAGCCAGTTCTAGCTCTTTCAATAGATTCAACTTCTTTCCATGGAATAGTGAAACATCTTTGAAAGATTATTGCTTTATTATTTTTATTGTATCAATACGACAAATGCCACACTCACCGTAGCTCAGAGGGGAGGATATATCGTCTTTCTTAGTCACTTTTTCCTACACTCTACAATTCTCCCTTAGAACCTGCTTAAAATATAATTTTAAAAGCCAAAACCAGCTTTTACAAATAGTCCTAGACTTTAGATTATCCTGAAAAGCACTTGGATATGTTTCATGTACAACTAGAAAGTGTTAAATATATGTGGATATTACCATTAATGAATTTCTAAATTTTTTTTCTAGTGTGAATTTAAGGTTTTACAAATCCTTGAGTCTAAAAATCATTACTGCATTTAAAGTTAGGATAAAAAAAGTTTCAGCTTTCCACAAAAGATTAATAGCTAGTCTTTGTAAAATTATTACACCTTAACAAAGGCCAATTCTGAATTGAAATTTCATTGTTCACCTTTACTTAAACAAATCATTTCAGTTAAAGTAATTTATATTCACCATTATTTTTAATTAATATGATTGTGCTTGTGTCTGTAACAATTAAATTTAATTCTTAAAAAGAACTTCCTAGTGAAGGCTGGCTGAAGAGAGGTCTTGCTGGGAATTTCCCAGATCTAGAGAGATTGTGTGACTCTGTTATCTATGTTTATGGGATGTAGAAATGATAGCAAGTGCATGATTATAAAGCCAAAAGTGAACTTCTATGGCAAACCATGCCCAGGTGTATTGTGTTCTATAGAAATGCCTAAGCCAAATCCAAGAAGTAAAACTGGAGCATTAATTCAAGTAACTGAAACCAGAATTTAAATTATACAGCAAAACTATGTCTACATAACTAAAGATTTAGAAAAGGAATAAGAAGTAATGGAAGAGACAAATGAAAGAAAGCCATAATTCATATTAGAAATAGAGTTTGGATATTTTTAATGGTATTTCAACAATTCTATTACAAGCATGATGTGTTCATTGGGTGGGGATGGGACTAGTAATACACCTTGTTCTCTATCGTAATGTCCTTGCTAGACCTGCATATAATAAATTTAACCCATTAATCTGGTTAATTATAATGTATAATTATGTGAAATTATTATGAGATATGTTTTGAAATTTTATTTTTTTCTATTTAATTTACAAAGATTTAAGTGCCTACTATATGTCAGGTCTTACACTATCTGATACACGTATAGTGAAAAGAAAGAAATCTGCTCACAACTGGCAATGATTCTAGTGCTGAAAATAGAAAATAATATAGACTGCAAAAATGTGAAGCACATACACAAAAAGATATGAAAGGAGATAAGGAGTTTATTTTAGATGGGATAGTCAGAGAAGACTCTGAAAAGATAACATTTGAAATAAGACACTAAAGATAAAAATTAAATAACCTACAATGAACTGGAAGAAGATAGTCTGATGGATTTGGCTTGCTTGCTTGGATCAATGGTGATGGCATTAACTGAAATGAGGAAGATTGTATGAGAAACAGATATTGTAGGTTTGTACATTTTGGACATAACTTTGAGGCATCCATCATATAGACAGTTGTGTATATAAATATGGAGCTCAGTGAATGATCTGGCCTAGCAATATCAACATAAAACATAAAAATTATCAGCATTTGATTGTATTTACAGTCAAAAGAGTGAAAACACCTAGGGACAGAGTATAGATGTAAAAAAGAATAGATTTCAGGAAAGGCAGTTTAGGAATTCCAGCATAAAGAGTTGAAGAAGGTATTGGAGGAGTAAGACAAATTGTGTAAGAAATGGAAGGGAGAAGCTTGAGACATTTTTTTAAAAAGAAAACAGGAGTCAGTGGTGTCAAGAGTGACAAGAAAGGAGAGTGTTTTAAGAAATAGGGAAGAGCTGCTGTGTGTAACATCATTGAGAAATCAAGGGAGAAGAAGACAGAGATATAGTCCAATGGAATTGGTAGCGGGATGATTTTGGTGACCTTGAGAATAAAAGTTTCAGTAGTGTGGTGGGGATGAAAGTGAGATTTGAATGGATCAGAATCTGAATGGGAGGTGAGGATGTGGATATGACAATTCTTGATTACTTATTTAAGAGACTTTGCTATTGTCACATGATCCTTAGGGTGTCACTTTGCAAGCCAGAAACTTCTGTGGCCGGCAGTGCATCTGCTGGGGTTTTTGCTTATGCATGCTGAGGTCATTCCACCCACTCAGTTTGGCAGGCTGCGGCTGGCTCATGCTACCAGCCTGGATCCTATGCCTGCCAAGGGCAAGCCAGGCCCAGAGCGGTGAGGGTTGTGTGGGTGATCCAGTACGGGGTCTGGCCACTGTCCACAGCGAGGCACACTGGCTGCTGTGGTGGGGAGGGCAGCTCCAGGCTCTGGCACAGGTGTCGGCTCCATGTGAGGCTGTGGCTGGACCAGACATATTTCATGCAGCCTCTGCTGCAGGCACCAGCCTCTGGAGGTGTTGGTGCTTGAGAGCTGGGAAACAGCAGGAACCTTAGAGCCCCAAAGAGGGTATTACAGTGAGTCACAGCGCTGACTCAATGAACCTCAAGGTCTGGGCTCCCAGAAGGACTGCTATTCTTTACTCCCTAAGTCAGAAAACATGTCATCACCCACAGGTTGGTGAGCCACTCAGTAACATGTTCCAGCTCTTTTCGCTCTTCAACGGGTCCTGAGTTCTTGTCCCGCTTCTGGGAAGAATAAAGTTATGCAGACAACTGGAGAGTGAGTAAGGCAGAGAGAAGCTTTATTGAACAACAGAACAGCTCCCTGGACACCCAAAGGGGGCAACTCCTCTCCACAGGCAGGTCATCCTGAAGAGTGAGTCTAGCTGAGTCTGGCGTTTTTATGGGCTCAGAAGGGAGGAAGTGGGTGCTGATTGGTCCATGGGTGGCCATGGGCAGGCCTGGAAAAGGAACCACAAATTCTCATTCTAGGTCACGACTCCACCCAGAACTGGCAGCCCAGCTCCCAGGCTTCAGGCCATCCCTGGCTTGGCTTGAAGGTGGGGTTTCACTGGGTACCTGCCCCTTCCTGCCTAGGAACCTGTTTGCCTCCCACTGCCATCAACATGCTGTCCACACACCCAGGCTGTCCATGCTGAGAGGCGCCTGCAGGTCCACGCCAAGCCGCCCTCAGGCCCCACCCAAGCTCCCTCCCTGGGCTTGTTGGTACCCAAAGCTTCAGAGGGGACTGAGGCAGCAGGGGGCTGGTGTGTCAGCACTGCCCTGAGTGCGGGCACACCTGGCCAGGTCACAACAACACCTGGGCTCAGCTACAACTTTGCTTTGTGCTGGAGCAGGTGCCGGGAACAGGAGAGGCCCAGGGAAGGGGAGCAGGCACTTCCAAGCATGCAGGGGCAGGAGGCTTCATGTGCTCCCTAGAGCACAGGGATGCCTGGATCCCGAGCGGTGGCTGCGCAGCTGCAGTTGCACCTGGGAGCATGGGGCTCTCACACTGCCACCTCAACAGGGAGCAGGGCTCTCTCCTATTCCCAGCCCCCATGGGCTCCGCAGAGCAACCAGCCCCAGCCACACCTCCCCCACTGCAGGTGACATCTCCACAGCAGCTGCTCCAGATGGGCCTCTGCTGCCATCACTATGACACTAAGCAGAGTAATGAGCCCTATCTAGTGAGAAATGGAGATTTATCTTTTTAAAAATATGGCATAGTAAACACACTTTAGAGGCTAGTGAGGATAATACAATAAAAAGGAAAGCAATATTGATAAAGAAGATATAAGATGATTATACAGGCAAAATCCTTGCGAGGACAAGGGAGAATGAGATCTGGAGCACCAGTGGAGAGTACTGTCCTGGTTGACTGTAGCAGGGATAGTTTTTTTATTGACTAGGAGCAGCACCAGATCCATATACCTGCAAGCAGGACAATTTGGTAGTGTGAAAATAAGACAGTTTCCTTACAATAAAATGTGTTGAGTTAATTTAAAATAAATAACAATTTCTAGTTTTTCAATGAAATATGACAGTATGAAGATTATTAGGTGGGATATGCATGTATGTGTGTGTTTGTGTGGTGAGGGGAGTTGTGAAGGGTTTGAAAAAGAAAGAAGGTTTAAAATTGTTTCCTTGGAAAGGTAGATGCAATTTACTATGAAAAGAGAGCAAAACCACACAACATTAGAAAGTATGCTTTTTTTTTTTTTTTCCTTTGCCCTCTCCCTTTGACCTATCTCAGATCAGTTCCCTTTTTCTCTCTGCCCATACTGGCCCTCCAATTCTCAATACATAGTTCTTTCTTTTACTCAGGGATTGAATATATATTGTTTATTTTATGTGGAATTCTCTTCTTCGTGTCTGTACTGGCTAACTTATTTTCTTAATTTAACTTTCATTTTATTTTATTTTATTTTTATTATCATTATACTTTAAGTTTTAGGGTACATGTGCACAACGTGCAGGTTTGTTACATGTGTATACATGTGCCATGTTGGTGTGCTGCACCCATTAACTCGTCATTTAGCATTAGGTATATCTCCTAATGCTATCCCTCCCCCCTCCCCCCACCCCACAACAGTCCCCGGTATGTGATGTTCCCCTTCCTGTGTCCATGTGTTCTCATTGTTCAATTCCCACCTATGAGTGAGAACATGCGGTGTTTGGTTTTTTGTCCTTGCGATAGTTTGCTGAGAAAGGATTATAAATCATGCTGCTATAAAGACACATGCACACGTATGTTCATTGGGGCACTATTCACAATAGCAAAGACTTGGAACCAACCCAAATGTCCAACAATGATAGATTGGATTAAGAAAATGTGGCACATATACACCATGGAATACTATGCAGCCATAAAAAATGATGAGTTCATGTCCTTTGTAGGGACATGGATGAAGCTGGAAACTATAATTCTCAGAAAGTATGTTTTTAAATGTACAATTGGTAATTTAAAATAAAACCAGTCGACCCATTTATATCATTTTATTCCATAAAATTCATAGGCATAAAGAAGGTGGAAAACTGGATCCCAAGAGGGTTTGAGTGTATTAGGTAAAGTAACCTAGTGTGTTTAGAAGTGAGTGATTGAAATAGTGCATCAAGAAATAGGAGGAAGAAAGTAAAGACAGGAGAGAATAATGAATAAAAAAAGTGGTGGAACAAGTGAATTGGATTAGAGTTTTTAATATGGTGGAAGAATTGTTTCTGTGAGCTGAAAGTAAAGAAAAGACAGAAAAATTGGGAAGTACTTGAAATCAGGATTTCAGACATGGGTGTATTTACTCATGATAATGTGCATGATCCAAGCATTATTTGGGAATGAGTGGCTAAGGCTATTGAAATTAAAGATTGCTGTATGTGTGGCAGGTAAAGAAATGATTGACCAGTGCTGTATGTATCACTCCCTTGGGTGCTCAAGTCATCAGGAATACAACAGGGCTAGAGGTAGAGGTATGTGAGTTTTCAGTGTATGAGGGACAGTGACCACAAATTCCAGAGAGCAGCAATAAAGGGCAGAGTGTAGCACGAAATGAAAGTTGAAAGACCTTGCATTTGGGAAGAATGAAGGGAAGAAGGAAATGAAATGATTTAAAAGCAGCAGTGGGAAGCAAGGGATCTCCTAATGCAATACCTAGTCCTGGGACAGATGAGAAAGAAATAGAACAAACAGCTTCCTTTTGAGAGGTCCTCCAGGGAAGTAGCATAACCTGGTTTTAGTCAAGGTAAAGATAACAAGGATAAATGAGACCGTGTTGATCACATATGAGTGTTTCAAGGAGCAAAGAAAAAGGGTCTGAAGAGGGAAGGCATATAGGATGTGTCAGATTAGAGGATGATGGATGATGATTAGATTAAGACATCTCAAATCAAACCATACACTGCAAAGCTTGAATTTCTTGTGCTGCCACAGGGAAAATAAAAATGTGACTTATGGTGGCATTAGTTCCTGTAGACTCTCAGGAAATGGAGAGAAATCAACAAAAGGTAGTCTATGATGCTATGAGGACCTGGTTATTATTACTTCTTACAGTTCCATATATCCTAAGATCTTTGGGTGCATCAATTTTATATTACAGGGGCCAGGTGCAGTGGTTTATGCCTGTAATCCCAATGCTTTGGGAGGCCAAGGTGGGAGATTCGTTTGAGGCCAAAAGTTCTAGAATAGCCTGGGGAACATTGTAAGATGCTGCCTCTGAAATTTTTTTTAAAAAAAATTAGCTGAATATGGTGGCTCATGCCTTTAGTCCTAGCTACTCAAGTCTGAGACAGGAGGATCACTTGAGCCCAGGAGTTCAAGGTCACAGTGAGCTATCATTGTGCCATTGTACTCCAGCCTGGGTGACAGAGTGAGAGACTGTCTAGAAAAACATTATTACATGTTACAGAGTTATGCAATGGTGAGACAAGCACATCAGTTGGAATCAATTTGAAAATGTATTTTGTTACACATGTTAAATTTCTCCTTATACATGTTAAATTTCTCCTCTTCTTTTCCAGAACAGGGGAGACTTAAATTTCATCAAGGTTTAGACTCCAAGGTTTATATTTTATTTTTACTCCTTTTCATTTTCCAAATGAAAACAACTATAACATAATCTTGCCTTCACTGATGTACTTTAGAATCCTCAAACATCCTAATATTACCATTATTCCTCTTATACTCAATCACCTCCTTTTATATTAAATCACCGTGAGAGGTGATTTAATATACACTAATTCCATGCCCATTATGTAGGCTTGGAATTGGGTATCTGCAATTTCATCAGCAATGCCCTCCTAAACCTATTAATTCCTTTCAGGAAATATAAATCTCTGAACAGCCAGTGATGGTGCCAGTACGAATTGCACAGTCAGTAATCCTATAAATTCATCAAATGTTCGAGTCATAGTACAGGCTCGTTTTTCACTCTAATGCAGATTTTTTTACTCATCTGATATTAGATCAGACATCCTACCTTAATGAACTGTGCTTCTTCCCATCTGTAGCATGGAACATAGGCATAAGTAGAAGCCAATTTCATTGTTGTGCCTTGAAAGCAACAAAAGATTTCATGACAAATAGTTAACTCAAATGAACTCCCCCCAAAATTATATATTTCTGGTCAGAAACCTCTCTTTTGTTTAATTCAATATAGAGTGAGAATGGCTATTCATGGGAATCAATAGCAAGCAGAAACTGACATCAAAATATGTAGATGGTGACATTTGAACTGGGTCTTACAACATGGACAGGATCTCTGAGAAAATAAGAAAAGGCTGAGGACTAAGTGTTTTCAAACATATGCCTGCCTGAAAAAGATGACACATTCAGGAATAAACTGCAGAGTTCAATGTGGTCATAATGAGTGGGATGTGTGTGTGTGTGTGTATTTTAGAGACAGGAGTTAACACATAAAAAATCATATCCACATGAGCAATTTGTCTTTCCAGTAAATTGCATATTGCAATAAAAGTGATGACTCTCAATTCTTACATATTTTTTATAATGTTAAGTGTAACACTGTAAACCTTGACTAACACCATGGGACCTATATGACTAGTGATGCTGGAAGTGCTCCCAAGAAGCAGAGAAAAGTCATAACATTACAAGAAACAGTTGAATTGCTTGATATGTACCACAGGTTGAGATCTGCAGCTATGATTACCCACCATTTTGAGATAAATAAATCCATCATTAGGTCCATTGTTAAAAAAGAAAAGGAAATGCATGTAGCCATTGCTGCAGCTATGCCAGCAGGTAAACAACCCTTGTACTTTTTGTAAAATATCTTTTAATCTTGTATTGAAAATGCAACTTTTATGTGGATGCAGAATTGGTCTAAGAAAGGCATGAGAATAGATGCTAATATAGGTCAAGGAAAAACAAGATCATTATCTGACACTTTAAAGCAAAAAGAAGGTGAATGATCTAAAGCTAGAAAATTTAATGCCAGTAAAAGATAGTTTGATAATTTTAGGAAGAGGTTTGGTTTAAAAAAAAACTCAAGATAACAGGAGAAGCAGCTTCTGTCAAATAAGAGGCAGCAGACAAGTTCCCAGATGCCATTTAAAAAATCATTGAGAAGAGAGAATATCTGCTGGCAGGGTACTTAATGCAGATGAATGTGTCTCATGCTGGAAAAAAATACCACAAAAGGCATTTATTAATAAAGAAGGGAAGAGAGCACCAGGATTTAAGGTAGAGAGGGATAGGCTAACTTTACTATTTTCTGGAAATGCAGTCAGGTTTATAATCAGGACTGCCCTTGTCTATAAAGCTGCTAACCCTGGAGCCTTGAAGGGAAAGACGAACACCAGCTGCCAAACTTTTGGTCGTACAACAAGAAGGCTTGGATAATGAGAGAACAGTTTTTCTGGATTGGTTTCATCGATGCTTTGTTCTTAGGGTCAGGAAGTACCTTACTGGTAAGGAATGCCTTTTAAAGTTCTTTGAATATTAGACAATGCCCCTGTCCATCCAGAATCCCATGAGTTTAACACCAAAGATGTGGAAGTGGTCTACTTGCCCCTAAACACAATGTTTAATTCAGCCTCTGCATGAAGGGGTCACAAGGACTTTAAAGGCTCATTACACACAGCACTGAATGGAAAGAATTGTCAGTTCTATGCAAGAGAACCTCAATAGTGAGAGCATCATGAAAGTCTGGAAGGATTACACCATTGAAGATGGCATTCTTTTTATAGAAAAAGCCGTGAAAGCCATCATGCCTGAAACAATAAATTCCTGCTGGAGAAAACTGTGTCCAGATGTTGTGCATGACTTCACAGGATTTATGACAGAGCCAATCAAGGATATCATAAAAGAGATTGTGGATATAGCAAAAAGGTAGGGGGTAAACGTTTCAAATTATGGATCTTGGAGAAATTCAAGAGCTAATAGACACCACACCAGAGGATTTAACAGAAGATGATTTGATGGAGATGAGTGCTTCCAAACCAGTGCCAGACAATGAGAAAGAAGACATAGAAGAATCTGCCAGAAACAAATTGGCATTAGATAATCTGGCAAAAGTGTTCTAATTATTCAAGACTGCTTTTGAGTTTTTTTAATTTTATTTCAAGGACCCTTCTATGACACAGGCACTGAAACCAACCCAGCAGGGAAGTAGGACTGATATCATGTAGAAATATTTTTAGGGAAATTTAAAAGCAAAAAGTAAGATGGAAGTTATGATGTATTTCCATAAATTTCTACTGACTGTCTCTTTCTCCTGCTTCCTCTTCCACCTCCTCCATCTTTTCCACCTCTGCCACTCCTGAGACAGCAAGACCAGACTTTGCCCTTCCTCCTCTCAGCCTACTCAACGTGAATATAATGAGGATGAAGACCTTTGTAATGACCTTTTCCCACATAATGAATAGTAAGTATATTTTCTGTTTCTTGTGATTTTCTTAGTAACATTTTATTTTTCCCAGCTTACTTCATTGTAAGAACAGAGTACTTAATGCATATAACATACAATATTTGTGTTAATCAACTCTATACATCAGTAAGATGTCTGGTCAACAGTAAGCTATTAATAGGTAAGTTTTTGAGGGGTTATGGTGGGGGTCAGTCCCTCTAACCTCATGTTTCTCAAGGGTCAACTATATTTTAGGGGTTACTAGAGAGCCACTAAACACTTTCATATTAGCTTTCTGCTTATCTAGATGTTTCTTAGTATATAAAAAATGATTCTAACATTTAAAAATCTTAAAGGTCTTAAATTTCATTTTGAAGTAGTGAATATTTCTTTAGAATTGAGGTAGGAATATATTTAAACAGTAAGTTCTTTTCTGTCAAAATTTGTAAAAAAATTTATCTAAAAGTGTGTCAGAAATCCTAAATGTTATTTTTGTTTCCTGTGAATAAATGACATAATAAAGTTGCCTTAAAATAATTTTGGAAAATTTTGCTTTCCAAAACAACTCCAAAATAGATGAGAAAGCAAGAGACCATGAAGTCTGAGAAGCAATAGAAAAATAAGGTCAAAGAGTACAATGCATTTGAAGTCTGTGGCTATGAGCAGGTTTGTGGCAGGTGAAGATAAGAAGCTGCAGTTTCATGACAACAACACAAATGAAATAGGTCAAAATTTAGGAAAAGAGACAAACATGGAATCTAGTGCAGTTCTGCTGCTTGCTCACCCACAACAATCTGAACACCAAAAGGTAACAAGCGAGAAAAGTAGAACAGGCCAGCATACCAGTTACAGAGCTCCCTGCCTGGTTTCAAATCCTCACACTACAATTTATTGGCTTTGTGGTTAGTGAGCAAGTTACTTAGGCTCTCCAAGCTCCTCAGTTGTTGTGTGTAAACATGATACAAACCAACCAGAAAACAATGAACAAAATGGCACTAGTAAGTTTTTACCTATTGTATTAGTCTGTTCTCATGCTGATAATAAAGACATACCTGAGACTGGGTAATTTAAAAAGAAAAGAAGTTTAATTGATTCACAGTTCCACATGGCTGGGGAGGCCTCACAATCATGGTGGAAGGTAAATGAGGAGGAAAGGCATGTCTTACATGCAGCAGTCAGGAGAGCTTCTTCAGGGGAACTCTCATTTATAAAATCATCATATCTCATGAGACATCTTCACTATCATGAGAACAGTATAAGGGAAACTGCCCCTGTGATTCAGTTATCTCCACCTGTTCCCACCCTTGAGATGTGGGGATTATTACTATTCAAGGTGAGATTTGGATGGGGGACAGCCAAACCATATCACTCCACGCTGGCCCCTCCCAAATCTCATGTCCTCACATTTCAAAACTAGATATGTCTTCCCAACAGTCCCCCAAAGTCTTAACTCATTTTAGCATTAACTCAAAGTCCACCATCCAAAGTCTTATCTGAGACAAGGCAAGTCCCTTCTGCCTATGAGCCTGTAAAATCAAAAGGCAGTTAGTTATTTCCAAGATACAATGAAGGTACAGGCACTGGGTAAATACACCTGTTCCAAATGGGAGAAATTGGCCAAAATGAAGGGGGATACAAGCCCTGTGCATGTCTGAAATCCAACAGGGCACTCAGATCTTAAAGTTCCAAAATGATCACCTTTGACTGCATGTCTCATATCCAGGTCATGGTGATGCAACTGGTGGGCTTCTATGGCCTTGGAAAGCTCTGACCCTGTGGCTTTGCAGAGTACAGCCTCCCTCCTGGCTGCTTTCATGGGCTGGCACTGAGTGTCTGCAGCTTTTCCAGGTGGACGGTGCAAGCTCTCAGTGTAGCTACCATTCTGGGGTCTGGAGGACAGTGGCCCTCTTCTCACAGCTCCACGAGGCAGTGCCCCAGTGGGGACTCTGTATGAGGGCTTCAACCCCACATTTCTCTTTTGCACTGCCCCAGCAGATGTTCTCCATGGGGGCTCCACCTCTGCAGCAGACTTCTGCCTGGACATTCAGGCATTTCCATACATTCTCTGAAATCTAGGTGGAGGTTCCCAAGCTTCAACTCTTGAATTCTGTGCACCCACAGACCCAACACCATGTGGAAGCCACATAGCCTTGGGGCTTGCAACCTCTGAAGCAATAGCCTGAGCGCTATGTTGGCCCCTTTAACCACAGCTGGGATGCAGGTCACGAAGTCCAAGACTGCACAAAGCAGCAAGGCACTGGTTCTGACCTATGAAAGCATTTTCCCTCCTAGGCCTCCAGGCATGTGATAGAAGGGCTGACCATGAAGACCTCTGACATGCCCTGGAGACATTTTTCTCACTGTCTTGATGATTAATATTTGGCTCTTTGTTACTTATGCAAATTTCTGCAGCTGACTTGAATTTCTCCTTAGAAAATAGGTTTTTCCTTTTTTATCACATCATCAGGTTGCACATTTTCCAAACTTTTATTCTCTGCTTCCCTTTTAAACATAAGTTCCAATTCCAAACTATATTTTTGTGAATGCATAAAAATGAATGCTTTTAACAGCACCCAAGGCACTTCTTGAATGCTTTGCTACTTAAAAATGTCTTCTGCCAGATGTCCTAAATCATCTCTCTCAAGTTTAAAGTTCCACAAATTTCTTAGGCAAGGGCAACATACTGCCAGTGTCTGCTGAAACATAGCAAGAGTCACCTTTGCTCCAGTTCCCAACGAGTTTCTTATCTCCATCTGAGACCACCTCAGCCTGGACTTTATTGTCTGTATCACTATCAGCATTTTGGTCAAAACCATTCAAGAAGTCTCTAGGAAGTTCCAAACTTCCCCACACCTTCCTTTCTTCTTCTGAGCCCTCCAAACTGTTCCACCCCTGCCTGTTACCTAGTTTCAAAGTTGCTTTCACATTTTTGGTTATCTTTACAGTAGTGCCCCACTCTACTGATACCATTTCACTGTATTAGTCCAGTTTCATGCTGCTGATAGAGACATACCTGAGACTGGGTAATTTACAGGGGAAAGAGGCTTAATTGACTCACAGTTCCCCATGGCTGGGGAGACCTCACAATCATGGCAGAAGGTGAATGAGGAGCAAAGTCACATCTTACCTCGTACAGGAAAGAGAGCTTGTTCAGGAGAACTCTCATTCATAAAACCATTAGATTTCATGAGACTTATTCACTACCCTGAGAACAGTATGGGGAAAACTGCCCTCAAGATTCCATTATCTCCACCTGGCTCTGTCCTTGATGTTGGGGATTATTATAACTCAAGGTGAGATTTGGGTGGGGATATGGTCAAACCATATCACCTATGATTTTAGTTCCCACAATTCCCACATGTTGTGTGAGGAACCCAGTGGGGGGGTAATTGAATTATGGGGGCAGGTCTTTCCTGTGCTGTTCTCATGATCGTGATTAAATTTCACAAGATTTGATGGTTTTATAAGGGGGAGTTTCCCTGCACAAGCTCTTTTTTTTGCTTGCTACCATCCATGTAAGATGTGACTTGCTCCTCCTTGCCTTCTGCCCTGATTGTGAGGCCTCCCCAACCATGTGGAACTGTGAGTCCATTGAACCTCTTTCTTGTATAAATTACCCAGTCTTGGTATGCTTTATTAGAAGCATGAAAATGGACTAATACAGTAAATTGGTACCAGTAGAGTGAGGAGTGCTGCTGTAAACATAACTGAAAATGTGGAAGTGACTTTGGAACTGGGTAACAGGCAGCAGTTGGAACAGTTTAGAGGGCTCAGAAGAAGACAGGAATATGTGGGAAAGTTTGGAACCTCCTAAAGACTTGTCAAATGGCTGTGCCCAAATGCTGATAGTGATATGGACAATAAAGTCCAGGCTATGGTAGTCTCTGATGGAAATTAGAAACTTGTTGGAAAGTGGAGCAAAGGTGACTCTTGTTATGTTTTAGTAAAGAGACTGGTGGCATTTTGCCCCTGCACTAGAGATTTGTGGAACTTTAAATTTGAGGGAGATGATTTAGGGTATCTGGTGGAAGGAATTTCTAAGCAGCAAAACATTCAAGACGTGACTTGGATGCTGTTAAGGCATTCAGTTTTATAAGGGAAGCAGAGCATAAAAATTTGGAAAATTTGCAGCCTGACAATGTGATAGAAAAGAAATCCCATTTTCTAAGGAGAAATTCAAGCCAGCTGCTGAAATTTGCATAAGCAACCAAGGAGCTGAATGTTATTCCCCAACACAATGGGGAAAATGTCTCCAGGGCATGTCAGAGGTCTTCAAGGCAGCCCCTCCCATCATAGGCCTGGAGGTCTTGGAGGGAAAATGGTTTCATGGGCCAGGCTCAGAGAGTCCCTGTGCTATGTGCACCCTAGTGACTTGGTGCCCTGCATCCCAGCTGCTCTTGCCCTTGCTGAAAGGGGCCAATGTAGAGCTCAGGCCATGGCTTCAGAGGGTGGAAGCCCCAAGCCTTGGCAGCTTCCATGTGTTTTTGAGCCTGCAAATGCACAAAAGTCAAGAATTGGGGTTTGAAAAACACCCAGATTTCAGAGTATGTATAGAAGATAGGAGTGTGGTTACTTCTACACATAGCTGAAATACATATATACATTTGACCCAGCAAATCCTCTCCTAGTGAATTACCCTAAAAATAAAAAGATATGTCCACAAAAAGATGTGTACACTTACAGCAGTTTTATTCATAATAGTAAGAAGCTGGAAACAACCAGTGTGTACCAGAGTGAATCTGTAAACAAGTTGTGCAACCCTCATATAATGGGATTAATGCTCAGCAATCCAAATGAAACAAACTACTAATTACACAACATGGATAATGTTAGAAAACATACTGAGAAAAACAAGTCAGACACAAAAGAGAACACATTGGATACTTTTATTTATGTGAAATCTAGAGGAGGCAAATTTAATAATTTAGTGAAACCAAGCTGATCAGTATTTACCTGCGGCCAGGGATAAAGGAGTAAGATTGAGTTCAAAAGGCATAAGATAATTTGAGGGGATGACAGACTTGCGCTATATACTTACCAGGATGTTGTTTATATAGGGATATATGTGTTTTGAAAACTCAGGAAGCCGTACACTTAAAATACATGCATTTAATTTTATGAAATGTATAACTTAATAATGTTCATATAAGAAGTTTTAAAATATTCTAATCGATAAATTAAGAAGATAATCAAACAGAAAGACTTTTTCAAGTTTGACTAAACCAGAAAGGAGTCTGACCTACTCCATTCATATTAAAAATAAGTCTAAATTGCAGAGTAACTTGAATTTACCAAGTAAATATGCTCTTTGGACAGATGCCTCAAGTTTTAGGTATGTAGCCTTTACATTTCCTGTATTGTTACTTTCCAACTTGTTTCTTTGTGTTAAAGAAGCTATTTTAAGATAAGCCACAGGCCTCAAGCTGTCTATTTCTTTCAGTATAGTGACAGGGAAATAAACATTTCCCGTTCTTCTTCTACTAATGCCAGGTCACAGTCAGCAATCTCTTTGGTTACTGTCTTGGGTAGCAGCCTGTCTTTTTCAATGGTAAGAACGCATTAATCCATCTGATAAAGGGCAGTTTGAGAAAGGTGAGCACAGCTCAGAGCTCTTTAATCTGTCAAGTCCTATTTTCTTTTACCTTTGAAATGTTCCAGAATCCTCTTTCCAATCTGTCATAGGTAAGCCTAACATCTCACCCTAGAGTTTACATTAACCTTTAATAATATTATTGGCAGACATAAGGACAATTTACCAAAAAAGGTGGTCTATGAATTTTTGTATTATTAGTGTCTGTATTGTATTATGAATTTACCTTTCTTGTCTTTGTTAAGACATATATACACTATATTTCTAGCCTGTGAAGAGAAAATATTAAAGACTTATTGCTGAGTAAATAAAATGATGTTTAAGTTATATTCTATGTGAAAGCAACTTATGGGTTATTTATAATAGGACTTCGATTATGAGGCAGAGAGCTTGTTAAGAAATAAATACCATTACAAAATAAATAAATATTCTCAATACATTTGGAAAATCATAAATTGCATGCTTTATTATATGAATTAGAAGTTATCGTCTTTAAAACCCTATGGTATAAAACCAAGAGAAAAATATGTGTAACTGATATGATTGTTTCAGTGAATTAAAAAATTTTAAATTTCCTCTAGATGATTCCTCTTAGATAAATCCCCAGTGACAATTTCATCCCAACATCCCTGGCAGCATCTCCAATTCTGTGTGACATAATTACCCACACAAGCAGAGGAAAGCCCATTACTGGAAATGGCAATATTTCTAACTTGCTTAGAGGATATGCAATAATGCAGCTTAAAACATTTTCCGGTTTAACAACTACTTAATTAGTTATTTCTTCCTCTGTAGTCATAACTTTTATCCTCTCTACCCCAATGTAGTTACTATTAGAGATGTGATTTTAATGGGCAACTCTTAATTACCCATGTTAATGAGCACACACCTGGGCACGGTTTTATATCAAAAGTGTTAGTTTTAAGAAGTTTTGGCTTATGTCAACCAATCAGTAAGCAGCTGTGTTCAACATTTACCATGCACCCAACACTACTCAACACTCTGTTAATATGACATGGTAAGCACAAAGAAATATAAACTTCTACCTTCAAAAATTGTATTCATAAATAAATAAAATACAAACACATAAAGCAGAGATCACTAAACTTTTAATATCAAGCACAAAAAGTGGTAATTGTCATAAATGTCATGTATCTGGCTGGCTGTGGAAGTAGGGAAGACAACCATTGAGAAATTTCTATGTGGCAGATATGGTTAGAACTTTTGTCATATTTAATATAGCAATATATGAGGTCAGCATTATGCCCATGTAGCAAGACAAGGAAGCTGAAGCTTAGAGAGGTTAAGATACTGGCCCAAGGCTCATGCTTAGAATTTACAATACTAGATTCTATCCAGTCCTAGATTTCAACAGATATTTATTGGTATTGACATTGTGAAGACATTTAACCATACGAAATGCTAATCCTGCTTCCTTATGGGTTGTCTCACCCATTAGAAAAGAAATGCTAAATGACGTGTATAATGAAGCCAATAAGATCTACAGAGCCACGTATTAATGAGGCCCTTCTTATGTCCAGAAATTTAAGAAAAGATGCAAGGTATAGATACTATAGAAAAGTAAGAGTGTGAAGAATAATAAGATCTCATTCCCAGCATAAGATGTTTAACAGTCAGCAAGTAGGCTATGATCAGATTCAGTGACACAAAGTCTGTGAAAATATCCCCTTGGTATAAAAAGCTGAGACTGGATGCTCAAAGGTTATAGCCAAAAGGAGAAACCCCTAACTCTAAGGACAGGCATTGGCTTTCTGATCCATATGTATTCTCTTTTTTTCTATATCATAATTTTTACTTTTCACTAGGCAGTCTTCTGAGAATAACAGTATATCTGTAAAGTTGATGCATGCTTGTCAACATAATTTACATAAGTGGTTATGATACAAATAATTTGATACAAACTATCTTGTCTCTTGAAATTGCAAAGTTAAAGTCCTTTTCTGTATCTATTTTCATAAATATTAGTAAATATATAAAATTACAATCAACATAGGCACATGTCTTCCATTAAAAACTGTGTCTCGGTGAAATATCAACATCTCAGATTTGATTAAGAAAGACATAAAAAGATTTGACATTTTTTTTTACTGTTAAACAACTTAAGATTTTAGACCAGAAAGATTATTTGCATTTGAAGATCTCAAAAAGATACATATCTGCCTTTTGAAATCCATATTTGACTCACTGTTTTGCCCTCCCCAATCCTTTTCCTAAAAATTACAAAATGA
This sequence comes from Homo sapiens, assembly GCF_000001405.40. Classification (NCBI taxonomy): domain Eukaryota; kingdom Metazoa; phylum Chordata; class Mammalia; order Primates; family Hominidae; genus Homo; species Homo sapiens. Next base: position 44,650,640 of record NC_000005.10, on the reverse strand, counting down.
AGAAATATCTACTGCTTAAAATAAAGAACATTAAGAGAAGTCATCAAAAGCACAGACATAATTGCTATCATCAGAAATGAAGAAAACGTAAATTTTCACTTCAGTCAGCAACTTGGGGAAAGGTGGTGCAAGTTACATTAAATTTCTGAAAGTAAGGGTTCAAAAGTATTTCCTATATTATATTCCCAATTTTACTCTTTGGTTAAATTGTTCTTTGAGTCAGAACTCCAAAAGTAAGATTCTACACCCAAACATTTATCACTCTTGCTCTGTAACACAAGTGTGCTGAGAATTCAAATCCCAAATGGATTCAAACTCCAAATGGATTACATAAAAGTACTGACCTAAAATTAAAACATTTGTAAGAACATGATAAATAAGAGGTGAAGAGTCTTAATAACAAAGATTTTGATATATTTAGAGAATTTCTTAAAATATATCTCCAGATTCCTTTTGTTTTACACAGTTGTTATCTAAATGCCTACCATGAATATCAAAATATACTGTTACAGTTTTATCCAATTATCATTTTTACTCTAAAATCGTTATTTTACTGAGCAATTATGTGCAGTAACTATTTTAATAGTTTATTCTGTACAGTTTTCTTACCCTACTTATTTGTGTACTAGGATATAAGTTCTGGAATTGTTTCTATTGCTAGTAATTACTGTATAACGGTAACACATTTTAAAATGGCAGATTTATTTGGTTTCTCTACTTACTAATGGCCAGAAAATATAGGATTAGCACATGAGAAAAAAATACCAATAGAGCTAAATAGGAGACAATTAAATTTATGTATGGTGCTCACATTTCACTGCCTAAGTTCCAGACACAGAATTCCCCTCCAAGTGGGGCTTGGTATAATTTGGAAGGAGTTCTGGTGTTCAGTCAATAGATCTTTGCCATCTCTGGTAGCTTTGCCCTCCCAACCAAAACAGGTTGTCACCAATTTTCACATAGTGTAAGTCTTTTGATTGAATAGTTCTGTTCAATGAAAGTTGGAGACATAAATCTTGAGGGAGCTGAGAGACCTTTCACTAATGTGGAATTTGCAGGATTCAAGCAATTTGGCATTATTGGGAACTAAAGAGAAGCCTTGATTTGACCAGACATGTAAGTTAAGTCTAGAAAAAATGCTTAAGCTAATAAATTGAGATGGCTGGATAACTACACTATAAATCAATCAAGAAATCCAGATGACATTATAAACCACAGCCATAATGCTCTTGTGGAGAAGTAATGCTCTTGTGGTTTGCAAAAACATTCTGAGCTTTTGAGAGATTTCATGGTTGGAAATCTATTTCTAGTCATCCAGTACTATTTATAAAAGGGGGATTGTTTTTTGTTGTTCTTATGGTTAAAAATTTCAGTATAAGACAGCAGTTTAAAAACACCACTTAAGAAATTTAACATTTTTAGCAAAAAACTTCCCGGGAAAAGCAATAATGAACACGCCCAGGGGCTGTTTGATATTATGTGACACTGGGCTTCCAAATTATCAGGCTAGTTTTACTATAAGGCCATGCAGTGATCCTGAAATCTCACCCCACCTGCCTCTATCACAAAAAGAACATCTACCCCACTGAAAATGGTACGGAAGATCACAAAGGACAGATGCACAAAAATGTGTATGTTTCTTCAAATGACAGCAAAGCAAATTGAGAAGAAAATTGTTTACTACCACACAGTGACCTCCACTGTGTCTTCTATACATACTTTCCCCCTCTCAAACTCTTCTGTTTAAATGCCAACTTTCTATAATTTGCTGTGTCCTAAAATTAAGCTATTCTTTAATTCCTTCATATTTGTGTGCAGTTCGATTAGTAGGATAAAGAAAAACATGTGTACTTACTTATTTTTACGTACTTTACCCTTCTCCAGAAGGAAGATCATGCAGCTTCCATCAATTCATTAAGTGACAAAAAATTACATAAATTAAATGGGAGACAAGCAATGCAATGGAAGAGACAAAAAGTTGGGCCAGTGACAAACCTAAAGGTGTTCCCTTCCTTATTATAGTTCAACCACAAACTTGCCTTCAAATCTACTTTCATTCAGGGTGAAGAGAGAAAGGTGATGAACTGATTTTCAGAATTCATAGTATTAAAACTAACCACACCTAATAATAATAGCAAATAATAATAATAGCAAATATCTAGTACAGTAATTTTAAAATGCCAGGTAATAATGTTATCAAGAAAATCTTACAATAGACTCCACAATAATTTTAAAGGCACATTTCTCAAGTAGACACACCAAAATGCAAATTAGTAAAATCAAGTCTGTGGAAGAATAATTTCTGTGTAAAAAGGGATTACGTTCAGCTATAATAATGATGAATGGCCACTTGAAGGTGGTGATATTTGCATCAATGTAAAAGAATAAGCAGCTTTCTAGAGGTAGGTAGTGTGGGGAAGATGGAAATTATTTTTAGAGAGTATTTTTTAAACCAAAACTAACACTTGAATGAAATGGAAGAGTCAAAACCATTAGGAAACTAGAACTGCACATTAAATCAATCATGTTTCAGTTCATAAATGAATCCACTAAACACATATTACACCCTGGCAAAGGTTTGATTGGCAGGTTTCCCAGTTATAACTCTGGCCCTTATATAGATTCCCAGGCTCCTCCAGACCTACTGAGTCTGATTCTCTGGGTAAAATCTGTGTTTTCAAAAAATTCAAATAATGCTCTTAATGTCTATAAGTCAAGGAATTGAACCCAGGTATTTCAAATTGCAGTAAAATTCCTTAGGTCCGTGTCACCACAAAAACTTTGAGAATCAGCCTATGACTGTTAACACATTTTAAAGCAGTAAATTCTCTAATAAAGAAATAATACGTTATGTAGCTTGCCTTCCAAACTTCATATTCAGATTGGTGCTGCATTTCTGTTTGAAAGAAGTGCTCTTCCTTCAGTAAAGAAGCATTTGTCACGTTTTTAAAGCACTCTTTTGGAAAGAATATGTACAATTCAATCAAAATATGCCTACCTCCATTCTGGTTTGAAATAAAATCATTGTGCTAATGTATTGGGGTTTTGAAGAGGCATATTTTATATGTTAATTAAAGTGAAAGCCTATCTTAAAAAATGTCACTGACATATAATTTGCCTTAAATCTCAGATAAAATTGTCTTGCTAGTCTTTAGACTCATGGAATTGTCTAAAACAGAGGCCAGACCTTTTATTTTATTGCTGGACACTTGAATAGCAAATGGTGAAATAGCAAACATAATTTGAGTTTTATTTAACTCATCCACCAAATTAGTCTACCTGTTGGGTTTTTTCAAAAAAATACTTTTAGCTGATTCCAGCTTGGATGCCACAAGATGTTCTCATACACTCACATCTATAAAATAGGCCCACAAGTCTTCCCCACTTTTTCTCCCTAACTTGGGCTAAGGGATAAGTCTAAAAACAGATCGTGTTTTCCAGTTTATGTTTCTCAAAGTGCTTAAGAATGAAAAGATGGCAACACATGCAAAAGTGGGCAAGTTGTTTAGAGGAAGGACTTTCTGGGCTCATAAAACCTCTAGAATAAGATTTGCCTTTGGTATTTTGGATGCTTTTGCCAGCATCATTTTCAGGCAGTACTACCCAGGAGCCAGCTTTCTCAGGATAAAAATCCTAGGCAATGTGCCTGATCCAGAGCTCAATTATTTTAATTATTAGGTATAGATGAAAAAATTATAGTAGTTTATATGAGAAATGATTAGGAAACTCAGTTTTCACCAAAGAAAACTTTAGATAAATAGAAATAACCAGATGGATGGATATATGGTGGATGAAAGGATAAATGGATAGATAGATAAATAAGTAGATAGGAGATTAGAACAATATAAAATTGTTATTATATTGTTCTCTGTAATTCTAAATCTAAATCCAAAAAGTAAATAATAATAGCCATTACTTAAAATTCCATATGTGCAATTACAATTTTTGAGATTTTTAAAATATATTATTCTCTTACCCTAAATACCTATTCATATTTATCCTGTTCATTTCCCTAACTACTCTGGTCATTAATTACTCATGAATGAATTTGCTAATCTAAAGGAAAATTGAGGACCAAGGTATGTTGATTTATTTCAATTACATGTCTTCTTAGATTCACGTTCATTACTCCCTTTAAAAATGAAACACAACAAGCTAATACATTGTGTTCATGTCTTTTTTTTTTTTAACCTTTGAAAAGCACACAGCACCTTGCCAGGCATATAGTAGGTGTTTAAAATAAATGTGCTAAATTAAACTAACTATTGCCCACACTACACATAAATTGCGGCCTAAGAGCAGCAGTGTGCAAAAGCACACTCTGTAATGACCCAGTTCAGCTGGACAGATTAAAGTCTGGGGCATAGCATTTCAGTGGCTTGATCCATCTGCCACCAGTCACTTGTGGGAAGAGGCTTCTGTTTCTTGTCAGCCAGCAATAGGAAGCCCAGCAGGATTTAGTAGCTGCTGAAGCTCCAAAGGAAAGGGCACAGTACACACCATTCATGTCAAGTCCGTTACGAGATCCTGGTTTCCTTATCCTCCCCGTCTGGTAAATAAACACTCTCCATGCTGTTTTGCCTCAGATAATACCTCACTTACTAGGTCAGAAAAAAATACACTCAGCAAGGAGTTCAATAAACCTATTTATAAGAATAAAAGTACATATAATTTATATTTGATCTCACAGAGACTATGTAAAGATTGAAAGCATTAGTTATTCGGCTTGCTCAAATTTCTCTTCAGCCACCAATGGTTATTTGATACAGTCAGGCAAAGTGAGATTTTAAAGTAATATTATCAAGATACTATTTCAATGTTCAACTTCACATTCTGTGAAGTCACAGTGAAAGAAAAAAAGCAGTCCCTTCAGTGAAATTACAAATAATCTTTATTTCTTATCAAAAGTGGAATACTTAAGACACTCATTTATTTCAGCACTTGTGGCCTGCCAAATGGAGAAATCTTTGTACGCAGGCAATGGGTGTAATTGAAAGGTACGAGGCCACATTAACAATGTTTTTGTTGTTGCTGTTGTTTTGGTTTTTAACCTTCAGAGCAGTCCCTTTGCTCAATACCTCATATCCTCTTTTCTGACTTAAAGAGCAGAACAGCAAAGTATTAATAATTTGATAAGTAATCACTGAGTTCATTTGCAATACTATTCTAAAATTAAAAGCCAATTGATAACGTTACACCAAATAGAATTTCAGCAGTAAAATTTCTTCAGTGAACAGATCAACATAGCCCACAGCTATGCTGCTGGGGAGTGGGGTTGGGTGTTTTGGGCGAGGTGTCATTCATCAGTGCACGTGGGAGGAGGAGGAAGATACTAAGTTAAAGATATTGGTTTGCAGTAGTGATCTCCCAGGAACTACACATTTTCTTTCTCTTTTTCTTTTTCTTTCTTTCTTTTTTTTTTTTTTACCATGACCCATTTTTTGAATACAAAGACACAGTACCCCGCTTTTGGGAAACAACTGAAAAATAGGGGAATAGATAAGAAAGTTTTTTTGTCTTACTTGTTTTTGTGTTTTTTTTATATTAAACTAAAATTTCATTCACTAGTAAAGTTTTTTTTAAAGAATAAATTGCTTGCTGGATGTATTGAGGTAATAAAAGTTTTCCTTTTCCTTTATATGAAGCAATATAGGATATTAGCTTTATGAGGCACTTGCCAGTAAAAAATAGATGAATATGTGTTAGTTAAGAATAAAGAGACATGAGGACATGAGGATACTCCCATGATCAGGTAACTTTCAGTCATCTAAGTGGAATCAACGGGCCTGATTATTTTCTCTTTCTATAATTACACATGTTCAAATGGTCAGCCTGCCTGGAAGAAAGGACTTTTATGTTCTGTATACAGCACCGGGTCTTAGAAGGAACATCATAATTCTCTTTAGAGATTGTCCAATCTTCTTTGGGTAAATCAAAACAAATCAGCAGCTGCTGCTAGGACAAAGTTACATTGGACACACTTTTTTAGATAGGGACAATTATGCGATGACTGTTAAACTCTTAAGCCCAGGTTCCTTTTTTTCTCTCTCCCCACACTGCACCCTGGTTCTGGCCCTCAGCAGCTCTTGCTCAAACTCCTGCATGTCCTCTGCTGGTTTCTGTCTTCTCATCAAGTATTTGAACAGCTGAGCCGTAATTTTAATAAAGCTCTATGCAGCACCCACAAATTTTTTTAAAAAAGAGATATTTTGGTAGCATAATGCCACAAAAGGTTTAAATTTATAATTGACTCATTCCTATATTTATCAGCATTATGGGTGACAACTGTCACCTCAGCTTTCTAAATCTTACTTCAGTTACAGGGTATCAAGAAAATATATTTCTAAATCTTACTTCAGTTACATGGTATCAAGAAAATTCTGAATCATGCAGATAAATCATGCAGTTAAATAGATTCATAAGTGTAAAAGAATATATGAAGGTCAAGTTTGTTTCTAATTCATATTACAAGGTTAATAAGTGCCAACATTTCTCTAGTAAGTATTTAATTTGGAGAGAGTGGATGAATAGGTTCCTTGGCCAGAAAAAAAATTTCAAATGCATTTTGTAGCAGTATGAAGTAGTCAATGGTACATATTTTTAAATATTAAAAACTTTACCATTTATCCATGGATATTTATCAGCTATCCATTCAATGTCTCAAAGCAGCCACATTTATTTTGTTTTAACGTTAGGTTCAGATGTTTTAATTTCATTTCTGGCACTTTATCTGCAGCTCTAAGTCAAATTCATTCAACTCTAACACATTCAGGTGTTCAAAATGACACAACTTTGCTTAAGAGGTAGTTGGCTAAAGAATTTACTTCTTGTCTTTAAAAGGTAGCATTTTCCCATCTCATTTTAAATACTTGATTCAGTACTTCACCCAAAGACATTTATCTAATTAGCATAAAAAGGAAAATTTCTGGAACTCACTGCCAATATGATTACAGGTAACTAAAAAATCTGAAACTTAAAATTGTACCCACTAAATCAAGAATTTATGTGGAATTATCTGATACTGTTTTGAAGACACTGTCATCTTCTTAACAGTTAGCTAATCTCCAAGACTTACATACATTTTTAAAGTGTTGTTACACCTGTGTGGGTATGCTTCTTGCTCACAGTGTATTCACATCATGAGTAGGGCATCACTACACTTTTGCCAGTCTACTGGATACTGTGTTAAAACTAAGTTTTTCTTCTTCTGTTGTAAATTACTGTGTGATTTACAAAAAAAAAAAAAAAAATCACACTTTGGTCTATCGCATGGCTATGTTTTTAAAAAAATCAATCAAAATAGAAAAACCAGCAATCCTATGCTCTCATAGAGGTAAATTATAAAGATTCCACATAATTCTTTCCTTTAAAGAGATGCATCTAGTATGTTGCACATTGTTTGATTCTTCTCTGAAACAGAATTATTAGGCAATGCTTTCTTTAGCAATTTATGTATGCAAAAGACTCATTATAATGTCAAAAGTAGATTTCATAAATCTGTGTATAGAATAATGCCTACTTCATTGCAATGCAATTTATTTTGAATAGAAATTTTTATTGAATACAAATAAATATAATTTATTTTGAATACAAATTTTTATTGAGACATTTGAATTTTGTTTGTGTGTGTGTGTGTGTATGTGTGTGTGTGTTGAAAACGTTAAGCTGTTCAGTAAATGATGAAAGAGAAGAGCCTTGTTTTTATGTGCTGAATGTTTTCTTACAAAATGACATTATAACAGCAGGGGCTATAAAAACATCAATTTTACAGCATAAAATATATTATGGACTGAGGTAATTTTTATTACCTTAAAAGGTGAATCCAATAAATTACTGGCATCAGCTTTCTTGTTGTCCAGGAATTTTCTGTGAGAAGTTTTGGTGCAGTGTTTTGTGAAGCAGCACAGTACGGTAGTTAAGATACCTTAGGATGGCAATACCAGCCTTCTTCAAAACCTTGCTCACTGCTGTGTGGCCACAGATAGCTATGCAGTTATCTTGTGCCTTGGTTCCCTCTTCTAAAGTACGGAAAACAGTCGTGTCCACCTATAGGATTATTGTAAGGATAATATAAATTTTATCTCATGCAGAAAAACCTTTGATATTTGCAGGACCTAGAACAAGAATATAAATGAAAACTCCCATACCATATTGAAAATGTTCTATCTCTTACTAATAGTGGTAGCCTTTCTGGAGCAGCCACTGCAGGGACACCAGCTCCACCAGGGGTGGTAGAGCTGGTAGATACCAGGAACAGGCAGGAGCCCTGTCCCCTATCAAGTTAAAGGGGCAGGAGTCCTGCACTCCCAAGCACAGCTGCAGCTGCCCAGCTGCAGCTCTAGATCTGGGCATCCCTGCACTCTCAGGGGCTCAGAAAGCAGCCCCCTACCCCTGCAGGCTTGGAAGTGCCTGCTCCTGCTCCCTGGTCTCTCTCTGCTCCTGGCACCCACTTTGATTTTGGAGCAAAGTTGAAGTTGAACATAGGCACTGTTGCCATCTAGCCAGGTATGTGCACACTTGGGGCAGCGCTGACATGCCAGCCCATCCCTACTCTCCTTTGGCCCCCCTCTGAAGCTATGGGCACTGAGGAGCTCAGGGAGGGAGGCCAGAAGCAGGGCTGAAGGGTGGCTTGGCACTGGACTGCAGGTGTTCCTCTGCATGAACAGCCTGGGCATAGTGGATGGCATGTTGCTGGCAGGAAGCAGACAGGTTCTTGGGCTGAAAGGGGTGGGTCCCTGGTGAAACCTCACTTTTAAGCCAAGGAGAGCCTGAACCCTGGAGGCCGGGCTGCCAGTTTTGGATGGAGTTTATGGCCCAGAGTGAGAATTTATGGTGCTTTTCTCAGGCCCACCCATGGCTGCCCATGGACCCATCAGCACACACTTCCTCCCTTCTGAGACCATAAAAACCCTGGACTCAGCTAGACCCCAACAGACATTGGAACAGCCTGCCTGTGGAAAGGAGTTACCCACTCTAGGCCTTCTCTCCACTGAGAGCAGGACACTCGTCAGGAAGACCTGCTGCAGAAAGGAGCTACCCACTTTGGGTCTCCTGAGAGCTGTTCTGTCACTCAACGAAGCTCCTCTCCACCTTGCTCACCCTCCAGTTGTCATGTACCTCATTCTTCCTGGAGGTGGGACAAGAACTCAGGACCCACTGAATGGCTGGACTGAAATGCGCCCCAGCCCCTCTTGCCATGTTGTGGGTGACAGGAAGGAGAGAGGAGCTGTGGGCCTTTGGGGAGCCCTGACCTAGGGGTTCCCCAAGCCAGGGCTGTGACACCCTCTTTGGGGCTCTGCGGTTCCTCGCATCTCCAAGCTTCCAGATCCCACTGTGATCCCCTTGTCTAAACACAGGTGCCCATAGTGGAAGCCACGTGTGGTACATCTGGTCCACCTGCAGCCTTGCATAGAGCTGGCACCTGTGCTGGCACCTGGAGCTGCCTGCCCTGCTGCAGCAACCAGTATGCCTGGCTGTGCACAGTGGCAAGACCCCACGCTTGCTTACCCACACACCCCTTGCCACTCCGTGCCTCACTCACCCTTGGCAGGTGTTGGATCTGAGCTGGTAGTGTGAGGTGAATGCAGCCTGCCAGGCAAAGTGGGTAGAACAAGCTTATTGGGTGCAAGCAATACTCAGGCAGAAGGCACCACCAGCTATAGATATTTCCAGCTGGTGAAGGGACACCCCAAGGATTCCGTGACACTACCTTGAGAAATATACCTCCATAAGGATGTGGATGACCAGATTTGAATTTAGGATTCTGGACTCCACCGAGTCCTGCTGTGGTATATGGTGGCGTCCTACCAATTGGCCCCCAGTCTGCAGTCTGATCAGCTTCTCTCCTTGTCTCTGACCTCATTTCACACCTTGAGGTGCTTTTCATGCATGTAAGTGGTCATCTTGACCACAAGTCAAAGCTCCAAAACAATCAATAAAAAGACAACCCTTCGCCACTCCTCAGTCCTAGGGGTATACAAACCAGCAGCATAGATGTTTCAGGGGGATTGACCTAGGTAAGAACTCCATGTAGACCTTGGAAGTAGACTTGTGGGCAGAAAATTCTGGAATACAGAACACCAAGAACATGGTCTGGAAAACAGTTGAGATTATTCTTTAATTTAATGAACTCATTTGCTTTATGAAAAGGGATGTAGCTATAAAGAACAAAAAAATAGAACCCTCTAAAGCATGGGACCCAGGGCAGAGGCTCCTCATGCCTAGGTCTAAAAGCAGTGTGATTCATATCACAACTTGGGGTAATATATATAATACAGTAGGTTGTCCAAACAAACCCCCAAGCAACAAAAAATCAAAACCATGAACTCTCACCTTTATGTTCTATTCTGTTTTCATGGTATTTACCACTAGTTGTGAAATTAGTTGGTGCTACAACTTACATATTATTTTCAGCCAAATGATTTTCATTATAGCCGTCAATTTTTAAATGCTAGTTTTAAACTTATTTTTAACTAAAAATTCACTTCTAGTTTCAAGGGTAATTATGTTACCTCTCCAATAAAACATAAATAGATATATTGTTGATAAATGTTAGGCAAAAAAGAGGCCACTGAAATGTCCAGTGAGATTGTAAAATATAAAATGGGCAAATATTAAATAGAGCTTAATGTAAGTGCAAAAGATAGTACAATATAATATTACCTCCATTCTAGGCATTAAGCATTTGTTTATTACTGTGCAACTGACAAAGTGTGGTGAGAACCTGTACCCAGCTGATGTGCCTGCTTTTGCCAGATGTGTGATTTCAAACCATGGATCTGGAAACAATATTTTTACTTGAATATTCTCACAGGGCAAAATGGGTTAAAAACACAAACATCTACATAAACAAAGAGCACAAAATCAAAACCAATGTGGAGCAGTAACCTCCCTAATCAAATATATTTTTATAAGTGCCTCAAATAAATGTGCAAAAGCAGCCAGGGGAGATTTACCCCAAGTTCAGGACATTCAACAAAGGAGTTAAGCCAGCAGCACCTTTCAATACCATGAAGTCTCCAATATTCAAAATTTCTTATTCTGTGCATGACTTTTAATCTGTTTGAAAATGTTAAATTATCTTTTAAAAACTGCATTGGAATTATGTGCTTGAAGAATGCCTATAGCACCTCCAATAAACTCTTTGGCTCCACTGAACACTTTTGAAAACTTGGCTCCCACCCATCCTCCACATGGCTAGAGGATGACCTGACCATAAATCAGACACCCTTTCTTAAAATGTTGGCTTAGAAATACAGCACAAACTGCTCAGAGGAAATTGATGTTTAATATGGTCCTACCCTATCTCTCCAACACTATATTCTTCTATTCTCTGCAAGAAATTCTATTCTCACCTTAGCAGATCTCTCATAATGGATTCTTATCTCACAAGCATCTGCTTAATATGTTGTGCCTTGATTATTCTCAGCATTGGTTGAATGAGAATAGAGCAGGGATGATAATAGAACTTAAGGTTAGGAGTTTTAGGATCTAACACAACTGACGCAAAAGATTCTCATGTTCTTGGGAAGGAGATCTAAGTCAACACATTACAAGGAAGTAATTATCTGTAATGAATCCCCCCACCCAACCTTCTTCCTATCTCCACCTCACATTCTCTGCCCTGAAGGTCTACCTCAAATGTTACCTTCTCTCATAATATAATAAATTAACTACACATATTAAGAGCTTTATGTATATAGAATTGAGCTATACACTATACAACAATGCAGCTGTCTATGACAGCCAGGAAAGCAAAATCAACCAGTGAAGGAGACTGAACATGAGTGTGAAGAACTGACAAGCAAGTTCCCTCTCTAAAGACACAGCTACTACTAAACTCCATTCATTTTGACAATCTCCTACTCATTCATTTGTGAGGACAGGATTTCCTGCCCTCTATAGGATGATGCGGCCAAATACATGACACCTGACACTGGGTAGATGTGACTGACAGCCGTCTATTACTTGCAATACTGATAGCCTGGGGGAGGAGTGCTACACAGGGTTGCACTTGTATCAGTGAGCCAGCAGAGACTGTGAGAGACAGGCTTCGCAGTCACAGAAGGAACCACCTGGTTCCCACAGGTGGATGTGATTGGCTTCATTGAGCCATTTAGCAGGCTGGTAGATAGGTGAAGCCTGGTAAGTGAAGAGCTGGGTGAGGCGTAGCTAGACCAGCTGATAGAAGGGCTTGCCGGTTGGGGATTCTTTGCTGCTCCGTTGGGCGCCTATCTGGTGAGACAAAAGGAATCTACAGATAGGCTGAGCAGCTCAAGCTTGTCAAGAAAGCACTTAACATTTTAGGCCTTTCAATATACAAACAGTTGTTGCCTCCAGGAATGTAGGCTCACTGCTGCCACATCTTCTGAATTTTTAAGAAAAATCAGAAATCTTCATTTTTATATAAAATGTTCGCAATTTCAAATATTGGCTGAGATTATCTTTAAATCAGCATACATGCCACACAAAGTGTTCTGTGGACCAGATTCAATGGAGCATTTCAGCTTGCACCCTCTGTTCTATATACATAATTACATTTCATCACAATAAATAAATGAAGTAGCTATGACAACTCCAGTTCTGCAGATAGAAAAAAAAAAAGTAAATGTTAAGCCTCGGGTGTTCTGAAACTCGTCCAAAGTCACAGATTATATTCAATTAATTCTCCCGAGATCAGATGAGATCGGGCTCATTCATAGTGGTATGGCCATAGACTTAATTAATTCTCATACATGATAACTGTTTAATAAGTTAAAGCTATTTAGTAAATAAATATTTCTCAGTGAGACAATTAGGGCATGGAATCTTTCATTCCAGCATATGGCCAAATTCATGGTCAGAGATTCATAGCGTATGATACAAATTTCTGTCAATTTTACTTTTTAGTTGTTTCACTGATAGGACGGACATTTAAGTAATTAATTCCAGCAGCAAAATATTGCTTAACATGTGAGCTACTCCTCAAAGGAAATCAACATTATGAAAACAATTGATATGTTTTATATTTACAATCATATTAATAACACGATTTCTTAACTCTACATTGAATTTTAAAGAATGTTCGTGTGGAGACATTTTGACTTTTCCTTATGTGCCTTGATTAATGTAATTGTTAATACTACATAATTTTAAATATTATGTAATTATGTGGGGATCTCTTTATTCACTGTGAATTAATAAATATTGATTGATTTTACCCTTTGCAACAGTGCATGGTATCAAAAAATATTAAATTTACTAAATTTATCTCATGAAGATCTTCTTTGTATTAATTTTAATGGGCCAGATTAATCAACAAGGCAATTTGCTAATTAGGTATCTACTAGTTTGATGAAACAGTTTATAACCAGCACATACAAAAATTAAAGAAAAGACAAAAATTATAAGACTTTTGAACTTTCTATACAACAAAGTAAGGAAATAGCTTGAAATTATTAAAAAGTCAAATAATACTATATATTCACTACAAGTAAATTAGATAGGCTAACTTTCTTCTGCGGAAAAAGAATTTTCACCTTCTACCCAGAAATTGATTTGGGATGAAGTAGACACAGAAACAAGCCCAGGTTAAATAAGATGTGTGTAACATACAAAGAGTAGACCTCCACTAAATGTGAACTCCTTTTACGATAATTGCCCATTTTTTTTTTTTTTTTTTTTTTTGAGACGGAGTTTCGCTCTGTCGCCCAGGCTGGAGTGCAGTGGCGCAATCTCGGCTCACTGCAAGCTCCGCCTCCCGGGTTCATGCCATTCTCCTGCCTCAGCCTCCCGAGTAGCTGGAACTACAGGCGCCCGCGACCACGCCTGGCTAATTTTTTGTGTTTTTAGTAAAAACGGGGGTTTCACCGTGTTAGCCAGGATGGTCTCGATCTCCTGACCTCGTGATCCACCCGCCTCGGCCTCCCAAAGTGCTGGGATTACAGGCGTGAGCCACCGCGCCCGGCCGATAATTGCCAATTTTTATAATATTAATACTAGTGGTATATGGCTGGGGTGGGGGGTGGCTCACGACTGTGATCCCAGCACTTTGGGAGGCCTGAGGTCGGGAGTTCAAGACCAGCCTGGCCAGCATAGTGAAACCCCATGTCTACTACAAATACAAAAATTAGCCGGGCATGGTGGCGCATGCCTGTAGTCCCAGCTACTTGGGAGGCTGAGGCAGGAGAATTGCTTGAACCTGGGAGGGGGAGGTTGCAGTGAGCTGAGATCTCACCACTACATTCCAGCCTGGGTGACAGAGCAAAACTCGGTCTCAAAAAAAAAAAAAAAAAAAAAAAAAAAATACCAGTGGTATACAAAGGACTATTAGGAACAGATGAACTCACCAATCACACAAACTTTAATTCTTTTAAGGTATAATATTCTAGAATGGAAATGCCTCATAAGCAATAAACTATTGTTAAATCTTTATACCATTTACCACCAATAATCAGGAGATAAGAAAAATCAAGGGTGCATATGCATGCATACTCACACTCACACACACACACTGAGAGCCAGACAGAATGAATAGTTGCTCATTTTTTAAATGGTTTCCAAAAGGTATATATTAAAAAAGTAAGAATCTTGAATACTTACAAAAAAATTTGTGCAGAACTAATTTAAAAGCAATAGGTAGAGAAGTAGAATTCTCCTTGATCTGCAAAAAGGCTTTGCTTTATGAAAGAATGAGCTCTGATATGCTGGAGGATGACCCACCTCAGGTTGCCTCAACTCAAAAGTCTTTAACGTGTTCTTAATCTCATAGAGCAATAAACTGCACATAATTATAAATTAATTAGGGGACTTATTCATGAATAATCTCACAGCTATTAAGACGTCAAGCACTTGCTAGGCCATATTTGTTTTGGCCAATAAGAGAAACAGTCAGGTGCTCACTAAAAGAGTAAAGCGCCCTTCTGCAACTGCTGCTGGTTTGTATCCTGCCACCGTACTCAAATCTCTGCCTCAGGAAAACATCCAACTTTCAAAGTTTCTGGTAAGGGTTGTAAAGGAAGCAATTAGTGTCATTAGAAAGAACTATCGATGTCACTATGCCAAGGGAGAAAAGGGGTAGCAAAAATGAGAAAGAAGGCATGAGGCACAGACATTGAAAACTAACCTGTATTTAAGCTTAGTGTATTTTCGCTTTGCCTCTACTCCAAGTGGGGAGTTTTCATTGCAGGCACTACAAACCCCAGGTATGACAATGACATAAGAATCAGGGAAGTGGCTGGAAAGGGAAAGCTATATAGTTAGACTGGCCTGCCTTTGAGTCCTGCCCTGCCATTTGTACCACTGTGGCCTTGGATTACTTTATCTCTGACGCACCAGTTTCTTCAACTGTAAAAGAAGATTTCATAAGATTTTTGTGAGGATTACATTGAGAATGTTTAAAGGCTGTCACATACACAAAGTGTAGAGCACATGGAAAAGAGAAAGACTCTGCGTGTTGGGTGCTGAGGCACTCAGTAAATACTACCTACTGCTTGCATCTGCTTGTATGTAATGGTGGCTTTGTTCTTATATGAGGCCAATCTTTCTTCCTGTATATTACCCAAGTTCTTTGCTCATGTAATCATTCACCGTCTCTCCTGCTCTTTTATGTTATAAATCTTATTAAAATTAATAGCACCAGTAATTCCAAATCCTTAATGTTTCCTCCCCTACTGAGATACTTCAGCACACAAACACACTATAATGTCTCTCAACTAAAAAAAAAATAAATAAACATTATCCTACTATTCCTCTTTACTATTTCTCAATTCTCCCTTTTTAATAAAACTTCTCAAATAATTGTATATATGCACTTTCTCCATCTCTTTATCTTGACAGCAAATATTCTCTCCTTTATTTCTAAAACACTTTTTCACTTGGTTTCCCCAGTGGTTAGTTTGTTACATAAAGTTACATAAAGTGCTAGTTACATAAAGTTCTTACTTAATTGCTTTCTTAACTTGAAAAATGAGAGGTTGGAGAATTGATACGTTGAGGACAGAAAAAATGTAATTTTAAAAAATGTAACAGAATTAGTGGCGATGCTTAAGAACCAATAGATATTTATGGTCATGTAGTTCAAGTGAATCCAGTCAGCTGGATGATGTGTTATTATCCAGTTATGAGAATAAGTCAAATGGCTAAGACTTTATGTGGATTTGAGTTTTGTCATGGTAGTATTGTGGAGGGAGAAACAAGTGAGGGAGTTGAGGATTTATAAAATGAAATGATGTAATGATGGAACATTCTTTCAATCTAGGATGGTAAACCCAAAGTGAGGGCATGATGAGGTGACAGATGGTAAAATGTAGGTCAATAAACCGAATCTGAGGCAGCTCAGGAGGTTATTAGAATAAAAGCACTGGAGAAAGTAAAATGGAATGATATGTGAAAAATGTTTGAGAGTAAAAAGCCTTAAATTGAGAATCTGGAAGTACTTCTGTCATTATTTCTGAAAAGATTTATAGTATGACTCTAAGATTGGAGATGGAGGAGGCAGAAGAAAAGATCTTTGAATGTAAGCAGGTTAAGAAATTGCAATGTCCAAGTGGAAGGTGTATCAGATGCATCATGTGTATCCTGATGCAGATGTCAGCATAAAGGATGATACAAATATGGTGGAAAGACAGTGAGAAGAGATCAGATACTTTTAATGAATGTAATGGAATAATGAGAGGGTTGGCAGATGACAGCAATAAGGAGGAGTGGCAGATGGTTTAGCCTGATGGCACATACCTCAAAGGAGCTAGGGGTCTTTAAGAGGGTTGAGGAGTATGGTCTGGAAATAACAAAGATAAGCAAGAAAGACATCTGTGTTGGTTTCTTATTGTTGCTGTAACAGATTACCATAAATTTAGTGTCTTAAAGCAACATATATTTATTATTTTACAGTTCTCAAGGTCAAAAGTCTGCAGCATTTTTCACCGGCCAAAATCAAGGTGTCAGCAGGGCTGCATTCCTTCTGGAGGCTTCAGGGAAAAAAATCTGTTTCCTCGCATTTTCCAGCTTCGTAGAGGCTGCTTGCATTTCTTGGCTCCTGACCTCTTCCATCTTCAAAGCTAGCAGTTAGCATCTTCAAATCTCTCCCTGACTCCAACACTTCTGCCTCCCTCTTATAAGAATCCAAAATGATTATAATGGACTTACCTAGGTAACTCAAAATAATCTTCCCATTTCAAGTTCCTTAACTTAATCACATCTACAAAGTCCATTTTGCCATGTAAGGGGACATATTCACAGATTCTAAGGTTTAAATGTGGACATCTTTGGGGACAAGGGGAGGAGTTATTCTGCTTACCAGAATAACTCCAGGCCTAGTGAAGTATGGTATAAAAGAGGGGTAAGCCACACTTGAGTGTCCCAGAGAGAATCTAGTTAGTGAAAAAAAAAAAAAGAGAGAGAGAGAAATGTTTACAAAAGGGCTTGATAAAATAGGAGATTTTGCTGACTTTAGATTATGATATCCAGTAGATACAGTGGAGGAATTTAGAGATTAGGGAGGAGTGAGTCAGGTCAGGGGATACGCAGAGCCATGTGTGGTAAGAATTTGCAGAGTGATGGAAGACCTTGGAGGCTGCCGTTTCTCGTGTTACCTGAGAGGAAAAGGAAATGTAAGACACAATGGGATTTATTCTGAGGAAAAGGTGACTATTTAATTCTAATTATAGATTATTTATTGGATTTTGTCCCTTATTCAGTTTTTAGTGAGGAGACTGGCAGTGTCAAGGGTTAGGGGAAAAAGGTAAGGCTGGCAGTCTTACCTGGAGCACACAATCCATACGTCTTCCCTAAAATATGTTTTTTTTCATCTGTTCCATGTCTATAGACTATTCTCTAACACTAGTAATTGTTATAAATAAAAAATGAAAATTTGTTTACCTTGATGATTCTATGAAATGAATATGAATGTGTTGAGAAAAACAGAACCTTTTCTTCTTAGCATGCAACTATGGTTTAATTTACCACGTTACTATTTCTGTTAAAAACATTTAGCAGATGCTGCCATCCCCTTCCCTACTATGGGAAAAACACAAGATACCTTGTTTAAGCAAGTCAATTGATGGCAAAATTTATCAGAGTATCCTGAGTCCTCTGGGAATTTGAGGTTAGTAAGTGCTTGCATGATCTTGAGCAATCCCTTTCCTTCCTGGAAGATGAATATCCTAATAGGGCTCAGCTCATAAGATTACTGGGAAGATTACCTTTTAAAATGCAAGCATCAGCACACAGTAATGGTTCAAATTTTTAGAATTATTATTATTATTATTACTGAAACAGAGTCTCACTCTGTCACTCAGGCTGGAGTGCAGTGGTGTGATCTCGGCTCACTGCAACCACCACCTCCTGGGTTCAAGCGGTTCTCCTGCCTCAGCCTCCTGAGAATTATATTAGCCTCACGAAATCCTAGATGATGTCTATTATTCTAATAATTTTATCAAAACCTACTTCAAGTCTTGACTCCTGTAAGTTATGTGGAGTAAATAAATACTCAAAATAAATGTAATGTTTAAGATTTGACACATGAATTCCTCCTAAAAAGAAAATTGTTTTTGTAAGCTCCTAGATTATAAAAGATGAGACCCAAAGGGCACGTGTGAACTCCTTAATTTATTCATTTTCATTCATTTGCTCATGCATTCATTAACTAAGTGCTTACTATTGGGCATTGAAATTATAGTAATAGATAAAACATTGATCTTATAAAGTTAATGTTCTAGTAGGGGAAACACACCCACAGAGGCAAACACAATAAGTAATTTAAAGGAATAACAATTGAAGCAGGTGAAACAGGGTTAGAGAATGATGACTAGGTGGGTTAGGGAACTTAGGGTGACTAGTTGGGTTAGGGAACTTAGGGTAAACAGGATGGTCACAGAAGGTATCTTTTGAAGAGGTGACATTTAAATAGAGACTCAAATGAAGTAAGGCAGCTGGAGAAGAGAATTCCAAGCTAAGCAGAGGAAAGAGCAAGTGTAAAGGCTCTAGTTTGAGAATAGACTTGGCAAGTTGACAAGGAAGGGAGAAAGCCAGGGTGGCCAGAGCTTAGAATGTGAAGTGGAGAGGAGTATGTTAAGTTCTTGGGATTCTATTGTAGTAGAAACTCTTTTTCTAATAATCATAAAAGAGTGGTTAAGCTATTCTGAATGAGATAATAAGACAATTTTATCTAAATTAAATCACGTATTAACTAATAATATAAATTAAATTTTATTAAACAATACTAAATTATGAAACAGAAAAGAAAGCCCATTCCATCTAACCCAGAACCTCCCCTTAAAAGGAACTGTGGTAATAAATTTTGGTATCCTTCCAGTTCCAAACATGTTTATATATTTCCACAAATGGGAACATACCACATTCATCATTTTGCACCTTGATTTTTTTTCACTTCATAATACATTTTGGAGACTTTAAGAATGTGTAGATTTTCATTCTTTTTAAGTGACTGCTCAAAATTACACTGTATGGATTATCTTGATTGATTTGATCATACTATTGTATAAGGAAACAATCATTTCTTATTTTAACCCTTACAAACAATGTTGTCATTTAAATATCAGTGTATATAGCGGCATAGCTTGGAAATATCACAAGTTTGGTTCCAAACCACAGCAGTAAAGGAAGTATCACAATAAAGTGAGTCTCATTTTTTGGGGGTGTTTTCAGTCCACATGAAAGGTATGTTTATATTATGCTGTACTCTGCTCAGTGTGCAATAACATTATGTCTAAAATTGTACATACTTTAAAAATATTTTATTACTTAAAAACATTAACAATTGTCTAGGTCTTCAGGGCATCCTAATTCTGTTGCTGGTGGAGGATCTTCCCTGATGGCTGCTGACTGATCAGGGTGGTGTTTGTTGAAGGTTGGGGTGGTGTAGCAATTTCTTAAAATAAGACAACAACAAAATCTCCCACATCAATTGACTCTTTATTCACAAAAGATTTCTCTGTAGCATGTAATGTTGTTTGATAGCATTTTACAAATGGTAGAACTTCTTTCAAAATTGAAGTCAGTCCTCTCAAACCCTGCCACTGCTTTATCAACTAAGTGTATGTAATATTCTAAAGCCTTTGTTGTCATTTCAACAATATTCACAGCTGCTTCACCAGGATATTCTATCTCAACAAACAATTCCTTTGCTCATCCATAATAAGCAACTTCTCACCGTTTTGAATTTTATCCTGAGAGTGTAGCAATTAAGTCACATCTTCCCCATTTCTAATTCTAGTATTCTTGATACTTCTAGACTATCTGCAGTTTCTTCCTCCATTGGAAGTTTTGAACCCCTCAAAGTCATCCATAGGAGTTGAATCAACTTCCTACAAACTCCTGTTAATGTTAGTATTTTGACCTCCTCCCATGAATCATGAATGTTCTTAATGGCATTGAGAATGATTAATGCTTTCCAGAAGGTTTTCAATTGATTTTGCCCAAATCCATCAGAGGAATGACTATATATGGCAGCCATAGCTTTATGAAATGTATTTCTTAAATAATAAGACTTGAAATTTGAAATTACTCCTTGATCTGTGGGCTGCAGAATGGATGTTGTGCCAGTGGGCATGAAAACATTGATCTCCTTGTATATCTACATCAGAGCTTTTTGGTGACCAGTTGCATTGTCAATAAGAAGTAATATTTTGAAAGAAATCTTTTTATTCTCAGCGTTAGGGCTCAATCGTAGGCTTAAAATATTCAGTAAACTATGCTGTAAACAGATATGCTGTCATCCAGGCTTTGTTGTTCCATTTAGAGAACACAGGCAAAGTGCACTTGGCATAATTCTTAAAGGCCCTAGGATTTTTGGAGTGGTCAGTGAGCACTGGCTTCAACTTGAAGTCACCAGTGGCGTTAGCTGTTAACAAGAGGGTCAACCTGTCCCTTGAACGTTTGAAGCCAGGCATTGAGTTCTCCTCTCTAGCTACAAAAATCCTAGGTAATATCTTCTTCTAATATATGGCTGTTTCTTCTACATTGAAAATCTGTTGTTTAGTGTACCATCTTCATCAGTTATCTTAGCTAGACCTTCTGGATAACTTGCTATATTAGCACCTGCAGCTTTGCCTTGTACTTTTGTGTTATGGAGATGGCTTCTTTCCTTATACCTTATGAACCAACCACTGCTAGCTTCCAACTTTTCTTCTGCAGCTTCCTCCCCTCTCTCAGCCTTCATAGAATTGAAGAGAGTTACAGCCTTGCTCTGGATTAGGTTTTGGATTAAGGGAATGTTGTAGCTCGTTTGATCTCCTATCTAGACCACTCAAACTTTCTCCATGTCAACAATAAGCTGTTTTGCTTCCCTATCATTTGTATGTTCACTGAAGTAGGACTTTTAACTTAAGAACCTTTCCTTTGCATTCATCACTTGGCTGTTTGGCAAGAGAGGCCTAGCTTTTGACCAGTTTCAGTTTTTGAGGTGCTTCCCTCACTAAGCTTGATCATTTCTTGCTTTAGATTTAAAGTGAGACACATACAACTCTTCTTTCACTTGAACACTTAGAGGCCATTATAGTATTGCAAATTGGCCTAAACTCAATATTGTTGTGTGTCAGGGAATAGGGAGACCCAAGGAGAGGAAGAGAGACAGGGAAATGGCCAGTGGGTGGAGCAGTAAGAAGGCACACAACATTTATCAACTAACTTCACCCTCTTATGTGAGTGAGGTTTGTGGTGCTCCAAAATAATTACAATAGTAACAACTAAGATCACCGATCACAGATCACCCTAGCAAATGTAATAATAATGTAAAAGTTTGAAATGTTGTGTTAATTTTCAAAATATAATGCAGAGACGTGAAGTGAGCACATGCTGTTGGAAAAATGGTGCCAATAGAGGCTTGCTGACAATGGTTGCCACAAACTTTCAATTGGTCAAAAGTGCAGTACCTGTGGAGCACAATAAAATGAGGTATACCTATATATAAAAACACATCAATTTATCCCATAGCACAATTCCAGAAGGGCTAAAGGGTCAGTGCAAATTCCCATCCAGAAGGATGGCTGAAGAAATCAGAGTGACTTTTACTAACTTTGAAGTTACTTTTCTTGCAACAGTGTAAGTATTCTTTCCTCTTAATCTCCCCTTGTCACAACCTTCTAAAAGGATTTCTATGCTTACAAATGCTTCATGTGAGTGAGCTACATTTTTGTTTTGTGAACTTTTTTTTAAAAGTTCAGAGTCTAAATCTGAAATCATGTAGTGGATAAAAGAGACAGGAAACAAACACAGAAAGAGAAGGCTGAAGGAGGAGGAGGCATTGGAATTCAATCTCTCTGAATCTCACATATTTTGTAAGGGTTTCAGCCTTCCACAAAGTGGTATCATGATTCAAGCCAATCTTATCTATATCTCAAGGAGGACAAGGTGGTCCTAACTGACATCTGGGTTACATATTTAATGCCCAAACATCCAGGGATAGGGGAATCAGTCAAATGAACTCTTCTGATTTTGTGTAAACAAAATAACCAATTGATGGATGGATTGCTTCACATTTTGGATTTCTATATACACAATCATATGCCAGTGATTAAAAAAAGCATCATCTTCAAATTCAGAACAATGCACAGAGTTTTTAATAATGATCTATGTTATGAAGAACAATGTGCCCACTAAAGTCTCTCTCATTTGTTCCCATCTTCCTAAAGTACCAAGAAAACAACATTAATTAAGAGCAAATAATGATATTTTACACAGAATACAAATAACATTTCATTCATAATTTTGTATTTTTGTTTTCTTTCTTCTGTCAATAGCGTGACATTTTATTATTCATTCTTATTTTCATAATATGCTTGGCTGAGAAAAAAAAAGAAACTCATATTGGCATTTTTCATCTGTGTTTAAGAATGGGGGCAATACTAATATTTTGATTAAAGAAATTAGGGCTCTCTATATCTTTTCTATTCCTCCATGTTTTCATTTACTTTCTTGAAAATTAATACTAAGTTTTAACCATAAACAAGAACCGATTGTTATCTATTTCCTTATATAGAAAGTTTAGAAGTATATTTACTAGCATTTTCTTGTCTCTTTTTAGAAAAAGTATTCTGCATCCATTTGGTGTGTGAGGTGTGTGTTATGTGTGTGGTGTGTGTGTGTAAGAAAAAAAACTGGCTGGCTTTCCTCTGCTTACCTGTGATTTACACATTTCTGTATTATTTTGGAAAATGGGATCTTAATTCCATGTATGTTAAGCTAAAACCTGGATTATTGAAAGTAATTTATAAAATCGACATAGATATTCTTTAATAATTATTATAGTTCTAGGATTATACAGCTATACAGCTATAGCACTACATAAAACCAGAAAAATGACTAATTTTTCTTTCTGTTTTTCAAATTTGGGATTATAAAAATTATTTCAGGAGCTATAGCTGTGCCTAATACTGCTTTCTAACCTTTCAGTATATCAACCAGTTTTCTAAAAGTTCACTCTGTCTAGTAGCTGTGTCTCATACTAGTTTGTATTCTCCTCCTCTTGTGTTCATCTTTCAATTATTGCTGATCTTCAGGGTATGCTAAGCCCTTTAATGATGTCAGTCTACATGTTCTTTCTTGCCATTATCCTTCAACTCCCATGGCTTCAATGACTATCCTTTCAAAATACCTATCTTAATCCAGATTCTCCTCTTGAATTGCAAAACTTCATATATAACTTAGAACCAGCCACCAGAGTTCCCATGTATACCTCAAAGTCAACAAGTTCAAACTATTTCAAGAACACCTCAACAAGTTCAAACTACCTCAAGTCAACCTGAAACTGACTCCTCCTTCTATGTTTAGCACTATCCACCCATGCAATTGTTCAAGCAAAAATCTCTTTTTCTCTTTCACGCCGCTATCCAATCACCAACTTCTATTTAATTTACCTCCTAGATAGTTCTTTCCATCCTCACTGTTTCTATTCTAAATTAGATCCTGACTTCTTTCACCTGGTGGCATAGTGTATCTAAATAGTGCTTCCGGAATTGTAGAGTACACAACACTTGGAGCCTGCTATGGCTTGAATGTTTGTCCTCTCTAAAACTCATGTTGAAATGTAATTGCCATTGTAACAGTATTCAGTGTTGGGAGTTTTAAGAGGTTATTAGGCCTGTA
The DNA here is from genome assembly GCF_000001405.40 of Homo sapiens. Taxonomy (NCBI): domain Eukaryota; kingdom Metazoa; phylum Chordata; class Mammalia; order Primates; family Hominidae; genus Homo; species Homo sapiens. The sequence goes on along the minus strand of NC_000005.10, from coordinate 44,626,559 downwards.
GAACTCCATCCTCACAAGTGGAATTAGCACCATTATGAAAGAGTAAGTTCAGCCCCCTCTTACCCTTCTCTTGACCTCTTGCTTACCACCATGTGATCACGCCATAAGAAAGCCTTCGTGAGATGACAGCACCCTGATATTGGACTTCCCAGTCTTCAAAATCATCAGCCAATAAATTTCTGTTTCTGATAAATTACTTTGTCTCAGATATTGTTATTAAAAACACAACACAGACCAAGACAGAGCCCCTCCAGCCTTGTCTCATTATCCTCCACTCAAACTCTGCTCTCTAGTATATTCAACACCTTTTTTTTATTATTATTATACTTTAAGTTCTAGGGTACATGTGCACAATGTGCAGGTTTGTTACATATGTATACATGTGCCATGTTCGTGTGCTGCACCCATTAACTTGTCATTTACATTAGGTATATCTCCTAATGCTATCCCTCCCCTCTTCCCCCACCCCACGAGAGGCCCCAGTGTGTGATGTTCCCCTTCCTGTGTCCAAGTGTTCTCCTCGTTCAATTCCCACCTATGAGTGAGAACATGCGGTATTTTTTTTGTCCCTGCGATAGTTTGCTGAGAATGATGGTTTCCAGCTTCATCCATGTCCCTACAAAGGACATGAACTCATCATTTTTTATGGCTGCATAGTATTCCATGGTGTATATGTGCCACATTTTCTTAATCCAGTCTATCATTGATGGACATTTGGGTTGGTTCCAAGTCTTTGCTATTGTGAATAGTGCTGCAATAAACATACATGTGCATGTGTCTTTATAGCAGCATGATTTATAATCCTTTGGGTATATACCCAGTAATAGGATGGCCGGGTCAAATGGTATTTCTAGTTGTAGATCCTTGAGGAATCACCACACCATCTTCCACAATGGTTGAACCAGTTTACAGTCCCACCAACAGTGTAAAAGTATTCCTATTTCTCCACATCTTCTCCAGCACCTGTTGTTTCCTGACTTTGTAATGATCGCCATTCTAACTGGTGTGAGATGGTATCTCATTGTGGTTTTGATTTGCATTTCTCTGATGGCCAGTGATGATGAGCATTTTTTCATGTGTCTTTTGGCTGCATAAATGTCTTCTTTTGAGAAGTGTCTGTTCATATCCTTCATCCACTTTTTGATGGGGTTGTTTTTTTCTTGTAAATTTGTTTGAGATCTTTGTAGATTCTGGATATTAGCCCTTTGTCAGATGAGTAGATTGCAAAAATTTTCTCTCATTCTGTAGGTGGCTTGTTCACTCTGATGGTAGTGTCTTTTGCTGTGCAGAAGCTCTTTAGTTTAATGAGATCCCATTTGTCAATTTTGGCTTTTGTTGCCATTGCTTTTGGTGTTTTAGACATGAAGTCCTTGCGCATGCCTATGTCCTGAATGGTATTGCCTAGGCTCTCTTCTAGAGTTTTTATGGTTTTAGGTCTGACATTTAAGTCTTTAATCCATCTTGAATTGATTTTTGTATAAGGTGTAAGGAAGGGATCCAGTTTCAGCTTTCTACATATAGCTAGCCAGTTTTCCCAGCACCATTTATTAAATAGGGAATCTTTTCCCCATTTCTTGTTTTTCTCAGGTTTGTCAAAGATCAGATGGTTGTAGATGTGTGGTATTATTTCTGAGGGCTCTGTTCTGTTCCATTGGTCTATATCTCTGTTTTGGTACCAGGACCATGCTGTTTTGGTGACTGTAGCCTCGTAGTATACTTTGAAGTCAAGTAGTGTGATGCCTCCAGCTTTGTTCTTTTTGCTTGGCAATGCGGGCTCTTTTTTGATTTCATATGAACTTTAAAGTAGTTTTTTCCAATTCTGTGAAGAAAGTCATTGGTAGCTTGATGGGGATGACATTAAATCTATAAATTACCTTGCGCAGTATGGCCATTTTCACGATATTGATTCTTCCTATCCATGAGCATGGAATGTTCCTCCACTTGTTTGTGTCCTCTTTTATTTCATTGAGCAGTGGTTTGTAGTTCTCCTTGAAGAGTTCCTTCACATCCCTTGTGAGTTGGATTCCTAGGCATTTTATTCTCTTTGAAGCAATTGTGAATGGGAGTTCACTCATGATTTGACTCTCTGTTTGTCTGTTATTGGTGTATAAGAATGCTTGTGATTTTTGCACATTGATTTTGTATCCTGAGACTTTGCTGAAGTTGCTTATCAGCTTAAGGAGATTTTGGGCTGAGATGATGGGGTTTTCTAGATATACAATCATGTCATCTGCAAACACGGACAATTTGACTTCCTCTTTTCCTAATTGAATACCCTTGATTTCCTTCTCCTGCCTAATTGCCCTGGCCAGAACTTCCAACACTATGTTGAATAGGAGTGGTGAGAGAGGGCATCCCTGTCTTGTGCCAGTTTTCAAAGGGAATGCTTCCCGTTTTTGCCCATTCAGTATGATATTGACTGTGGGTTTGTCATAGATAGCTCTTATTATTTTGAGATACGTCCCATCAATACCTAATTTATTGAGAGTTTTTAGCATGAAGCATTGTTGAATTTTGTCAAAGGCCTTTTCTGCTTCTATTGAGATAATCATGTGGTTTTTGTCCTTGATTCTGTTTATATGCTGGATTACGTTTATTGATTTGCATATGTTGAAGCAGCCTTGCATCCCGGGGATGAAGCCCACTTAATCATGGCGGATAAGGTTTTTGATGTGCTGCTGGATTCGGTTTGCCAGTATTTTATCGAGGATTTTTGCATCGATGTTCATCAGGGATATTGGTCTAAAATTCTCTTTTTTGTTGTTGTGTCTCTACCAGGCTTTGGTATCAGGCTGATGCTGGCCTCATAAAATGAGTTAGGGAGGATTCCCTCTTATTCTACTGATTGTAATAGTTTCAGAAGGAATGGTACCAGTTCCTCCTTGTACCTCTGGTAGAATTCGACATCTTTTAACACCTTAAATATTTCATACTCTCTTTCCTTGGACCTTTCATAGAGCTGTACTCTTTGTCTAGCTTTTATGGCATATATATATGCATGTACATATATGTTTTATGCATACACACAAACACATATACTCATAATTTGTTCTGAGATACAATTCATCATCACCTCTATGATCAACAAGGCTGGGTTGGATATCTCTTCAATCTAACTCCAAAACATTTTACTTTCTAATCTTATAAATATTATTTTTATTGTTAATTATTCATTGTCTTGGCCTGTTTGGGCTGCTATAACAAATACAATAAATTAGGTGGCTTAAACAATAGAAATTTATTTCTCACAATTCCGGATGCTGGCAAGTCAAAGATCAAGGTGCTGACAGATTCAGCATCTTGTGAGGACTCCACTTTCTCTGTAGATGGCACTGGCTTACTCACATGGTGAAAGGGGAAAGAGGTCTCTCTTGAACCTCTTTTATAAGGGCACTAATCCCATTTATGAAAGCTTCACCATCATGACCTAATCAGCAGCCAAAGGTCCCACCTCCTAATATCATCACATTCGGAATTAGGATTTCAACAAATACATTTTGGGAGTACACAAACATCAACCATAGTATTCATTTACCTAATTATGCCCTCCAGTGCCATGAAAAATGTGTATCTTTTCATCACTGTATCTTCAACATCTAGCACAGCTAGCAGGGTAGACACTTAGGAAACTTGTCCTAAGTGAAAAAAATTAATGGATTGATGAATATATGCTAATATTTCAGGCAAAATTATGGTAAGGCAAGGGTCATAACCTAATTCAAACAAAGAATTATGGTGAAGCAGAAATTTATAAATAGAGTTTGTATCATTATTGCTATTATATTTGTAAGGTAAGTTATAGTGCTTGTTTTTCAGCTCCAAAAGCTGAGAATTATTAAAGCTGTTTCTGCAAGTAGAATGTTCAAGAAAAGGATCGGATTAGATGGTGTGCCATTTCCTAATTTCGCCATGTTTGGAGATGACAGCTGGGCTCTAGCTGAACACAGCCAGGCAACTCCCAAGGACATAACTAAAACACACTCAGGTTGCCAGCAAATTGTTTTTACGAAGAATGATTATTAGGACAACAAAATCATGTAAATAAGAAATGGAAAAAGCATGACAGGTCATCTAATCTCTCCTATGAGAATACTCTCTTAAATGTTGGCGTCAATGCTCATCAGGGTGAATTTTGAGTACAACCAGTGATGTAAATCTCATCTTTACCCTTGGGAGGCTGTTGTGCAAACCAAAAGTTTTTTGTTTGTTTTTTTTTTTTTTTTTTGCTTCTGCTTGTATAAAATATTTTTAAATATGCTTTTTACTTAATGTGTGCATTTTACTCTACTACATCAAGTCCCTGTCAGGTTATATAAAATAATACATAAATGATAATAAAATCTTGAAGCAATAGTTTTTATTCAACTGAATTCAGCTGAATTGAGTTTACTCTTTCCATTTAAAGCTATACCTAATCAAGACAATAATTCCTTCTATTGTATGTTTGATATGCTTTTATTTTATTCCATCAACGTTTAAAAATTGGAAGGGAGAGAGAGTCAGAATATGTCACTCCAGTAAGTTAAATATTAGTAAACATCAAGAGACTCTTTAGGTTCTTTTGCTGTGATGCAGAAACAATTAATAGAATATTGCTTAAATAAATGAATTATCTGCTGAAGCTGTAAAATTTTTGCACTATTTCGAATGTTATGCAGGTTATTTTTGTTTGGTTATCATTTTAATTTTATTTTTTATTGGGATCTTACCTGTACCATTTCAGTGTTACCCATTCATGTCATTAAAAATCGTTCTGGCTCAATTTAAGGCAATAATGACCTTTCATCTGCAATATTTCACAAATATTAGTCTTGTTTACCAATTACTTGAAGTTGGCCATATTTTATATCATTTTATACTTTATACTGGTAAATATTAAGTGAACAATTTTTGCTTAATATTTTCTTGAGATGACTTATTTTAACTTAAATATATTTAAAAGAAATATTTATGTCATGGATTAAATTGCTTATTTTTCCTACTCATATACAAGAAACATTTTTCTTGTTTGGGCATGTCAGTGAAAAATAAAACCTGAAAGACAGTAACTTGAAAATCACTTTATTTTATTATTTTTTTCTTTTTGTATGCCACATATTTAAATGAGGTGCTTTGGGATCTTTACACAAATACACAAATGCATATAATTTAAAACACTATTACATAACTCCTAAAATACCTTATGGTTCACATTTTGGAAAAACTGTTCTACTATACTTTATTATAAATCCATAGATAATTTCCTTCTTTTTTCATGAAGAAGACTTTCAGAGCTATTTTCTGATAGTTTCCTGCAAATTAAAAATGTCTATAGATATTATATTTTCAATCTTTTATACTTAACACTGTTCTGTTGTTACTGTAAAATTTAATTTGAACAAATATGGTGAAAAATATAAGCACAAATTTGTAAAAATTAGAAAATGTCATTTTATTTCTTTGATATGTTTCTAATAAGGTGCTATTAAACCTACTTTAACCTAATTAACCTACTTTAATAAGCAGATAATATATATAATTAATAGTACCTAAATAGCAAGTGGTACTCTGAAATACTCTGTTCTCTTAAGGCACCAGCTGTTACCTGAATATTATAATGCATGCTTTTCACATGACAAACATTTTCAAAGGTTGATGTAAGCCAAACTCATAAATTCTAAATTAGTTACTAATTCATATGAAACATTATACTTATGTCTAATTTCTTTATTTGGTTATTATACTGGGTAACCCCAAAACATTTCTACCTCAACATTATTGAGGAAAAATATTCTTCAACAACCAGTAAATAGAGATTTACAAAACTTTTTGACCATTGTGAAAACCCATTGTAGTTATCCTCTAACTGCATTCATTACAATCTACTATTTTTGTTTATAATCTTTCAGCCAGTTCCCAATCCATGTGACTCTATTTTCATCCAAGGCAATTATAATTAATTTGTAAGTAAAAGTACATAATTCACTGTTCAAATGCTTCACTGGAGCCCAAATACATGATGTCAGTTGTATCCTCTTTAATTAGTTTTGCAACTCTATCAAACAAGACTATTATTATGGTCTGGCATGATTTGTTCATTATGGACCAAGCTGCTGAAGGCTCAATATTCTATTGTCTTCTAACTGCTCACAGATTGGCCTTCAATATTTTCTCCCTTACTAAACTCCATATTAATGTATTGTTTGGTTGCATGGAAACATTTTTCTTGTTTGGGCATGTCAGTGAAAAATAAAACCTGAAAGACAGTAACTTGTAAAATCACTTTATTATTTTTTTCTTTTCGTATGCCACATATTTAAATGAGGTGCTTTGGGATCTTTATTATTTTCGTTATATTTCTTTATTTTAACACAAAACCTTTTCTGTAAGAATTAATAAGGATTTTAGGATTATTAATTTGTGGGTACTTGCATTTTCAAGAAATGATAAAACTTGACTAACTAAAGAAAGGATGTTGCCTCAGAAAGTTTACACAATAAGGTGATGAATCTCATCATGACTCATAGAAAATAATCTAATTGTAGGGCATGGTGGAATAAATTGATAGGATCTAAGGATGTCTATATGAGGCATGGTAAAATTAATTTATAACATTTATTTATATCACGTATTAAGTACAAATAATTAAATTGTTATAAACAAGTAAATGACTGTAGTATGAAACTTATTGAAAAGGTAAAAAGTTACAACCACAGGATTTCATGGTGCACAGGCAGCCCATTCGTGTCAATTATTGGTAAGATCTACAATAAGTAATAGCCTGAATATCAGTTACCAAATGTACTGTTCTCATTTCTATAATAGTTACATTGTTTGATTATATATGAATAATCTTGTAATGTAAAAAATTTGTACCTTTGTGATCCTCCTGGAAATCTGTTGACACTTGACAATTGTATAGAAAATGTGTTTTTCTTTTTTTTTTAATTTTTATTTTTTATTTTATTACTATCATACTTTAAGTTTTAGGGTACATGTGCACAATGTGCAGGTTTGTTACATATGTATACATGTGCCATGCTGGTGCGCTGCACCCATTAACTCATCATTTAGCATTAGGTATATCTCCCAATGCTATCTCTCTCCCCTCCCCCCACCCCACAACAGTCCCCAGAGTGTGATGTTCCCCTTCCTGTGTCCATGTGTTCTCATTGTTCAATTCCCACCTATGAGTGAGAACACGCGGTGTTTGGTTTTTTGTCCTTGCAATAGTTTACTGAGAATGATGATTTCCAATTTCATCCAGGTCCCTACAAAGGATATGAACTCATCATTTTTTATGGCTGCATAGTATTCCATGGTGTATATGTGCCACATTTTCTTAATCCAGTCTATCATTGTTGGACATTTGGGTTGGTTCCAAGTCTTTGCTATTGTGAATAATGCCGCAATAAACATACGTGTGCATGTGTCTTTATAGCAGTATGATTTATAGTCCTTTGGGTATATACCCAGTAATGGGTTGGCTGGGTCAAATGGTATTTCTAGTTCTAGAACCCTGAGGAATTGCCACACTGACTTCCACAATGGTTGAACTAGTTTACAGTCCCACCAACAGTGTAAAAGTGTTCTATTTCTCCACATCCTCTCCAGCACCTGTTGTTTCCTGACTTTTGAATGATTGCCATTCTAACTGGTGTGAGATGGTATCTCATTGTGGTTTCGATTTGCATTTCTCTGATGGGCAGTGATGATGAGCATTTTTTCATGTGTTTTTTGGCTGCATAAATGTCTTCTTTTGAGAAGTGTCTGTTCATGTCCTTTGCCCACTTTTTGATGGTGGGGTTGTTTGTTTTTTTCTTGTAAATTTGTTTGAGTTCATTGTAGATTCTGGATATTAGCCCTTTGTCAGATGAGTAGGTTGTGAAAATTTTCTCCCATTTTGTAGGTTGCCTGTTCACTCTGATGGTAGTTTCTTTTGCTGTGCAGAAGCTCTTTAGTTTAATGAGATCCCATTTGTCAATTTTGGCTTTTGTTGCCATTGCTTTTGGTGTTTTAGACATGAAGTCCTTGCCCATGCCTATGTCCTGAATCTCTGAATAGACCAATAACAGGCTCTGAAATTGTGGCAATAATCAATAGCTTACCAACAAAAAAGAGTCCAGGATCAGATGGATTCACAGCCGAATTCTACCAGAGGTACAAGGAGGAACTGGTACCATTCCTTCTGAAACTATTCCAATCAATAGAAAAACAGGGAATCCTCCCTAACTCATTTTATGAGGCCAGCATCATCTTGATACCAAAGCCAGGCAGAGACACAACCAAAAAAGAGAATTTTAGACCAATATCCCTGATGAACATCGATGCAAAAATCCTCAATAAAATACTGGCAAACCGAATCCAGCAGCACATCAAAAAGCTTATCCACCATGATCAAGTGGGCTTCATCCCTGGGATGCAAGGCTGGTTCAATATATGCAAATCAAGAAATGTAATCCAGCATATAAACAGAACCAAAGACAAAAACCACATGATTATCTCAATAGATGCAGAAAAGGCCTTTGACAAAATTCAACAACGCTTCATACTAAAAACTCTCAATAAATTAGGTATTGATGAGACGTATCTCAAAATAATAAGAGCTATCTATGACAAACCCATAGCCAGTATCATACTGAATGGGCAAAAACTGGAATCATTCCCTTTGAAAACTGGCACAATAGAGGGATGCCCTCTCTCACCACTCCTGTTCAACATAGTGTTGGAAGTTCTGGCCAGGGCAATTAGGCAGGAGAAGGAAATCAAGGGTATTCAATTAGGAAAAGAGGAAGTCAAATTGTCCGTGTTTGCAGATGACATGATTGTATATCTAGAAAACCCCATCGTCTCAGCCCAAAATCTCCTTAAGCTGATAAGCAACTTCAGCAAAGTCTCAGGATACAAAATCAATGTACGAAAATGTGTTTTTCAAAAAAAATTACAACACAGAACTTGTTTACAACCTTCAAAATTATGAAAGTCTGAGAAATCAGAGATTCTCCTATTATATTTCCTTTCAGTTCAGGGTAATTAAAAACATGTTTGGGAATGGGTACACACAGGTATAACGATGGGTATAACAGACACTGGGGACTCCAAAAGTGGGGAGGGTTGGGGAGAGGCAAGGGTTGAAAAGGTACCCATTGAGCACTATGTTCACTATTTGGTAGTGGGTTCACTAGAAGCCCAAACTGCAGTATTATGCAATATACCCATGTAACAAGCCTGCACATGTACCCCTTAAATCCATAATAAAATTGTTTTAAAAAACATGTCTGTGGAAATTTAAATTTAAAAAAATGATTTGCAAATTGGTCGTCCATGTTTAAAATGCTTTTGCAAACATCTTGCTTTCTCAGTCACCAAAGCTATTGTTTCTAAGTAAAAACATGTATATACTTTGTTTTTCCCCATCCAATTCAGTAAGAAAGCATTTTCATTTATAAGTGAAGAAAACTGTTATTTTTTCAATCTGAATAACATCTGAGAAATTCTAGGCTAGGACTTGGCTACTAAAGGGCTTGGCAATATGAAATTTAAGGAGACATGTAAAATGGCCCTGTTAATTGCTTTTGGGGCAAGAGGTGGGAGTGAGAGGACAATCAAAGAAAGGGGAACATTCATTTGATTATTTTCCAATAAAATAGCTAATTTCTGAAGACTTTTATGAAATTATAAATGAGAAACAGTAATGAACTTTTGTGAGCTTAAATACTTGTGATTTAAAGGCTAACTAGACTATAATATTGGAACAGTGAAGAAGAAACTGAAAATAATGTTTTTAATAGAAAAATTAGTTGTAACACTTTCTATTTCAAGGATTGCATTCCCTTGATATTTGCTTACTGATAACGTTTGTTTATTTCCTTCAAGATTTAAATGAAAAACATATGCAAAAGGGTGTCCTCAAATCTCAAAATGTTAATATTTATTTTCAACATTTAATGATAACTCTGTTTTTCCAAAGCCTCTTTTTATTGTTCTGGTAAACATATTTCACAATTAAATATTTCCCACCAAAAGTTTCAAGAGGCCTATGTTACAGTCACATAAATGAGTATTCCATGTTATCTACATGACAATACAATTTAAAAAATATAATGGCAATGATGATCACTGAGGCAACAGTAATAGGTTCTAAAGCAGGTAAAATGGACCTTCTCTGTCTTATTCACCTTGATTTCCTGTACTTAGAAGCACTCAGTTAATATTTGTTCAATGAATACATAAAACTCAGAAAATGTAATATTTATGTTTTTCCACATAGAGGAAAATCTATACTTGTATTTTTGTAACAGAAAATCTAGATTCACAGAAGCAAAATCATCATTGAATTAAAGTATAAGTCTAACTGAAATTCAAGAGAAAATAATTTAACTGTTTCTATATGAAAACTAAAAAAGCTAATATGGAAATAAAGTTCCATCTATTTGTAATTCTACTTCAAAGCATTATTAATTATTTTAACTAAATAATTATGTTTATAAAAATTTGTATAAGGAAGTATCCTCTATTAGTTCAAATGATGATCAGGGCAATATCTAGTTTGTTCTCTATAGCATCCTTGGTAACTAGAACAATTCTTAGTATACAGAAAACTTTTCCTATTTGCTGAATGAATTCATGCTTGGGCCTTGTATTAGTCAAGGTACAGGCAAAGATACAGAATCAGTAGGAGATATATATATTCAAAGATTCATTGTAAAGAATTGGCCTATGCAACTGTGGGGATTGGTTAGGCAATCAAAATCCATATGACAGGCAGTCGGGAAGGGCAGGCTGGAACCCCTGGTTAGGAGCTGATGTTGCCTGCTGTCTACAGGAATTTCTTCATGAGGAAAGTCTCAATCAGCTCTGCTTTTAAGGCCTTTCCCTGGATTGAAACAGGCCCACCTAGGTTACATAGGATAATTTATCTGAAAGCAGCTGATTATGGGCCATAATCGCATCTGCAAAATAACCTCCTAGAAACACATAGATCAGTGTTTGATTGAAAAGCTATGGGCTGTAGCACAGTCAAGTCAGCACAGTCAAGTCAACACAGCATAAAGACCTGAAAAAATGGGATGTGCACTGCCTTTTCTGGTGGTGGATAATTCACCACCAAGAATTTGAACAGAGGTAGACTGTCTATCTTACAAGTTCCGCTTACTTAGCGCTTATTTGGCTCCAAAGTCTGTTTGATTTTAAGCTGTTCATTTACCTTATGATTTTCAATAATTTTAAGAATGCTGTGTTTTTGTCCTTATTTTACAGAAGAGAAACTTGAGGCTAAAAAAAGGCTTAATCACTTTTAATGTGAACCAGCTAGTGTGGATTAAAAACTAAAATATATTAATTTCAAAGCCCTGACTTTTCAAAACTATAATGCTAGTACGACATTGTCAAATAGAAATTGGCATAAAAATTGAAAAATAATAGAAATATTCAGATATGTCATTTTAGTCAAGAAATTCATCTCATTGTAATACATTGTTCTTACCTCTCCCTCTCCATTAATGTGCTCATCTATGTCACTCAATATTCCTGACAAAGTGCTGAAAGAGAAGATACAATGATTGAGATAATGATTATAAAGATACTTACTACCATTTGCGTCTTATTACAACAGACTATTTTGAAAGCCACTAAAATGCTTTTTAAGTCAACAACAGTAGGAAAAACAAATTTTCTCATGTGCAACTGTCAAAGCTTATGTTAAAATTATTATTGCTTTTTATTTAACTTTATTCAATGTCTGGGTCTCGTTCTTAGAACTTTCTGTAACTGAGAAGAACAAGATTTCAATTTTTTAGCTTGTGATAAATGATTTGTCCATGACAGTTTTCTATTCTACTTTCTCTTGTTCTGTCTTACCACTGAGTTTTCTTATTTACTAAGCTAAGTCCCCAACTACTGTTATATACTAATTTATCTTAACTACAATCTGGTCTTCTGAATCAGATAGAAAAAATGACAAGAGATAAAAATGAATTTATGTATTTGTAATCAAATATAACATTGTTTATTACAAATTTTAGTAAGTATCCTCCAGTTTAAATTTACAGGAGTTGGCACATGACAGTAAATTCAATTTGTGAATTTGATGGTGAATTTAATAATTAATATCAATCTAATGACTATTTCTTTGCAAACTGAAAAGTTGTAATAGTATGATTATATCTTAAGAAATGAAGTTAGTAATTTTTATAGCTTTTATCATAACAAAAGCTAACTAACTCTTTATGATATTAAACATTATTTTCTTCTATTTTGTGTTAGTGCTAGAATGCTAGCTATGAGTTCTGTAACTGCCCAAAAGATAGAGAGAACTTTCAGAAAAGTCCAAATACAGTCCAAAAAGAAGAAAGTCCTCCCAAAAGAAAGAAAAATGAAAACAGCTGCAATGTCATCCTCCATTATGTTAGCTCATGCATGGTTCTTGCTAAAGAACAGACATTCAATCTGCTTTGAATTATTTGTCACTTGGCTTCTTTATATTTCCATGCCCTATTTTGCATTTTGTTCACTACTCATTCTGTTATGCAATCTACATTCTGCAAAAAAAATTAATATATATTCTCACCAAGGATTGAACTATACGTAACCAAGTTTAGAACCTTCACAAACCTTGATGTTTTAGACTTTGCAACCAAACCTCATCATTTTAAGATTTGAGTTCACTTGATCTTTGGTTGAATGTGAAAACCCAATGCATAGGACTTAAAAAGCTTATAAAATATTCAAAAAGGTCCTTGCACATCAAATAGCTCTTAAGACAGAACATTTTGATGAGTTTAGTGTAAATGAATCAGAAGCATATGGATTAAATTTACCTTAAAATACTCCTGGGTTTAAGAATTAAGGGAAAATGTGCTTGGTGAAACATATTTTGGGTTTTGCCTAACCCAGAACAGTGGAAAAGTAGTTCAAGATGTTTGACGAACCCAAAACATGGCTGGGTTCACCCATCCTTAATTCCCTCTGGTAATAGCAAAGGACAGGCAGAGGCAGATTTTAGGTGCATAAATCTAGTTCAGGTTTTATCATGGTCATCCTAAACTATTAGATAACTTGAGAATGCCTTACCTCGACTAAATTAAATTTGTGCTATGTGCTTTTTATAATCTCTATTTAAAGACTATAAAATGTGTGTTTTATATGAAGGGTGTGGTTCTACATACTTACTGTATAGCAGTTTCTATGTACTCAGTAAAGAAGAGAAATCATGAGCTTTGCCACCTAGGGTATATCAAGAGATGCATACAGACATCATCATTAACCTCAGTAACTATTCAGTTGAATAGAAATAGAATAAGTAATTTATCAATTATTTTTACTTCTAAAACTAACAAAAATGTGCTAAAGAAGACTCTGTTTTGAAAAGAACCAACATGCACAATAATCAATATTATAAAATTTTATTTTCTATTTCTAACTTAACTTTTCTGTCTACACAAGAAATGGACAGAATGTATGAACTGGTCATTATCTGAGTACAACAGTATAGTAAAAAGCAACCATTCATTCCCGATTTAGGGAACTGCCATTAGTACCTGAATTGTCTTCCACTTGAATTTATGACAAATTCTTTCCTTGTAAGTACACAAATGTGGAGAAAAAAATACTTATATGTCATCTTCCTTCTTCTCTTCCAATAGACAAATAAACAGGGAGAGACACAAATCATTGACTCACATGAAAGTAAATAGATTCCCATGATGGTAGCTCATGGGATTTCAAATTACAGCCCAAAATATTCATATTATAAAATCTAGCTAACGTCTTCAATTAAGATAGTATGCTAAAGATCGCATCTAAACTGCAACTTAAATGTGAATTTTTGTAACAAATAAAATGTAAATGTAAAATATTTTCTTGAAACAATATATTTGAATGATAGTTTACCATGTCAACCTTGAATATTAGAAAGTGCTTTACACAAGAAAAAAGTTTATTATTTTATGGAGTTATGATAGGTTATTTTCTGCAATGTGATAAGAAATTAGTAAGGGTATATAAAGACATATTTTTACACATATGTATTCAAAGAAGTTAGGTTTTTAGAAATTGGCTTAGTCTATTTGCTTACCTAACTGGTAGATTACAAATGAATAATGTTTCTTTCAAATAATGGGTTGAGAGATAATTTATTTATAACATAAATAATGTTTACCTAAAATATGTTCAATATCAGAAAACTGTTCTTCTTAACAATTTCTCTTAGTAATTTGGCTACATGCAGTCCTTGGAACACACATTTAAATGGCTAATTTTTCAGCTTATCTACTATATGGAGCATACATATATTTTAAAAGCCAAAACATACAACCACACACTTTGCAATAATTTACTCTTCCATCAACCTTAATTTTCTGGAACTCAATATCACCAAAGATGTTCTCAGCAGCCTAAAGAAATGTCATAAAACTCATTTACTAAGGATATGCACTTTAATTCTAGCCCTTCGTTTATAGTCTTTTGGATTCTTATTTATCATACAAATTCACTCAATTATTCCACAGGTTTTTAGTGAGCACCTACTAGGAGCAAAACAACGTTGGGCACAAGAAAATTATAAATATTTATTCAGAATTGTTTGTACTCAAAAAGTTTATCCTATAGTGGCTGAATTAAAACATGTATAAAAAGCTATTATTAAATTGAAAAGTGATATAAAATCACTATAGAAAATGTCCTATGGGTTCTCAAAAGAGAGTTGAGCCCATAAAGCAAGCATAGTGTCAGCAGAAACAGTAACTTCTTCCAGTTTTGCTTTAAGGGAGGACACAGAAAAATGTAAAAAAAAGACAAAAAGTATGTTGTCTAACAGCGTAACAATGGATGTCGAGAGAAGTCATTTCAAAATTATGTTCAGTATATTTTGTCTAAAAGGGTAAGGATGTGTTAATACATTTTCAATCAACTTGAATTTAGTGTTTTTTTAATCATTTGGAGACAACTGTACAAATGCTATGCATAAGGCATTATAATGTGTATATAAATGAAATAACACAAATAAGTGTAGAGTGCATGATTTTGTAAAACAGTGTAGCCCTGGAATATGGGCTAGGTCTTCACAGAAGATAATCTCAAAGGAGTCCATGAGCAAATCTTTCAACTAGTTTAGAAAACCTGACTACAGATGTACAGTTACTATAAGAAATATATTTAGCCTGCTTCTGGGTAAGCTGACAGAGAGAAATAGAAAATATTCATCATTTAGATGTGTGTTCCAAGGACTGCATGTAGCCAAATTACTAGGAAAATTTGTTAACAAGAGCAGTTTTCTGATATTGAACTTCTGGGAGTAGGGCCCAGTTGTTTTAATTGTTGACAAGCCTTCCAAATGATTCTTAAGCACTTTAACTTTTGAAAACCACAATTCAAAATTCTATCAGGAATCTTTTTGGAAAGATGACAGGAAAAGTTTCAGCAGATAGCCAGTGAGAAGATTTCTAAGAACATCCCCATCTTATGCTGCAAAAAGATACTTCAATGGAAATAACAATGACTTGTAAGATTTGGGGAACAAAACTTTTGCCATATGGGCATTTCATATTAGAGCCATTCTTTAGTTATCTATTCCCATTCATTATAAATAAATGGCTTAATTTTATGTATAGACAAAATGTTGTGTTTCTATCTTGTTATTTAATGTATCAGCTTCACCAAAGTCCTAAAACGGCTAGTATGCTCAGCCGTCTGAACACCTGGCATTTCACAGTAGTTTTTATCAGGAAATTCAGAAAAGAATGAAGGAACTCCGATAGAAAAATACATCCCCCAAATTACCAACACATGTGACCAATGTTATGAAACCCTTTAGAACGTTTCCCATCAAAAATGGTTTTCTAGTGCAGCATATCAACAGGTATTATTCAATTACACATGTAGAAGTGCAGAACAATAACAAACGTAGAAATACAAAGAGAAATATACAGGTAAGAGTAGTGAATGGGAAACGGTGAATCTGGGGGTACTGGTAGAAAGTATCTCTCTTAAGCACCATGCCCTGCCCAAGACACATACACTATTAGCATTTTCCACTTAAAAAAGAATGGCCTACAGGAATTAATATGCTCAGCTTCCCTCTTCCTCACAATTCACCACATCATACACACTTACCTACATCTACACACTTTTTACCTCTTTTATTCTGATCTGAAAGTGGTACCCCTGCTATCTAAGGCTATTTTATACTTGCTTTTCCTACTTTTCTGAATTTACAACTTCTATATTTATGTTTGTCTCCTTTCCTATAGCTTCCTTCCCTCCTTCCCTCTTGAAGCACATCCTTAAATTTTTCTTCTACTCAGTTAAGGTTTAAATTCTTGAAATTCACTTTCGTTTAGGTATCTCTCATCCATTCTTCAACTCACTTATAACAGAATTCCACCCCCTACTATGCCAATAAAGTTATTCATATTGTTGTTACCAATGGCTAAAGCTAATTAACGTTATTTCCTTAACTTTCATAAATCTTTAATTCTAATTTATTAATTTTAATATTGAAAATTCTCAAATGATAAAATCATGTGATTATAATTTAGCTGTCTGAGCTTGGAAAAAAATGCAACTGTCCATTTCTTTCTAGCATGAAGTCTGGCCAAATTGATTTATTTTTAATTTTTTTAAAATTTCAATAAGTTTTGGGGAACAGGTCGTGTTTGGTTATATGAATAAATTCTTTAGTGGTGATTTTTGAGATTTTGATGCACCCATCACCCGAGCAGTGTGCACTCGACCCACTGTATAGTCTTTTATCCCTTACTCTCCTCCCACACTTTCCCTGGAGTCTGCAAAGCTCATTGTATTATTCTTATGCCTTTGCAACCTCATAGCTTAGTTCTCACTTACGAGTGAGAAAATACGATGTTGGGTTTTCCATCCCTGAGTTACTTCACTTAGAATAATGGTCTCCAATTCCATCCAGGTTGTGGCAAATGTCATTTCATTCCTTTTCTATGGTATATAAAATATATACTTTTTTAATCCACTCATTGATTGATGGGCATTGGGGCTTGTTCCATTTTTTTGTTTTTGCAATTGCAAATTATGCTCCTATAAATATGTGTGTGCAAGTATCTTTTTTGTATAATGACTTCTTTTCCTCTGGGTAAATACCCAGGAATGGGATTGCTGGATCAAATTGTAGCCTACTTTTAGTTCTTTAAGGAATCTCCACACTGTTTTTCATAGTGGTTGCATTAGTTTACATTCTCTCCAACTCTGTAAAAGTTTTTCCTTTTCAACACATCCATGCCAACATCTATTGTTTTTGGATTTTTTGATTATGGCCATTCTTGCAGGAATAAGGTGTTATCACATTGTGGTTTTGATTTGCATTTCTCTGATAGTACGTGATGTTGCACACTTTTTCATATGTTTGTTGGACATTTGAATATCTTCTTTGGAGAACTGTCTATTCATGTCCTTGGCCCACTTTTTGATAGGATTGTTTTTCTCTTGCTGATTTGTTTGAGTTCCTTGTATATGCTGGAAACTAGTCCTTTCTTGGAAAGTATAGGTCGCGAATATTTTCTCCAACTCTGTGGGTTCTGTTTACTCTGCTGATTATTTCTTTTACTGCCCAGAAGCTTTTTAGTTTAATTAAGTCCCATCTATTTATCTTTGTTTCTGTTGCATTTGCTTTTGCATTCTTTTTTATAAAGTCTTTGCCTAAGCCAATGTCTAGAAGGGTTTTTTCAATGTCATCTACTAGAATTTTTATGGTTTCAGGTCTTAGATTGAAATCTTTGTTCCATCTTGAGTTGATTTTTTTATAGGGTGAGAGATGAGGATCCAGGTACATTCTTGTTCCTGTGGCTTGCCAATTATCCCAGCACCATTTGTTGAATAGGGCGTAATTTCTCCACTTTATGTTTTTGTTTGCTGTTTGAAAGATCTGTTGACTATAAGTATTTGGCTTTATTTCTTGGTTCTCTATTCTATTCCATTGGTCTATATGCCTATTTTTATACGAGTACTATGCTGTTTCAGTGATGATGACCTTATATATAGTTTGAAGTCGGGTAATGTGATGCCTCCAGATTTGTTCTTTTTCCTTAGCCTTGCTTTGGTGATGTGGGCTCTTTTTTCGTTCCATATGAATTTTAGAATTTTTTTTCCAGTTCTGTGAAGAATGATGGTGACATTTTGATGGGAATTGCATTGAATTTGTGGATTGGTTTTGGCAGTATGGTCATTTTCACAATATTGAGTCTACCCATCCATAAGCATGGGATGTGTTTGTTTGTGTCATTTATGATTTCTTTCAACAGTGTTTTGTAGTTTTACTTGTAGAGGCCGTTCACATCCTTGGTTAGCTGTATTTTTAAGTATTTTAATTTTTGCAGTTATTGTAAAATGGGTTGAGTTCTTGATCTCTCAGCTTTATCATTGTTGGTGTATAGCAGTGCTACTGATTTGTGCACATTAATTTTGTATCCTCAAACTTTGCTAAATTCATTTACTAGTTCTAGGAGCTTTTTGGATAAGTCTTTAGGATTTTCTAGGTATACAATTATGTCATCAGCAAACAGCAACAGTTTGACTTCCTCTTCACCGATTTGGATGCCCTTTATTTCTTTCTCTTGTCTGATTGCTCCGGCTAGGACTTCCAGTACTATGATTGAATAGAAGTGGTGAAAGTGGGCATCTTTGTCTTGTTCCAGTTCTCAGGGAGAATGCTTTCAACTTTTCCCTGTTCAGTACAATGTTGACTGTCAGTTTGTCATAGATGGCTTTTATTGCCTTAAGTTATGTCTCTTTTATGCCTATATTGCTGAGGGTTTTAATGATAAAAGAATGCTGGATCTTATCAAATGCTCTTTCTACATCTATTGAGATGATCACGTGGTTTTTATTTTAAATTCTGTATCTGATGTATCATATTTATTGACTTGCATATGTAAAACCATATCTGCATATCTGGTGTGAAACCCACTTGATCATGGTGTATTATTTTTTGATATGCTATTGGATTCTGTAACTAGTATTTTATTGACAACTTTTGCATTTATGTTAATTAGGGATATTTGTCTGTAGTTTTCTTTTTTTGTTATGTCTTTTCCTAGTTTTGGTAATAGGGAGATACTGGCTTCACAGAATGATTTAGGGATGATTCCCTCTCTCTCTATCTTTGGAACAGTGTCAATATGATTGGTACCAATTCTTCTTTGAATGCTTGATAGAATTCAGCTGTGAATCTGTCTGATCCTGGACTTTGTTGTTGTTGTTGATAACTTTTAAATTATCATTTCAATCTCGCTGCTTGTTATTGATCTGCTTGATCTGCTCGGAGTTTCTATTTGTTTTGTTTTAATCTAGGAGAGTGGTATATTTCCAGGAATGTATCTATCTCCTATAGGTTTTCTAGTTTATGCATATAAAGGTGTTCATATTAGCATTGAATGATCTTTTGTATTTCTGTGGTATTGGTTGTAATATCACCTGTTTTATTTCTAATTGAGCTTTTTTGATCCTCTCTCTTGTTTTCTTGGTTAATCTCACGAATGGTCTATCAACTTTATTTATCTTTTCAAAGCACCAGCTTTTTGTTAATTTTTCTTCTGTATTGTTTTTTGTTGTTGTTTCAATTTCATTTAATTCAGCTCTGATTGTGGTTATGTCTTTTCTTATGCTGGCTTTGGATTTGGTTTTTTCTTGTTTCTCTAGTTCTTTGAGGTGTGACCTTAGATTGTCTATCTGTGCTCTTTCAAACTTTTTGATGTAGGCATTTAATGCTATGAACTTTCTTCTTATTGCCACTTTTGCTGTATCCCAAAGGATTTGATAAGTTGTGTCACTATTATCATTCAGTTCAAAGAATTTTTAAATTTTCATCTTGATTTCATTGTTGACCCAATGATCATTCAGGAGCAAGTTATTTAATTTCCATATATTTGCATGGTTTTGGGGATTCCTTTGGGAGTTTTTTTCCAATTTTATACCCTTGTGATCTGAGAGAGTACTTGATATAATTTCACTTTTCTTAAATTAGTTGAGACTTATTTTGTGGCCTATCACAAAAAAAAACTTGAAGACTGTTCCATGTATATTATGCATATTCTGTGTAGAACAGAATGTATATTCTGCAGTTAATTGGGTAGACTGTTCTGTAAATATCTGCTAAATCCATTTATTCTAGGGTAGAGTTTAAGTCCATTGTTTCTTTGTTGACTTTCTGTCTAGATTACCTATCTAGTGCTGTTAAGGGTGGAGACCACCCCTCATATTGTCTTATGCCCAATTTCTGCCTTCAAAGAAAGAAAAAGTAAAAACTAAAAGGCAGAAATGAAATCCACAGGCAGACAGCCTGGCACTGCACCCTGGGCCTGGTTAAAGATCAACTCCTGACCTGACCGGTTATGTTATCTATAGATTCCAGACATTATATGGAAAAGCATTGTGAAAATCCCTGTCCTGTTCTCTTCCATTCTGATTACTGGTGCATGCAACCCCTGGTCACATACCCCCTGCTTGCTCAATCGATCACGACCCTCTCACGTGGACTTTCCCCCTTAGAGTTGTAAGCCCTTGAAAGGGACAAGAATTGCTCACTGGGGGAGCTCAGCTTCTGAGACGCAAGTCTGCCAAAGTTCCCAGGTGAATAAAGCTCCTTCCTTCTTTAACCCAGTGTCTGAGGAGTTTTGTCTGCAGCTCATCCTGCTACACTGTCAGTGGAGTATTAAAGTCCTCCACTATTATTGTGTCACTGTCTACCTCATTTCTTAGGTCTAGTGGCAATTATTTTATAAATTTGTGAGCTCCAGTGTTAGGTGCATGTATATTTAGGATTGTGATATTTTCCTGTTGGACTAGTCCTTTTATCATTATATAATGTCCCCCTCTGTCTTTAACTGCTGTTGCTTTAAAGTCTGTTTTGTCTGATATAAAAATAGCTACTCCTGCTTACTTTTGGTGTACATTTGCATGAAATATCTTTTTCTACCTCTTTACCTTAAGTTTATTTGAGTCTTTATGTGTCAGGTGAGTCTCTTGAAGAGAGCAGATACTTGTTTGGTGAATTCTTATCCATTCCGCAATGCTGTGTCCGTTAAGTGGAGCATTTAGGCCATTTACATTCAATGTTAGTATTGAGATGTGAGGTACTATTCTATTCATCCTGCTATTTTTTGCCTGAATGCCTTGGTTTCTTTTCATTGTGTTGTCGTTTTATAGGTCTTGTGAGATTTATGCTCTAAGGAGATTCTATTTTGGTGTACTTTGAGGATTTGTTACAAGATTTAGAGCTTTTTAAAAGCAGTTCTTGTAGTGCTGGCTTGGTAGCAGCAAATTCAGCATTTGTCAGAAAAAGACGGTATCTTTCCTTCATTTATGAATCTTAGTTAGACTGGATACTAAATAGCACCCCAATTCTTTCTAGCTTGTAGGATTTCTGCTGAAAAATCTGCCGTTAATTTGATAGGTTTTCCTTTCTAGGTCTCCTGATGCTTTTGCCTCACAGCTCTTAAGATTCTTTGCTTCAGCTCGACTTCTGATGACTATGTGCCAAGGGGGTGATCTTTTTGCAATGAATTTCCCAGGTTTTCTTTGAGCTTCTTGTATTTGGATGTCTAGATATCTAGCAAGGCCAGAGAAGTTTTCCTCGATTATTCCATCAAATATATTTTCTAAAATTTTAGATTTATCTTCTTCCTTGGGAACACTAATTATTCTTAAATTTGATCATTTAACATAATGCCAAACTTTTTGGAAGTTTTGTTCCTTATTTATTTGTTTATTTACTTATTATTATTATTTTGCCTTTGTTGGATTTGGTTAATTCAAAAGCCGTCTTCTTTCCGGTACTTGTTTGATTCTATTGCTGAGAATTTCCAGTGCATTTTCCATTTCTTTAAGTGTGTCTTTGATATCCAAAATTTGTCATTTTTTATTTATGCTATCTATTTCACTGGCGATTTTTCCATTCATATCCTATATCTTTTTTTAAAAAAAATTTAAGTTGTACTTCACCTTTCCCTGGTGTCTCCTTGATTAGCTTAATAATTGACCTTCTGAATTCTTTTTCTGGCAATTCAGAGATTTCGTCTTGTTTGGATCCATTGCTGGTGAGCCACTGTGGTCTTTTGGGGGTGTTAAAGAACCTCGTTTTTTCATATTACCCAAATTGATTTTCTGGTTCCTTCTCATTTGGGAAGACTATTTCAGAGGGAAGATCTGGGACTCAAGGGCTGTTGTTCAGATTCTTTTGTCCCACAGGGTGCTCCCTTGATGTGGTGCTCTCTCCCTTCCCCTAGGGATGGGGCTTCCTGAGAGTCAAACTGCAGCAATTGTTATTTATCTTCTGGATCTAGCTAGCCAGCAGAGGTACGGGGCTCTGGGCTAGTACTGGGGAGTGTCTGCAAAGAGTGCTGTGATGCGATCCTTCTTCAGGTCTCTTAGCTGTAGATACCAGTACCTGCTCCAGTGGAGGTAGCAGGGGAGAGAAGTAGAGTCGGTGAGCGTCCTTGGTTGTATTTTTGTTAAGTGCACTGGTTTTGTGTTGGTTGGCCTCTGGCCAGAAGGTGGCGCTTTCAAGAGCACATCAGCTGTGGTAGATTATGACCTTTGTCTTTGGCTACCAGGGTGGGTAGGGTGGGTAGAGAAAGACCATCAGGTGGGGGCAGGGTTGGGCATGTCTGAGCTCAGACTCTCCTTGGGCAAGGCTTGCTGTGGCTGCTGTGGGGGATGCAGGTGTGATTCCCAGGCTAATGGAGTTATGTTCCCAGGAGGATTATGGCTGTCTCTGCTGTGTCACACAGGTCACCAGGGAAGTGGGTAAAAGCTGGCAGCAACAGGCCTCATTCAGCTCCTATACAGCTTGCAGCCCGAAAGGCCAGTCTCACTCCCAGCATGCACCCCCAACGGCACCAGGTTTATTTCTAGGCAGCTTGTGAGCAGAGCTGAGAACTTGCCCCAGGCTACAAGCCTCCCAGGTGAGACAGCAAACAGTTCTTCAGCTGCGCCACAGAGCCTCCTTCAAAGGATCTGTGGATTCTCTCAGCCTTCCAGTTATGTTCCTTGGAGGAAAAGTTCATGATGTCAATCTCCACACTCTGCTCTGTCCATCTGAATGGGAGCTGCAAAATAGTCCTGCCTCCTATCCTCCATTTTTTTCCATCTCTTCTGCAGTATTGTTTAAAGCTAAATTTTTAAGGGTGCTATTATGCTATTATGAAATGCTAAACTACAAGCATATGTATATGTTGGGGACAGAAACGCTTCCAGTAAAGCATATGTGAGCAATAGTCCCATATATTAAGGTATCAGCAATATAATAAGAAATAGCAGAAGTAGTCTCAGTCTCATATAACATCTTTTAATATCATGGTCTCCTTGACAACATCTCCAATAGCAATAGACTACTCAGGACATATAAATTACTGTGTTTTAAAAATAGTTTACTGATTTTGAAAGGTAGAACTGAGAAGTTTCCTGATGTTTTGTTGAATTGGCATTTATCTGCAGTAAACTGTGTACTTGTACTTTATATGTGTCTCAATGTATTTTTAAATTATAGGAGTTTCTGGTTTATAGGATTACACTTCTCTGACCTTCATTCATATCAAAGTGAAAAATGAGAAAGTGGCCAGTGCTCTAAGCATGGGTCATCATTCCTGGTCAGCTGTTGGTCATCAAGAAAATGGTCATTTCAAACTGTTCTCTGGCTGCTGGAAAATCATTTAAAAATGACTGTCCATACCTCGTAGCAAATGTTCTGGCTTTCCAGAGATAAACATGGAAGAAATAGCTGTCTATTAAAAAATAGTAGTAACAGTCTCAATTATTTAAGGGTTTATTTCAACATATTTGGCCTTATTCTTCCTCATGCTGTTCATATATTGGTCAATAGCTATATTTTGGTATTAGGTATGCAAATACATGAAAGTTTAATGAAATAATAACTAGTGCCATGAATGAAAAATATTTGACTTTATATTTATGATTCATTACATTATTTGTAATTCTCTTTTTCATATTTCCATGTAACAGTGAAGAATCCTTTTAGCCTGGCTCTCTCATTAGGCCCTGGAAGAACATATAATAGTATAATTTTTGGAATCACTAGGTTTAAATTTAGTCAAAGAAGACTCACATAAAATGGCCCCACCTAAATTTTTAATATATTTTGCTACTTGTCACAGGATGCTCTCAGTGCATTCACAGAAGCTTAAGATTTGGGTGAGGTGATGTATTAGCCCCTTGGGGAGATATTATAACAGAGTAGTTATGAGAGAAGATTGTCTGAGACCCCCCCGAAACTTCAGTCTTGGCTGTCATACTAATTACCTATGTGTCCTTAGAAAAACTGTCTAAGCTCTCAAAGTGTTTGTTTTTTCTTCTAAAGAGGATAATAGTCACACTCACCATGTATTTTAGGATTAATTGAAACACCTGTAAATGCTTATCACCAAGACTGGCACATGGTACATGTTCAAAAAATAGTGCTTGTAGTAGAAGTAACAATAATCATACTCTTAATCATGATGATGATAGTCATTGTTATTACTCTTTGCTTTGATCAGTTATTGGGACCATATTTTAATATGAAAATTATAACAATAATAAAATAGCTAATAATTATTAAATTATTGAACACTTAAAAAGTACCAGGTACTATTCTATGCATTTTCAATGCATTATCTAATTCAATAATCAGGGGTCC
This sequence comes from Homo sapiens, assembly GCF_000001405.40. NCBI lineage: Eukaryota > Metazoa > Chordata > Mammalia > Primates > Hominidae > Homo > Homo sapiens. Next base: position 44,601,925 of record NC_000005.10, on the reverse strand, counting down.
CAAATGTATTATCATTAATATTCCCATTTTCAGAGGAGAAAATTGAAGGTAGAGAGATTAAATACACACCCTAGGATCACAGGCATAGTGAATGGCAAAGCCAGGATTTGTAACAAGGTGGTGTCTTTCTGAAGCACACACTCTTAAGGAACATCCAAAGAAAGCTAGAATGATCAAGATTCTGGGAGCCATGTCATGTCAAGCAGCTTACATGGAAAAAGATCTATATGACATAATTTAATGCAGTTATGTGTGTGTTTGAAAATATTTGCAGAAGCAAAAAGGAGGAGGAGAATAACAGTTTCTAAAGGGAACAGGGACTGTGTGGCTTTATGAAGGTGAAACTTTGAGCTGGCCTTCAAAGAATGAAGAGGGATTTTAGGAAAAAGTGAAGAAGGCAATTCCAAGCAAAGGGAGGGCAAGGAAAAAGGCACAAATTTGAGAGTTCTTAGCACTTTCAGGATGTCAAAAATTTCCAGAACATATCTCAGAGACTAGAAGTGGAATGATAGGCACTGCAGATCTTATATGCAGTGCTCAGGAGGTTGTGCTTTTCTAAAGACAATTGTCATTGCAGGATCTTGAAAAAGGAAGTGATTGTGAAATAATTTGATTTTTAGGAAAACCATTCTGACAAGAAGTACAAAAATTTATTTCAGAGGTACAAGAAAAAAGACAAGGTGATTAGTTAGAAAGTACTTCCAACAATTCAGGCAAAAGATAATAATAAGATATTGATACCAGGAATGAAAAAGAAAAAATCAGTTTAAGAAATTTTAAAGGTAGAAAAAACTGATTTGGTCTTCAGTTGGAGTAAGAGATAATACAGAGTTAAAATGACTCAAAAATGTCTGCTTGACTAAGAACAAAAGCAAAGAGGAGTGAGAATAAAAGAGGTTGCCATGTCACATAATCCCTGGATTAATTGTAGTTAAGTGTTTAATAAATATTTGTTGAAAAAGTAAAATTAAAACTATCATGCAAGTCTCAAGATATAAAACCAATATGCAAAAATCGCTAGCATTCCTAAGAATCAACAACAGTCAAGCTGAAAGCCAAATCAGGAATGAACTCCCATTCACATGGCCACAAAAAGAATAAAATGCCTAAGAATACAACTAACTAGGGAGGTGAAAGAGCTCTACAAGGAGGACTACAAACCACTGTTCAAAGAAATCAGAAATGACACAAACAAATGGAAAAACATTCCATACTCATGGATAGAAAAAATCAGTATCATTAAAATGGCCATACTGCGTAAAGCAATCTATATATTGAATGCTATTCCTGTTAAACTGCCATTGAGATTCTTCAGAGAACTGGAAAAACTATTTTAAAATCTATATGGAACCAAAATGAACCTGAATAGCCAGGGCAATCCTAAGCAAAAGGAACAAAGCTGGAGGCATCACGCTACTCAACTTCAAACAATACTAAAGGGCAACAGTAACCAAAACAGCATGGTACTGGTACAAAAACAGGCACACTGACCAGTGGTACTGAATACAGAGGCCAGAATAATACCACACACCTAAAACTATCTGATCTTCCACAAACCTGATGGAACATCAGGGAGAAGATTCCCTATTCAACAAATAGTCCTGGGATAACTGGCTGCCCATATGCAGAAAATTTAAACTGGACCCCTTTCTTACACCATATAATAAAATTAACTCAGGATAGATTAAAGACTTAAATGTAAAACCCAAAACTATAAAAACCCTGGAAGACAATCTAGGCAATACCATTTAGGACATAGGCATGGGCAAACTTTTCAGGATGAAGACACCAAAAGCAATTGCAAAAAAAAGCAAAAATTGACAAATGGGATCTAATTAAACTAAAGGGCTTCTGCATAAGAAACTATCAATAGAATAAACAGACAACCTACAGAAAGGGAGAAAATTTTTCACACTATGCATCTGACAAAGGTCTAATATCCCATATCTATAAGGAACTTAAATTTACAAGAAAAAAATCAAACAACCCCATGAAAAAGTGTGCAAAGGACACAAACAGGCAGTTTTCAAAAGAAGATATACATGTGGCTAACAATTATATGAAAAAAACCTCAACATCACTGATCACTAGAGCAATGCAAATCAAAACCACAATGAGATACCATCTCACACCAGTCAGAATAGCTATAATTAAGAAGTCAAAACATAAGGGCCATGTGCAGTGGCTCATGCCTGTAATCCCAGCACTTTGGGTGGATCACGAGGTCAGGAGTTCAAGACCATCCTGGCCAACATGGTGAAATCCTGACTCTACTAAAATACAAAATATTAGCCAGGTGTGGTGGTGCACACCTGTAGTCCCAGCTACTTGGGAGGCTGAGGCAGGGGAATCACTTGAACCTGGGAGGTTGCAGTGAGCCGAGATCGCACCACTGCATTCCAGCCTGGCAACAGAGCGAGGCTCCATCTCAAAAAAAAAAAAAAAAAAAAAAGTCAAAAAATAAGATTCTGATGTGGTTGTGGAGAAAAAGGAACACTTATACACTGATGGTGGGTGTGTAAATTAGTTCAGTCATTGTGGAAAGCAGTGTAGCAATTCCTCAAAGACTTAAAGACAGAAATAGACCTAGCAATTCCATTACTGGGTATATACCCTACAAAATATAAAAATTTCTATTATAAAGACACATGCATGCATATGTTCATTGCAGCACTATTCACAATCGAAAAGACATGGAATCAACCTAAATGCCTATCAATCAGTGGTAGACTGAATAAAGAAAAATGTGGTATATATACACCATGGAATACTATATGCAGCCATAAAAAGAATGAGATCATGTCCTTTGCAGGGACATGGATGGAAATGCAGGCCATTATCCTTAACAAACTAATGCGGGAACAGAAAACCAAATACCACATGTTCTCATTTATAAGTGGGAGCTAAATGATGAGAACACATGGACATAGAGAGGGAAACAAAACACACTGGGGCCAATCAGAGGGTGGAGGGTGGGAGGAGGGAGAGGATCAGGACAAATAGCAATAGGTACTAGGCTTAATGCCTGAAATATGAAATAATCTGTATGACAAACCCCCATGATACAAGTTTACCTATGTAGTAAACCTGCATGTGTCCCTGAACTTAAAATAAATGTTAAGAAAAGTGTGCCTAAGTAGCCCACCATAATTCATTTTTTAAAAGTGTAGACAAAAGAAGAACATAAAAAATAAGAAAAGGAGCATTAATGGACAGTGTCTTATGATTCTTTACTCCCCTCTACCATAAGAGCCATTTAGAATTCATATTATTAAGTTTATTTATGAGCCATTAACTAGCCATCTCAACTAGATTTTCTTGGGCTTTTGCCAGGTCTCCTTAATACAAAGTGGTTGATATGGTTTGGCTGGGTCACCACCCAAATCTCATCTTGAAATGTAGTTCCTATAATCTCCATGTGTCATGGGAAGTACCCAATGGGAGGTAATTGAATCATGTGGGCTGTTACCCTCATGCTGCTCTTCTTGTGATAGTTACTGAGTTCTTATGATATCTTATGGTTTTATAAGGGGCTTTTCCTGCTTTTGCTCTTTACTTCTCCTTGATACCACCATGTGAAGGACATGTTTGCTTCCCCTTCCACCATGATTGTAAGTTTCCTGAGGCTTCCCCAGCCATGCTGAACTTTGAGTCAATTAAGCCTCTTTCCTTTATAAATTACCCAGTCTCAGGTATGTCTTTATTAGCAGTGTGAGAACAGACTAATACAGTAAATTGATACCGGGAGTGGGGCGCTATTGTAAATGTACCTGGAAATGTGTAAGTGACTTTGGAACTGGGTAACAGGCAGATTTTGGAACAGTTTGGAGAGCTCAGAAGGAGATGGGAAAATATGGTAAAGTTTGGAACTCCCTAGAGACTTGTTGAATGGCTTTGACCAAAATGCAGATAGTGATATGGACAATAAAGTCCAGGTTGAGGTGGTCTCAGATGGAGATCAGGAACTTGTTGGGAACTTGGGTAAAGGTCATTCTTGCTATGCAAAGAGACTGGCAGCATTTTTACCCTGCCCTAGAGATCTGTGGAACTTTGAACTTGAGATAAATGATTTAGGGTATCTGGCAGAAGAAATTTCTAAGTGGCAAAGCATTCAAGAGAAAGCAGAGCATAAAAGTTTGAAAAAATTGCAGCCTGAAGGTGCAGTAGAAAAGAGAAACCAGTTTTCTGGGGGCAAATTCAAGCTGGTAGCAGAAATTTGCATAAGTAATGAGGAACCAAATGCTAATCACCAAGACAATGGGGGAAATAACTCCAAGGCATGTAAAGAGACTTTCATGGCTACCCTCCCTTCACAGGCCCAGAGGCCTAGGAAGGAAAAATGGTTTCCTGGGCTAGTTACAGGGCCTCCCTGCTGTGTGCAGCCTTGGGACTTGACTTGCTGCATCCCAGATGCTCCAGCCATGGATAAAAGGGGCCAAGGTACAGCTTGGGTTGTGGCTGCAGAGGGTGCAAGCACCAAGCCTTGGCAGCTTCCTTGTGGTGTTGAGCCTGCAGGTGCACAGAAGTCAAGAATTGAGGTTTAGGAATCTCCATCTAGATTTCAGAGGATGTATGGAAACACCTGGATGTCCAGGAAGAGGTGTGCTGCAGGGGTGGAGCCCTCATGGAGAACCTCTGCTAGGGCAGTGAAGAAGGGAAATGTGGGTTTGGAGCCCCCACACAGAGTCCCCACTGGGGCACTGCCTAGTGGAGCTGTGGGAAGAGTGCCACCATCCTCCAGACCCCAGAATGGTAGATCCACTGACACCTTGCACTGTGCACCTGGAAAAGCCCCAGACACTCAACACCAGCCATGAAAGCAGCCAGCCAGGAGTCTGTACCCTACAAAGCCACAGGGGTGGAACTTCCCAAGGCCATGGGAGCCCACCTTTTGCATCAGTGTGACCTGGTTGTAAGACATGGAGTCAAAAAAGATCATTTTGGAACTTTAAGGTTTAGTGACTGTCCTGTTCAGTTTTGGACTCACCTGGGGCCTGTAGTCCCTTTGTTTTGGCCAATTTTTTCAATGTGAAGCAGGTGTATTTACTCAATGCCTGCACTCTGATTGTATCTAGGAAGTAACTAACTTGCTTTTGATTTTACAAGCTCATAGGCAAAAGGTACTTGCCTTGTCTCAGATGAGACTTTGGACATGGACTTTTCAGTTAATGCTGGAATGAGTAAGGACTTTGGGGGACTGTTGGAAGGACATGATTATGTTTTGAAATGTGAGGAAATGGGATGTGAAAAGGGCCAGGGCCAGATTGATATGGTTTGGCTGTGTCCCCACCCAAATCTCATCTTGAACTGTTGTTCCCATAATCCTGACATGTCATGGGAGGAACCCAGTGAAAGGTAATTGAATCAAGGGGGCAGTTACCCCCATGCTGCTGTTCTCATGATAGTGACTGAATTCTCACAAGATCTAATTTTATAAGGAGCTTCTCCCCCTTTTGCTCTTAACTTCTCCTTGACGCCAACATGTGAAGAACATGTTTGCTTACCCTTCCACCATGGTTATAAGTTTCCTGAGACCTCCTCAGCCATGATGAACTTTGAGTCGATTAAGCCTCTTTCCTTTATAAATTACCCAATTTCAGGCATGTCTTTTTTAGCAGCATAAGAACAGACTAATAGAGTGGTTCTTTCAGAACTGTTCTAGAACAGCCCATTCTGTTGTTCAAGGTTATTGTTTTGGTGACTGAATAAAAGTGAAGAATAAGTTATTTGGAATTTGCCCAGGCAACAAAAGAAACCTGAGTTTAGTTTGTGATAAACTATGTGAACTAGAACACGCTGCCAAAAATATCTGTTTTTCCACCACAAAAATAGAAACAACAAAAATCTATATGATCTTTTATAGTACCATGGAGATTACATCTTACTCAAAATGGAAATTCAATGTAGAACAAATAAATAGTAGTATTAATAAATTCTAAATATTTTATGAGTTTCCAATCAGAGTTAGATAAAGCTCAAGGTGACATTTATTTGCTTCACATTTAGTGAGAAGTTTTGATTTACTAGCTCAGACACAATTGAAAACATGCTTTCATAAAGTACTGTACAATAAATGAATGGTTTGAATTTCAGTCTGGAGAAAAATGAAAGTATAGATGGATGGCTTGGCGTTGATAGGAGAAGGGATAGGATACTTCATCCACAGAAACAGAATGGTTGCAGTTATAGGTGAGTTGGTTAATGGGTGGTCAGAATATGAAGGAGTTCCTGTTAGGTTGTTTTTATTCTTCAATAAATATAAGGCAAGCTAAGGGACAGGAATTTGGAAGAGTAAATGAAGGCCATAAAAGGGAGATAGATGCAAATCATCAGCGTCTATGGAGAGAAGAGGTTTAAACTGAACATTTTTGTATAAAAGAAAATATACAAAGGGAGTACAATAGGATTGTCTGCCATGTTGTATTTCCACTTTGATGATTTGTGTCATGACCTTAGAGTAAGATAAGTCAGCATGAGAGAGAGAAAGAAAGACAGAGAGAGTTTGTGTGCACATGCTTGCATGCACCGTGAATATACATAACAATGTTCAGTGTTTGTGTGTAGGCATAGGGTAGACAGATAGTTAGATTTAAATAGAATTCAGGCATTTCCAGGTGAATCTAACAAGAGAAGAGTGGTTAAGGGATTTAATGGGGTATACAAAGGAGCAATTTCAATAAAGTTCCACCGACTCTTAAGTTGGTAGAAAGAGAGCAGAAGACATACATTAAAATAATTTTAATAATGTAAAACTATCACTGGATGGAAAATTGAATGAGGTCACAAAGAGTTGAAGTAGCATACTACGTGAGCTAAAGATTTAGAAGTCAGTAGGACAGACTGGAAAACAGAGCCAATATTTTGGAGATGGTCGTTGGTATTGACAATGTCGTGAGTGAGAACACAGCTGTAGTGGTTGAGGTAAGGTAGAGGTAAATATTACTGGAAAAAGCCACACACCCTGGCCAGTAATTATTGAGATCTGTAAATATCAGTATGATGTTGATCTTTATCTGACTTTATTCACTTTCACTGGTTCTCTGTAATCCAGATTTCTGGGAAATAGCTTTCTGCATTTAGCTCATTGCAAACATGTTTCTGTGAAGTCCAATGTCTATATTCCAAGATCCAAACCCAAGTTCAGATAGGTACCTTCAGTCTGGACATGACTATTCTCCCATGGGCCTGTGATTTAGCACCTGCTTTCAGACATCCACGTTCATCTTGCCTAGAATAATGAACGTTTGGTATTTTCTCACCCCTGCAGCTTTTCCAGAATCCCAGTCCAAGTCTTCCTTTCTGACTTCCCACTGTTTGCTGAGATTCTATTTTGATAAAAAGAGTAAAAAAGTAGTACAGAACTTCAAAAAACACTATGACTTTGAGAGGTAGAGCCAGGACAGAAACAGAAAGGTATGAGATAACCCAGAATAACACAGAACTGTAGAGTCAAGAAAGCAAAAGATTAAAAAGAACACCAAATACTTCCCATAAGTGAAGGTGAGCAAGGGTAGAGGGGAAAACAAGACTGTGTGTGTGTGTGCATGCATGCGTGTGTGTGTGTGTGTAAAGCCTTTGGAGAAACTTTATTTTATAGAGAAGAAAAACAAGTTGCACAGACAGATAGGCAACTTGTTAAAAAAAACTACAGTGGGACGAAGCAGAACTGAATCTCAGAAGACCTGTGTTCTTTCCCCAACAAAACACCATCACCCATTTGGCAACTGGAAAAAAACGTTGATATTCTTTAAAACAGCAATGAAGTAGAGTGGGGAAGGAGAAGGAAAATTGTACTGATTATGAAATAAGAAACAAGCAGAAAAAAACGGGGCTTGCTTAACAATAAACGTCTTATTGAATCAAATATTCTTGAAATCGTTTGAGTTTCTTCTATGTGTAAAAACATACATTATTAGCAATTAGATGACAATTTTCTCATTTGAGACAAGGGTTTCTGAAATAGATAATCTTGAAAGGAACTTTCAAACCCCAAATTTACTATTTTTGCATAAATACAAATTACATGAATGGTTTTAAAAACTAATATGCACAGTATCCCATTAGAGAGATTTGCCTCACTTGGCAAATGAGGTGACTGAAGTTTAGAGATGATAAGTGATTTTCATTAGGTTACTCCATATACAGAATGTTCTTATTTACAATTTTCCAGATTCAAAATAGTGCACTTAAGTATAAAACTCAGTGGAATTTCAGACTTGCCCTACAAACCATTAAAAGGTAATAATCTCTAAACAAATAAATAACATTTGGGAATATAAAAGTATGCCAAAATCTCTACATTCTCTAGCAAAAGTATCATTTGGTCTCTTTTCTGTTTCATATTACAATGTCATGTAATACGTGATCATTTTAACAAAACTTAACCAAAGGCGATTAGGGAATATATAAGTGAGTCTGCAGAAGGATTTCATACAATCTCACTTCAAACAAAATAAAGCACATTGGGCCTGAAGGGAAACCTAAAGGACTCTGGAAGTAGCATAAGTAAAAGAAAACATGCACACATATTGGCATAAGGGGCTTTTAATAAAAATGTAACTGTTATGGTTTTAGGCTGATTCCAGTGGCACAATGGACCCTCCAGTGTTCCTGTCTTGATTGCCAGTGAAACTTGTTTTTCTTTTCTGCATCTTGATCACCTTTGATAAAAGATACTTTGGGTTATAGATGTGTCTTTGCCCAACAGACAACATTGCTGATGCCAAGGCTTTACTAAAAGTCATTAAATACATAAATTTGAAGGGATTTAAAATGTAAAATGTAAAATTTGGAAGCAGCATTTTCCAGGAAAAAGTGTTACTTTAAGTAGAGGTAATATAAAGTAGAAACATGTTTGGGAGACAAGCTCTATAATAGTGAGTCCTTTGATACAGCACCTACAATGTCAATAATATGATTTATAAATTATTTTAAAGCACACAAGAAGGGACTAACTAGTCACTAACTTAAAGGAGCTAGAAATGTCTTATCTTTTTAATAGAGAACTAATTTCCTATCATATCATGGACTTCTACATGGTATTTTAGAAATAATCTTGAGACTTTATTTTGAATTACATTTTCTATAAAACCGTAGGTAGTTAATAATCTCTGTTAATTTGATCAATTGTAAAGTAAAAATAGTGTTGTTGAGGTATATCATGTGCAGTGTCTGTTAACTGCCTACTTTTAAATGTGAAATATCAATGTAAGTCATTTTAATTAAAAAATCAATGTTAATTAAGGTATTTTTATATTTATTTTTCTTCTAAACATATTTTTATATCTATTTCTTTATTTCCCAAGTAGAAGCAAAGAATTCTGTGCTGGCACACAAAAGCAAAAAATATTAGTTTACAAAAAGTTCTTCAAAAGCCTATCTTCAAACATAATTAATCTTTTTTCTTTGATTAAATGGTCTGATTTTTTTCTCTTCATAAAAACACATACAACTATTTGTAACTAGATTGGTCCAAGGTATGTCATTTTAAGCAAAATTATTATGTAATTCACAATTAGATTCTGTGTTCACGTGTCATGACTACACCAATTGGCTATAATAACAGTATGTTTTTTCTGCTCTAAAAGATGGCCACTCAGGCTTTTGATATTTTCCTCCTCTCTGTATTCACTGGCACCTTTCTATTCTTTTTCTCTGTTAACAAGTTGAGATCTATACACTTCATTTGGTTTTGATGACCAATTAATTTTATAAACTTGTACAAAAGTTCTAGGTATAATTTGCATTTGGTAGGATTGTTTTGGTTACAAGTGACAGAAAGCTAGCTAGTTCTAGTCTTGGCAATAAAAGGCCACCCAAGGAAGAAATCGTTAAGAGAATCACATTTCAGTTCATGGCACATTATTGTATTTCATCCATGCAAAGTCTCTACTGTGCTTTTAATTAATTATTATACTTTTCCCCTATGTTCCACTTTTATTCCTTTCCCTCCACTCTAAAAGAAAATGCCCTAACTTATTTAATGTGAACATTCCTTTGATGCCTGAAATTTAGTTTATGTAAATAGGGTTACGCATATCAATCTGTTTCTCAACTTTTTTTTATTAGCACTATGGCTTTAAAACCCTCCCCTACTTATGTATGTAGAGCGCAAAATTTTAGTTTTGTAGGACGTTAAAATGTTTTGCAGTTCTAGTCCTGTCATTAATTTACTCTGTGACTTGGAATGTGTCATCTACATTCTTCATGTCTGTGGTTCCTCACTGAAAAAAAATGGAAGAGATTGAATTAAAATATGTGAAAGATTTTAGCCATAAACTGTATAAAATTTTTTTGAATGCCATGCATTTTGAGAGTTGCTCAATTGATAAATTCTATAGATACATTGTAGAAAAAATATTGGGAAAAGACAGTACATCCTTTCTAGTTGACAAAGTTGGAGAACTATAAGGTATCAAAGAGGATGAAGAGGAAATATGAGGGCGCTTGCCAGCAACTGTTATTAGATTTCATACTGTGTACTAATGCCCAAAAGGGTTGCCTTGACAGCACTACCATTGGTCACTCGCAGTTGAGGTTCAGGATGCAAAATATGAAGAGGTGGTGTATTAGGCTGTTCTTGCATTGCTGTAAAGGAATACCTGAGACTGGGAATTTATAAAGAAGAGAGATTTAATTGGCTTACAGTTCTTCAGGCTGTACCAGCATGGCTCCAGCATCTGTTTCTGGTGAGGGCCTCAGGAAGCTTACAATTGTGGTGGAAGATAAAGTGGGAGCAGGCACATCACATGGTAAGCGTGGGATCAAGACAGAGATTGGGGAGGTGTCACACAGTTTTAAACAAGATATCTTGTGAACTCACTCATCACCCCGGGGATGGTGCTAAGTCATTCATGAGGGATTTGCCCCCATGACCAAAACACCTCCTACCAGGCCCCACCTGCATGCAACACTGGGGATTACATTATAACATGAGATTTGGAGTGGAGAAATATCCAAACCATATCAGGTGGCATGTCTCCCAACTGGAAGCAGAGCCTAAATAGTAGAACTAATAGATCTTCAAGTAAGAGTGGATCAGGAGGGTTTTCTTAGGTATCCAGTGTGCAAGTAGATAGCCTTGGTGAAGCTTTTTAACCCAGTGAAGGCACATTCTGCATGAATTTGGGAATAGACAAAAATCAGCATATTTTATGACTAAATTTCACATGACATTCTGGAAAAGGAATGATGTGCCAGTGATTGTAAGTAAGAGGAGATAATTTGTATACCAAAGGTGATCTGAAATTATTAAAGTCTTCATGTAAGATATGCATGAATGGCTTGATATTATATTTAGCCTTTGGAGTTAATCTAACACCTTAATATAATTTTATGTTAAATGTTGTCTCTTACTAGAGATAAATCTCATAAATATTGGAAAAGAAAGGTTCCTTTTCAATGAATTTCTCAGAGAAATAAATGTAATACATCTATTCATTAAAATACTTCAGATCATTTTCATCCATAAAATATTATTATTCAATAACTTTTGCCTTCCTTTTTGCACTTAAGATGTTACATTTACGTGGAATCACAGACACTTCTGGCTCTTGTTAGAGAATATTACCCTAAAATTACAAACATCTTAGGGAGAGGAAATACTTTTAACAAGATATGTTTAAATGGGGGGTGGACTTTAATTAAAATTAAAATTCCCTTTGAGTATGCAATAATTGTATTACTTATTTGTTACATTCTGTAAAATGTCTGAGTTTCTGGTGATATAAATTTCTGTCAAAAAGACTGTTATTTCCTGCAAATGGTTTCTGATGTTTAAAGTAAATGAATTTAGAATAGTTTCCAGGGGTCATCATCTAAGCTAGAAAATCTTGTGTTCTTAAGTAAAAACCACAGCCAGTGACTGTCTACACAGCTCAAAGTAAAATGCCGGGACTTGAGTCTAAATAAGCTACATTGGCTGCTTACACATAATGATTACTCAATTCTATGTTTTACTAGGCTTATATCAATATTTCCTAAAGGAGAGAGAAGGAGTGGGTTGACTTTGTCAATATTTATTTAAATAATTATTTCTATAGAGTCAATTATCTTTAAATCAAATAGTGCATAAGTTAATATATTAAATAAAATTATTTTGTTCGCTATTTAAAATTGGGTATTGTGCTAGATGCTGAGGGCCAAAGGTAAGTGATCTATATAACCCCGAGAAGTCATCTGCATGTATCCCTCAGTGTAGATCAATTTATTTCCTTCCCACCCACCCTACAATCCCCAAGCACGAACCCCCATTATCTCTGGTCTGAACTATTGCTAGAATATTCTCATGGTTCTCAACATATGCCCTGAAGTCATTTTTCATACTACTAAGTAATATTTTATAATCTCAATTTGATGATATTCCTTCTAGTTTCCAGTTTTGTTTTTTTTTTGAGACGGAGTCTTGCTCTGTCGCCCAGGCTGGAGTGCAGTGGCCCCATCTTGGCTAACTGCAAGCTCTGCCTCCCGGGTTCATGCCATTCTCCTGCCTCAGCCTCCCAAGTAGCTGGGACTACAGGCACCCACAACCACGTCCGGCTAATTTTTTTTTTTTTTTTGTATTTTTAGTGGAAACGGGGTTTCACCGTGTTAGCCAGGATGGTTTCGATCTCCTGACCTCGTGATCTGCCCGCCTCAGCCTCCCAAAGTGCTGGGATTACAGGCATGAGCCACCGTGCCCGGCCTAGTTTCCAATTTGAATGACTTCTCATTATCCTTAGTATAAAGACCTAACCCATTAACATAGAACACACCATTCTGCATGACCACCTGCCCCTGACTCTCTCCAGCCTCAGCTTTGGCCTCTCTTGTATTGTCTATACTCCAAACCCATTGGACTGTCCTACTTTAATCCTTTAAACATGCTGTGTGCTTTCCTATCTCAGAGCCACACACATGCTCTACTCTCTGCAAGTACATTAGCAGCATTCTCTCCTTTATGGCTTAGTTCCAAATTTTGCTATGGATCTGAGTTCGATGAGCACTCTTTTAGGGATATCTTCCTCCTCAGCAGGTCAGAGCCTCCTGTTTCACACTATGGATGGCACTCTGTACACTTCCTTCAAAGAAATTATCATTATGTGTAATAATCATATCTTATGTCATTTGATTTATAACTGGTTCCATTTTTAGACTATGTTTCCACAAAAATATCATTAAGTATATTTCACTATTATTTTTGATACCTTGCAGAGTACCTACCACCCTAAATTCAAGGGATAGAAGGAAGGAAAGATGAAAGGGAGACAGGCTGGGAAGGAATCACCTCACTTGCCCAGAAGTTATTATACTGTCTTCTTCTGCTGTCAGGTAGATGCTTAAACATGGATATGTTTACTTTAAGTGGATCCACTGGTGTCATAACATCAGAATATATATTAAACATTATTAAAAAGAAATAATTTCCTTGGCTTCTTATTTTCTCAAGTTTCATACGTGACTGAGGTCTGGCTAAGCAATCCTTAAATCACACTTTTATAATAACTACATTTTGTTTATGATAAAAATATCAAAATTTGTTAACCCCGGTTCTCTCATATAAGGATCAATGAGTAGAACTGTGTAAACTTTGTAAAGCAGAAGTCTTTCATAACTCTTACCATGGTAAAATGATTTTTAAGGACTACATTCTGAGCTCAGACCCCAAAGTCAAAAGCCATTATTTTGCAGAGTGCCTGCCACTACTACTAACCATGGAGGGATCAAAGAACGTTACAAATAAAAGAGAATTATAGATCATTCAGGCATTACCCTATTCCCTTTATTTTGAAGGTGGCATAATCTAAGCTGACGACCATAATATGGCAAAAAGATATGTAGTGATAGAGCAGCAAGCAATATGTTTTAGTTAGGACTTTCCATTACTAATAGTACAAAACCCACCCTAATACCCTAAAGGGGAGAAAAAAGATATATTGGTTCATGTAATTAAAAAGTTGGGAAGGGGGACGAGTGTGGTGGCTCACGTCTGTGATCCCACGTCTGTGTTGCCAGCACTTTGGGAGGCCAAAGCGGGCGGATTACCTGAGATCAGGAGATAGAGACCAGCCTGGCCAACATGGCGAAAACCCGTCTCTACTAAAAATACAAGAATTAGCTGGGCATGGTGTCGCCCGCCTGTAATCCCAGCTACTTGGGAGGCTGAGGCAGGCGAATCGCTTGAACCCAGGAGGTGGAGGTTGCAGTGAGCCCAGATCGCGCCATTTGCCCTCCAGCCTGGGCGACAGAGCACGACTCTGTCTCGAGAAGAAAAAAAAAAAGTTAAGCAACAACTAGCCTCAAGTACCACTCGATCAGACAATGTTAGCAAAACCCACTTTCTTTCTCTCCATTTCTTGGATCCACTTTATGCTATCTTGGCTCCATTCTCATCTTCTCAGATTCTCAGATTCTCCCCTCACAGTTAAAAAATGACGTAGCTGTTTCAGCTCAATATGCCTTCAGATTCATGCCCTGCAGGAAAGAGGGTACCACTTTCAATATGCTTAAAATAGATGTCCAGGAATTGAGGCTTATTGACTCATTAAAAAAAGAAATGGGTTATATGTGATCCACAAGACCTGGGTTTGGAGCTTCATCTGGGTGAGTGTGGCTGCTAGAGATTGATGACTTAGATGCTGACGTGCAAATAATGAGCGCCCACTCTGTGGTGAGAATCTGGGATCCAGGCTCCGTATCAACTGATCTTTTCACAGGACAAATTCATTGTGAAGGCTCAACGGTCACGTTGAACATAAATCCAGATTATACAGCATGAGGATGAAGGAGAAAAATCTCAACTCATACCTCAGAGAAAGTCGTTAAAAAGAATATGATCATATCACCCGGTTCAGAGCAATTGGCTCGAATAGCACTGTGTTATTTACAGCTGCTCCACAGCCCATTAGGAAATCCTGAAACCAATGCTAAGGTGTTTCTCAGATATGTGTGCAGGGATGGATGAGGGGGAGAGAAGGGGGAATCTATGTAAGCCGTTGTGTCTGTTGGATCTGAGTAAGTGTGGTATGTGGATGAGAAGGGGGCATTTTAAATTAGATCAGATAAACCAGGGCTTAGTGTTAAATCTTCCATTATTTTTTGTCTCTTAGCCATATTATCATATCATTTATGACATGGAAAAAGTAGAAAGAGAAATGTATGATATCACCTTAATTCATCAGCTATCAGGAGATTTAAAAGTAAGTTACAAAACACTTCTAAAAATGAAGAATCATAATGTCACTATGCCAACAGTAACACACATTGTCAATAATTGGTAGTTGGGAGATGTATGGATTATTCTGGATCTTGGCATAAACCAGTGGCACCACAATGAGCCAGCTGCTTAACCTTCCTGGGGATCATATTAGGTTCCTTAATTATATTATTATGAAACAACTTCGCGTTTCCCAAATTATGTCCTATAAGATATTAGCGCATGTAGCATAAGAAAAGCTTCCAGTGTTCCAGTGGGCTTGAGAAACACTGTATTTTAAGAAATTAAATGTAATTTATGATAGAACTTTTTATAGCCTTTAATATACAAATGAACATTGTAGGTCTCCAGGTATATAATATTCACTGATTCTCACGTATATTTAATCCAAAAATTTTAATGTACAAGTTGTATTGTGAGCTATCATAAAAAGCTCCTACAAATAAATGTTGGAATTCATCTCATTATTTTAAAAAAGAGGATTTTCTAAAGTTACTTAGGATCTTACTTCCAGAGATTCTACTAATGACTAAATTATAATATTTTTTCCATAAGCAGCTATCATTCCTTTAAAATACTGAGATAAGGGATAGTGTGATTATATTCATATAATAAATAATTAGAAGTAATTACAACTCACTGGAGTAATTCCGATATAAATTTAAACGTGGGCATAACGTACAACATATTTGTTTCCCCTAGATATATCAGATGAAACAATTGGAATCATATATAAGTGAAACTGTGATTTTTTTCTGAAAAATTTATTAATTAACAGATAAAATGTTTGATGTTAAAATAGTCTCAGGCATTGAAAGGTAGCTAAAATTTTCATTTTCGGAAACAGCTTTTATGTATTATACACAAGTAATTCTTATAAATCATGAAATATTTAAATTTATTAAATTTATTACTTTGGGGAAATTGCATATAAAAGAAAGGAAAAATACCTGAAAAGTCAAAGAGCAATGATCAGTGAAAACACTAGCCTATTCTTTTTTTTTAAATTTTATTATTAAGTTTTAGGGTACATGTGATGATATTAATATTGCTATCTAGCAAACAGCACTACCCCTTTTAGAATACTAACATTAGTTAGAAGGTGATTAAACAGCAAGTGGTTGACAGTCCCCGAGAGAAGATAAAAATAGATTTGTTATTATTTTGGCAAGGAGTCATTGGATCCCATAAGGCGCATAAATGATTTTCTGACTTTGCAATGTGATGGCCAGTTTCCCAGCTTTTAAATTTTACCAATAAAACACGGGCAGACTACAGTGTGAATTTGAATTTCCTCTCCCCATATTTTCCTTTCCCCACTTTCATTTCCTTTCCCTCTCAAATGCTAAACATATTTCCCATGTCTCTTTTCACCAACACCTGCTCTCTTCCAGCGGAGATTTTCACAGTTAATTTCTCTCCCATTGTTTTGGGGTATGGGCTTTACCTGGTGAAGGTATGTACCCTTGAGTCTTTGCTTTTAAATTACCTCATGATACTCTGTACATGAAATTTCATGTAACTCGAGAAGCTTTCCTTTTCTTTTTCTTCCTCTGGTCTTTTATATGTAGGGATTGTGATCTCCAAGCATGTCTAGAATCATGCTAATTTTCTTAGCTAAAAAGCATTCCTTCCATCTAACTTTGCCTTTTCACCACCATCCACCATCTTCAAATGCAAATCTAGGAAGATACAGACTTTTTTTTTTTTTTTCTTGAGGAAAAGTCTCTCTAACTAGGAGGGTCGGTTTCATCACAGAGAATTTTTTTTTAAGTTTTTTTTCTTTTATTATTATACTTTAAGTTTTAGGGTACATGTGGCACATTGTGCAGGTTAGTTACATCTGTATACATGTGCCATGCTGGTGTGCTGCACCCACTAACTTGTCATCTAGCATTAGGTATATTTCCCAATGCTATCCCTCCCCCCTCCCCCCACCCCACAAGAGTCCCCAGAGTGTGATGTTCCCCTTCCTGTGTCCATGTGATCTCATTGTTCAACTCCCACCTATGAGTGAGAATATGCAGTGTTTGTTTTTTTGTTCTTGCGATAGTTTACTGAGAATGATGATTTCCAATTTCATCCATGTCCCCACAATGGACATGAACTCATCATTTTTTATGGCTGCATAGTATTCCATGGTGTATATGTGCCACATTTTCTTAATCCAGTCTATCATTGTTGGACATCTGGGTTGGTTCCAAGTCTTTGCTATTGTGAATAATGCCGCAATAAACATATGTGTGCATGTGTCTTTATAGCAGCATGATTTATAGTCCTTTGGGTATATACCCAGTAATGGGATGGCTGGGTCTAATGGTATTTCTAGTTCTAGATCCCTGAGGAATCGCCACACTGACGTCCACAATGGTTGAACTAGTTTACCCTCCCACCAACAGTGTAAAAGTGTTCCTATTTCTCCACATCCTCTCCAGCACCTGTTGTTTCCTGACTTTTGAATGATTGCCATTCTTACTGGTGTGAGATGGTATCCCATTGTGGTTTTGATTTGCATTTCTCTGATGGGCAGTGATGATGAGCATTTTTTCATGTGTTTTTTGGCTGCATAAATGTCTTCTTTTGAGAAGTGTCTGTTCATGTCCTTCGCCCACTTTCTGATGGGGTTGTTTGTTTTTTTCTTGTAAATTTGTTTGAGTTCATTGTGGATTGTGGATATTAGCCCTTTGTCAGATGAGTAGGTTGCGAAAATTTTCTCCCATTTTGCAGGTTGCCTGTTTACTCTGATGGTAGTTTCTTTTGCTGTGCAGAAGCTCTTTAGTTTAATGAGATCCCAGTTGTCAATTTTGGCTTTTGTTGCCATTGCTTTTGGTGTTTTAGACATGAAGTCCTTGCCCATGCCTATGTCCTGAATGGTAATGCCTAGGTTTTCTTCTAAGGTTTTTATGGTTTTAGGTCTAACGTTTAAGTCTTTAATCCATCTTGAATTGATTTTTGTATAAGGTGTAAGGAAGGGATCCAGTTTCAGCTTTCTACATATGGCTAGCCAGTTTCCCCAGCACCATTTATTAAATAGGGAATCCTTTCCCCATTGCTTGTTTTTCTCAGGTTTGTCAAAGATCAGATAATTGTAGATATGCGGCGTTATTTCTGAGGGCTCTGTTCTGTTCCATTGATCTATATCTCTGTTTTGGTACCAGTACCATGCTGTTTTGGTGACTGTAGCCTTGTAGTATAGTTTGAAGTCAGGTAGCGTGATGCCTCCAGCTTTGTTCTTTTGGCTTAGGATTGACTTAGCGATGCGGGCTCTTTTTTGGTTCCATATGAACTTTAAAGTAGTTTTTTCCAGTTCTGTGAAGAAAGGCATTGGTAGCTTGATGGGGATGGCATTGAATCTGTAAATTACCTTGGGCAGTATGGCCATTTTCATGATATTGATTCTTCCTATCCATGAGCATGGAATGTTCTTCCATTTGTTTGTATCCTCTTTTATTTCGTTGAGCAGTAGTTTGTAGTTCTCCTTGAAGAGGTCCTTCACATCCCTTGTAAGTTGTATTCCTAGGTATTTTATTCTCTTTGAAGCAATTGTGAATGGGAGTTCACTCATGATTTGGCTCTCTGTTTGTCTTTTCTTGGTGTATAAGAATGCTTGTGATTTTTGTACATTGATTTTGTATCCTGAGACTTTGCTGAAGTTGCTTATCAGCTTAAGGAGATTTTGGGCTGAGACAATGGGGTTTTGTAGATATACAATCATGTCATCTGCAAACAGGGACAATTTGACTTCCTCTTTTCCTAATTGAATACCCTTGATTTCCTTCTCTTGCCTAATTGCCCTCGCTAGAACTTCCAACACTATGTTGAATAGGAGTGGTGAGAGAGGGCATCCCTGTCTTGTGCCAGTTTCCAAAGGAATGCTTCCAGTTTTTGCCCATTCAGTATGATATTGGCTGTGGGTTTGTCATAGATAGCTCTTATTATTTTGAAATACGTCCCATCAATACCTAATTTATTGAGAGTTTTTAGCATGAAGGGTTGTTGAATTTTGTCAAAGGCCTTTTCTGCATCTATTGAGATAATCATGTGGTTTTTGTCTTTGGTTCTGTTTATATGCTGGATTATATTTATTGATTTGTGTATATTGAACCAGCCTTGCATCCCAGGGATGAAGCCCACTTGATCATGGTGGATAAGCTTTTTGATGTGCTGCTGGATTCGGTTTGCCAGTATTTTATTGAGGATTTTTGCATCAATGTTCTTCAAGGATATTGGTCTAAAATTCTCTTTTTTGGTTGTGTCTCTGCCTGGCTTTGGTATTAGAATGATGCTGGCCTCATAAAATGAGTTAGGGAGGATTCCCCCTTTTTCTATTGATTGGAATAGTTTCAGAAGGAATGGTGCCAGTTCCTCCTTGTACCTCTGGTAGAATTCGGCTGTGAATCCATCTGGTCCTGGACTCTTTTTGGTTGGAAAGCTATTGATTATTGCCACAATTTCAGATCCTGTTATTGGTCCATTCAGAGATTCAACTTCTTCCTGGTTTAGTCTTGGGAGAGTGTATGTGTCAAGGAATTTATCCATTTCTCCTAGGTTTTCTAGTTTATTTGCATAGAGGTGTTTGTAGTATTCTCTGATGGTAGTTTGTATTTCTGTGGGATGGGTGGTGATATCCCCTTTATCATTTTTTATTGCATCTATTTGATTCTTCTCTCTTTTTTTCTTTATTAGTCTTGCTAGCGTTCTATCAATTTTGTTGATCCTTTCAAAAAACCAGCTCCTGGATTCATTAATTTTTTGAAGGGTTTTTTGTGCCTCTATTTCCTTCAGTTCTGCTCTGATTTTAGTTATTTCTTGCCTTCTGCTAGCTTTTGAATGTGTTTGCTCTTGCTTTTCTAGTTCTTTTAATTGTGATGTTAGGGTGTCAATTTTGGATCTTTCCTGCTTTCTCTTGTGGGCATTTAGTGCTATCAATTTCCCTCTACACACTGCTTTGAATGTGTCCCAGAGATTCTGGTATGCTGTGTCTTTGTTCTCGTTGGTTTCAAAAACATCTTTATTTCTGCCTTCATTTCTTTATGTACCCAGTAGTCATTCAGGAGCAGGTTGTTCAGTTTCCATGTAGTTGAGCGGTTTTGAGTGAGATTCTTAATCCTGAGTTCTAGTTTGATTGCACTGTGGTCTGAGAGACAGTTTGTTATAATTTCTGTTCTTTTACATTTGCTGAGGAGAGCTTTACTTCCAAGTATGTGGTCAGTTTTGGAATAGGTGTGGTGTGGTGCTGAAAAAAATATATATTCTGTTGATTTGGGGTGGAGAGTTCTGTAGATGTCTATTAGGTCTGCTTGGTGCAGAGCTGAGTTCAATTCCTGGGTATCCTTGTTGACTTTCTGTCTCATTGATCTGTCTAATGTTGACAGTGGGGTGTTAAAGTCTCCCATTATTAATGTGTGGGAGTCTAAGTCTCTTTGTAGGTCACTCAGGACTTGCTTTATGAATCTGGGTGCTCCTGTGTTGGGTGCATATATATTTAGGATAGTTTGCTCTTCTTGTTGAATTGATCCCTTTACCATTATGTAATGGCCTTCTTTGTCTCTTTTGATCTTTGTTGGTTTCAAGTCTGTTTTATCAGAGACTAGGATTGTAACCCCTGCCTTTTTTTGTTCTCCATTTGCTTGGTAGATCTTCCTCCATCCTTTTATTTTGAGCCTATGTGTGTCTCTGCACGTGAGATGGGTTTCCTGAATACAGCACACTGATGGGTCTTGACTCTTTATCCAATTTGCCAGTCTGTGTCTTTTAATTGGAGCATTTAGTCCATTTACATTTAAAGTTAATATTGTTATGTGTGAATTTGATCCTGTCATTATGATGTTAGCTGGTTATTTTGCTCGTTAGTTGATGCAGTTTCTTCCTAGTCTCGACGGTCTTTACATTTTGGCATGATTTTGCAGCGGCTGGTACCGCTTGTTCCTTTCCATGTTTAGCGCTTCCTTCAGGACCTCTTTTAGGGCAGGCCTAGTGGTGACAAAATCTCTCAGCATTTGCTTGTCTGTAAAGTATTTTATTTCTACTTCACTTGTGAAGCTTAGTTTGGCTGGATATGAAATTCTGGGTTGAAAATTCTTTTCTTTAAGAATGTTGAATATTGGCCCCCACTCTCTTCTGGCTTGTAGGGTTTCTGCCGAGAGATCCGCTGTTAGTCTGATGGGCTTCCCTTTGAGGGTAACCCAACCTTTCTCTCTGACTGCCCTTAACATTTTTCCCTTCATTTCAACTTTGGTGAATCTGACAATTATGTGTCTTGGAGTTGCTCTTCTCGAGGAGTATCTTTGTGTCGTTCTCTGTATTTCGTGAATCTGAATATTGGCCTGCCTTGCTAGATTGGGGAAGTTCTCCTGGATAATATCCTGCAGAGTATTTTCCAACTTGGTTCCATTCTCCCCATCACTTTCAGGTACAGCAATCAGACGTA
Source organism: Homo sapiens (assembly GCF_000001405.40). Classification (NCBI taxonomy): domain Eukaryota; kingdom Metazoa; phylum Chordata; class Mammalia; order Primates; family Hominidae; genus Homo; species Homo sapiens. The sequence continues at coordinate 44,580,302 of NC_000005.10, read as the reverse complement.
GATTTGGTCTTTTCACATAGTCCCATATTTCTTGGATGCTTTGCTCATTCCTTTTTGGTCTTTTTTCTCTAAACTTCCCTTCTTGCTTCATTTCATTCATTTCATCTTCCATTGCTGATACCCTTTCTTCCAGTTGATCGCATCGGCTCCTGAGGCTTCTGCATTCTTCACGTAGTTCTCGAGCCTTGGTTTTCAGCTCCATCAGCTCCTTGAGGCACTTCTCTGTATTGGTTATTCTAGTTATACATTCTTCTAACTGTTTTTCAAAGTTTTCAACTTCTTTGCCTTTGGTTTGAATGTCCTCCCATAGCTCAGAGAACCCTTCTTCTCTCAGCTCGTCAAAGTCATTCTCCGTCCAGCTTTGTTCCGTTGCTGGTGAGGAACTGCGTTCCTTTGGAGGAGGAGAGGCACTCTGCTTTTTAGAGTTTCCAGTTTTTCTGTTCTGTTTTTTCCCCATCTTTGTGGTTTTATCTACTTTTGGTCTTTGATGGTGATGTACAGATGGGTTTTTGGTGTGGATGTCCTTTCTGTTTGTTAGTTTTCCTTCTAACAGACAGGACCCTCAGCTGCAGGTCTGCTGGAGTACCCTTCCTTGTGAGGTGTCAATGTGACCCTGTTGGGGGGTGCCTCCCAGTTAGGCTGCTTGGGGGTCAGGGGTCGGGCACCCACTTGAGGAGGCAGTCTGCCCCTTCTCAGATCTCCAGCTGCGTACTGGGAGAACCACTGCTCTCTTCAAAGCTGTCAGACAGGGACATTTAAGTCTGCAGAGGTTACTGCTGTCTTTTTTTTGTCTGTGCCCTGCCCCCAGAGGTGGAGCCTACAGAGGCAGGCAGGCCTCCTTGAGCTGTGGTGGGCTGCACCCAGTTCGAGCTTCCCGGCTGCTTTGTTTACCTAAGCAAGCCTGGGCAATGGTGGGCGCTCCTCCCCCAGCCTTGCCGCAGCCTTGCAGTTTGATCACAGACTGCTGTGCTAGCAATCAGTGAGACTCCGTGGGTGTAGGACCCTCTGAGCCAGGTGCGGGATATAATCTGGTGGTGCGCCTTTTTTTAAGCCCGTCGGAAAAGTGCAGTATTCGGGTGGGAATGACCTGATTTTCCAGGTGCTGTCTGTCACCCCTTTCTTTGACTAGGAAAGGGAACTCCCTGACCCCTTGCGCTTCCCGAGTGAGGCAATGCCTCACCCTGCTTCGGCTTGCCCACGGTGTGCGCACCCACTGACCTGCGCCCACTGTCTGGCACTCCCTAGTGAGATGACCCCGGTACCTCAGATGGAAATGCAGAAATCACCTGTCTTCTGCGTCGCTCACGCTGGGAGCTGTAGACCGGAGCTGTTCCTATTCGGCCATCTTGGCTCCTCCCAGGGTGAGAATTTTTTTTTTTTTAATTTTGGTTTAATCATGTTTATTAGAACAAGAACAGCATGTTTGTTGTGATACCTGGACACGTATTTCTATCGCTAGCCAAACTCTAATGATCTTCAGCCAACAGACTTTCATAGGTAAAAAGCTTCACAAATAAAATAAAAAAGATTTTTCCATTAAAATTTATCTCTGCCTGCTTTGTCTGTTCATTAGTTTGAAAGGAATAAAACCAAGCAAAGTTGCTTATAGCATAAGGAGATTTTGGGCTGAGATGATGGGGTTTTCTAGATATACAATCATGTCATCTGCAAACAGGGACAATTTGACTTCCTCTTTTCCTAATTGAATATCCTTGATTTCCTTCTCCTGCCTAATTGCCCTGGCCAGAACTTCCAACACTATGTTGAATAGGAGTGGTGAGAGAGGGCATCCCTGTCTTGTGCCAGTTTTCAAAGGGAATGCTTCCAGTTTTTGCCCATTCTGTATGATATTGGCTGTGGGTTTGTCATAGATAGCTCTTATTATTTTGAGATACATCCCATCAATGCCTAATTTATTGAGAGTTTTTAGCATGAAGGTTGTTGAATTTTGTCAAAGGCCTTTTCTGCATCTATTGAGATAATCATGTGGTTTTTGTCATTGGTTCTGTTTATAAGCTGGATTACTTTTATTGATTTGTGTATGTTGAACCAGGCTTGTATCCCAGGGATGAAGCCCACTTGATCATGGTGGGCTGGATCATGTTGGGGTGGATTTTTGATGTGCTGCTGGATTCGGTTTGCCAGTATTTTATTGAGGATTTTTGCATCTATGTTCATCAGGGATATTGGTCTAAAATTCTCTTTTTTGTTGTTGTGTCTCTGCCAGGCTTTGGTATCAGTATGATGCTGGCCTCATAAAATGAGTTAGGGAGGATTCCTTCTTTTTCTATTGATTGGAATAGTTTCAGAAGGAATGGTACCAGTTCCTCCTTGTACCTCTGGTAGAATTCGGCTGTGAATCCATCTGGTCCAGGACTTGTCTCAGGATACAAAATCAATGTGTAAAAATCACAAGCATTCTTATACACCAATAACAGGCAAACAGAGAGCCAAATCATGGCTGAACTCCCATTCACAATTGCTTCTAAGAGAATAAAATACCTAGGAATCCAACTTACAAGGGATGTGAAGGACCTCTTCAAGGAGAACTACAAAACACTGCTCAACGAAATAAAAGAGGATACAAACAAATGAAAGAACATTCCATGCTCATGGGTAGGAAGAATCAATATCATGAAAATGGCAATATTGCCCAAGGTAATTTACAGATTCAATGCCATCCCCATGAAGCTACCAATCACTTTCTTCACAGAATTGGAAAAAACTGCTTTGAAGTTCATGTGGAACCAAAAAAGAGCCTGCATCGCCAAGTCAATCCTAAGCCAAAAGAACAAAGCTGGAGGCATCACACTACCTGACTTCAAACTATACTACGAGGCTACAGTCACCAAAACAGCATGGTACTGGCACCAAAACAGAGATATAGACCAATGCAACAGAACAGAGCCCTCAGAAGTAATGCCGCATATCTACAGCTATCTGATCTTTGACAAACCTGAGAAAAACAAGCAATGGAGAAAGGATTCCCTATTTAATAAATGGTGCTGGGAAAACTGGCTAGCCATATGTAGAAAGCTGAAACTGGATCCCTTCCTTACACCTTACACAAAAATTAATTCAAGATGGATTAAAGATTTAAATGTTAGACCTAAAACCATAAAAACCCTAGAAGAAAACCTAGGCAATACCATTCAGGACATAGGCATGGGCAAGGACTTCATGTCTAAAACACCAAAAGCAATGGTAACAAAAGCCAAAATTGACAAATGGGATCTAATTAAACTAAAGAGCTTCTGCACAGCAAAAGAAACCACCATCAGAGTGAACAGGCAACCTACAGAATGGGAGAAAATTTTTGCAATCTACTCATCTGACAAAGGGCTAATATCCAGAATCTACAATGAACTCAAACAGATTTACAAGAAAAAAACAACCCCATCAAAAATTGGGTGAAGGATATGAACAGACACTTCTCAAAAGAAGACATTTATGCAGCCAAAAAGACACATGAAAAAATGCTCATCATCACTGGCCATCAGAGAAATGCAAATCAGAACCACAATGAGATACCATCTCACGCCAGTTAGAATGGTGGTCATTCAAAAGTCAGGAAACAACAGGTGCTGGAGAGGATGTGGAGAAATAGGAACACTTTTACACTGTTGGTGGGACTGTAAACTAGTTCAACCATTGTGGAAGTCAGTGTGGTGATTCCTCAGGGATCTAGAACTGGGTATATACCCAAAGGATTATAAATCATGCTGCTATAAAGACACATGCACACATATGTTTATTGTGGCATTATTCACAATAGCAAAGACTTGGAACCAAGCCAAATGTCCAACAATGATAGACTGGATTAAGAAAATGTGGCACATATACACCATGGAATACTATGCAGCCATTAAAAATGTTGAGTTCATGTCCTTTGTAGGGACATGGATGAAGCTGGAAACCATCATTCTCAGTAAACTATCGCAAGGACAAAAAACCAAACACTGCATGTTCTCACTCATAGGTGGGAATTGAACAATGAGAACACATGGACACAGGAAGGGTAACATCACACACCCACCGGGGCCTGTTGTGGGGTGGGGGGAGGGGGGATGGATAGCATTAGGAGATATACCTAACGTTAAATGATGAGTTAATGGGTGCAGCACACCAACATGGCACATGTATACATATGTAACAAACCTGCACGTTGTGCACATGTACCCTAAAACTTAAAGTATAATAAAAAGAAAAATAAAATAAAACCCTGCAAAGTGTTAACGCCTGCCTGATGTGTGACTATCCTTGACATCATTCAGTGTCACTACTTTAGAGAACATTATCCACAGTAAATGCTCTATGGCATCTCCGAAACTGACCCCTTCCTGTGTCCTGTTCTATAGTTCATTGTTGCCTTAGTTTTCTATCTGCACTATAAATCAACCTCATTTCTATTTTAAAATGCTTCAAAGTTTTTTCTTCCCACCTTTCCTACTTCTTCCTGCTCCACGCCAATTCTATCTTACCTGAGTTTCAGTCACAATAAATATGTGCATGATCTCTGAGGATGCATGGCTGTGTGTGTGCGTGTCGCAATTTCATATTTGGTTCATTCCTGCTAGATTTCTGTTGTCCTTTTCTCTGTTTGAAGCATTCCTAGTCATTATTCTAGAGTCAAATTTTACTTCGTCTGTAAAATTGTTTCTTACTTTCCCTAGGTGTTACCTCCACCCTCATTTATACCTCCTTATGTATTTTACATGCTGCTGGTTTACACTGTATTATATTACATGTATCTATGTATATCTTTCTTCTGTACACTGCACATAAGAGTGCAAGCCAATGATCACTAAGGTCAATAAATGGCACCCCTTTTCCCTGTCTGTCAAAACCAATTGGAAAACAGAGAAGTCAAGCAGACAGAGGACAAAATATCACTCCTCCAGTGGGTAAAAATGATGTAAGAGAATATGTCCTAGGCCTGAGTACCAGGTGGGCTTTTTATTGTTTCAGCCCTCAAGTAGAGGTACCACCCAATTGTAGGTAGCCTGAGCTGTCATGGGAACAGAGCTTATCTGAAAAGCTCACCACTTGGCCAGGAGCAGTGGAAACCCACGTTCCTTGCAAGCAAGCAGATATGAGGAGAGAAAGGGGATGAGACCACTTTGCCAGTTCCTTCTTTCTAAGTCATCAGTCAAATAAATACATCACTCCCCACCCTGGAAATGACAGAGAGATGGAGGATGGGGCAGAGGAATGGGGACAGAGCAGGCGTGTTCCTCCAGTGAAATACGAAGAAAAGGAAAGGAGGTTCCCACATGTGGTAGTTTTACAAAATGTCTCCACATGTTTTGGTACTCCTCCCTTCCAGAGGCAGAATCTTTTATAATTCCCCTCCCTTGAGGGTGGACTGGACCTAGTGACTCACTTCTAGCGAAAACAATAAAGGGAAAGTGATTGTGTGAGACTTCAGAAATTAGCTTGTAAAAGGCACCATGACTTCCTTCTTGCATTGTGTCACTCACTCTGAACGACATTAGCTGCTGTGCTGTCAGGATACACAGGGGCCCTGTGGTCACAAACTCCGGCCTCCAGCTAACAGTCATTGCCTCTAAATTCTTAATCCAGACATTGCACTCAAAAGGAAGAGTCACACCGTGCTTAAAAATACTGGGTTTTCTCCTGGGTTTTCCAGTGAAGCCACTTCTCATGTGCGCCCTACCTACTTGTGCTTCTTGTAACACTGGGTCGTTAACTTGCTGCCTATTAATTTTATTGACTCTACATATGCAGCAGGCTATCCCCATGTTTTGTTGCATCATGGATATTCTCTCTATGTCCAAGGGTTGTCCTACAAGAAGCCAAGGGCTTCCATAGACTAGAAGGGAAAAAAAAAAAAAAAAAAAAAAAAAAAAAAAAAAAAAAAAGGAGGTTAATCTGTAGGATTCAAGACTAGACCAAAATGAAGATGCCAAGAACTGGGAAGATATGGGACCCTATTTATGTCCCATCAATAGAGTCTAAGGACTAGTGATATGGCCAGGAAAATTAGGAGTAATGCTGATTGTGTAATTTATAAATATTCATATTGCTTATGACTGCAGTTTCCAGCTGCTTAGAAAGTAGGGCCTCCTTCCCAGCCAGTCCCCTTCACCTCTCCCTAAAGTGTCTAATGATCTGTCCATCCACCAAGGGGACAATGATGGGGCAAACCAGCCCCTCCATAATCAAGAAAACTTTATTCTGAGAATTCCAAAAGTTAAAACCTCAATCAATAAACCTCAATGCAGAGCTCCTTTTTTTCTTCTGAGCGTATACTGTAATTCGCTTTCATTTCAGATATATATCTGAATATTCTTTTAGATATATACATTACCTTGTTTACTTTGACTCTGTTGATTTCCAATGTATACCTAAGCTCTTTTCAAATGTCTATTTTACCTCTGGTTATTATTACACTCTTATAAACTTGAATTGTTTTTCAAATGTATGTTATAAGTCTGTTTACATTTGAGTACAAGAAACTCCTTTCCCTGTAGATATCAAAATAATTTCTGGACTGGAAGAGTGTGGGAGGATTTGGAGCTGTGCTTATGGTATGTGAAGAATCAAGATGACATAGGTGCTGGTTGCAAGCTTGGGAAGGCTCTCCTTAGTTATTACTACATGTGTATATCAAGGAAATAATAGAAATCATGTTTCACAACTATTATTAATAAATTTGTGCCATTTTTATATTTCCTGAATCTGTTGTTCTTTAACTTTATGCTTCATTCCTTTTTTCAGAACTACTTGTTATTTTAAAAATTTCCTTACAGATATTATAAAAGACCTAGAATTTCAGTAGAAAAAAAAAGACAGTTGGTTTGAAAGATCAATGTGCTCCAGCTTCATAAAATGCTCCATGGTGGTAGATTTCAAGTTCAAACAAGTTTTGAAAATGATGCATACTCTCTCCTCCTTTTTGGAAGTCAGAACGCAAAATTGTATTTTGAAAAAGCTGAGGCAACCTTCATAAAGAAGACTGGTTCACTTAGTCTAACCCAATATTGGACCCAGGAATAATTTTTTCATCAAAAGCCAGGACTATAGTAAGAGGAATGAAGTGAGTGAGACATTTGCCTGAGGCTCAAAATTTAAGGAAACACCAAAAATCTCAATAGTCAACATAGATAATATTTTGATATGATATTTTTAAAAACCAAAATTAATGCAAAAAATCAATGATGAACAAGTTAGCAAAATTTGAAATAAAGACATTATAAATGTTATGTTACTCTACTAGCATGGCAGGAAATACCTGATGAGAAATACAGAATAAGAGCAGCAGGGAGAAAGATTTGATTCTCTATTGATCACTTGCTCTATGGTTGGCACTGGTCTAGGCACAGAGGATACAGCAGCAGCCAAACCGTTGCAGTATTGTTCTTTGGTGGGATAAATAGAAAACACGGCACATATGTAAAATGCATTGGATGTTAGTTATAAGCTCTAAGGTGAAAAACAGCACGAAAGAGGAATAAGAAGAGCTATGTACATTTTGATAAGGGAACCCAGAAATGCTTCTCTGAGGCAATGTCATTGAAGTAAAGACCCAAGAGAGATGAGGGAGCAGCCACGGAGAACAAACACTTTTAAGGGTAAAGGAATAGCGGAGACAAAAGACCTAAGGCAGGAGTATACATGATCTATTCCAGGAACAGCAAGGAAGCAAGTATGGCTGGAGCAGGCAAATGGTCAAGGAAGAAGAGTAGTTTAGGTGAGATGCAATAGATGGGGGGCAAATTATGTAAGGCCTCAAGTCATTATAGGGGCATGGCTTTTACTCTTAGTGAGATAAGAAACCCTTAGAGGACTTGATCAGGGGAGTGACTCGATCTGACTTGCTTTCCCAGATGTACTGTGTAAATAAAACTGGTACCTATTACAATTTTATGCTCCTCTAGGTGTTTTTCTTGGTTAGAAAAAGAAGGGACAATGAGTTCAGTTTTTTGGTGGGTGTATTAGCCTGTTCTCATGCTGCTAATATATACATACCCAATACTAAGTAATTTATAAAGGAGAGGGGTTTAATGGACTCACAGTTTCACATGGCTGGGGAGTCCTTACAATCATAGTGGAAGGCAAATGAGGAGTAAAGACATGTCTTACATGGTGGCAGGCAAGAGAGCTTGTGCAGGGAAACTTCCATTATTAAAACCATTAGATCTTGTGGGACTGATTTACTACCATGAGAACAGTATGGGGGAAACTGCCCTCATAATTCAATTATCCCTCACTGGGTCCCTCCCACGACAGGTGGGGATTATGGGAGCCACAATTCAAGATGAGATTTGGGTGGGGACACAGCCAAAACTTATAAGTGGCTAGGGGTTATATTCCCGGGTTGTGAAAACAGGGTTTGTACATAGTCTCACAAGGGAGGTTAAGGGTAAAGTTGGGATAATATTTCACAAACCCATCTTTACGTCTCATCAATAGAGTCGTCAAGAGCCACATCAATAAACTTGATTTTTAAGTATACAGATAAATGTAGATAGATAGGCATAGAAGTAGCTGTAGATAGAGCTGAAGTTGCAGCTGTAGATGTTGATGTGTAAATGCATATGGATATGGAAACGGATATATAAAATGGTATATTCTAATTATAGTATTATTTAAGATTTCTTTTCTTATGTTTATCGACTATTTGGATGTATAATTTGTATCCTTCTTAATCAAACATGAGAATGCATGTGATGTTCAGAACTTAAAAGATGAGACATCTTTTTGCTTGTGCCTGTGTGTGTGTGGGGGGGGTGTGTGTCTCTGTTTGTGTGTGTGTTTGTGTGTGTGATTTCCTGTTATTAAGGGCTGGCACAGAATTTTATAATATTCTCTGCTTCTAATATAAACTGGTTTAGTATCCAGAACTTTAATCTCTTTTAAGTTTTCTTACTTAATTTATTTTTAGAATTTGTGAAACAAGAAGCATTTTGCATGTTGGAAGTTGGCCTTATTTGTGAATATTGCTACGTCAAATTTTCATCAAGATTGGTAGCAGACAGCTGCTGATATGCGGAGTCAGGTGCCAAAATCTACTCTCTGTTATATGAATATAAAAGCAATTTTTACTGAAATCAACAAAAGATTTACCCAGACCCCAATTTCTATCAAAAGCCAAAATCTGACCTTAATTTCTGTTTACATAACCCTATCTATTTCACCATTTACAAATGAAAAATGTCATTGAGTGCTTTTTGTCATACACACATTGAGGCTTTATCTATTTGAGGCACTACTGAAAAAGAACAGAGTTATGACTTGAACCAACTGACCTACTCTTCTCTACAGTAGCCAGGCACAAATCTCAGCTTTCAGCACATTTGCAATAATAAAATATGGCTTTGTACTGATCTCCAGCCTAATCTATTTTATTACATCCAGAGAGACTTTTATAATCTCTGGAAGTGATGTTCATAGTGGTAATATATGGTGATACTATGACAGCATTTTCTGCAAGAATATATTCTTGTTAGTAGTCACTTTAGCCCAGAAAGTCACATGCAAGCACTCCCTCTATAATGCTTTTCCACAGAACGATGGAAGGAATCCCAAGAAAAAGATCCCTTTTGGCTGTTGAAATGTGTCATTATGAATGGGTGTTCAAGACATTTTGATCGTTTTAGAGGCCCATAAATTTCATGAGTGGAGATATTCCTTTGTCACAGTGTGATCTAAATCAGCTCTGATCAAAGATCAAAATTCCTTCCAGGTTAATCAAAAGATCATACAGAATTTGTGTCCAATTGTGGTTACTGCTGTCATCAGTAGGAATCAGAGGATTCCTTAGATATCAGATGGCAAGACTCAAAAAACAAGGTATAGGTATGAACCAGAGTCTGAGCTTCACAGAAACAGTAGCATGATGGCATAGAGTCAGACAGTGAGGGAGGTTGTTAGAGACTGAATTGTGTCCCCCAAAATTCACAAATTGAAGCCCTCATCCCCCATATGACTGTATTTGGAGATGGCCCTTTAAGGAAGTAATTAAGGTTAAAAGAGGTAATGAAGGTGCGGGTGTAATTTAATATGACTGGTGTCCTTATAAGAGAAAGGGGCATTAAAGATATGCACAGAGAAAAGACTACGTGAGGACACAGCAGAAGATGGCAATTGGCAAGCCAAGGAGAGAGTCTTCAGGAGAAACCAAATCTGCTGTCACCTTCATATTGGACTTTCATGCTGCAGAACTGTGAGAAAATAAATCTCTGTTTAAGCCACAACTGCTATGATATTTTGCCATGGCAGCCCTAACAGACTAATACAGAGGCCTCAGCCCTTCCTTTTGCTTTATTTTAAAATCATACTAGTATATCACTTGGCTCTTAATAATTTAGAAGGTAGAGAGTATGCTTACAAATACACAGCCTATTTCAAAATATTTACATTACTGTGTAATACAGGCAATGCAATTTTGTGCACACCACTGCAAATGTGATGTCCCTCTTTTTCTTTTCTCTCGTACTGCCTACTGGATTCTCAAATGCAGTCCTGTCTTTTTTTTATTATTTAACTTAAATCCAGAAAAGATGCTCCACAGATATAGATTTTTTTAATAATAAGCTTGAGCTTGATGTTAATTTCCTCAGGGTTAATGCTCAGGTGGCTTTTAGCTATTCTGTCCTGAGGTTAGACCATCCCTAAGTCTTCTCTTCTTTGCCCTTCAGAATCTGAGCCTTTTAGATTCTCCTCCTCTCATCTCCCACTGCCTCACTTCAGCGGTTGCCTTCATATGGAGTAGAGAATGCATACACTAGAAGCTGAATGAAAGGAAGTTGAACCGCTGGAACTATAGAGAGGATGAAGGCGAGAAGGTCCAAAAGAAGCAAAGCTTTTTGCCAAACAAGGGTGGCAATTTGCTGCATGTGGAGAGAGTTAGGCTAAGCCTCATGTCCTGTTGTAGCCCAGGAGCAAGGGATATAGTCCATGGAAACCTCTAATTAACCTTTGCCATGTGAGAGTTTCTGCATCAGGTAGACTATGTCATTTGAACATGAAAAGAAAGAAAACTAACTCTTTTCCAGGTTTCTGTGTATGTGTTTGGCTAGCTAACAGTACAGCCTTTTTTGTTACGGACTGTAGCAGCTTCTCTCTTCTTCGGTAACTTGTGTCATGCTTTAATGTCCAACAGCAAATTTCCATAGTCTAAGATGCTGGCCACTTGGACCCAATCCATTATCAGTTTGTATTCTGACTGTGCTTTCTTTTCATCACAAGAAGTCCAGTTTTTGTCTCAGAAACTTCAAGGAATCTACTTCTCCAAGAAACTCTTATTTCACGCCCAGTTCATGATAGGCCACAGAAGTCCTTGGGGTTAGCATTCAGCTTCCATTTCTCCAAAGGACTGAAAGCAATAAAACTTTTATAAAAAATTGACAAAAGAATCAAATAAAGAAAGGGATGTCCCCATACTTGTCTGTCCAGAATCTCTGGCATGCATAGATAGAGGACCTGCATGATCATTACAACCAGGGTCCATGGCGGATCAAGGAAATAGGCTAAGAAGGACAAAATAGAAACTTCATCCTTACTCATTTCAGGCAAGATGATTAAGTGCAGAAATATCTGGGTCATCAGCTGAGGAGAGCTTGACACCAGTTTAAATTGGAAATAAACAGAGAGTTGTAGAGGAAGGGCAGGGTGACTGGTCAAATGAGAATCTTTGATCAGGTTTCATTAGGTCATCTCATGGAGAATCAGGCTAAAATCTACTATTGGACAAAGAGTTTCTCTCCTACAGGTGAGCAAAAAATGTTATTTAATATATATTTTATATAAGATATACTTCCTAATATCTGAGTTTCTCTAGCTTTAAAATAAATAATCCTCTTCCTTTATGACTGTTATAGGGACATTTTAATAAGATACTTCCCGTAATAGCTGTTAAGTTTCTTTGAGGAAAAACAGAGGAAAACAGAATCTATTATTAACATTAAAAGACTAGTTGATGTTGATCGCTTTATAATGTAGCTTCTGAAAATCTCCCTCAACTCCATGCCTTTAAGCAGATAATTTTAGCTAAGTAATGACTTTCCTAAGTAATGTGTTAGGATGCAAAACAAAACAAAGCTATACATTATAATGTAATCAATGATGAATTCACATTTTAGTTTAAACTGTAGAAAATTCTGAACTTATCAAGAAAATAATTTCAAGATAGCTGTCCTAGATAAAATAGATTACCTCAGAATGTATGTACTAGGAAAATAGAATTTATATTTATTTCTTCCACTGATAACCCAAATAAATGCAGTCATCATTATTTTTCAACAAGACATTATTTTCAGAAACTATTAACTCTTTCAGACCATTTGAATGTGCACAAAACCAAATGGAATGCTTTCAGTCTCAAAAGAATGGAACTTTTCTTAGTGCCTAATTAGTTTTCTTTTTTTAACTTAGGTGATCTGCTCAGAGTCAGGTCACCTCTTCAAAGCAGGCCCAGCAAACTCACATTATACAAGGTCATACTCAGTAGATGGAGTTTCCAAGCATGTCAGGTCATATTTCCTTTGGAGGTACAGGACATAGAGAAAAGTCAGAAAGTACAGGTTAGCCAACAGGCCAACAAACAACTATGTCAATTACTCCCTAGGGTAGTCCACTGCAACTGCGAGAGTCCACACACATAATTATTAGTGACACAAGCATTTGCTTTGGCCAACTTGATGTAACTTCCCACCTGAAATAGTAAACTATATGGGCAAATAAGCCCCCTTTTTTGCATTTTTATCAAACAGGATTCAGTTAGGGTATTTAATCTAATCAAACAATTCACAAATAGTTAATACATTTTTAAAATGTAGGTAAAGTAAATATTTTTATTTAGATTCAAATAAAAGCATGGATATTTGAATTTTATTTCAACCAATAATTGCAGGTATAGGGCTGCAACATTCAACAATCGGTACAGTTAGAGGATTTTTCCTTTTCCTCTTTGATAATTTATTTTCTGGAACTGGTGCTAATAAAAACCAATTTTCAAAAGTCAATTAATCTGAAAAATAATAAAGTAGTACAGTGATATGGCCTATAAACTCACCACTTACATTCAATAGATATATTTCAAAAAGTTGTGCACAAATTTAAATTTTTAAAAAAGAATCATATCAAATACATTAATGGTTTTCAGAGGTAAAAATACTCCAAGATGATCCTTAGAGAAAGCTAATAGAGCTTTCATATAAACATACCTACCAAAAAAAAAGAAAACACTTCTCCAAATTTTTTTTTGTATCTCGGTCTCAAATATTTATGCAAAAATTCTGCAATACTCATGTATTTAGTCTAATGATGTTAACTATCTTCCCAGTAGTAATTTTATTCAGGAAAAGAAAGTCTTACCATAGTCTCTCCTGAAGTGACATCACATTGACTTAGGAAATTTTCTTACACTCTGCCTTGAAGTGATTTCATGCTGGCTATATTAGTTTCCTATTGCTACTACAACAAATTACCACAAACATAGCAGCTTAAAGCAATACCTGTGGGGACTTCTGTGTTCCAGTTTCATATTTAAATAAGCTTAAAACCCTTCTCCCATTTGCCCTGAGAATACTTGCTGGCAGTGCTTTTGGTTGCGGCATTTACCCCAAAATAACTTTGCCACAAAATATCTTGCATTTATTATTATTTTTGTATCACTCTAGTATATCAACTTTGGAAACAAAAGACATCATTCTATTTATGGCATTCTAGTTTTAGTGGTGGTATTTCCATTTACAAAATATAGTAATTCTTGATAGCTAAAAATGTGAAATCCTAGAAATGGTAGCTTTCCTACACATGATGTTAACATCATTCTCGAACAGTTGTTGGCTGAAGATTCATTGGATGAATACGATGTTTCCGAAACAGATGATTCTGATGATTCAGACTATTCTGATGTTAGTTCTGTTTAGAAATAATGCCAATACCAGTTTTTATATTTCATTTTCATGTTGAAAATCAGTCATATTTGCTTCAGCCTCAAAGAGCATGTTTATGTAAAATTAAATGAGCACTGGCAGTGAGCTGCACTTCTTTTTTCTAAATGGCAAAAGGGTTAAAGTCAACATTCTTTCAAACAAGTAAAAAGCTGAACAGACTGAGAAAGCAACAACTCTTCTTGAATCTGTAATAAAGATAAGGACATAGGGCAAACCATTAGCCCCAAGATTGGAGAGACAGATAGACAAATACAGGGAGTCTTGGCTTCACTGAGCAGTGACTCATGAGGAGACACTGCTAGGGGAACCAGTGCCAGGGTAGGAAAACCTGAGCTGTTATTGATGAATTGCTAGCGGCTCAGTGTGGACAAGTCTGAGAGTTAAAAACTCCGGGAGACCCAATCATAGGGAGACTGCCACAATACTGTGAGATTTACCTCCAGGAACTCCACCAGGTTCCCACAGTAAATATGAGAGAAAAGTTCCTTCATGCTTCCAGTAAGGGAAAGGGAAAAGGAACCATTTTGCAATTCACCAGAGTACTCTGTTCTTCTTAACAAGCTTTACCTCAAGAGATATGATTTCACCAGATCCTGATCTGCTGGGATTTTATCAGAGCAGAACTGATTGAGGGAAGGGAAATATCCAATTCCAGCTCATGTCAGCCAACCTGTTCCACCTAAGGGGGAAGAAAAAAACCTAGAAAGACTTGTGACATTCACAGTTCAGTAGCATTAGCCCATTAAAAGACTGAAATGTAATGATAGGACTATAGAGTAAATTTCTCCTCCCCACACACCTCACTACCACATTGCTAAAGGCCTATTTATAGCAGTTCCTCTTACCAGGTACATTATGTCCGGCTGTTAAGAAAAAATCACAAGACATACCAAGAGGCAAAAATACAATTTGGAGAGACAGAGTAAGCATCAGAAACAGATATGGCAGAAATGTTGGACTTATCAGACAAGGAATATAAAACAACTATGATTAATATGCTCAGGGCTCTAATAGATACTGGACAGCATTCAAGAACAGATGAACAGTGTAAGCAGATATATGGAAATCCTATGAAAGAACCAAAAAGAAACACTAGAGATCAGAACCACTGTGACAGAAATGAAGAATGCATTCAAGGAGCTTATTAGTAGACTGGACACAGCTGAGGAAAAAATCTATGATCTTGAGCATATCTCAGTAGAAACTTCCAAAACTGAAAAGTGAGTATAACAAAAACTGAAAAAAAAAAAAAAAAACCAGAATATTTAAGGATTGTGGCACAAATACAAAATGTGTAAATACATATAATGGGAATGTTGGAAGGAGAAGCAAGAAACGAAAAGAAGAAGAAATATTTAAAACAATAATAATTTGGAATTTCTCCAAATTAATATCAGATACCAAACCACAAACCCAGGAAACACAGAGAACGTTAAACTGGATAAATGCAAAAATAAAAAATAAAATAAAAAACACCTATACTATTATTACACCTAGACATGACATTTTTAAACTGCAGAAAATCAAAGATAAGGAAAACATTTCAGAAGAAGTATGAAGACAAAAATACCTTACCTATGAAGGGACAAAGATGAGAATTATATCTGACATCTCCTTAGACACCATGCAAGCAAGAAGAGAATGGAATGAAATATTTAAAGTGTTGAGAGAGTTAAGATACCAACCTAGAATTCTGCAGTTTATGAAATTATCCTTCAACAGTGAAAACCAAAAAATGAAAATAAAAATTGAGGGAATCTGTTGCCAGTAAATCTGCTTTGCAAGAAATGTTAAAATAAGTTCTTTAGAGAGAAGGAAAATTATATAGGTCACAAACTCAGATCTACATTTAAAAAAAGACCATTGAAGAAGAAATAAGTGAGGGTAAAATGAAAATTTTCATTTTTTTACTTAATTGATTTAGCATGTAACAATTTGTTCATAATAACAGCAACAATGTATTCATTTATATTTGCTTATATATGTCTGTATTTATAAATATGTACATATGAGTAAAATATATAACAGTAATGATACAAGGAACAGAATGAAGTAGGATTATTTGGGGTACTCACAACTGCTGAAGTGGTATAGTGTTATTTGAAAGTGGATTTTGATTAGTTGTAAATGTATACTGCAAACTCTAGCACAACCACTAAAAATTTTTTTAAATGTATAACATGTTAACAAAGGTGAGAAAGTGAAATCATAAAATGCTCAATTAGAACAATAAAAGTAGAAAAAGAGTGAAAAACAAATTCAAAATAAAGACAAGGACAACAAATGTAAAATAGTAACATATGGTAGATATTAATCCAATTATATCAATAATCACTTTAAATGTCAGTGATATAACTACATCAATTAAAAGATAGAAATTGTCAGAGTGGATCAAAAAATAAGTCCCAAATACCCAGATACATGTTTTCTAAAGCAACCAACTTTAAATATAAAAACACAAGTAAACCAAAAGTAAAAGGATAGAGAAAAATACACCATGCTAACACCAATCAAAAGAAATAAGGAATCAAAAATAGAAAAAAGGAATAAAGAATAAGGAATCAAACAGAAAAGAAATAATCAAAAGAAATAAGGAATCAAGTAGAAAAGAAATAACTAATCAAAAGACATAAAGAATAGAAAAGAAACAAGGAATTAATTTCAGACAGAACAGGCATCAAATCAAGGAAAGTTATTATGGATAAAGAAAAGCTTTGCATAATGATAAAGGGATATAATAGTACCAGTAATGAACAAGTGGAATTTGAAATTAAAAACATAATATCATTTACCTTAACACCACCAAAAATGAAATACTTAGGAATAAATCTAACAAAATATGTACAACATGTGTATGAGGAAAACTGCAAAACTCTAATGGAAGATAGCAAAGAAGAACTAAATAGAGAAATATGCTATATTCATGGGTGGGAATACTCAATAATGTCACAATGCCCATTCTTCCCAACTTAATTTATAGATTCCATGCAATCCCAATCAAAATCCCAGAAAGTTATTTTGTTGATATTGGCAAACTGATTCTAAAGTTTATACAGAGAGGCAAAAGACCCAGAATAGACAACAAAATATTTTAAAAGAAGAATAAAGTTGGAGAACTCACACTACCTGACCTCAAGGCTTACTGTAAAGCTATAGTAATCAAGATAGTGTGGTATCAGTGAAAGAATAGACAGATTCATAGAACAGAAAGAAGAGCCCAGAAATAGACCCACGTAAATCTAATCAATCAACTTTTGACAAAGGAGCACAGACTATACAATGGACAAAAGATAGTTTTTTTTTTCAACAAATAGTGCTGAAACAAGTGGACATTCATATGCAAGAAAATGAATCTAGACACAGACCTCACACCCTTCACAAGAACTACCACAAAATAGATCATAGCCTAATGTAAAAAACAAAATGGTAAAATATTCAAAAATAATATAGGAGAAAATCTACCTTGGATTCAGCAATGACTTTTAGATATAACACCAAAGGCATGATCCATGGAATAATTAATAAGTTGGACTTTATTAAAATTAAAAACATCTGCTCTGTAAAAAAAAAAAACAATGTCAAGAGAATGAGAAGACAACCCAAAGAGTTGGGGAAATTATTTGCAAAAGACATATTTGATAAAGGACTGTTATCCAAAATATACAAAGAATGCTTAAAATATTCTACCCAATAATGCAGTAAGAAAACCAACAACCCAATTGAAAAATGTACTAAATGTACCAAAAATGTACCAAAAATTGAAAAATGTACAAATGTACTTAACAGCCACCTCACCAAAGAAGATATAGAGACAGCAAATAAGCATATAAAAAGATACTCCACAATCATTGTCATCAGGGGAGTACAAGTTAAAACAACAATGAGATACAGATACACACCTTCAGAATAGCTGAAACCTAGGCCACTGACAACACAAGTGCTGGTAAAGATGTGGAGCAACAGGGAACTCTAATTCACTGCTGGTAGGAATGCAAAATGTTGTAGTCACTTTGGAACACAGTTTGGCATTTTCTTACAAAATAAATATACACTTACCTTATGATCCAGCAATCCCACTCCTTGGTATTTATCCGAAGGATTTGAAAAAAGCATGTTTGTACAAAAACCTGCGCATGAATGTTTATACCAGCTTTATTAATAATCACCAAAACTTGGAAACAACCACGATGTCCTTCAGTACTTTAATGGGTAAACTGTGGTACATCCAGATAATGGAATATTCAGTACTAAAAAGAAATGAGCTGTCAAGCCATGTAAAGATATAAAGGGAACTTAAATGTGTATTATTAAGTGCAAGAAGCCAATCTGAGACAGCTACATACCATATGATTCCAACAATATGGCATTCTGGAAAAAGCAAAGCTATGGAGAGAGTAAAAAGATCAGTAGTCAGAGGCTGGGAGAAGTGAGAGATTAATACAGAGGACTTTTAGGGATGTGAAAACACTCTTTATCATACGATAATGGTGGATATGTGTCATTATATTTGTTCAAACCCATAGAATGTACAACACCAAGAGTGAACTCTAATGTAAACTATGGACTTTGGGTGATTATAATATGTCAATGTAGGGTCATTAATTGTAACAAATGTAGCACTTAGGTCGTGGGTATTGATAATGGGAAAGGCTGTGCATGTGAAGGGGCAGGAGATGTATTGAAAATCTCTGTACCTTCCTCATAATTTTGCTGTGAACCCAAAACTATTAAAAAAAATAAAACAACAACAACAACAACAACAACAACAAACATCCATTATCCCATGGTTCTGTAGGTCAGATATATAGATTGACTCCACTAGTTTTACTGCTCTAGAAACCACAAGGACATAATCAAATTATCAGCTCACTGGTCTCTTATTGAGAGTCCCCAAGAAGGACCCTCTTCCAAGCTCAATCAGGTTGTTGGCAGAATCCAGTTTCTTGGAATTGTAAGGCTGAGGTCTTATTTCTTTGCTGGCTTTCAGCTGGGGGCAACCCTCAGCTGCTAGAGGCTTCTCTCCAATTATTTCACGGGGGTTCCTCCATGTCAGAGCCTGCAACAGTGCATTTAATCTTTCTCATGTTTGAAATCTCTCTGACTTCCTCTCCTGCTTTTAAAGACTCAATGAGACATTGAACCTAACCAGATAATCCAAGAGCATTCCCCTAAAAGTCAACTAATTAGTACCCTTAAGTTATCTGCAAAAAACCTTCCCAGCAGTGTCTAGATTAGCATTTGATTAAATAACCAGAGGACAGGAATCTTGGGGGGTCATCTTTAGCCTTCTGCCCACACACTGACCAATACTGACATCACAAGTGGCTCAAATATAGCCATAGTAAATATCTTTAAAAACCAGTAGTTGTCTTTCGTGCAATGATTTTCCTCTCTTGAGCAATGAGATTCCTCTCTTGAGGAATCTCAACTAAGTTGTACAACCAAACATCTTGAAAAGCTACAGGATATGGAAAGAAGGCAGGCTAAAATTAGAAGTGGAATTATGAGAGAAACAAAACACACCAACACCAAATGTATTTTGATCTTTCATAATGCTGAGATTTTAAAATAAAATTTTGGATGTGGGCTGCATCATGTCACAGCCATTTATATCCACTAAAGGTGAATAAGTGTTTATCATTTAAGGGTATATGCTAAGTGCCTGACCTCACAATAGATATTTTTAGTTCTGATTTAAAAGTGCTTTTATTGAAGAAACTCTCAGTGGAAACAATTTAGCTATCAATTTTTTGCTTTTATTTAGAATCTTTAACTCTGTTTAACTCTGATATTGAAATGGATCAATATCAGGTTTGCCAGGTGATACTTAAACTATATCCACTCATAAGGTTTAGATTTGACTGGACATTAATTAGTGGGAAACACAAAAGCCTTGCAAAATTTATTTTGCATGGGCTAAGGAGCCTCCCAGGAAAGAATTGCTCTTACAGGAATGAGCCAGGTATGTGAAATGACCTTCATCTTTAAGGATGGGTAGGCATATTGAGTTCAATATGCAATTGTCATTCAAAAATAAAACAAGTCTATCTGAGAAACATTCTGGAGAAATAACCCCTGAAAGATCTAGCCATGTGTCTCTGTTTGGCTCTGAAAAAACTGGGGAAATATAGTTCTCTATGTTATCTAGGAAGAAAAGAAAAAGCAGTGAGCAAGAGTAATGTCTATAAAGAAGTGCTATTACTTTTAATTTTATGTTAATTTTGAAGAATTTACACTTTTCTAAATTCTTTTGTAATTTCTGAAGTTTTGCTTATTAATAATCTTGGATATTCTATGCAGATTATATTATCTATAAAATGATGTAAATTTAGTCTATTTCTTTCATATTATATACCTCTTGTTTCCCCTTTACATATTGATCTGTCTGCAGGAAAGGTGTAATCTTATCTTATTCCTGAGTCACACAGAAATGCTTCTAAGTTTTCACTGCAAAGTATGGCTTTTACAGAAGGTTATTAGTTGCTACCTTCTATAAGGCCAAGCCAGATCCCTCATAATTCTAACTTCAGAGTTCTTTTATAATGAGTAATTATTGAACTTTTAGTGTTGGTTTTGTATCTACCGATCTGATCATGTTTTCCTCCTTTAATCCTTGAATGTGTTGAATTATATTGATAGATTTTTTTTCCATAGTTTTTTGGAGAAACAGGTGGTATCTGGTTACATGAGTAAATTCTTCAGTGATGACTGTTGAGATTTTGGTGCACTCATCACCAAGCAGTGTACACTGAACCCAATCTATAGTCTTTTATCCATCACCCCCCTTCCACCCTCTCCCTGAGTCCCCAAAGTCCATTGTATCATTTTTATGCCTTTGCATCCTCATATGCTCCTGCCTATAAGTAAGAACATACAATGTTTGGTTTTCCATTCCTGAGTTACTTCACTAAGAATAATAGTCTCCAGCTCCATCAAGGTTGCAGCGAATGCAGCTTTTTATGGCTGAATAATATTCCATCATATATATATGTACCACAATTTCTTTATCCACTCATTGATTGATGGGAATTTGGGCTGGTTTCATATTTTTGCAATTGTGAATTATGCTGCTATAAACATGTGTGTGCAAATATCTTTTTTGTGTAATGATTTATTTTCCTCTGGGTAGATACCCAGTAATGGGACTGCTGGATCAAATGGTAGTTCTACTTTTAGTTCTTTAAGGACTCTCCACTCTGGCTTTCATAACGGTCTTACTGGTTTACCTTCCCACCAGCAGTGTAGAAGTGTTCCTTTTTCACCGCGTCCATGCCAACATCTATTATTTTTTGATTATGGACATTCTTGCAGAAGTAAGGTGGTATCACATTATGGTTTTGATTTGTATTTCCCGGATAATTAGTGATGTTGAGCACCTTATCATATGTTTGTTGGCATTTGCATGTCTTTTGGGAATTGCTTATTCATGCCCTTAGCTGACTTTTTGATGGATTCTTTGTTTTTTGCTTGCTAATTTGTTTGAGTTTCTTGTAGATTCCGGATATTAGTCCTTTGTCAGATATATAGATTGTGAAGATTTTCTCCCACTTTGTAGGATGTCTGTTTACTTGCTGACTATTCCTTTTGCTGTGCAGAAGCTCTTTAGTTTAATTAGGTCCCACATATTTATCTTTGTTTTTGTTGCATTTGGTTTTGGGTTCTTGGTCATCAAGTCTTTTTTATATAGTGAATTATCCATAAACTCCCAAGACATAGTCTGTTAGGTAATGTATTTGTACATGTGTTTGTATGAATCTGTGAGTATGTGTTAACATATGGTTGGATTTAATTTAACATTTTATTTAGAATTTTTGTTAAATGAAATTAGCTAATAGTTTTGTTTGTTTGTCTAGTTTAGATATCAATGTTATCCTGTCCTGCTAAATTTTTTGTAGCTCTCTTTTCCAATATAAATAACAGGTTGCATGTGATAGAAAAATTCTATTCTTCAAATTTTACTAAAACCCATAACAACATTTGGATTTGGCAGCACATAGTGGAGGAAATTTTTGCTACTGATTGTATTCTTGTACACTGTTTCATCTGGTCAGGTTTTTTAAAAAAAAACATAGTTATTAATTTTGGTGATTTCCATGTTTCTAAAAAATTTTTCATTTCACCTAGTTTTTCACATTGTTTATAACTTTTTTCAGATTGTTTATAACATTTTTTAAAAACTATGCCTACTTGCCTATGGAGTCCATTTTATTTCTAATATTATAAATCAATTTTTTCCTTTCTGCAACTTTGCCAGAGTTTCATTTATCATTATTTAAGAAAAAGATAAGTACTTTGGTTTTCTCCACATTTGTTTTTCCAATTGTTAGTCTGTTTTTAAATTCATTAAATTTAAATTTTTTATTTTTTATTTTCTTCTTTGTATTTAGTTATATTTCTTTTCAATCCCACCCAACTTTTGAGTTAATTAATTAGCTTAGTTACCATCAGTGTCTGTCTCTGAAGAAATAAATTTAAGATAATAGTTTTACTCCAAAGTAATATAAGGACCACCTAATTTTTCCTATGATTTTCTATTTAAATCATGAATTATTGAGAAGTCCATTTTTAAAGTTTCAAATGTATGGAGATTTTTGTCACTATCTCATAGTTGTTGGTATTTAATTTCAAGCATCATGCTCAGAAAATATGATCTATAAAAGGCTAATAATTTGAATTTGTTGAGATTCTTTTCATGGCCTAATATACCATCAAGGTTTATATATTTTTAAAACATCTTGTTCAATTTTAGTAATGTATATGTTTCTAGAAAACTATCAATTTCTTCTAGGCTTTCAAATACATAAACAAAGTTTTTCAATAATTTCATTGTTTTAAAAGAATGTGTTCTCTATTTTGGCTCTGTAAAGTTCTTTGTGTACCTATTAGCTCAAACTTACCAACTGTATTACTAAATCATTTATGTCAATAATTATTTCTCTTCTGATGATTATGTGAGAGTATAATCTCCTGGAATGATTATGAAGTTCTAAGTAATTTGTTGTGGTTCTATCAAATTTTTCTTGATATATTTCAAAATTCTGATGTTAAGTCCATGAAAGTCTGTAATAATTATATCTTCCTGATATTGCTTCTTTTTTGCACAAACTTCTCCCCTTTGTTTTTTCTAAATGTTTTTCACATTAAGTTAATTTTGCCTGACAATAATATTGCCCTCCAGCTTTCTTAATAGTAGCAGTCCACAAAGTGTTGTCCAGGGATTCCTGGAGGCCACTGAGACCCTTTCAGAGATTCTGTGACAGCAAAACTATTTTCTTGATAATGCTAAGATGTCTTTTTTTTATTATTCTCCATATCTTATGAGTGATGGTGGAGTTTCCCAAATATTACGTGACGTGGTATGGCAACAGATTGAATGTAGGCACAGCTCTGAGGATCTAACCACTCTCTATTAACTAAGATATTAAAAATGATTAATATTGTAAATCAATGCAATTCTTCAAACTAATTTATTTTTGTTTTAAAAAAAGTTATTCTTCAAAAAAGTTATTTATATTGATATATAAGGGGTTTATTGTTATTTTTAAAGGCACTAAAACTGTTTCTTTTAATATCTCTGTTTTGAATTTAGTAAGGTAAATACCAGTGAATATAAACCATATGAACAGAAACTCTTTCAGGTTCTTAATATTTTTTAAGAATTCAAAAGCTGCTGAAACGAAAGCAGTCAAGAACCATTACTTTAATTTTAAAATATATATTTGCAACATTTCTATTAATATGTTGAGTATTTAATTGACTCATAAAGAGCATGCATATATTTTAATTTTTAAAAAAGTTCAATCTCTTATTTCACACCTTTAATAAATTATATTACAATACATTGTGATTACTGATATATTTCAACATATATTTCCTTTTTTTTGCTGTTTTTCATATATTTTTCATTTGCCTTTCTCAGCATTTTACTATTTCCATAGCACCTATTGAATTAACCACATTTTACTCTACCAATCTATCTCTAAAAATGCAAATTGTCACTCTTTATATTCTTAATACAAAATATAAACTAATACATTTATTTTTTAAAAAAATCAGTGTTTCTAATTTTTTTAAAAAACATATGGAGAATTTTGCACTATTTTACTTCTTAGCATGTTCCACTCTGTCCCATTTTCCAGCATCTTCTATCTTTGCCATGAAAGGTACAATTTTTAACCATATGTTAATTCTGCCACCCTGATTTAAAAGTCCAGATATTTTTTCCAATGACAGACAATTTTTGCCCTAACAGAAACTCTGGTACCCACTGTTAATATAAAATTTTCTGCCCTTACACCTTCAATGACTTCTGATTTTTGTTTTTTTTAAGTATGAAGAGTTTAATATTTAAGACTGTGATCAATGTTAATCCAAGACAAGTAGTCTAGTCTGATTCACCACTGTTTCCCTACCTAAAGCACACACTTCAGCTCAACTGGATTACAGGACACTCCCTGGACATATGCCATCATTAGCCATCTCTATGTCTGTGTCCATTTGCTATTTCTGCCTTGAATTCCCTCCTTAGTCTTCAATTTTCTATTACTAACTTGAGCCATGGTCTGGTTCAAATGTTCCTTCTTCCACAAATACCTCCTTGGGAAGCTCATATAGAAACAATCCTATACACTCTTAAGCATTTTGTATTATTCAAAATGCAGGTATCCTAATGTTGAATTGCTTGTAGTTATTTGAGAGTTTACTCTCTTTCCCCAATTATATGGTATGTTCTTTGAGGGAAGAAATTATTTAAGCCACTTTTTAATATTCTATATCACTAAACAAAGGATTATTCAGAAAGCATTAGGAAAATTAATAATTTCCAGGAATATACCTGTTGAAATCAACTGACATAGAGTTAAACAATTACTTTTGTATTTCCTAAAAGAAGATATTCATGCCTTTTTAAGACAAGAGAGATATTCTCTGCATGCAGTGGATTCTCTTGGTTTGGGTATATTGGGACTCCTTCCAACCATCAGCTGATAGAGAGAAAAGAGACACAGCTTGTGGTCTCCTCCATCCACGCTCTGTATTCATAGCATCAGCCAAAGTCCAAGAAGCAACAAAAGAAGTAAACTTTTTAGCTACCGTCATTGCCTCTTTCTTTACTGCCATTTGCTAAATCATCACAGGGCACTACTGCAAAAGAGCTAATGAAATCACTAAACTCATTAGCAACACTAGTCTGTGCATATGGTTTCTTAAGCATTTCAAAACAGTTTTAAATAACATTAGTGTCTCTTTGTTAATATCCGAAATACATGCTTTAAAAAGGAAGGAAATCTAACAGATTACTGAATTAGAGAGTGCCTATCACATACAGGATGAAAATAATATATTTTTAGCAACGATTTATTTTATCCTAATTCCCTCTGTTTTCACAGACATGCATTACTATATAAACTAAAGAATATGCTCATGTATGTAAATCATAATGTGAAAATAGTGTCCATAGTCCACTTTTCAAATATATATCATCTGGTACCTTTAGTTTATTTCGACATAATTATCAAGTTCCTGCTATTTTCTAGGTACGACATAAGTCATCAAGTATATGAAGATAAATAAACACATTCTCTATTCTCAGTGCACTGGAGGCAGTGGAGGAAATAAACAACTAAAGAGACAATGTCAATATAATGTGGTAGGATCTCTGAAAAGGGATATTACTGCACATACTGGGATTTCAGGAAAGTCTTCCATGATGAGCTCACCTCTGGTCATACTCTTGCAGGTGATTATGAGTTAACCAGAGAAGTGTCATTAAGGAGGAGAGGCAGAGGAAGATGGTGGAGTACAGTGCTCCACCTGTCACCCCCTACAACACCCACAAGGACACCAGCTTAACAACTATCTACACAAAAAATAACACCTTCATAAGAACCAAAAATCAGGTTAGCCCTCATAGCACCTGGTTTTATCTTTGTATAGCTGAAAGAGGAGGCACTAAAAAGATAGAAAAAAAAAAAGTATTGAATCGCTGACGCCACCACTTGCCAACCCCCTGACAGTGATATGATGCAGAGAGCATCTCTAGGTTCAATAGGAGGGAGAGCAGAGCAATTGTGAGGCCTTGAACTCAGTGTTGTCCTTTTGGAGCAGAAGGGAAAACTGAGCCACGCTCAGTAGAAGCCCATCCATGGAAGGAGCATTTAAACCAGCCCTAGCTGGAGGGGAATGGCTGATCCCAGTGGCTGGAACTTGAGTTCTCAGGAGCCTTAACACTGAGGGCTAAAGTGCTCTGGTCTTTAAGTAAACTTGAAAGGCAATCTAAGCCATAGAAACAGTAACTCTTAGGTGAGTCCTAGCGCTGAACTGGGCCCAGAGACAATGAACTGGCCAGGGTGGGTGAGGGAGGACACACAACCTAGTGAGATACCTGGTCTCAGGTGCTGGCATCACCCCTCCCCTAACTCCAGGCTGAAGAACTTGCTGCTTCAAAAGAGATCCCTTTCGTTCATTTGAGGAGAGGAGAGGGAAGAGTAGGGAGGACTCTGTCTTGCATAGGCTAGGGCACTGGTCAGAGTTGTGAGGCCTCCATTCCAGGACTTAGCTCTCAGACAGCATTTCTAGACACACCCTGGGCAAGAAGAGAACCTACTGCCATGAAGAGAAGGACCCAGTCCCAGCAGCATTCATTACGTGATAACTGAAGAATCTTTGGGCCCTGAATAACCAGCAAAAATACCCAGGTAATATGTGGAGGGTCTTAGGTGAGCCTCTGAGACTTGCTGGCTTCAGGTGAGACCCAGTACATTACCAGCTATGTGGCTACAGTGTGAAACTCCTTCTGCTTGAGAAAAGCAGAGCAAAAAGTAAAGGGAACTCTGTCTTGCACCTTAGGTACCAGCCCAGCCACGGGCAAATAGAGCACCAAGTGGGCTCTTAGGGCCCCCACTTCCAGGACTTGACTTTTAGACAGCATTTCTGGACCTGTCTTGGGCTACAGGTGAGCCCACTGCTCTGAAGGGTGAGTCCCAGGTCAGGCAGCATTCACCACAAGATGACTGAAGAACGCTTGGGCCTTAAGGGAACATTGGTGGTAGTCCGGTATTACTCTTCATGGCCGGTGGTTGTGGTGGCTACTGAGTGAGGTTCCTCCGCCTTTGGAAAAGGGAGAGAAGAGTAGGAAGGACAATGTCTTGTGGTTTGAATGTCAGCTCAGCTGAAGTGCAATAGACCACTGTATTCATCAGGGTTCTCTTAGAGGGACAGAATTAATAGGACATATATATATATATAAACACACACACACATTTATTACATGATAAACATATATTAGAAGGACAGAACTAATAAGACATATATGTGTGTGTTTATAATATATAAACACACACACATTTATTACATAATAAAAGTATATTTTTAAATTTAATATGTATATATGTTTATTACATAATAAACATATTTTATTTAATATGTATAGTTCTTTAGAATGTATACATAATATGTGTGTGTGTGTGTGTGTGTGTGTGTATATATATATATGTAGGGGAGTTTATTAGCTATTGACTTACATGATCACAAGGTCCCACAATAGGCTGTCTGAAAGCTGAGGAGCAAGGAGAGCCAGTCCAAGTCCCAAAACTGAAAAACTTGGAGTCCTATGTTCAAGTGTAAAAAGCATCCAGCACGGGAGAAAGATGTAGGCTGGGAGGCTAGGCCTGTCTTGCCTCTTAATGTTTTTCTTCCTGCTTTATATTCACTGGCAGCTGATTAGATGGTGCCCACCAGATTAAGGGTGGATCTGCCTTCCCCAGCCCACTGACTCAAATGTTAATCTCTTTTGGCAACACTCTCGCAGACACACCCAAGATTAATACTTTGAATCCTTCAATCCAATCAAGTTGACACTCAGTATTAACCATCACAAACATCAAGTAGACTTCTGAAGTTTTTGACTCTAGACCCTGACCCCCAGATAGCACCTATGGACCCATCCAGGGACTGGGGGAACTTGCTGCTCTGAAGGGAAGGACACAGGCCTGGCTGGCTTTGCCACCAGCTGATTGCAGAGCCCCAGGGCCTTCAGCAAACATACGCAGTAGCCAGGGAGTGGTTACAGCAGGCCTTGGGTGAGACCCAGTGCTGCACTGCCTTCATGTCTGACCCAGCGCAATCATAGTGGTGGTGGCCACAGGGGTGCTTGTGTCACTCCACCTCCAGTTTTAGGTGGCTCCAAAAGAGAGAATCCACTTGACTGGGAGAAAGTAAGGGAAGAGAGCAAGAGTCTCTACCTGGTAATCCAGAGAATTCTCCCAGATCTTGTCTAAGGCCATCAAGGTGGTACTTCTATGGGTCTGCAAGAACCACAGCATTATGGGCTTGGGGTTCCCCTTAAAGCAGATACAGCTTAGATCACAACACCTAAGTCTTCAAATATGTGTAAAGACTCCCCAAGAAATATGGGTACAAACAAGCCCAGACATTGAAAATTACTATAAATGTCTAACTCTGCAATGCCCAGACACCAAAGAACATCTACTAGCATCAACACCACCCAGGAAAGCATGATATCACCAAAGTCACCAGGGACCAATTCTGGAGAAACAGAGCTATGTGAATTTTCAAACAGAGAATTGTCATTAAGGCATTTCTGTCAGAGGTGTAAAGTACTATTCTATACACTTTTAGAAATACTAAAGGGCTGTCCTGAGTACCAAGGACTGCAACCAGCCAGTTAGGTGGTGAACAGAATCTTGTATTGCATGAAAATAAGCTAAAGATTAAGTTATAGTTATCATCTCCCACCTTGTTGCAGGAGAAGAATAAACTCCTGTAGAAATAGCAGGTTCTCTTGAGAAAATATAGTCCCATAGTCAAGATTATCTCCCTTTCAGAGACCCCATGAAGAATTTTAAAGGCTGTGAACAGTCCTGAAGTCAAGAAGCTGGTTTTATGTTAACTCAACATCTCCCATACATACTCGGATTCTAATAGTTTTTCCACTAAAACATGATTAACCTCCAGTGTGACTCAAGTATTTGACAAAACATAGTTTGAGCAATATTGAATATAAACTATGGAATAGCTATTGAGCTCATCACTTCACACATATATTGATGAATGTGGACTTTATTTGGCATTCAGTAGGGAGCCATCAATATGGTTCCAGCAGAAAAATGGCTTGATTGGAGTCACAATGAGGGAATGTAACTCAACAGTACTACAAGAATGAATTGGAGGGGAGACAGTCAGGAGGTTTGAATACGAATGAGTAGAGTTCTTTCTTGGAATAGTTTAAAATATAAAACTATAAACATATATTTTGGAAATGCTTCCAGGTTTAATAAATTCTATGATAATATACTAGTGATATTTCTTTGAAAATCTATAACAGGTGCCAGAAAGAGCAATATCCACTTTATTATCAATTCACATATATTTGGGATCTCCATGGGGGCACTATGCTTGTATATAACACCAAAAACAAATTGCAACAGGATTGCTTTGCTGTGAAACTGAAAAAAAATCATGATACAAATAATTAATTTCAAATTGATTCAATTACTGTAGTCAGTCACTACTAAACTATCTTTTAAGCACCCACAGGGTCCATCATACTTTACTAGGTTCTTGTAAAAATCCATAAAGATATTATGACAGATTTTTTCCACCACAGTAATCTGTAATTGGTATTAGAATATGAAGAAAAGCCAGTGCTCCCTGTAGTTCATCAATGCTGAGTCCATACAAAACATAACAGACAGCAGTGATCTGATCGGCCATTAAATAATTGTGCTCAGTGTCCAATCAAGAAAAGTAGACCTTTAAACATTCCATCATTGGAGAGGATATTGAAATAGATGAATTACAAAGTTTTAAAAATACATATGTCTATGATTAAGTAGAAATCTTGCAATAATGCACAAAGTCTGGGCCACAAGCAATTCTAGGACCTCAGAACTGGGGTAATAGAAAATTCGTGTATTTATGCAGTCAGTTAGAAAATTTATATTGAGCACAAATATGTGTGTGGCACTGAAAAGCATAAGGATACAGGATGGAACAAAATTTTCTCAAATGCTTGCTCTTGTGGAAGTTGAATTCAGTCAAGGGGAGACAGATCTTATACAAATAAGTAAGATTAGATATAGACATAGATATCTGAAGATAAATCATGGAGACTATAAATTAGGAGGCTGGAACCGCAGTGAGTAGAATTCATTCTTGGAATAGAGGCTTCCAAAATGTTGGGAGAATGTGAGAGAAAAATGTTTTAGGTAGAAGATATCACAGATATAAAGGCCCTGAGGCAAAAACATCTGTGGCCAGGTTAAAATACATAAAAGAAGGAACAGTAGAAATAAGCTTAAAAAATAGCAAGGTATAGATTACGTAGGACCATTGTAATGAGTTCAGCTTTTACTTTGAGTGTGATGGACATGTCGAAGGGTTTTAAGAGGTAAGTTCTCACATGATTTTAAAAAATAACTGTGGCAACTGTATTAGAAAGGGACTAGAAGGTCAGTTGACAAGGACGTAAGTAGATAAACTAGCCAGAAGACTTGTGCAATAATACAAATGAGGAATGGTGGAGGCTTGGATGAAGGAAGTAATTGTGAAAAAGTGGTCAGACTTATGATACATTTTGATGACAGGGCTGACAGGATTATTTTGGTGGAGAAACCAAAGATGACTTCGTCTTTGGCTTGAGTAACTGGACAAATGAAATTGCCATCTAATGAAATGTGGAAGACTGTAGGTGGAAGTAGGTTTTAGGAGAAAGATTGGAAGTTCATTTTGGGGCATGTTAAGTTCAAAATGCATGTTCAGCATCCAACTGGAGATATGGAGTAGGCAGTTGCATAAAAGAGTTTAGAAGTCAGGAAACTGTTCAGGGCTGTAGATAGAAAATTAGGAATGAATGTTGTCACTAAGGGAAAGAGCACAAATAAAGATGAGGCCAAGTACTGAGCTCTGGAACACACAATAGTAAGAGGTCAGGGAAACAATGAAAAGCCAGTAAGGCAGATTGAGTAGAACGGTCAATGACATAAGGAAGCCAGTAGAGTGTGGTATCTTGAAATCCTAGTGCAGAAATTGTTTCAATAAAGAAAGAGCAGGTCAATTGTATCAAATACTGCCGATAGATCAAGCAAAATGAGAACCTAATATTGACTATTACACTTAGAAACATGAAGACCATTGTTAACTTTGAAAAAAAAAAGTGTTAGTGGAGAGCTAGAGGCAAAATCTTAGGGGAGTGAATTTAATAAAGAGGAAAAGAAAAGTTGAACACAAATATAGATAACTCTTTTAAGGAGTTACAGTAAAAGATAGTATAAAAATAGGATGATAGCTTTCAAGACATGAGCATCGAGAGGCTAATTTATAATGGTCGATATATGTTGATGAATTCAATACACAGAGAAAAAATAATCATGTAAGAGACACCCA
Organism: Homo sapiens; assembly: GCF_000001405.40. NCBI lineage: Eukaryota > Metazoa > Chordata > Mammalia > Primates > Hominidae > Homo > Homo sapiens. The sequence continues at coordinate 44,548,974 of NC_000005.10, read as the reverse complement.
AGAATTTCCAGAGCTAAGTCTTCAGTTAGGCTATAATTGGCATCTATTGCCCAAGGTTGAATTTACTAGCAGTAAGGACAGTTCACATTTGTTAATAGGAAAGAATTCACCCACATGTAGGTATATGGATATAAGTGTATGAGGGAGAGATCTCTTCTCAATGCTTCTGTATTTTATTTGTGAAATAAGAAGCAAGGTCATCAACTAAAATTGAGGATAGAGGAATACATGGTCATTGGAAGAGATGACATGTTGGAGATGTTGTTTGAAGATTTCAGTAGAGAAGAGTGTGTAAAGGGACAGAAAAATGTGGTAGATTTGTCAGGCAATCCCAAGGTCCTATTTGAGGTCAATGATATCTAATTTAAAGTAAGACCATTAGCATGATTTTGAGGTGGGGGACACTCAGCCAAATTGAGCTGAGCTGAGGCTTGAAAGAAGTAGGTAAATAGTTTAATTTAGATACTGATGAGCTTTTGTGAGATGAGTATACCAAACCAAGACAAAATGTAAGGATACTGAAGATAGATTCTTTTGAGTGATTATTTATGGGCCATGGAAAAATTCCTTTGAGTGATTATTTATGGGCCATGGAATTCAGGACAGATAAGTAAAGAAGTCAAATGTGATAACAGTAATGCAAAATAAAAATAGTAGGAGAATCAAATGGATTGTAGGTCCTTAGTGGTATCAAAAATTCATTAAAGATTGAATACCATAAGGAGTGAAATTGCAAAGTAGTAGATGATACTGATGAGGAGGATGAGCAAAACTGATATTATTATATTAGCAGTTTTTAATAATGTCAGGGTTTCAGATATAACCATGAGACCATATGATGAGAAGAGAAGAGGATAAAATAAATGAAAGAAAGAAATTCAAAGAGCTGAAAAGCCAGGATATTAAAAAGATTCTGTTCATGGATATCAAAATTACGTAGAGTTTTTTTCAAGAGTTGAGAATGGAAAAAATTAATACTGGGAAGGTGTGGGCAAAAAAAAAGAAAGGTGGCTGGGCACAGTGGCTCAGCCTATAGTCTCAGCACTTTGGGAGGCCGAGGCGGATCACCCGAGGTTAGGAGATCAAGACCATCCTGGCCAACATGGCAAAACCCCATCTCTATTAAAAATACAAAAAAATTTGCTGGGCGTGGTGTTGGGCACCTGTAATCCCAGCTACTCAGAAGGCAGAGGCAGGAGAATCGCTTGAACCCGGGAGGCAGAGGTGCAGTGAGCCGAGATCACACCACTGCACTCCAGCACGGGCAACAAGAACAAAACTCTATCTCAAAAAAAAAAAAAAAAAGAGAGAGAAGGGTAAGTGAGGTAAGACAATAAGAGTTTCCAGGTAAAAATATTTGACCTTGATTATAATTTTAGATATTCAGTGGATACCATTCATTAAATTTTATGTGTTGTGGGCCATCAGGGGAGCTTATTAAAAATCAAGATTCTGATTTAATTGGTCTGGGGTAGAAGCTTGGATTCTGCAACTATAGTATAGAAAGTTAAAGGAACATGAAAGAAAGACACACACACACACACACACACACACACACACACACACAAAGAAAGAGAGAGAGGGAGGGAGGGAGGGAGGGAGAGGAGAGAGAGAAAGTGTTTGGAACAAGATTTATGTTTAGAGAATACCAAATACACTCTGGAGACTCTTAATTTGTTTTTTCCTTTTTGCATTTCTTGTTTTCTTCCCAAGTACAGAAGACCAAATTAAAATATCATTCAAATATGAATAGAGGAAAAGAAAGTTTCCAAATTCTAAAACCAACCCAGCTATGGAATAGTTATTATTGATATCTGATACATAGCCAGGTGTTTTGAATACATGTCTAAAAATGTGTTGCTTTGAATATTAACATTTTATTTAGATAGTTAAACCAAAATCAAAAAAAATGTTCATCTCTTTCCCAGAAGAAACTACTGATGTCCTTTGCTTCCATTTAAAAGGGAGTCCTGGTGAAAAGTTGCATTTTGGAACTAGGATTGAGGGTAGGTGGGGTTCATTCCAATTAAGAAAAAATGATCTTGATACAAATGAAAACCTATTTCCTAAATGATGAGAAACTCAGTATATAACACAGGTTTTTAAAAGAAAGACATGAACTGTTTCATTAGCTAAAGTTTTGGAGTGGGACACTCCACTGTGCTATAAAGCAAGGAAGGCTCCATTACCTATAACATGCTTTCCCTATACAGTCAATAGAAGAAACATACTTGGACCCCAGCTTATTCTCTTAAGTTGCACCCACTGCTGGCTACAGGGAAAAAATAATCAGGGGAAAAATAGGGTTAACTCTTAATGAAAAAAATGCAGGTCTTAAAGATTATGAATTGGATTGATGAGTTTTTCTTTCCTGAAGGACAACATGCAGATTAAAGAGCTTTTAACTGTTCGTGATGCAATCAAAAGGTTATGGTCATCTGCTAAAAATTCAGTTTTAGCCACAGTTTATGTAAGTTGTTCACATTACTCACTCAGTAATGATGTACTTGGCCTCACTGTTTCTGATCTGGTTCTCATTTTTTGGTATTACATTCCAAGACTGCAATGACTCAGAAATGTTCCTTATTTTTTACAGTAAGATGAAATAGCAATGCTGTGCCTAAAACAGCTCAAGTTTAATCACTTGTCTGTGGTCTTCCGGCAATCTATCTAAGCAGGTGTATATAAGTGAAGACTTCCACAAATTGAGTTAGAAGAATCAACATGTCTACCAGAAAACTTCCAAAGTTATCTTCTTACATTCATATGACATCAACAGAAAATTTAAACCCTTTGCAATACTGCATAATTTTTTATTCTTATCAGAGTATAGCTGCTTAGTATTAGCAAGAAGGCTTTTCATAATACAGAAACATACATAAAATAGAAATTTTATGTGTGTACATAAAAATTTATGTACCTAAAAAGAAATTTTCTTTTTTTAAATCAACATTTATTTGAAGTTCTGGGGTACATGTGCAGGATGTGCAGGTTTATTACATAGGTAAATGTGTGCCATGGTGGTTTGCTGCACAAACACCTAGGTATTAAGCCCAGCATCCATTAGTTATTCTTGCTGATGCTCTTCCTCCCCCAGACCCCACAACAAGTCCCAGTGTGTGTTGTTCCTATCCCTGTGTCCATGTGTTCTCATTGTTCGGCTCCCACTTATAACTGAGAACATGTGGTGTTTGGCTTTCTATTCCTGCATTAGTTTGCTGAGGATAACAGCTTCCAGCTCCATCCATGTACCTGCAAAGAACACGATCTCATTCCTTTTATGGCTACATAGTATTCCATGGTATATATGTACCACATTTTCTTTATCCAGTTTATCATTGATGGGTGTTTTGGTTGATTCCATGTCTTTGCTATTGTAAATAGTACTGCAATGAACATACTAGCGCATGTATCTTTATAATAGAATGATCTATATTCCACAGGGTACATACCCAGTAATGGGATTTTTGGGTCAAATGGTATTACTGATTCTAGATCTTTGAGGAATTGCCACGCTGTCTTCCACAATGGCTGGACTAATTTACATTCCCACCAAGAGTGTAAAAGTGTTCACTTTTCTCCACAACCTCACCAGCATCTGTTGTTTCTGAACTTTTTAATAATTGCCATTCTGACTGGTGTGAGATGGTATCTCATTGTGGTTTTGATGTGTATTTCTCTAATGATCAGTGATATTGAGCTTTTTCTATATTTTTGTTGGCCGCATGAATTCCTTCTTTTGAAAAGTGTCTGTTCATGTCCTTTGCAAACTTTTTAACGGGGTTGTTTGTTTTTTTCTTGTAAATTTGTTTAAGTTGCTTGGTGACTCTGGATATTAGATCTTTGTCAAATGGATAGATTGCAAAACTTTTCTCCCATTCCGTAGGTTGTCTGTTTACTCTGATGATAGCTTCATTTGCTTTGCAGAAGCTCTTTAGTTTAATTAGATCCCATTTGTCAATTTTTTCTTTTGATGCAATTGCTTTTGGTGTTTGAATTGTGAAATCTTTTGGTGTATTCATCATGAAATCTTTGCCCATGCCTATGTCCCAGAAACATTTCCAAAACAAAAACGTATCAAATATATATGAAACCCCTAGAAAGTGGGCGTAAGAGAATACAAAAGATGTACTAAAATCTACTGGAATAAATGATATATGCAAGAAACAGCAAATTGGTGCTATAATGACTATGGAAGATAAAAGTAGTGGCAATGGGTAAAAAATATGAGTATACATATTTTTGACACAATATAATTTTTCAACAGACTATTAAGCTTTAGAGCTCTCAGAAAAAAAGAATGGCTGTCTTCTAAGCAGAAATACAAGGAATTATATGAGGAGTTAATCTCAAAATATCTGTTTTCTACAAACATGACTGTCTTAGATTCCAGCAGAGAATTAATAGGTATTTATTCAATGAAAAAAAATAGCCACTTTCATGACTTACTCCATCCCATGTTTACCTTTCATATCCTCTTGGGTTGCCTGATCTCTTGCCTTTCTCCTATAGTAATATATATCTCCTCCACTGGCCAGCAATACAGTGCTAGTTTTACCAGAAATAGAGAGAGGAACAGCCTTAATTTAAGGCATTATCTTCCAAAGAATTGTATTTAAAGAGTACTTATAAATACATTAAATACAATATAGTATAAATATGAATTAACTTACTTAGCCAGAATTCATTTATTATATAACATTGCTAAGAAAGGTCTGTCTTAGTCTGTTTTCTGTTGCTTATAATAAAATACCTGAAAACTAGGTAATTTATAAAGAAAAGGAAGTTACTTCTTATAGTTATGGAAGCTGAAAAATCTTAGGTCAAGGAGCTGCACCTGGTGAGGGCCTTCTTGCTGGTGAGGACTCTCTGCAAAGTCCTAAGATGGTGCAGAGCATCACAGGGTGAAGGAGCTGAGTGTGTAAGCTGAGGTATGTCTTTGTCTTCTTGTAAACCCAGCAGTCCCACTCCCATGATAACCTATTAATTAACTAATTAAACCTTTAATCCACTCATGAAGGCAGAACCCACATGACCAATCACCTCTTAAAGGCCCCACATTTTAACACTGCCACATTGGGGATTAAATTTCAACATGAGTTGTGAAGGTGACAAATATTCAAACCATAGTAGGGTCCTAAAGAGATAAAATTCAGAACAATAGAGTTTTGATGAAGGAAGAAAATTTGGAGAGACAAAAAGGTGAAGAAGTGCTGCCCATAGAGAAAAGACTTGGTTAATCACTTTAGTGCTATCTTCAGGGTAGCAACAGATTATTGAAACTACAGACCTTATCTGTGATTTGTTGTTTTTTTTGTGGGTATTTTTCTCCCTGAGGCATGGCCCTGTCAATAATTTTCAACAAGAACCTCAGAAAAATTTGGGAGAAGTGGGTTCCAAAGCTTGATAGAAGTTCAACTAAAACAAGTAGAAGTCAAAGGTGGGAATTCAGTGCCATTCTCTTAATCATTTGAAATCCCTGTCATTCAACAAGGACTGTTTCAAATCTGGCAGAAATTCCTTATAAAGCCATATTTTTATATTCAATGTTCACTTCAGGTAAATTCTCAGATGTTGGGCAAGCTCTGTTGTTCAGTTACTCAGCTCTCTCAGCGTTAAAGGTTTAAGAAGTTGTCTAAGGGTATCAAGACCCTGATTACTTTGAAATTTGTAACTAAGAGGTTCTTTCTCATATTAGTGTGATGCTACAATTCCTAGCTATGACATGGATAGTAGGGATAGCCTCCTTTCCTCATGGATACAAATGTTCCAGGAATAGGGAACATCTGCCCAAAAGAAGAAAATCATTTAGAGGAGGCAAAAAGAAAGCCATTAAAAATTGCCTTTATTCATCACCTCAGCTGTTCAGACTAGCCACACTGTACTTCAGTTAGGAAAAAAACTCCTAAGGATTTAAGATTTGACTTTTCAAAGGCTCAGTTTACTTCTGTATAAATTAAGGCAACATATTGCACGATCCCTAAGATCACTTCCAGCCCCAAATTTTATGATTTCATTCATACAAGTCCAGCCAATTCCAACCCCATTATTTTCTAGGCATTGAAAAGCCAACATTTGAGTTCACCTATTTCTCCACTTTGGTAAGTCAGTAATGTCCTGGATGGCCCATAATCTTCTTCTGAAAGAACAGACATAATATATTCTAGTTTATGTCATTTAAGTCCTCTGTGAGTTCTTGAAGATAATTGTGTGTGACTCAGCAAAGACTGTGGTCAATTTAAGTTCTTTAGTATGAAAGTTATCAAGGCCGATGCATTAAACTTATCCAGCTGAATCAGTCAGTTTCATCCATCTCCACTTTAGAGAGGCTCTCTGCTTCCCATCACATCATTGCCTGCATCCATGATGACATCATGGCTGACATCTGTGAGGGAAAAAAGAGATTAAAAGGTCCTTCCTGTCACTGTCATTTCTTAAGTGCTTTTCTTGTCATCTGATAAAGGGTTAGTATTTTGCTCACCTTTTCACTTTAAGTGATTTTTAACATTTTTATAAATCTTGAGTATCTTTTATCTTGATCATGTATTGGGTGTTTATCAACCACAGCATAGTAAAACATTAAAGTCATTGGACACGGAATAGGGACACCTATGTTTTTGATGGATAATTAGACTCTCTGAGCTTCATTTTCTCCCATGTTTAATGTTAGTAGTTCAGTACATGATCTTAAGACCCCTTCCTCTTCTTTAAATGTCTTCTAATACTCCTTATCGTTGGATTCATCTCTGTAGCATTTCCACTTACGCCTCACTGATTCAAAAACATGTTATTTACATGAGTAAGTGAAGTTATAATCATAGAATTTTAGAGTCAGAAGGTTTCCAGCAATCATATAGTCTAATTCTAATATTTAACGGATAAAGAACCAAGACCCAGAGAAATTTAGTGACTTGTTACATAAATAGTGACATGGTTGGAACCAGACACTGGGTTGCAAACTCCAGTGTTTTTCCAAATTCTAATACAGTTTTTATTATTTTTATGACCCTATAGAATCTTATTCTCATGCCTTCTGTATTCTATATGAGGGAAGAAGGGCAAGAAACACTCCTTATCCAAAATCAGTTATTAATTGCCATTTCCACTACCTCCTAATTTGGGGGACTTAAAAGTGAGGGAAGAGAAATACAAAGCCCGGAAGATGGATCAGGTGTATAAGAAGAGTGGCACATCAGAGCTCTGGGTTCCATATTTAAATGAGAAAAGTGGAGGTAATTCTTCTAAGACTCTACCCAGCACCCAGTATCTAAAAGCCTAGATTTTAATATAGATAGCATGTAATACACAGTCTTAATAAATTACTTAACTGAAAGTCACATTGGGAAAGTTCTGTTGCTAGGGGAGAAGTCTTGGGTATTTTAAACACATACTTCTCCGGAAACTTCTTGATGCCAGGGATTGAGACACTGCAAATATAAGGGGACATAATGAGAGATCCCAGCCTCAGAGAGATCACTGCCTAGAGAGGGAGATAGATAAATTTATAATTACAATGCAGACTGCTCTGTTCTGCAAGGTGTATATAACACAGCAAGGAGTAATGCTTAACTGCATCTTGGATGGGTACAGGTTGAGAATAAGAGTGTTCCAGAAATAGGGGACAACACTCAGTAATGTAGATTATTACTAAATGACCTGCATATTTTGAAATTCTCTCTGGCCATGAGGCTAGTGGAGACAAGAGGATAACCATGATAGGCCACAGGGAAACAATGAGGGCTTTCATGTTATATAGCTACACAATTATATTTTTCTTAAAAAAAAGCACTCTAATAGTTGTATTAAGAAATAGTTAGCTAACTGGGGACCAGAAGAATTAGGGGTAAGGAGCGGGTAGCATGCTAAACTATAAACAAGGAACTGGTTAAAAAGTCATTGTAGTGCTTCAGCTGAAGACTGACATGAACATTATGGAGAAAGATGTCAACAGAAAATAATTAGCAGGAATTATTGGTGTAGTTGAAAAAGAGTGAAAGAAGACTTTTTTTAAAAAACATCCAATATTACTAACCCTAGACACCATGAGAGTAGCATATCCACTTACATTTAAATAAAGCACAGGAAATTTAAACCCACTCCAGCAAAATTGTGCTTTTATAATCATTCCTTCAGGTTAAGGTGCCGTTATCTCTTTGCATGCAAATATCCCCAATGATTATTACATATTAAATTATAATCAGTCACTAATAAGCTTTAGGTTATTAGTTGTCATAGGGAAGCCTGATTTTGGGCTTTCAGGGATAAAACACAGGATGAAAAGTTTAATGAGGAGTAGGTTGGTTCATGGTGAGGTACGTTAAGACAGATCTCTTTGAGATTTTTCACAATAGAGGACTTTAAGCACACAGACTCAGGATTAAGGCTCAGGATATAAGGAGAAAAAATGGCCATAGGGTGTAGAGGGGAGGGAGTTAGAGGAGGAAAGCAAAGTAGGGAGAGAGAAGGCAAAGAGAAAGAGGCACAGCACTCTGGAAGCATCCCTCAGCTGAATTCAGCATCTGTCTGAAGCTGGCACCATCACTAATGAATGTGACAGGAAAGTGAACCTGAAGCATAGACATGGGAAATCTGTTGAGCATAGTTTTTAAATATGGTTAATTTTAGATATTTGGACATCCAAGAAGAGAGAAACAGACATACAGGAATGTCCATGATCTCAATAATCATCCAGGTAGGATATAATCCAGCATTGGATCCAATATTCACTTCTCTTCCTTGGAGATTATTAGATTAAACCACATCTGCTGCAGAAGAAACCATAATCTCCAAAGTCCTTAGTCAATGAAGAACTAGAATAACTGAATCTGCTAAAATGAATTTCAGCTATTTCTTGGCTCATTTTTTTTCTGGAAAACTAATATTAAAGAAGAACTTAGGCTTGCCAACTCGTAATTTTGCCAATAAAGGACATTTAAATGAAAATTTTACCATCTACTCTCTACTTTCTTCATCATTTCATAAATAAATGGGCATTATAATACCAGATAAAAGTAGAAAAAAACAGTTTCTTAGAAGAATGGATGGTCCTTTAAATTGAATAAATTTAATGTTATGGAGATCTTATTGGGTTTCTCATTTTACCACTGATTGATAACAACCTAGGAACTGCCAAGGAGCTGCATCCAAGAATCACCTTTAAATGCTGACAAGAAGGCTCAAAGACAGGACCGCAGCAGTTCCTGGGTCAGCTGGTGCCCTGTCAGCAGGAGAAGTCAAGGAGCATAACCTACACTCAGGAGAGGTCAGGATCACACTGATTAGCTGCATCATAAAGTAGCATTTATCCGCAGACCAAAGGCAAACAGAATTGTTCTTCTTTTTCCATGCCCACGTTCTCTGCCAGTTGAAACTGTTTCAGAATGTTATTAGATTCAGGTGTTCTTGCAGTTGTCCGCTTCCTAGCCTCTTAACTCCCCCTTTCCTGAGATTGTGTAGTAATTTATGAAGCTTCTGGCATCCATAACTTTATTTTCTTTCTGAATAGTTGGTTGCAAACCCCCTGCATGTTTCTTGTTTGTGAGCAGGTGGCCTGGCCTGCCAAAAAGAACTCATGGTCTTGGATCTCCCCCAGGGTTTAACCAGGTTCCAAAATTGGTATCAGCCCTTCTAATATTACAGAGCCTCATGGGCACTGTAATGTTTGTACAGGGCAGACAGGCCCGTAGGGCATAAAGCTTCATCTAAACACCTCGTGTGTGATCCAGCAAGGATACAGCATGGCAACAGGATCCTTTTCTTTAAAGTTACTTTTACAAGTCATGTTAGCGATGAGAAAAGAGGAAGCAAGAGAAAGGTTCGGGCCAAGTAAGTCTTTCACAACTCAGGAGGTAGCACAGAATTCAGAAAACAACATCAAATCGCTTTTGCGAGGCTTCATTATGTGTTGCCTAAGCAGAGAAAGGCCACTCCTATTCAGAAAATATTTGCCGGATCTTGAGTTGGAACCTATCCCTATAGGAGGGATGCAAACTGGAGCTGCAAAAAGAAACTAACAAATACATGACGTAGTCAGGAGCTGGAGATGCCTCAAGTTATTTATTTGACCACACAATAAAAGCAACAGGAGTTGTGTATCCTTGAACAACCTTCTCCCTGAAGAATAATACCATGAAATGGCCTGTTTTGCTGCTAGATGTACTAAAGATTAGATAAGAAAGCAAACAGTCTCTCATGGGACACTTTAAGTTCTTTAACTGCCAAAATAAGATGCCATACTAGATCAAAAGCAGAAAGGATTCTAGAGTATCTATGAGTGCTTCTCAGAAGCAGCAGTGTGATTTAAAACCAAAGCACTGGAATAGAGTTGAGTATCAAGATCAGTTTCTAGTAGAAGGATATTGAGAGAAGGACTTCAGCATATGGTTTATAATTAAATGTACCATTTTAGGCTTTTATTCTATCACTGTTCAGATTTGCTTGTTAATATGCTTCAAAAACTAAGTAAATCATGGTGATTTATTAATCTGTGGGTCAGAAGAAAGCAGCAAAATGGAGTGAGAGTAAGTAGGGGTCTGGTTGCAATTCTGCCATTAATAAGCTGTGTGCAATTCATCTAACTTTGTTATGTCATAGTTCCTTTATCTGTAAAAATGAAAGATATGGACTAAGGTCTTTTATAATTATTGAAAT